>NC_000007.14:104381779-105006779 GCF_000001405.40 Homo sapiens | reverse complement strand
TATCTCTAGTATTTAAATTTTTCATGAAGGAAGGCTGTGCTAAGGCGATACTTCATTCCTGAAGAACACTTACTTAAATAAGTAATGTTCAATTAATTTTCCTCATTCTATGAAAAACTTGAAAAGGCAACAAAAATATTCACTATTCTCTGGTTCATTTGATAACAATATTGTGGTAGTCTAGGCATCTCTCCCATGTCCCAAGCACAGCTTATCTGACCACATCTATACAACAGACATTCTGTAGCGACTCTCTTTGTTCTATTCCATGCTCCTACTTTATGGCCAGTGAAAGGGCAAATGGAAGTCAAAAGGGTAAGAGGACACGTTAGATAGCTTTGATTGAAGCATTCTTTTAGAAGTTAAATGACTGAAAAAGGTTTTACAAATGACATCGAGTCAAGGGTTCATCTGAAAGTATCTAAAAGTTAACTAGTTCCCTTTCTCCACAAACTCTGCCCATGTAGGTAAGTTTTATTTTTCTGAGGAATAAGAAACATATGCAGTTATTTGCATTTATAATATTTTGTGAAAGTTCTGTATTTTCTTGTTTTTTTTGAGACGGAGTCTCTGTCACCCAGGCTGGAGTGCAGTGGTGCAATCTCAGCTCACTGCACACTCTGCCTCCTGGGTTCACACCATTCTGCTGCTTCAGCCTCCCGAGTAGCTCGGACTACAGGCGCCTGCCACCATGCCCGGCTAATTTTTTGTATTTTTAGTAGAGATGGGGTTTCACCGTGTTAGCCAGGATGGTCTCGATCTCCTGACCTTGTGATCTGCCCGCCTCGGCCTCCCAAAGTGCTGGGATTACAGGCGTGAACCACCGCGCCCGGCCAAAAGTTCTGTATTTTTATGAGCTCCAGGTGGTCTTATATAACCCATAGCATTTGATTCCTAAGAATACATCCTCTTGGCCAGGCGCAGTGGCTCACACCTGTAATCCCAGCACTTTTGGAGACCAAGGCGGGCAGATCACAAGGTCAGGAGTTTGAGACCAGCCTGACTAACATGGTGAAATCCCGTCTCTACTAAAAATAGAAAAATTAGCTGGGTGTGGTGGCGCACGCCTATAATCCCAGCTACTCAAGAGGCTGAGGCAGGAGAATTGCTTGAACCCGGGAGACAGAGGTTGCAGTGAGCCGAGACGCGCCACTGCACTTCCGTCTGGGCGACAGAAGGAAACTCCGGCTCAAGAAAAAATATATATATATCCTCTTAAAACTCCTTTGCTTTTATGCTAATACTCTTAACTAGTTGATTTCTTCAGCTTCTTAAATGTTGGATTTCCCAGTGTTGTGTCCCCACCAATGTTACGTTATCCATTTTACTAACTGCAATAATCAATTCCCATACCTTTACCTGTCGATGACTCTAGAATTTGTAATCTCTGAACTCAACTGAAACTACTAAATACATTACTTGTCCTATGAAGTACCTCAAACTAAACAAATTTAAAACTGACCTTGGCCGGGCACGGTGGCTCACACCTGTAATCCCAGCACTTTGAGAGGCTGAGGCGGGCAGATCACTTGAGGTCAGGAGTTCGAGACCAGCGTGGCCAGCATGGCGAAACCCCATCACTACTAAAAATACAAAAATTAGCCAGGCATGATGGCACGTGCCTGTAATCCCAGCTATTTGGGAGGCTGAGGTGAGAGAATTGCTTGAACCTGGGAGGTGGAGGTTGCAGTGAACCCAGATCACGCCACTGCACTCCAGCTGGGGCAACAGAGCAAGACTTTGTCTCAAAACAAAACAAAAAAAACCTTTCTTTAGATAATGGCTAAAACTATTTTCTAGCTTCATAAAATCAAACACTTTTCCAAAAATATGTTTCCAGAAAAATCTTTTTAACTTAAAAAACTGTTCATTGACCAGAGATTTGAGGGTCGAGTCAAAACACACTGTGACGTGCCAGGTCCTTCATCTGACCCCTGCTTTAACCTCCCAAAGTGTTAGGAACATCATGAACGCTGCTTGGAACTAGAATAATCCAAGTTTGAATACCACTTCCACTTCAAGGAAGACTTAGGTAGTTTGCTTTCTGGGACTCAGTTTTATAATCCATACAGCAGGTAAAATATTAACTATATAATGGCGTTAAGAATTAAATTAGATATAAAACCTTTCAGGAGCAATTATTGATTTGTAATCCCAATTTTTTTTGGTCCAGAAAATAAGACATTCCCTTCTATTTGTTAACATGTGTTCCTATCATGCTGTCATGTTCATGTTCCTCTTTTCCATTAGTATATGAGATCTTGATAGACACAATGTTTTTCATCTTTATGGCTGAAGTGCACAGTTCCTGGCATGTAATAGGCATGCAGTTTTGTTGCACAAATGAATAGATAATCTGCTTTGATGCCAGATGCCTGAAAATGTTGCCCATAGTATGTGTTTATTACAATAGAAAGTCCCTTGAATATAAAATTTGATGCAAATGGTCTGGTTGATTCTATACCATCATCTTGTAAGACTTCAGAGGGTTTTCCCACACTTTTCAAAAACATGTATCTATTTTGTTGCAAGCTAGAAGGACTAGTCCCTACTCTATTCATTTATAATCTAGTTTGGGATTAAGCCACATCAGTAAGTAACCAAGTACTGTAAGCATTCAGCCAGATATCCCAGTTCATGGGGTAATGTGTTTCACAGAGGAAATAGAATTTTTGGATTAGGAGGCAGATAGTTCTGGGTTTCATTAGGGAAAGGGTGGGGCAGTAGAGTACAACATATTTGCAGTCAGCATGGTTTTATGTGTAAAGGCATAAAACAGTAACAGAGACAATGTTTTAAGTAAACCAATTTCACTGGGCTTGTGTGACCTAGTACATTGAGAGATGAGACTGGAAAGGGG
Source organism: Homo sapiens (assembly GCF_000001405.40). Classification (NCBI taxonomy): domain Eukaryota; kingdom Metazoa; phylum Chordata; class Mammalia; order Primates; family Hominidae; genus Homo; species Homo sapiens. Next base: position 105,003,919 of record NC_000007.14, on the reverse strand, counting down.
GCGGATTGGACCACATAATTTTATTTTATTTTTAATTTGGAGTCTTTTTTTCTGTGAGTCTTAGGCCACTACTTTCTCTATTTTGTTTCTTTTATATTTAAGGAAACAGTCTCAGGGAAATGACTGACTGAGTCGCAGTGTAATGGGGGACAGAGCCAGGCCTGAACCCCTAAATATTGCTGTTCTACCTCTAAGTTGAAAATAGGACAGTCAGTAAAGAGTCTGTTGTATACTGGGTTATAAGATCTCATTTCTAATCTAACTTGGATGGAATCAAGATTAGAAAAAGTACTTGATTCTTACATTTTTTTCTTCCTTGTTGTACATAAAAAGAGATTGGCCTGGCACAGTGGCTCATGACTAATCCTAGCACTTTAGGAGGCAGAGGTGGGTGGATCCCTTGAGTCTAGGAGCTCAGAATCAGCCTGGGCAACATCGTGAAACCCCGTGTCTACTAAAAATACAAAAATTAGCTTGGCGTGCTGGCATGCTCCTGTAATCCCAGCACTTTGGGAGGCTGAAGCAAGCGGATCTCTTGAACCTGGGAGGCAGAGGTTGTAGTGAGTTGTGATCACGCCACTGCACTCCAGCTTGGGCAACAGGGCAAGACCCTGTCTCCAAAGAAAAGAAATGAAATGAAATTAGGAGCAAGCATGAGTTTTAAGTGTCAGACTTCCTTTCCCAGTACACTCACCTACTACAGGCTGCATGATCTTATTACTTCACTGAACTGTTTCCTTATCTGTAAATTGTTTGATTATCTACAAATGTGTAGCTTGCTACCTGACAGCATTAGATATTGGATAATTGGTTGTCATTGCTATTAATAAACACGGACTTAGAGAGTTCTTGAAGTTTTAGTTTTATGCTGAGAATCCATGTAACACTGGCAATCTGTGTCTATACCTGTATCTATAGCAAAAGCCAGAATTTACCACAAATTTTGCTGTTGTATCAGGAAATACATCTTGACAACTGATACTTATTCTTAATATTATTATTCTGTTATTTCTTATTCTAGGCCCCAAAAACTTTTATTAAAATGCTTCAAATTTTAGGTTAGCATTTTTGTTGATGTTTGGACATCTTAAATTCATTATACTCATGCAAAATTTTTTTTTTTTTTTTTTTTTGGAGACAGGGTCTCTGTCACCTGGGCTGGAAAATATATCTTTATAGTTTTATGCACATTTGGCAATCAGCAGAAATAATAAATTGTTGTACTATGTCTATGCTTTGCTATCTTTATGTGACCAAGACATTACTGTGAAACTGAATACTATCTGGCCACATATATAACCATTGCTATTAAGAAAGTTATGATTGTGACTTGGAAATAGTCATATGGAGACAGTTCTGATTTAATTCCCAGGTAACTTTCATATTCTCACCATTTTGCAGTGTGCATTTCAAAATAATTTTTCATATCAATTTGTAGATGTGGGAACACATCGATTAGAAAGCTGAAGCTAACTTATTCTCAGATAACAATCATTTAATTGTAACATTGAATTTTAAGAGGAAAAATACAGTATGCTGTCTTGTCTTTTTCTGCCCTTTCTTTTCCATGTATGGCTGGTTCATGTTTTGCTTTAATAACATTTTTTGCCTGGGCAAATGTCCATATTATACATTCTGATCACTTTAATTCCATCACCCTTGAAATTTTAAAAAGCAAACGTTTGATTTAGTGGCTTTTAAGTTAAAAAATATTTATCGACATCTCTCATCATTTTATCAGCTTCGTTGGTACTTAACATGGTAGTTCTACTTTATGAAAGAAGCCCGTCACTAAAATACAACATTCAAAATTAAAACATAAATTTTCATAAATTTCACAGTGCTTTTTTGTGTTTGTTCTAGAAACCGTATCTCACTCTGTGGCCCAGGCTAGAGTTCAGTGGCAGGGCAGTCATAGCTCATTGTAACATAGAGCTCCTGGGTTCAAGCCATCCTCCACCGTCATCGTCTCCAGTAGCTAGGAAAGGCATGTGCCACCAAGCCTGGCTAATTTTTAAAAGAATTTTTGTAGAGGTGGGGTCTTGCTGTGTTGCCCAGGCTGGCCTGAAGCAGTTTTCCTGCCTTGACCTCCCAAAGTATTGGGATTACAGGCATAAGCCACCACACCAGGCTATAAGAGTGCATTTTTAAAAAAGATAAAAATGTCTAAGCCCTGTTTGAGTTGTAAGGTGTCATCAGATATGATGCTGGGTATATCAGCTTATTCCTTTCTTCTGAAGGTTGTTTTTATGCTATCTTAATGAACCATCAAAGGTTCTGAAATCAAACATTTTGAAAATACTTGACTTACGGCCATTTTATATCAAGTGTATATGCTTTTATTGTTTGTGTGCTTAAAACTGGTTATTTTCATGAATGTACTTTCTATGGATCGCTAAAGGTCAGAACCAGCTAAGAATGAAAATGAGTACCATTTATACTTACTGTCAGCTGAACACTTGCATTATTTTTACCTTTATGGTGTATCTTACAGAAATTAGTTTTTAGGTCGTGGTTTCATACATAGCAGAGCAGCTCCCTCCCTGCCATCTATTCAAAGTCAGCCCTGGACACAGGGTTTGTCCACCCCCTCGCGCATGCCTGGCGTCTCCGTTGCCATCCGTCTCTCTTACTTCCTCCCTCTCAAACTCCCTCCCAACACCCCTGGGGGCCTCCTTCCCTGGTCCACGCTTGCCCACCCTCTCCGGGATCCCAGAGCAAGTGGCGGGTATCTCGTCGAAAAGCGCCCGTCTCCATCCGATGCCTTTCCAAGCTGGCGGTGCTCAGGGGCATGGTGCCATGCTGGGGGTGGCCGAGGTTGCAGGGGTGCCCATGCTTGGTGTCCCACCTCTCTAGTTCTAGTCTCCTCCCCCAACCCTACTAGGGGCTTGTCCCTGGTCTGGGACAGGCTTGGAAAGTGTGGCGCGAGTATGGCTGAGGCGTGGTTGTTTGAGGGTGTGACCCTGCAGTCCCTGTCCCAGGGATAGGGGTGGCCGTGTGGCCCAGGGGTGGCCGAAAGTGGCACTGGGGTCCAGCCCTCTCCCACTCTGTGGTGGAGTGGGGCAGTCACTGCCCTTGAGCCCTTTTAAAAAAAAAAAGAAATTAGTTTTTAGTGATAGGAGAGAGAATCTTTTTGCCAATGAGGTAGTTGAGATAAATTGAGATAACTCAGATATAGGTACTATATTTTCCTGGGTATTATCAAATTTGATCTTTTTTTATCTATCAAATTGGATTCATATGAATCAATTTATTCAAATAAGTGGTTACATTAAGTTTTTTTTTTTGTTTTCAGTACTTTATCCTGTGTCTTGCTCTCATGGGTAATCCTTAACGTAGTCACCTAAGTTTTAGTTCCCATTCTTTTCCATCCTCCTCCTTTTTTCCATCCCTGTACTCTCCAGACTTCCCTCTGGATCAACTATGCAATTTCTGTATGTTAATGTAACAACATATACTCCTTCTGCAAATATTAATAGATGTATGTCATAGTGTTCTAAATTTGTTATCTTTACCCCTGGGGGCAAGAATTCGTTTTCTTTTTAACTGGCAAGTCATACTTTGGTACTATAGGAAGCCCTCAAGCCTCTGTGACCAGAGGTTAGCATAGGGAAATTGAGACATTTTAAAACGTTTTTCATATTAAGGTATGAAGAAAACTGACCTTCATTGTACTTTGGTAGTAGACCGCTTCCTAATTCATTCCTTTAGGTCCAAGTAGCCTTCTCTGAAATTAAAAACAAAACAAAACATATTGAAAAAGATTGTAGGGTGAAGTTATATGCCATCAAAATGATGATGACATACAGGTATTTTTGTGTATCTCTGTCTTTTTTGACAACCAATCAAATTGAATTTTTTTTTTTTTTGCCAGTTAAATAGAAACTGGTGGCCAGGTGTAATGGCTTATGCCTGTAAATCCCAGCACTTTGGCAGGGGCCAAGAAGGATGGATTGCTTAGCTTAAGAGTTCAAGACCAGCCTGTGCAACATGGTGAGACCCTGTCTCTACAAAAAATACAAAAATTAGCTAGGTGCAGTGGCGTAAGCCTGTAGTCCCAGCCACTCCAGAGGCTGAAGTGAAAGGATTTCTTAAGCCCCAGAGGTCAAGACTGCAGTGAGCCATGTTCCTGCTATTGCACTCCAGCCTAGGTAACAAAGCAAGACCGTTTCTCAAAAAATATATAAGTAAATAAATAGAAACTATCAAATTATTTTCAAGGATAAGGAAGGACTAATCAGTAGTTTAGTCAGAGGCCTAGATCAAAACATAACATGTATTTTTAAATTAATCTCTTTAAATGCATGGTTAAGTTACCTGTATATGTGCTCAGTAAAATCGGTCATTTGTGGGGAAAAAAATGGCTATTTGGTTTTCTATGCATAAAATTAAGATAGAAGTCTTTTTCCTCCTAACAGCCTTCATCATAGTGGATTTAAAAAAACCAGTGTCACTTAGGCTGTGTCTTATTTGTTTCTAAAACAATGGAACAAGTCAGATGTTTGTGGAATACATTTTATATTTGCAAATAAAGTAAAAATTTTTTCTTGCCTTTTTTATGAAATAACTATAATTTGTGTGAAGATTAAAATACTCTAAAACATGAATTGACAAAGCAAAATGAAGGAGCCAGATTTCAAAATCAAGTTGTGGGGTGAGGCATGAGGATGGGAAGAAGAGAATTAAGCATTGATATATGGAGTTTTAATTTATTTCCTTAAAATTCATAGTGAAAAGAATAAGATTTTGGGGGGGAGGGCACGGAATCTCACTCTGTCTCCCACGCTGGAGTACAGTGGTGCAATCTCGGCTCACAGTAACCTCAGCCTCCTGAGTAGCTGTAACTACAGGTGCCTGCAACCACACCTGGCTAATTTTTTATTTTTAGTAGAGACAGGGTTTCACCATGTTGGCCAGGCTGGTGTGGAACTCCTGACCTCAGGTGATCCGCCCACCTCGGCCTCCCAAAGTGCTGGGATTACAGGCGTGAACCACCGCACCTGGCCAAAATTTGGTACTTTATAACTCAATAATTGCAACCAGACCAGCTAACTTTTTGAAAACTTGGGGCTCTGTAATGTTCAGATGAAGGTAAATGTAGGGAATAGACCCTCTTTAGATTGAGGGAGTAGGAGTTTTGACATCACAGGTCGTTTGGACTTAAAGGTATGAATTTGAAAGTAGTTTGGTTATACATGTCCTTTGCAACCTAGCCTCTCTTTCATTAGCGGAATTAATTTTGGTGGAGGGATTCATTCATATTGTTAGTATGTATCGAGGGAGGCATTGTATACCAGAAGGCTTTGAACTGGTTGGGAGAAGTGTTCTTATAAGAACAGGGTAATTATTAATCATAATAATCTTTGTCAAGGTGCCTAAGTAACTCCCTTATGTAATAGCAGCCAGTGATTAGATAGCTTCACATCAAGCAGGTTGGATTTGTTCCTTTTGAATCAAAGAACCCTTTGCTTCATAATCTAGGTCTTGTGTCTCACCGAATCCTTTATAATATAGAATAAATGGTTGAAAGGAAAGGCTCACATTCTGTATTCCTGAAATTCAAATAGGATAACTTTCTCAAAGTTTTAGGATAGACCAAATAATGTATGTCCATGTAGCTCTAAGATATGAGTCAACAAAGCAAAATAATTATGAAACTCTTGTGGGATTTTTGGTAGAGTTTTTATGGAGATCCAGTGTATATGAGAAGCAAACTAAAGAGAGTTGCCAAGGGTTTTAGAGCCAGTCAAATTCCTAGACTTTAGGATTTGTTGAATGAATTGAATGGAAACCAGTATAGTTGTCAGTTTTAAGTTCACTCAGTATTAGCATTCAATTAGATACTGAGTTTTAAAATAGTTTTTTTTTTTTTTTTTTTTGAGACAGAGTCTCACTCTGTTACCCAGACTGGAGTGCAATGTTGCGATCTTGGCTCACTGCAACCTCTGCCTCCAAGTTCAAGCAGTTCTTGCCTCAGCCTCCCAAGTAGCTGGGATTATAGGCGCCCACCACCATGCCCGGCTAATTTTTTACTTTTAGCAGAGACAGGGTTTCACCATGTTGGCCAGGCTGGTCTCGAACTCCTGACCTCAGGTGACCCACCTGCCTCAGCCTCCCAAAGTGCTGGGATTACAGGTGTGAGCCACGAAGCACAGCCTAAAATGGATCTTTTAATACCAAATAAGGACATTGTCTTATGATTTAAAAAGTGTCTTTTTAAAACCTGGCTACATTGTTCTTATTCTCACTTTGCTATAGAATAATGAAAAGTTATCCAACATTCATTTTGGAATATTGTTTTGGAATAATTCATGTATCTCGGCTGTCTGATTTTACCAACATGGAAAGCATAACTCAAAGACAATTCTTTAATCAGTTTTTAAAATGAAACTACTTTTCTCAGCTGTTAAAAAAATAGATTTATAATAATAGTCATCAGCATTCTTTTAAATTGTGACAAGTTAGTCTTAGAAGGATACAAAAATGTATAAAAGACTTGTGAATTTCTGACAAATTTAAATTAGGATATGTCCATAAATAGCAATTAAAATTGTTTCCAAAGAGTTATTTCAAAGCATCACATATTACAAAAAAATGGTGAAAATATAAATATAGGTCACAATTTATAGGACTTTTGTATATTGTGTATGTTTCCATAGAAATAGGTAAAGGAAATAATGGTTTCTTTTTGGGTTATAGGCTTACAGATGGATTTTCTATAGCAGGCGTATGTTACCAAAAAAATGGGAATGGGCTGATGCTTGGATATTAACTTAAAAATGGGATACAAACTGGCCGGGCCTGGTGGCTCATGCCTGTAATCCCAGCACTTTGGGAGGCCGAGGTGGGTGGATCATGAGGTCAGGAGTTCGAGACCAGCCTGGCCAAGATGGTGAAACCCCGTCTCTACTAAAAATACAGAAATTAGCCGAGCGCGGTGGTGGGCGCCTGTAATCCCAGCCACTCGGGAGGCTGAGGCAGGAGATTGCTCGAACCCAGGAGGTGGAGTGAGCTGAGATCATGCCACTGCACTCTAGCCTGGGCAACAGAGCAATACTCTGTCCAAAAAAAAAAAAAAATGGGATACAAACTGAAAACAGTATGGTCTCAGATTATCAGAAGCCTAGGAATCATCTTCCTTTCTTTAATACCCATGTTCCTTATGTCCCTAATGTCTGTTCTAACTATAGTTCTTGGCCTATCTCCCCTCGTTGTCTTCACTCCCACTGCCACTACTTTAATTCAGGTCTGGAAAAGTGTATTCAGTCACTCACTCTGAATATTTGCTAAATACATGAGTTTGTGTATAGAACTGTGTAGTAACCTCCTAGCTTACCCTGGCTTTTAATTTTTCTAATCCATCTGTTAACACTTCAAAGTGATTTTACTTAAATGTGTATCTGATATTGCTTGAAAGCTTTTAATGAATCCCATGATCTGCCTCTTGCCTTTTTTTCCAATCAGAAGTACCCAGTTGCTGCTGCTTTTGCTTCCAGCCATATTAATACAGTTTGAGCATCCCTAATCTGAAAATCCAAAATCTGCAATGTTCCAAAATTCGAAACTACCAACATGATGCCACAGGTGGAAAATTCCACACTTGACCTTATGTGATAGGTCACAGTCAAAACTTAGTGTCATGCACAGATATTAAAAATATTGTATAAAATTACTTCAGGCAGTGTGCATAAGGTGAAGCATTTATGAAACATAAATGAGCTTATGTTTAGACTTGCATCCCACCCCCAATATATCTATCTCATGTATATGCAAATATTCCAAAATCCAGAGCACTTTTGGTCTCAAGCATTTCAGATAAGTGATACGCAACCTGTACTATTATCTCTTCATAGAATACCCCTGTCTATTTTGTGAATGCAAGTGTTTTTCTGTGTAGCCTTCTCTGATCTTTTTCCAATAAGTCTTATTTTTTATAATTCCATGTACCCCAGCTCTATTATAGCGCTTAACTGCAGTTTATTACAATTATTTATAGCCTCTTTACCCACTAGAACAGCAGTCCCCAACGTTTTTGGCACCAGGGACCAGTTTTGTGGAAGACAGTTTTTTCCCATGGATGGGATGTGGGGGTGGTGGTGGTTTTGGGATAAAACTGTTCCATCTCAGGTCATCGGGCATTAGTTAGATTCATGAGATTCTAAACTCCCCACTTTATGTAACACTCTACTTCTTTCTTTTCATTGATAGAGATAATATTTATGCATATTTAGGGGCACACGCTCCTTATTCTACTCCTGTAACATAGTAGAACTTATTCCTTCTAACTTTACTTTTGCACCACTTAACCAACTTCTATACATCCCTCCTTCCCCCACCCCACTTAATATAAGCATCTTTTATTTTTTATTTTTGAGACAAAGTGCCTATCTCAGGTCATCGGGCATGAGTTAGATTCATAAGGAGTTAGATTCATAGATCCCTCACATGTGAAGGTTCACATTCCTATGAGAGTCTAATGCCACAGCTGATTGGCAGGAGACAGAGCTTTGGGGGTGGGGGTAATGCTTGTCCACAGCTCACCTCCTGTTGTGTGGTGGGGTAGGGGAGGGTGTTGGGGACCCCAGCACTAGAATATGAGCCCCTGAAGAGCAGAATATCTAACTTGCATTGTCTCCCTCAGATAAAAGGATTCAGTTTATTGTTAAACGGGTAGTGCCTGCATTTGTACCTAGGACATAGTAAGTGCTTAAGTAAATTTTGAATTAATTGGGTCTGTTGTCTTTGGTGTAAGTATAAATCTGCAAAATATCTCCTAAACCTAGATTGTAAAGAGAAGAAAGGTTAGAGATGCATTTCTGTAGTTAATGATGATTAATGTCCAAGAACGTAGCCATCCTTAGTAAAGAAAAAATAATACCAAGAAAACAGTTGGGCATATATTCCTCTTAGGTTTCATCAGGCACAATTATCTTGAAAGACTAGCAATCCCACATGACACATACCCTGGTACTCATGTGTCCATTGCAACTGTAAAGGTACTTTAACTTCAAGGGAACTTCAAAGAAGAGAACTTTCCCACAGTTCACTTTCTTAACAGTTCAGTGGCCTTATTTACAGGATGAAAGTTCAGGTAGATTTTCTGGCATCTTATTTCAAAAGAATAGATACTGTCCTCCAAGTATGGATGCAGAGACATCAACACTTACCAACATGCAGCAACAGTCATAGGAACTAAACAGATTTGTAGCCCAAAATGGCACTGGTAAAAATACATGTCAGTCTGCACAGAGATTCTGAATGATTTACAATTAACAGTAGATGATGATGTTAATACCTGTTTTTAAAAAGTTGAGTCCATCAATGTGCTAATTAATCCCTTCCACAACGCAAGCAAGTTTGTATTCTTTGGAAAGATTTGGCACCAAGTTAAAAGTCACTTCTAAGTTTTGCAAAAATAAATAAGTTGATTTATTCTGTTACATAGATACCAACAAATTTCCAAAGTGGTAGTTGTAGGTACTACATAAAGTACAAGTTTCCCTGCTATGGACATATTAAAATGCTGCAAGTTGGTAGTTCCCAAGCCGGTTTGATCACCATAATCATTTCTGAAACTTATTAAAATACTCTTAGGCTTCTTACCCACAGGTCCCAGAAACAAGATGTTAGATGTCATCATTCATAATTTTCTTACAGTGTAGCAATTTTTGAAGAACCATATGCTGCACTATTTAATAAAAATCTGCATTTTTGACAAACCCCTCATTCCCAGGTATTTAATTTGCAAATGCTACATTGATAACACTGATATATGGAATGGATTGCTTCTCTAAAATGTCTGTGGAAAGCAACAGTGCAAAGACATTATATTTTCATTTCTTTTTGGGGGAGTGTTACTGTAATATTAGACATCCGACCTGAGAAGTTTGGAGGTACTATTGCCATGAACCATTTCTTCCGTAATTCAAAAGTTATCTTTGAAGTGACTCTGATTACCTGGGACGAGAAGGCCTCATTTCTGGGATGCAGGCATGCATTTTAACATAGACTTCAGGACAAATTAAGTTGATGTTTGCTGCAGGTTGCTATGAAAATTTAAATTCCACTGAACTCACCCTCAATCTTTAGTGTTCCTACTGGGTGATATTTAGGATTGGCTCTGGGAACATGTGTTAATTTTTCTTAGTAAAACTTATTTAAAGCTTCAACACTAATACTTCTCTAATTTTGGTATCATGATTCATTCTCAGCTTTAAAAATAAAGTGTCCTGGATCAGTTTCCTTTTGCGGTAACTCCAAGCATATACAGTTGACTCTTAACAACTCAGGGGTTGGGCTCTGACCCACTTCCCATGCAGTCAAATTCACATATAACTTTTGACTCCCCATAAACCAAACCTAACTGCTAATAGCCTACTGTTGACTGTCAGCCTTACCAATAACATAGTCAATTAACATATATTCTGTATGTTATATGTATTATATACTGTCTTATTACAATAAAGTAACTAGATAAAATCAAATGGGCTGGGTATGATGACTCATGGCTAGTAATCCCTGTATTTTGGGAGGCCGAGGTGGGAGGATCATTTGAGCTCAGGAGTTCAAGACCACCCTGGGCAACAAAGTGAGACCCTGTCTCTACAAACCAGGCATGGTTGTGCATGCCTGTAGTCTTAGCTACTCAGGAGGCTGAGGCAGGAGGATTGCTTGAGCCCAGGAGTTTAAGGCTGCAGTGAGCTATGATTGCACCACTGCACTCTAGCCTGGGTGACAGGATGAGATCCTGTTGAGTTCAAGACCAGCCTAGCTAACATGGTGAAACCCCGTCTCTACTAAAAATACATAAAAATTAGCCAGGCATAGTGGTTGGCGCCTGTAATCTCAGCTACTCGGGAGGCTGAGGCAGGAGAATTACTTGAACCTGGGAAGCAAAGGTTGCAATGATGAGGAAAAAAAAATATATTTACTGTTCATTAAGTAGGAGTGGATCATAAAGGTATTCAATCTCGTTGAGTAGGCTGAGGAAGAGGAGGGGTCTTTCTCAGGGGTGGCAGAGGCAGAAGAAAATTTGTGTATAAGTGGACTTGTACATTTTAAACCCATGTTGTTCAAGGGTCACCTGTATTTAAAATTCCACATTCAAATAAATTTGACCCTTGTGTATATTATTAATAATATACATAATTCTTAGAATAATAAATGAATGTTAGATTGTAAAATCATTGGCCTAGAGGAGTTGCCTAAAGATTGAAATAAACCAGCTTCTTGGCTTCTTTATTTTTTAAATGAGGGGCAGACACAAAGTAAATTTCCAAGTCACCTTGAAATCAGGCACTTTGAAGCCTAGCTATGAGTAAACTCAGTTATACTGTCTAATACCCATTTTAGCTTTTCTGTTTACAGCATAAACTTTAAGGCCGGTTTTAGTTCTTTTAAGAAGTCAAAAGCAGAACCTCTCTAGCAGAAGTGTTTTTCAAACATTAAATCCTAAACCAAAAAAAAAAGTGACCAAATTACAGAACTCTAGGAGTTTATCTTACCTACCTACCGCTGAAAGAGGATTTTTCTTTTTAAGAAAATTAGAATATTCTGATGGCCTAAACTTTTCTTGTCAAACAGGTAAAGTCTTGTTAGCCCAGAAAGTATCTCTTCTTAGGAGTGTTTAGATTTGTTGAGAGAGAGAAGGCTTTATTTCTTTTTTAGTAGAGACGGGGTTTCACCGTATTAGCCAGAATGGTCTTGATCTGCTGACCTTGTGATCTGCCCGCTTGGCCTCCCAAAGTGCTGGGATTACAGGCGTGAACCACCGTGCCCAGCCTGAGAAGGCTTTATTTCTAAACTCCCCACTTAATGTAACACTTTACTTCTTTCTTTTTATTGATATAGATAATATTTGTGCATGTTTTAGGGGCACATGTGATATTTTCATAATTGTATACCATGTGTAATGATCAAATCAGGGTAGTTGGAATAGCTATCACCTCAAACATCTTTGTGTTGGGAACATTACAAATCTGGCTATTTTGAAATATACAATATAAATTATTAACTATAATTTTCCTACTGTACTGTAAAATAGTAGAACTTACTCCTTCTAACTTTACTGTTGTACCATTTAACCAACTTCTATACATCCCTCCTTCCCCCACCCCACTTAATATAAGCATCTTTTTTTTTTTTTTTTGAGAAAAAGTCTTGCTCTATCACCCAGGCTGGAATGCACTGGCAAGATCTCGGCTCACTGCAGTCTTTGCCTCCCGAGTTCAAGCATTTCTCCTGCCTCAGCCTCCCCAGTAGCTGGGATTACAGGTTTGTGTCACCACACCCAGCTAATTTTTGTATTTTTAGTATAGATGGGGTTTCAGTATGTTGGCTAAGCTGGTCTCGAACTCCTGACCTCAGGTGATCCGCCCACCTCGGCCTCTCAAGAGTGCTGGGATTACAGGTGTGAGCCACCACACCCAGCCATAAGCATCTTTTAAAAAGGTGGAGGGGGGCTATCAACTGTTATTTTAAGCATAGTAAGAGTTCACCCTACTACTTTTACAATGAATTACTGCAAGATGTTTAGACATTGTGATCTTTTTATTACGGTTACTGTTTTCCCTAAAGGTCAAACCAATAACTTGAGATCCTGAGGTGCAACTCAAGAGTAGAAGCATCACTTAATACTAGTAACTTAAAAGAATAGCAGATCTGGCTCGCTGTGGTGGCTCAGGCCTGTAATCCCAGCACCTTGGGAGGCTGACACAGGTGGAGCACGTGAGGTCATGAGACCAGCGTGGCCAACATGGTGAAACCCTGTCTCTGCTAAAAATGTAAGAATTAGCTGGGTGTGGTGGCACACACCTGTAATCGTAGCTACTCAGGAGGCTGAGGCATGAAAATTGCTTTAACCCGAGGGGCAGAGGTTGCAGTGGGCCGAGATTATGCCACTGCACTCCACCCTGGGTGACAGAGTAACAGTCTCAGAAAAAGAAAAAGGAATAGTAGTGGGTCTTCAGATACTTAGATGTCATGAGCTGGGACTTTAATGGGCCATTTTTAAAATTTGACATTAAAAATTCCGTCCTAATGCCAGTAAATAATTTTCATCATTTAATTCCGCATGTTTTTGGTATATTCATCTAGCACCTTCTGAATGTTATTAGACCTCCTATATAGTTAACCTTGGATATCATATGGTGGTTTGGTAGACTTTTTTTTTTTTTTAATACACACACGTCTTTTAGCTTGGTTGATATGCCCTCAGCCTGAAAGATAACAACTTGCTTATTTATTACACAACCAGATTACTTGACTCCCTATGTTTGAAGTCCCCAGTTTAGATTGGTTATTAAGTAAGCATTCATTAGATTTTCAATTATTTATAAAAGCTAAATATAAAGAACCACAAACTATTTCAACAAGTTAATACAGCCAAAGCATATAGATAAATATATGAAACAATACAGTAAATACATGAGACCAAAAATTCAGTCTTTCATCAGTCTGGAAATAAACAAATATTTTGTGTGTGATTGTTTCTGAAACTGCAGACAGGTATTTTTAATTCTTAACTCCTACTGTGTTCAGTACATTATTCAGAAGATTAGCCAGGAACAGAAAATGTGCAATTTAATTTCCCTTAGGTTCAAGGTATAAGCTAAACAGAGTCTTTCCCTGCACAAATTATCAAGTTGGCTGTGTTTCACTGGATAGGAGATGGGACAGTGGGAATCTTGTTTGTTCATTGATGGGCGTCATTATTTAGATGGTGAGGCATTTGGCTACCTTGAAAGTCATCTTTACTCCCTGTTACCCTCACTTTATTGAATTTCTTTACTTTGACTTTCAGAGCTCTGGGCAGAAATCACATATTAGTTTGGAGGACTTTGTTATTTTATTCAAGTTAAAGTATAGGGTTTCCCCAAATTGAAAACCAGAGTAGCCTATGATCATTCCCTGTGGGATTCTTTAACTGTTAAGGCAAAAGAAAATGCAGTTGCACTTAAGAGTATATGGATAAAATAAAGAACTGTGAAGTGAAAAGGGGAGAGATTTTTTTAAAGATGACTATATTTTAACTCCTCCTGACTAGTAAATTCAAGGATACCAGGAAAGATGAGGTGTAGACTTTAAACCTTCCAACATTCCATTGTGTTAATCATTCTTCCTCATCAAAGAGGCAGTAAGGGATAATTTAGAGTGACTACAGTTACAAATAATGTGCTGTATAAGCACCCAAGAGCAGAGATAAGGATGGAATTAAGGGTGTTAAAGAAAATATGGCCTCTCTTCTTTACCATTTGATTGTTTTTGCTGTCCCTGGAGACTCATATCTCTCTCTATTCCTAGGACCAAAGTTTACACAACTGCCAAATATATAAACAAGAACACCCCTTAAAATTCCTGTGAAACATTGTACATCTTAAGAGAGCAGATGTGTCTATGGGCTGTCACAAATATCAGTCTTGCTATGTTAAGCATAAACTTAACAAATATTAGTGGAGACACACTATTTAGGATTCGCCTAAAACCCTCTAAGATAGAGGTCCCCAATCCCGGCCCCTGATCGGCCGCACCTGCAGGAGGTGAGTGATGGGCCAGTGAACATCATAGCTGAGCTCAGCCTCCTGTCAGATCAGTGGCCGCATTAGATTCTCATAGGTGTGAGAACCCAATTGTGAAGTGCACGTGTGAGGGATCTAGGTTGTGCTCTCCTTATGAGAATCTAACTAATGCCTGATAATCTGAGGTGGAAGAGTTTCATGCCAAAACCATCCCCTTGCCCTGTCCATTGAAAAATTGTCCTCCACAAAACGGGTCCCTGGTGCCAAAAAGGTTGGGAACCACTGCTCTAAGGTGTCCAGTGTTGGCTGACCCCTCTCCCTACTTATGCACCCATTGGCTTGCCTAACAGCTGATTGATTTCTGTTTAAATAGACACAGTATATTGGGGCAGTTTATTGCATCTTTGGTCATCTCTTTTCCTCTGGGTCCCTAGGACGGAAGACAATATCCTAAGTTGATTCTGTCTAACAAAACATGAGTAAAATGAGGAATTGGTTAGGTAGGTGGCAAACAGCAAAGATTATATGGACTTGTAGCTTGCTCCATAAGTAGACTTTAACCAAGTAAGCTATTTGAAAAACAATCTTAATTTTTTTCAAGTGTTATTTTTAATTCTATAGGAATATTTTCATAAAAATAATGATGTCCATTATGTTAGCAACTAGAATTACAATGGCAAGTTTTAGGAGATGCTTGAAATGTGAGATGTTACATTTAAAACTATAAAGTTATCGACCTAAGTATATGATTGTACCCATGTGGCAGTAAACTTAAAACTTCCAGTTTCAGGTTTTGTTGTTTGTTTGTTTGTTTGTTTTAAAGAGTTGTTAATGGGGGAAAGGAAAGGAATATGTGAGGGAGATTGGCTTGCAAAGCCTAAAATATTTCTTATGTGGCCCTATATAGAAAAAGCTTGTGTATTCTGGACAAGAGCAATTAAAGGAAATAGTTTGGACTTAAAACTTCTAAAAATAAATAGTGCTCAAATTGCACTTGGAAGTCAGAGACCTTGCTGGTCATCAAAGGGTTCAGTTCAGTCAGTAGTTAGAAAAGACAGAAGCCAGCTTAGCCAAGAGTCAGAATACAAATATTCAGAACCGATTAATAGGCAAATAATTATATATACCATGTCCCAGCCAGTAGATGGAATAATATGCCACCATTAAATTTATATTAACATGTAAAAATGTTTGGAGTTTAGGGCTCTTTACCCATATCTTAGTGACATAGGAAGAAAATTAAGATAAATCACAAGCAACTAGAAAATAGACATGTTAACTTTATTTTAGTACATACTCTGGTAGGATTTTTACATAATCTTACGTACTAGTCAGCCTTCTTAGAAGTGTCACATAGTCAATATCCTTAAAGAGAAATGGAAGCTAATCAGGTAAGTAAATTGTGAGCTGAGGCCTACATCATGCTTGCTATTCAAAGAGAATAAAGTAATTGGATAAATGATAATGCCTCCTTGTTGGGAAAACAGTCTTCAAAAATGGCACTAAGTTACAGTTCTAATGCAATAGAGTCACTAATTACTATGAATACTTGTTTTACTTGGCAGATTACTAACAAAGTTAATTGGATACAATAAATGTAAAGATTTTCTTTTAAAACGACAGATTCTTCAGTGAGGTGTAAACATTTTATAGAACAATTATCAAAGCTATATTGGACTTAAATATTGGTCATGAATGTATGCACACCCCATAGGTAGCTGCCCTCCTTGGGCAGCTTTTGACTCCTATGCCAAATTTTAAAATAAAGGCCGTGGCCAGGCGTGGTGGCTCATGCCTGTAATCCCAACACTTCAGGAGTCCAAAGCGGGCGGATCGCGAGGTCAGGAGATCGAGACCGTCCTGGCTAACACGGTGAAACCCTGTCTCTACTAAAAATACAAAAAAAAAAAATTAGCCGGGCGTGGTTGCAGGCGCCTGTAGTTCCAGCTCCTTTGGGAGGCTGAGGCAGGAGAAGGATCTGAACCCGGGAGGCAGACCTTGCAGTGAGCCAAGATCGCGCCACTGCACTCCAGCCTGGGCAAGAGCGAGACTCCATCTCAAAAAAATAAAATAAAGGCCATATGTTTAATCACATTCCCCAAAAGGAGAACTTCATAAGGCACTAATGAGTAATGTTTATTTTACGAATGATTTTACGGGAAAAATTACAGAGGATGTTTAAATTGCAAAAATACTCCTCCCCTTTTTTCTCCTCCACCGCCCCCCAAAAAAAATCCTTTGCAGTTATCACCTAAGCTTTTTGGGTGTGTGATTTAAAAAAAAAAAAAAAAAACCACAAGACCTACCTTAACAATTTAAGTATGCAGTATTGTTTCTTCTCAGCTGCCCAGTCTTTGTAATTCTTATTTCTTATGCAGAACAATTTAGCATTTGACCCTACTATCACCAAAAAAAAAAAAAAAAGAAAAAAATATATAGCAGTTGAGGGCAGTATACAAGCTTAGTAAGTATATTCTGGTACTTGCTTAGGAAGTAGGAAATGTGATCAGATTCTGTTCTCTACCATATGACACTGATTTGCAAGGCCCCGGGTACAGGACTACTGGTAAAAAGAACCCTGTAACTTCCTGTCACAGAGGGACACAGCAATATATATAAAACAGCATCTGCCGTAAATCTTTGGGGAACGTCTTACTAGATTTAACCAGCTAATTTTACTAGGTATTTAGGAAAGTGTGACTGCAGTTCAGGGTCTTTGTTTTTTCTTTTAAGACAGGGTCTGGCTTTGTTGCTCAGGCTGGAGTGCAGTGGCATGATCAAGGCTCATTGCAGCCTCAGCATCCCTGGGCTGCAGCGATTCTTCCACCTCGGCCACCCAAAACTGGGATTATGGGTGTGAGCCACCACACCTGGCCTCTTATATCTTGATTAAGGTCCTGTCTGGGCCTACAAAGGTTCAATTTGCTTAACCCCAGCACTTTCCCTCAACATGGAGGTCCTTAGTCAACATTAACCAAGGTAATAAAGAGTTGAAAGTTTTAATCATAAGTAGGTGGAGGAGCATTTAAACTGGTTTAATAAACTTGAAATATGAATACCTTAAATATTCGAATAACAAAGCACTGGTGAAACAGGTTTTTCTATGGAAAGACCACAATTTTCTATCCAGCACATTTCATTTGACTGGGTTCCTTTGTTTCTGTAATAAATAGGACTTTGAGAATTCCAAATCAAATTTGCACTTTTGCACAAAAGGTTCACTTGGTGACTCTCATGCCTCCATAAGTGTGTTCCATCTGATTCTGCACAACCTACTGCCTTCAGGGTATCCTGGGACCAGCCAAAGAGATGATTCCAACCAGTGGAATCATCATTAAACTAGTGGTTCTTAAAATATGGACACTGAGTCAACCTGCATCAGAATTACTGTAGATTCTGGACAAATGTACGAAGTCAACATCAAATCAGTGCTACATTTTGAAAAGGTAACTGTAATAAAAAGATTTTTTTGAGATACTGAAATTGCAGTGAAGACAATGTTCCCACCTTTTTAAAATGGTGTAATATTAGGTTCATTTATGGAATGTTTTATGAAGCAGATTTGTATTTTAACAAGCCTTTTAGGAATGCAGATATTATAGGGGATAACATGAATGGTGGTAAAGAGGGGGGCATATTTGAGCAATGATTTTTCAAGAGCTATGAATTTACAGTGCAATCCTAGCAGGAAAAGAGAGGGAGAAAAGAACATCTATTTTGAGCTGCAGACATAATTGCATCACAGCTGAGATTTCATAGTCCCCGTCCTCTCTATTCCTGTTGAATTACATGATTAAAGGTAACTATATATATATGAATATATGAAGATGTTTAATTGTTGCAGGTTGGAGAATTTGGGCCAGGGAGAATTCACTTGGCCAATGAGTTAAAAATGAGAAAAGGATTAGCAGTCATCAAAATTTCTAAGTAGTTAATTATCTGCATGGTGGGTTCAGTATAAACAAACATGGTACTCTCAAATGACTGTTGATGGGCTATTAAATTACATTAGTATCCTGTGAACCCTGGTCATAGCTGGAAAGGAGAATCTTTTGAGAAATGGAAAAACCAGGTTATTTGTACATAAGGAATATGTCTTTTAAACACCCCCAAAGTATAGATTAAGACGTGATTGATGAAAAGTCTCCATTTTCTAATGATGGTTTTATGAAACCAAAGTATTTACAACTAAGAACCAACCATCTGATCGCCAGTAGAGAGTGGAAAATAGGAAAGGGTAACGTCTCAGTATGGTATCTGGAGTAGTCTGGCTAGGACCATAAACTTCATTTTGTTTACAAGTTCCCAGAAAATAAGCCTGAATGAGCTTAGAGCTTAATACTTCCAGTGATGGTTCTCTCTTCCCTCAAGTATACAGATTAACTATTTTTGTGCCGTGGGCCTTTTGACAGCCCCCAAAAGCCCGTGGATCCCATCTCAGAATGTTTTACATGTGTATTACATAATGCTCACACATTCTAAATTTTATCTACCGACTCCTAGTTAGAAATCCCTTGCAAGGGGTGTTAGGGTTCTGAGAGAAGGCTGGTAAGTAATGAGGCTTTTAACTTATTTCAGTATCCTGTTCAGGTCGGGAATATGTTGTGTTCTAATTACTCTAGTTTCCAGCTCAATTGGTGTTGGAGAAACTAGCCCACTTATAAGTGGCTCAAATGAAAACCCACGGGGAGGCATTTTTCTTTAATAAGCAACCCTAAGCCCCCTTTGAAGTCAGTCTGACTAATCAAAAGAAAGAGGTTATATATCCCAGTTTTGACCTTTTGTGAAAATAGCCCTTTTACTGTATGTGATATATTATTGGCATCTCATTCTGCACAGTCCAAATGATGTAGACAAAATAGTGATTGGTATATAACTATGGACACCGAAGATCCACTGCAAGGCCTGCCGATCACTTTACACAGAAGGAGCCCCTTTCCTGAGGTCCGCTTGCTCGCTCGGGGTGGGGTGGTACTTTGCCCTAGTAAACTACCAAGCAGTCCGAACGTTCGCTCCTCTGGAAGACCGAGTTGTGGGCGGCTGCGCTGCGGGGGCAAACTCGCCGCATGCCCGCTGGCCAGAGCGAGTCGGGGCCTGGCGTTAGGGCAATCCAGACTGGCCGGCATGGTACAGGGCGTATCCCTAGCCGCCTTCTGTGTCATATGGGGCGCCGCCCTCCAGCCTAGGAGAGGCGGCCGCTAGGAGGGGCAGAAGGGCCTTGTCTGCCCCGGTCTGAATACCCCAGGCGGGGTCGGAAAGCGGGTCACAGAAGAGCCCAGTAAACTGCAGGGGTGCAGCTCGTCTCCAGGAACCGGCAACCCCCAGGGCCGCACAAGCCGGTAACAACCCATAATCCGATCCTGTCTTCGGGATCAGAAGAGAGGACAGCTGGCCCGCGCGCCAGCTCAGTTCCTCCTCCGCATTCTTCAGGAGGAGCCCCAGAAACGCACTTCCGCCGCGCGGGCCTGCCTCCACGCAGGGCGCGTCCTAGGCCGGTTCATTTCCGCCCAGCGCTTTCTGTGGCTAGGGGAGTCAGGGGTTTCCTTTTCCCTTATTCGGGCTCTTATGTTACCCCCGTTTTCCGTTGAACCCTTTTCTCCCCTCTTGCCCTCCAAAAAAGCAGTCTGCTGCCGCTCCCGACTTTTCTCGCTGAGACACCGTCAGCTCACTCCGAGCCCAGCACAGCGGCCATCTTCGGTAAATTCTGGCAGCAGCCCGCCTGTTCATTGTCCTGTGTGCCCAGAGGAAAGAACTACTCATTTTTCGTGATCAAGCTAGGGGAGGCAGGAGCAATAATGGCCCTGCTATAGGACTGGCTTTTATTTGAATTCCAACTCTTCTGCCACCTTAACCAGCTGTATCCAGATTTTAAAAGTTAATCTATCCGAGCCTCTTATTAAATATTAGGTTGATGAGATGATGCATGCAAAGCGCTTAGAACAGTACTAGGCATAAAGCGTCCGACATAAAGGTTAAGTAAAAGTAAGGAAAAGCTATGGGGATGTATTGAGTATCTCTTTGCCCAATGACGTATTAGTCGTATTAAATATGGAAAGTGCCTTTGATTCGCCGTGCCCATGGGAGAAGGCATAGGAATGGCCTTTTCCCACCTGTAATCAGAGAGCAGGTGTTTCAAGAACGCCTCAATATGTTTGCGATCTCTCACGCAGCCTTTCAGGCTCCTAATTCCTACGAAGTTTCCGCTTTTATTCAAATTGGCTCACTCCTTTTTGCAGGGCTTTGTACTGAATGAGTATTCTTTTAAGGGTGGTGGACAAGCAAAGGTTTGGTAGCATCACATTTTTAATTTCACAGGGAAAATGGGTATGAAACATCTTCCCAAGTACATCTTAGACTGCCAGCTGACAGCAAGCCATAATGCTCCCCAGCTCTTGGGCCCTACACCCCCTCTCCCCCATCCCCGCTTTAGTTCTTTGTCATTGCTCATGGACAGCTGGTTTGGGGACCAGGTGCAGATGATGGGAGGTGTCTGAAAAACAGCAAGTGAGAAATGCTAGTTTTGTTGTTTTAAGTTGCACTGATGACTCCAGTAGTTATCTGTGCTGCTTGTGATAATTTATAAGGCAATGATAACGAATTAAACATACAAAAGATTATTATCTTCCACAGGAAAAAAAAACTGCAAACTTGTGACACCATTTATGATCCACTTAGTCTTGAGATACTGAGTAATAGAACTTTCTCCTTTTAGGCTGAGTTATGAACTTCGGTTTGGTTTCTTTCTGCAATCCCTGCAGGGCCATAAATTCTTGGCCCTTAAGACTGGGTGGCCCATAACAGACTCAGTGATACCATCAGTAACCACAATTCACACTGGAGTCAAGTTATCTGATTCCCACACCAGTTGGAGAACTGGAGATTCCTTAGAACTTTTAACTGTCATGTTTTCAAAGTTGACATGGAAAATTTTACATGAAGCTTAAAAATACAACTAATCTGTGGTGATAGAGACGAGAAGAGTTAAGCTCTAAAATTAGAAGAGCAGTTCGTTTTGAGGCAGCACTGATTGGGAGGGAGCATGGAGTATATAATTACACATTTCTATGTAATGTAAAAATGTATAGATTTAAGATTTATGCATTTTATGTAAATTTTACTACAATAAAACGAAAATGAAAGAAGACAGATCATAGTTTAATCAAATATTGTGTACAAAGTAATTTCTGTTAAACATTTATATTTTTATGTGTATATGTATCTTTTACATGTATGTGTTAAGGATATGCATTAAAATGGTAATAACTTCCTCTGCCTGTTGGGATAATGGAGAGTTTTGTTACTTTTTGTCTTTTTTTAAAACATGTTCTTCAATAATAATGTATTGCTTTTGTAATTATGAAAAACAAAAGTTATTTTGTAAATCTTTGTTACTGATAAGAGATGGGTATTCTGTTAACTACTCAATTCTCATGTAGGAAAACAAAATAAATAATGTCTATTTGATAAATCGAGAAACAGAAGCATTACTTAGAAATCTGAGTTACCTCTAAAATAATGACTGGCATTTGAAGTTGAGGATGGGTCTTGAGTTCCTGTGATTTTAAGCTCTTGGATATGAGGGTTGGGTGAGTTCCTCTTTTTCTCTTTTAAAATATATGTATGTTTAACTTTGCTAAATAAAATTTAAAAGATGCAATGTATCTCAGTGCAATTTTTAAAAATTTATTTTCATCCAGGTTACTCTACCCTTTCCCTTTGTCATTCAGCAGGCAGAACAAGGAAAAATTAAACTTCTAACTGAAAGGAACTTTGAATAGCAATCAATATCAAATTAGAGACAAAATATAAATATTGCTCAATATAAAATGAGGGTTTTTCTTAATTGAGGGGACAGAAATACAGCTTCTCAGTTATCATAAATTGCATCTTTTTTGGGGAGGGCCTTTTTGGCTTGCATCCATTACCAATTATATATCTTTCACTACTGTGGGAACTGCATTATGGAAACAGCTAAAGCTTGTGTATTTAGCGCCCTCTAGTGCATTATCTTATAACTGATAATACTCCAAACAGCTAGAAAAAATGTAAATCTCAGTCCACCTCCCCTCTTTGCACCTACATGTTTCCTAGCCATGAGACATTAGGCTGTGACCTCACAGTAGTTCTTTAATCTCTAGGCTTCAATTTTCTCATTTGTAAAATGAGGACGATAATAAATACTAGATAGGGTCCTGAGAACTAACTGAATGGTCTATGCTTGTGACATGAATGCCTGGCACATAGTAGAAGCTCGATTAGTGCTAGCTACTCTAACATATAAATAGATCGAGTCAGTACTAACATGATTAAAGACAAGTAATCTTGACTCAGATGTCAGAATCTGCTAGTAGGAAAGTGGAAAATGTTAAAGAGGAACCAAAAAATAAAGAATGAAGGCCTGGGTTTGATACTCATCTTTGGTTCCCTTTTGAGTCAATTGATGCCAATTCTGAAGTCTGGGAACATGTTAAATTCCTTTGCATCCTTCACAGTGCATATAATTGCACACTGTCAACAAATATTTGTGTTAATATTCAAGCTAAATGGTTAGCAAACAAGATGAAGAATGACAGAAAATAATAATTAGTATAAAAATTTGTATTTGGATTCAACTTTCTGTTATTTGAGGCAGAAGCCAAATGCCATTTTTTGGATTGTAGCTTCGGAACAGGCTGTGGACAAGATTTGTGTTACCCGTGTGCAAATGAGCAGCATAATTATACTGTGTGTTTCATATGTTCGCTATGTGACTTTTGTGACTCATTACTGACAACGACAATAGTAGGTTCTAGAATCCTGCCGTCATCCATTCTCACCCATTTTCAGCATTGCATAGGCTATACAGCTAAAATTTACTTCCTCAGACACATTCCAAGAGATACCTTCTCTCCACATAGTCTACATGACCATCTATAGTTCTTTTCCTGCACTGACAGACATAGACTTTGGTACTTAATACCAGTACTTCTTGGGCTCTCCAAGAACCCAGTTGCTTGAGGAAAGCATTGGGTGCTTCTCACCCTGAGTCCCTGGAATCTTTGGTTGGGCCTGTATATAATAAATGTCCCCATTGCTTATTTTTCTTGTGTGCTTTATATTAGACATGTCACAGTGTTGTCTCTCCTTCCCTTCCATTGCCTCAGTGCTAAACCAGACCAATTTTCTCATGAAAGGTACATGATACAGGTAACCATGCATTGTGCCTCTATTAATGCTTATACATTATGCTAAGCATTTTACATCCACTACTTCTTTCACAACCACATCCAGTAATAGAGTATTCCCATTTTCCAGAGGGGAGAATTGCCCTAGTTCACACAGATAAATGGCAGAGCCAGACTTCCAACCCAAGTCTGCCTCTAGAATCTGTGGATTCAACACTGCATCAGAAACTCCAAAGGGAAAATTTTGAGTTGTCTGTCTCCAGAAATTCCTGCAAGGAAAATCATGAAGCTCCCTTTAGGCACTAAGCCATAAGTTCTGAGGCTTCATCCTTTTCAAGAAAACCCACCTACCTAGCCCTGATAATTATTAGAACTGCGATGACTCACATTTACTTGGCACCTCACAGTTTTCAAAGGTTGGCCCATGGGGTATCTCATTTTATTTTCCAGAAAATCTTTTGCGTTCATCATCAACTGAGTGTCCAAGCTGGTGAAGCAAGTTCTTTTCTGGCAGAAGATTGCAGCTCCTATTATTTACCCCCCAGGGGATAAACTGCAAATCCCAGGCCTTACAGCTGGGAACACAGAGCTAGCTGTGCAAGCATATAAAAAACCTTGACAAAGCAGGAGGGGGGTTCACATACTGGCTATCCTCATTACAGTGCATTGGGCAAGGAGCTCTCCCACTGGAAGCTGTATCACAGAACCACAGGCACTGCCTTGGCGGGCAAAACCACATTCAGCAGTTCTTCAATCAGCCAGGGCCTTCCCTGCCCGTGTGCTCATTCATTTATGCTACGCATGTGGTCTCTTATAATTGCTTTTCCTCTCCTTAACTCTCTTTTCATACCCCAGCCCCTACCCCCAACTCCCTCTTGTCCTTAAAAGCTTCTTCCTGCTTTACACCTTAACCTCTTTGTAGGATCCCAGTAAATGCCAAGGCTTGTGGGGGTGGAAGATTATAAATCAAAGCCACAGACACAGACATGGGGGAGGAGCCACCCAGGGGGTGGAAGGGCCACAACTTCAAAACAAATGAGCCTCTTTCATCCCAGTGGGATTTTTGTTTTTTAAGGTCTGCAGTTCCGGTGGGGCATTAAATCAGAAGCTATGGTTTCTGGGATTTATAGGAAGAACAACAACTAGAGAGTTGTCCATATGTGTTCCCTGAGTTTCAGCAAAACTTGGGGGCCTAGAGAAGTCCTGTTATTTTTAAAAAAGTGTCGTTTCTCCGTTAACAAAATAGGTTTCACATTTTAAAAGCAGCTTAAAGCATAGCATCAACCATTCTTCCTCCACAATTGAGAAGTTCCATTAAATGATAGAAGGGGTCAGATTTGAGATATCTGACTAAATATTATTTAAGAAAAGTTAAATTTTGTCAGTTCTCAATTATCTGTGCTAGTGGAGGGGATCCAGGGACAGAATTCCACTGGGACTTTAATTCACTTGTTGATTTGCATTTGGCATTATGAGGCATTTTAGTAATGAACACTTTAATATGGGTGTGCCTGCAGTTCTGGAAATTTACAACTGTTTATAGCAAATAACAAAGCTACTCAGTGAAGATGCTGACAGGGCTGGAATGCTGTCAAATGACTTTTCCAGCCTCTGGACCAACTCTGTTTACTGAGGCCTGGAAACAAAATAGGCTTTGGCTTCAGACAGGAACGTTTAAATCCTTAGACTCACATTATCAAGTAGTTTAGGAAAAAAAAAAAAATCCTGATGCTGCTGTGTAATTTTTCAGATTCTTCATTTGAAAAATGGGAAAAAGAAGTAATATCACGTACCTTGACCATGGTATCAGAGAATGACCTCAGAAGTTGTGAGGGAATTCTCAGACAAAACTTTGAAATATAATCCAGGATTCAATCAGGTATTATTTTAATCTTTAAGTAGTCTTGATGGGTTGCAAACTTTCATGAATAGAGGAGAGCTGCTAAGTACTTGGGTTAAGAGGGCTTGAGACCAACTCCGGTATAAATTGTGACATTCTGTCTATATAGTATAAAGGACGCTCAGCATAACCCAAGAAGGTCACAGACCAGAATCACTGGCTGAAACCTCTGGCAGTGACCAACCTCAACTCAAAAGGTAAGTATATTTTGTGTTCCTAAGAATCCAGAAAGTTCAAAATTTCTATTAAGAAGTTGCTGCTGGCCAGGCACAGGGGCTAACACCTATAATCCCATCTCTACAAAAAATACAAAGAAGCCAGGCATAGTGACAGGCACCTATAGTCCCAGCTACTGGGGAGGCTGAGGCAGGAGGACTGCTTGATCCCAGGAGGCAGAGGTTGCAGTGAACCAAGATTGTGCCACTGCACTCCAGGCCCAGAGCAAGACCCTGCCTTTAAAAAAAGAAAGAAAAAAAAAGTTACTGCTTGCTAGAAGACCTGAGACCTTCCCATAGCCACATGAATGGGTATGGAAGTAAATTTGCCTCCAGGAGAGCCTTCAGATGAAAAGGTGGAAGCCCAACACCTTGATTACAGCCTTGTGAGAGAACCTAAATTAAAGGCACCTAGCTAAGCTGTACCCGAGATTCCTGACCCAAAGAAATTGTGAGATAATAAATGTTGTTTAAAGCTGCTTTTAAAAAAAGAAGTTTCTGCTCTACGGTTTATCTTCAGTCAACTTATTCTGTGTGTTAATACGTGAGCCATTATAACTCTCAATACATTTGAATTTGCACTAAGTGGCAGATGTGGCCTTGAGTTCTCCACACTGCCCAAGAAGCCAGATGGCAAGAAGGCTCATTTAGGCAGCCCTCCTACACAAAACTCTGCACCACATGCACAAATTCTGAATTGTGTCTGTAGGAGGAGGGGGTGGTTAGAATCGGGCAGAAAGAGCCAGAAACCAAGTGCCCAAGCATTCATGATCTGCTGAAAATACCAAGTGAATTTCTGCAGTTTCCTTACCATCCATATTATATAACATGCCCTGGATTAAGGACTCATTCTTCATCACTGAGGTAGAATTGGGTCCTTGTGCCCATAAACAAAAGAAAGCTTGGCTAATGCAATTGTACATTCTTTCCAAAGAACACATTTGTTTTCAGATGAGGAAGTCAGAGCACTGTTGTGCTAAATGTTTAGATCTGGTATTACTTAGGATAGGGGTTGGACAACTGTAACAAACAGATGCCAAAATTGAGTAGCAGTTCAGTAATGTCAGGGGCCTGCTTTCCTTCTCTTGGTGCTGCCACCCTCAATACATGGCTTCTATTTCACTGTTTAAGATAGCTGCTCCAGCTCCCACCCTCACATCTGTGTTCCAGCAGAAAGGGAGAAAATGAAGACACTGTCCTCACTTTTAAGGATAACAATCTGGGCCAGGCACGGTGGTTCATGCCTATAATCCCAGCACTTTGGGAGGCTGAGGTGGGCAGATCGCTTGAGTTCAGGAGTTTGAGACCAGCCTGGGCAACAGGGTGAAACCCTGTCTCTACAAAAATAACCCAGGTGTGGTGGTGTGCGCCTGTAGTCCCAGCTACATGGGGGGCTAAGGCAGTAGAATTGCTTGAGCCTAGGAGACTGAGGCTGCAGTGAGCCATGTTCTTGTCACCGCACTCCAGCCTGGGTGACAAAGTGAGACCATGTCTCAAAAAAAAAAAAAAAAAAGAATCTGGATGTTGCATACATCACTTTTACTCCCATCTATGACCATATCTGGCTGCAAGGGAGGCTTGGAAACTGGATGACTCTGTATTCAGCTAAAAATTCCATTATATAAGAAGAAAAGTACAGATTGGAAGATAAACTAGCACTTTCTGCCAGGATTCCCTTCCTGTGGCTTACCCCTCCAAACATACCTGATTAATATTCAAACTGCTGGGCGAAAAGCCTATTTAATTCCCTATGTAAAGAACATGTTGAAAACTAGAGGCTTGTCCAGGTGCGGTGGCCCACACCCGTCTCTACTAAAAACACAAAAACTAGCTGGACGTGGTGGTGGGCACCTGTAATCCCAGCTACTCAGGAGAATTGCTTTAACCTGGGAGGCGGAGGTTGCAGTGAGCTGAGATTGTGCCACTGCACTCCAGCCTGGGTGACACAGCAAGACCCTGTCTCAAAAAAAGAAAAAAAAAAACTAGAGGCTGTTTTGCACCCTCTATTTTTTTGGGTAGCACAGGTAGTACATGTTTATTCTTGAGGGGAAAACAAAATACAAATCAGTAAGAACTTAAGAATTAACATCATGAGACTCTATACCCAGTGATAATAATGGTAGGATTTTGATGTCTTTCCTGATAGACTTTCCTGAAACAAATGTAGACATATATAACATACAATCTCATGGTGCCGATTTACATTATATAATGTCAATCACCACCATCGTGATGATAAATGGCCAGTACTATTGTGTATGTCAGGTGGGGAGAGGACTTTAAACCTAACCTGTCATACAATTGAAAGAAAATAGAAATTGGGAGAATTGGATTTCACTTCTACCTCTTCACTGACCAACTGACCCTGTGTCACCCTGAATCAGTAACCTAAGAAAATCTTTTTTCTTTTTTTAAGACAGAGTCTCACTCTATCACCCAGGCTGGAGTGCAGTGGCGCGATCTCGGTTCACTGCAACCTCTGCCTCCAAGGTTCAAGCAATTCTGCCTCAGCCTCCTGAGTTGCTGGGATTACAGGCATCCACCACCACTCCCGGCTAATTTTTTTTTTGTATTTTTGGTAGAGACAAGGTTTCACCATGTTGGCCAGGCTGGTCTCGAACTCCTGACCTCAAGTGATCTACTCGCCTCAGCCTCCCAAAGTGTTGGGATTACAGGTATGAGCCACTGCAACTGGCCCCCACAAAATCTTTTTTTTTTTTTTTTGAGACGGAGTCTCGCTCTGTCACTAGGCTGGAGTACAGTGGCTCAATCTCAGCTCACTGCAACCTCCGCCTCCTGGATTCAAGCAATTCTCCTGCCTCAGCCTCCCGAGTAGCTGGGACTAGAGGTGCACGCTGCCATTCCTGGCTAATTTTTTTGTATTTGTAGTAGAGACGGGGGTTTCACCATGTTGGCCAGGATAGTCTTGATCTCCTGACCTTGTGATCCGCCTGCCTCGGCCTCCCAAACAACTTAAAACCTTAATGTTTCCATTTCTCCATCTGTAAAATGGAAATTAGTTACATTTGATTTTTCTTTTTTTTTTTTTTTTTTTTTTTTTTTTTTTTTTTTTTTTGAGACGGAGTCTCGCTCTGTCGCCCAGGCTGGAGTGCAGTGGCGCGATCTCGGCTCACTGCAAGCTCCGCCTCCCGGGTTCACGCCATTCTCCTGCCTCAGCCTCCCGAGTAGCTGGGACTACAGGCGCCCGCTACCACGCCCGGCTAATTTTTTGTATTTTTAGTAGAGACGGGGTTTCACCTTGTTAGCCAGGATGGTCTCGATCTCCTGACCTCGTGATCCGCCCGCCTCGGCCTCCCAAAGTGCTGGGATTACAGGCGTGAGCCACCGCGCCCGGCCTACATTTGATTTTTCTAATCCCTAAGATAGTTATGAAAATCAATTATTCCTCCCTGTATTCCTTCAAGTACTCTTGAATGCCCACTATGTGTCAGGTATTGAGAACAAGACACACATGCTCCCTGTCCCCATGGAGTGGAACCTAATGAGTGAGGCATAGCAACATGTTTTGAGAAATATCAGCTGGGATACATTAGGTAAAGGGTTACTGTCGAGAAGTGGCCACCAACTATCCCTAGCATTCCTTGGTCCTTCACACTCTCCTTGATGCCTCCTTCCCAAGGCCAAAGTGGGGGAAGAGGTGAGAGATAAAGTGGTCAGATGAGTGGCTATGGCCCAGCCTGGTCAAGCTGCCATTTTACACTCCACCCACTCCCCAACTCAGTCAGCCCTAACTCTACTACATGAATCCAGATTTTCTCTTCTATGTGCCCCACCCTCTGACAGGGAAGTAGGAAAACAGAGATTTGTAGAAGTTGGTAAAAGCTAATGTCAGAAGGCAAAGTTCCATTTCTAGATCCAAGAAAAACTTCCTGTTTTGTTAAGACATTTCTTAGGAGCGGAAACTGGCTCACTCAAATGAAAACCACAATGAATAATTTTACTGATTTGTACCATATGTTTAGCAAGCCTGAAATCCCAAGAGGAGGTTGGTGAATAAAGAGAAATCAGAAAGGGACTGTCAGATACCAACCCCCAACCAACCAGGGCTTTTCCCCACATCACCACTCCCTGAAGGAACAGCGACAACTGAGGGAGTGGAAACACATTTGGGACACGTGATGCAAAGGTAACCTGGTGGCTCATTTAAGGGCTGTGTGACTTGGATTGGTCATCATCCTTTCTCCAGATGGAGTTTCCCTTTTTACAAAAAGATCTAGAAAATCAGCTGTACTAGCATAGACAGTGCTGCAGTAACAAATTAGCTCTGGAGTCTTGGCTTAACACAGTAAAAGTTTATTTCGTGTTTTCATTAAATGACACATACAGGTTGGTGGTGGAATGGGAAGTGGAGATGGGAATTCTGCTTAAGCACCCTGGTTGATAGAGGCTCTGGCACTTGCAGCTATATTACTGGAGCCTTGGGCCATCACCATCTTGGCCGTAGAGGGAGAGAATGCATAGAGAATTCACATGTGTCCTATACTTCAGCCTGGAAGGGACACATATCACCTCTGTCTCAGTGGTTGGACAGAACAAACTACAGATGGACTGGGACAGATGGGGAAGCCTATGGATATTTGGTGAGCAATACAATAAATGCCTCTGCCACAACAGCCTTTTAATGCTGTGTGCATGTTACTACGTGTTATGGCATCTCAGAATTCCAGACAGATCTTTTGGATCCTAATCTGCTGGGATGTCTCATCTAAGATTCTTATTTATTTCCTGAGCACCTAATAGGCAGTCCTCGTGTCAAAAACAGCACACCAGTGGGTTCTGCATAATGATTTTACCTCTAGAGTTTTCCCTCTCCTCTCCTCTCCCCTCCCCTCCCCTCTTCTCCCCTCCCCTCCCCTCCCCTCTCCTCTCCCCTCCCCTCCCCTCTTCTCCCCTCCTCTCCCCTCCCCTCCCCTCTCCTCCTCTCCTCTCCTCTGTTGTCCAGGCTGGAGTGCAGTGGCACAAACACAGCTCACTGCAGCCTCAATTCCTAGGCTCAGGCAATACTCCTGCCTCAGCCTCCCATGTAGCTCAGACCACAGGTGTGTGCCACCATGCTAATTTTTTTTTAAATTTTTTATTTTTTTGTATAGACAGGGGCTCACTTTGTTGCTCAGGCTGGTCTCAAACTCCTAGGCTCAAGCAATCCTCCTGCCTAAGCCTCCCAAACTGCTAGGATTACAGGCATGAGCCACCATGCCTGGGCTTTTCGTTTTTAATTTAATTTTTTACCTAATTAGCTAGTCCACAGGAATTAGCAGCTCAGCGTGGCCTCACAATATGTTGTTGGAGGACTGACATAGCTTGGTGTCCCTGGGAGCATGGATTAGTCAGTCATTGGAATTCAAAGCTGAGTTTTAAAACAGTATGGAATTTTAAGCTGTTCACATTTAATTCCACAAAAATGACAACGTAGAACTGAAGGGTTGTTCTCTGAAGGATTATTGACCATAATTGTTCAAAATGTATTACGATTCAAGCCTCCTCTTACAGTTGACTCATGTTTGACTCTTGTCCAGTGTTTCTATGCCCAGGGATGGTGCTCTGTATGCATCACTATTATCAATTAAATATACATACAGTCCGTACATGTAGGCTGCAGTTCACTTGAATGAAGTTGTATGCCCTTGCCAAGTAGGGGAGTAGGGTGGGAGGAGTCACTTTCTTTTTTCTGTCTTTTTCTTTTTCTTGCCTTTTTTTTTTTTTTTTTTTTTAAGACAGGGTCTCACTTTGTCACTCAGGCTGAAGTGCAGTGGTATGAACATGGCTCACTGCAGCCTCAACCTCCTGGGCTCAAACAATTCTCCTGTCTCAGCACTCCTCAAGTAGTTGGGACTACAGACATGTGCCAGCAGGCCCAGCTAATTTTTGCATTTTTTTTAGAAATGGGGTTTCACCATGTTGCCCAGGCTGTCTCTACCTCCTGAGCTCAAGTGATCTGCCTGCATTGGCCTCCCAAAGTGCTGGGATTACAGGCGTGAGCCACCGTGCACTGGTGGAGGCAGTCAATTTCTAAGTGATAGCTTATTCAGGTCTGAGTTTCTCTGCCTTCCCCTCTTGATCCTTGGTTTGGGGACATTTTGTCATCCACCAAAAAGGCAGGAGAGAGCAAGGCAAATACAGATCAATTCGAAGCAGACTCATTTCACAGGGTGGTTCTCTACTTATTTTGTTTAACTTGGCCTGCTGTGGAGCTGTTTGGGGACACATACAGTTCTGCAGCCAGGAGGCCCTTTCCAGAACCTGATTTCCCCTTGGAATGACACATTATCCTCCCTTCACATGTAGCAATTGTAAATTCCTGCCTAGGGAGCAGCAATTGCTTTGAATTACACACTATTTGAACAGACCAGTATGGGATTAACAAGGCCTTATTGTTCTGCAGTCCTTTATTGAAACTCGCTATAGTAATTTCTGGTGAAATTATATTCCCCTGCCTATCATTTGACTATGCAAAGGAACACTTTCCACACTCTAATTGGTCCTTTCTAGTTGTATGTAATAAAAATCTCTTTTTACTATATTATTAACCCTGAGCAGGAAGAAATAATACTATCAGGTTTTTTCAGTTCACCCTTTTCTCACCCTTTCCCTCCCTTTGACATCTCTACTATGATTCCATGACTTGGACGTTTTTTAGATTTGTGGTGCCCAGAATATTACTTTATGACTGCTATGTACATATAGAAATGCACACACTATACCCACACAATCTAGGATTATCTCCTTTACAATATGCTATTTTTAAAATAAACTTCAGGAGCACAGAATTAAATCAGTAATAATACCTGTTTCAGGACACATTCTCATCATTGGTCTGGAAGTACCATTTTAAACATGTTTTTAAACAGTCTAGGCAAACAATTTACATCTACTCTTCAATTAAAAAACAAAAAACAAAAAACTCTAGTCCAGGCATGGTGGCTTGCGCCTGTAGTCCCAGCACTTTGGGAGGCCAAGGTGGGTGGATCGCTTTGAGCTCAGGAGTTCAAGACCAGCATGGACAACATGGCAAAACCCCGTTTCTACTAAAAATAGAAAAATTAGCTGGGTGTGGTGGTACACACCCATAATCCCAGCTACTTGGGAGGCTGAAGCAGGAGAATGGCTTGAACCTGGGAGGCAGAGGTTGCAGTGAGCCAAGATCGCACCACTGCACTCCAGCCTGGGCAACAGAGCGAGATTTCGTCTAAAAAAAATAAAAATTCTTACTTTTCAATCATCTGCAAATAGAATTTGGTAACCAAGAATGAATCTACCAATATTTACTTCCTAACTAAGCTGTTTCTAACAGAAATCAAAAGGGAATCTCTTTATAATGATGAAGTCTAAAGGCAGACTAATAAAAATGCTGAGAGCAAGATGTTTAGGTCAGGTGCAGTGGCTCAGGCCTGTAATCCCAGCACTTTGGGAGGCCTAAGCAGGGGGATCACTTGAGCCCAGGAGTTCAAGACCAGCCTGGGCAACATAGTGAGACCTGGGTCTCTACAAAAAATACAAAAATTAGCTGGGCATGGTGGCATACCTATAGTCCTAGCTACGTGGGACGTTGAGGTGGGAGGATCGCTTGAGCTCAGGGAGTCAAGGCTGCAGTGAACAGTGATGGCAGCATTTGTACTCCAGCCTGTGTGACAGAATGAGACCTTATCTCAAAAAAAAAAAGTTTACCAGGCTTTAAATAGTTTATTTTGATGGACATTATTTGTCCATAAAATAGACCTTTATAAAAGCTCGGATTTGAAACCAATAAATTAGAACTGTAATGTAGTCTTTTCTAGCTGGTTTTAGGCCAGTTAAATCTAGCAGAGATCATGAAGGCAGAAAGCCAACTTGAAGCCAAAATAACTATTGAGAACATTCTACATTCCATTAATAGGTAATGAAATTAAATCTGTTAACCGCTAAATTAAAATACATATTCTACTTACTTACATACAACTTTAGGCCTATATAACTATCATGCTTCCAAAAATAACAGCCTGGCCAGGCACAGTGGCTTACGCCTGTAATCCCAACACTTTGGGAGGCCAAGGCGGGCGGATCACCTGATGTCAAGAGTTTGAGACCAGCCTGGCCAACAAAGTGAAACCCTGTCTCTACTAAAAATACAAAAATTAGCCAGATGTGGTGGTGCGTGCCTGTAATCCCGGCTACTTGGGAGGCTGAGGCAGGAGAATCGCTTGAACCTGGGAGGTGGAGGCTGCAGTGAGCCCAGGTCAGGCCCCTGCACTCCAGCCTGGGCAACAGAGTGACTCCGCCTCAAAAACAGATAAATAACAGCCCAATAGCACAATACTTTTGAAACATGCTTTGATGAAATCCACAAAGGAATCATCTTTACCCCTTTGTCCCTAAACCATCTTCTCAGATCTTGTGCCTAAATTGAAATTTTTGTGCCAGGAGTTAGAAAATAATATGGATATAATAAAACAGACATAGTTTATACTGTAAGATATAATAAATATAGTTTATACTGTAAGAAGCATGACAGGTTTTTTTAAAATTATTGGATGATGACCATCAACTAAAAAAAAAAAAAAAAAAAACAAACAAACCTCAAAAACCCAAAGTCTATAACCTGCACTGAAAGGTTTTAATCTATAAAGATGAAAGTCAGCTTCTCCCATTTCCATTTTTCAAACCAGAGACTTTTTTTTTTTTTGACTTGCTCTGTGACCCAGGCTGGAGTACAGTGGTGCAATCGCTGCAACCTCAAACTCCTGAGCTCAAGTGATTCTCCCACCTCAGCCTCTTGAGTAGCTGGGACTACAGGCACACAACACCATTCCCGGCTCCAGAGATTTCTTTGAAACTTTCTATTAGAAAAAAAATAAAAAGAAATGGTCATTGCTTGCTGTGCATGCTGGCTCATGCCTGTAATCCCAGCACTTTGGGAGGCTAAAGTGGGCAGATTACTGGAGGTCAGGAGTTTGAGACCAGCCTGGCTAAAATGGTGAAACCCCATCTCTACTAAAATAAAAAATAATTAGCCGGGAGTGGTGGTGCGTGCCTGTAATACCAGCTGCTCAGGAGGCTGAGACAGGAGAATCGCTTGAACCCAGGAGGTGGAGGTTGCACTGAGCCGAGATCGCACCACTGCACTCCAGCCTGGTGACATAGCAAGACTCCATCTCAAAAAAAAAAAAAAAAAAAAAAATTTTATTAGTAAGGAGATAAAGCTAATTCCTCTGGGAACTTGTTTCAGACTTGGGTAGATGAAGTCCTGTGGCACAAAACTGAAGTGGAAGAGTGCTTTATGTAGACAGTTGGCTTGCAGGCAACATAAACAGAAAAGCTCAATAAATTCAAACAAAGCTGAAGCCAAAATCATGTAGTGATTTGTAAGGGAGCAGTAGATATTTTGAACTATGCCCCAAAGAGATGTTAAAGTAAATCAAAATCTTATGAACAGGTAAAAAAATTACTATGAAATTTAGAAAAACTGCTATCCATCCCAGATAGTGATTTTTTTTTTCCTTAAATGAGTAGTGAATGACTACAAACAAATGTGTAAAAAAAGAAAAAAAAATGACAGGAAATTTGAAATACAAATTTCTAGGCTTCTGGTAACACAATTTATACCAGGGGTCAAATATTCAGGGTTGCTTCTAAATTAAAAGAAAGAAACAAACAAAAAAATCCCATTTGAGCCCGAAGCATTTCATATTTGGTAAACTATTTGGGGAAATTCCACAAAATGTGCAGGCCAAGTCATTTTATTTACTCTTACTCTCCAACCTTTCCATTTCATTTTGCTTCAGCGATCGTTATAAAACTGAGCAGACAAGGCCAGGCATAGTGGCTCACACCTGTAATCCCAGCACTCTGGGAGGCTGAGGGGGGCGGATCACGAGGTCAGGAGATCGAGACCATCCTGGCCAACATGGTGAAACCCCATCTCTACTAAAAATACAAAAAATTAACTGGGCGTGGTGGCAGGCACCTGTAATCCCAGCTACTCAGGAGGCTGAGGCAGGAGAATCACTTGAACCCAGGAGGTGGAGGTTGTGATGAGCCAAGATCTTGCCATATTGCACTCCAGCCTGGGCAACAAGAACGAAACTGTTTCCAAAAAGAAAAAAAACCTGAGCAGACAGCTCGGGCAAACCCAGGAGCTCTCTTCTAGTAACAAAGTACAGGTTTGTCCTAGGAAGATAAGAAAAATCCTTTTCTTCCAAGTACAGGCTCTTGCCACTGTTGAGGAGTGGTCACCATATATCCTCTCTGCCTCAGATTCCTGTGCACTGACCATTCTCACATTCCTGGGCACCAGATTATCACATTGCTAGGAGCTGTGGTCTGGCATCGGGCAGTTTGCACTCTGATTGAGTGGCTGGGTGCAAGAGGGGAGTAAACTGGCTCGAGTCACTGGTGACCATGACTGCTCTAGAAAGAACTTCGGAAGGCTCAGCCCCACCGACCCTGCCAGGCCTAGCAGGCTGGTAATTATCTCCTGGGCTACAACAGAGCTCTGAGAGTTCAAGGTTTACCTCATCACAGCCTTTTCTCCCCTTCCTTCCTCTATTGGACAGTCCACTTTGCAGTGACCTAGTTCATTAGGATGCCCTTGTGCCTCAGTTTCCCTTATTAGGACTGGACTCCGCCTGTCAGCTGGGATTCAATCACCCTGTCTTCCTCTTTGCCAATATACTTTCCTCTCCAACCTTCCTCAGTCCCTACTGGCTGGGGCTCTGCTTGGATTAAGTCAATTGCTCAAGAGCCATGACTCCTTCCTGACTTTGGTCTACTATCCCCACTCTCTCACAGTCATTCCAGCTGCTTACTTTGCTCCCTGAAGATACTGATAATCAACTGAACCAGATCCCAGCTTGCCTTATCTACTCAGCCCACCTGGTTACCTTTCCCAGGCCAGTCTAGCCAGCCAGGTTAGTTCCCTGCTTGCTGTCACCCACCCACCCAATCCTGGATCCTCCTCCTTCCCATCAGCTGGTGCTGCTCGAATATTCACATCGATAGCAGTAATTAATGGCAGTTAAGAGCTCAGTCTGTCTCAGGAACTGTCTTAAGTACATCAGTACTTAAATTCATTTAATTATGACCACAACACTTGGAGAAACTGAGGCTGGGAGAGGTTGACTTGCTCAAGGTCACGCAAAGAGTAAATAGCACAGCTTTAAGTTGAACCTAGACTAGATCTTTCTGATGCCAGGTAAATACTCTTAATCACTGGCCAAGGGTTCTCAAGGTTCCTTTGCCCCTTCATCTATCCCACACATGGTATGTTTGTCGAAGGGACTGTGCAGATCTCAGCTATACTGCCTCCCTACAGGCCTTGGGTCTGGGCCTAGCCTTTGGACACCATTCATCAGAAAACTGGTCATCTCTGGCCGGGTGCGGTGGTTCACGCCTATAATCCCAGCACTTTCAGGGGCTGGCTGAGGTGGGCAGATCACCGGAGGTCAGGAGTTCAAGACCAGCCTGGCCAAAATGGTGAAACCCTATCTCTACTAAAAATAAAAAATAATTAGCTGGGCATGGTGGCAGGCGCTTGTACTCCCAGCTACTCGGGAGGCTGAGGCAGAAGAATCACTTGAACCCAGAAGGCAGAGGTTGCAGTGAGCTGAGATCGCACCATTACACTCCAGCCTGGGTGACGTGAGACTCCGTCTCAAAAAAAAAAAAGAAAAAAAAAAACTGGTCATCTCTGCCTCTCCTATTTATGCTTCTACTACTTCAGCTGGCTTCACTGTCAGTAGAAATGGCCGACAATGATCAAAGTTAATCTCAGTGCAGACATCTGTCAGCTCGCTGAGATGTGTACAGGTTTCCCCAAGATCTAGGGAGCCCCAAGTCACAGGGTTCTGGCTCAAGCCTTTTATTTTACTATTGAGACCTAAAGCTCAGAGAAGTGAAGTGACTTGTCCTGTATCACACAGCTAGTTAATGGCAGAGCCAAGATTGAGGTTTCATGGCTTCCAAGCCACCTTGAGTAGACTGGAACCATGGAAGGCCACATTTCACAGCAGGGCTTTTGAAGACAAGCTAGGTTACTTAACCTTTGACTTTTGCCTCTGTGTTTTAATCTGTGACATGGAGCAGCAAAGGAGGCCTAACTAAAAGGATGACACATGTTGCTGATGAGGGGTAAATTGTTGGAGGAATTGCTACTACCACCCATCTTTGGTAAGGACCAGGACTTTCTGAGTTCATTTACCAGTCTAGAAGCCAGGAAGATGTTCATAGATATATTCACATAATTGTGATCTAATTGACACCACAAGACAAAAGCAATTTCATGATAAAAATAGCAACTTTAGTTGTTTTTTCTTTTCTTTTTTTTTTTTTTTTTTTGAAAAAGAGTCTTGCTCTGTCACCCAGGCTGGAGTGCAGTGGTGCGACCTCAGCTCACTGCAACCTCCACCTCCTAGGTTCAAGCAATTCTCCTGTCTCAGCCTCCCAAGTAGCTGGGATTACAGGCATGCAACACCATGCCTGGCTAATTTTTTTGTGTGTTTTTAGTAGAGATAGGGTTTCACCATGTTGGCCAGGCTGGTCTTGAACTCCTGACTTAAGGTGATCCACCCACCTCGGCCTCCCAAAGTGCTGGGATTACAGGCATGAGCCACCGTGCCCAGCCAAGAATAGCAACTTTAATTGAGCATTTGTTATACACCAGAGACTGCTTTAAGTAAGCATCTATTTGAGCCACACTACAACCCTAGGAAGAATGTATGTGCTTTTTTTTTTTTTTTTTTTTTGAGATGGAGTCTCACTCTGTCGCCCAGGCTGGAGTGCAGTGGCGGGATCTCGGCTCACTGCAAGCAGGTTCAAGCAATTCTCATGCCTCAGCCTCCTGAATAGCTGGGACTACAGGTGTGCACCACTGCACCCAGCTAATTTTTGCTTTTTTTTAGAGACGAGGTTTCACCATGTTGGCCAGGCTGGTTTTGAACTCCTGAGCTCATGATCTGCCCTTCTCGGCCTCCCAAAGCACTGGGATTACAGGCATGAGCCACCATGCCTGGCCTGGAAGAATGTGCTTTATTTCCATTTTACAGGTAAGGAAACTGAGCCCTAGAGAGGTTAAGTAACTTGCCCAAGATTACACAGCTACTAAGAGGCAGAACAAGGTTCTGGAGGAAGCTGTTTACCTCCAGGGTCTACAAATCCTAACTTCTACATGAGTCTGGCTTACATGGCAAATGGGGAATGGAAGTTTTCGAAGATGCCCAGAAAGACACAGAGATCTGAAACTTTGTCTAGGAAGAAGAGTGAGGACCAGTTATCACAGGCATCCATATTCCTAGGTTCACAGCTTATCTACCCACTGACAGGGGGCCATGTATGAACTCGATGGCCTACAGTAAGCTTTTCAGGGCTTGTCATTTTGCTCTAGGAAACTGCTATCCAGCCCCATGTGGTTCCTGGATCACTCCGAAGTGCTTTAGAGTCACTTTAATCCTTGAGTTTAAAGTTTAAAGCAGATAACGTATACAGAAACATAGAAAAGGAACCAAAGAAAACTAACAAAATAAAGTTTGGTAATTTTCAAATCTTGCTACATAATTCCTTGCTTGGGAAGAAATGCTCAAAAATCAACAAAAGGAGGACAAAAACAGGATGTTAAAAAGCATTTTTATGTTTTAAGAAATTTACTGCCAGACTAAGAGTATTTCTGCCAAAACTAACATGCTTCTTTCCTACAACCTACACAATCTGGGGTTTGCTGAGAATTTGGTTGGATTTTGAGGGTGAGACCATAATTTCCCACCATGTTCATTTTCAAAAAGAATGTCCCACACATGAAAACACACACACGCACACACACACACACAAACACACACACACACACACAAATGCTCCAGTGGAAGTAGTGGTCCTGCAGTTCCTACTATGAGTAAAGTATCCCACAAAGATTTGGCCCAGAGATTGGCATCTGACATGGAGTCTCTTTTAGTGCACTCATTGCAAATCTCCATCTGAAGGTCTGTAAGGAACATGGCTGTGCTGCAGCCAAGCAGGCATAGAGCAGCAGGCATAGGTCAAGGTAAACAGCCTAAATGACTCAGCAGTATTGGGGCGCAAGTGCAGTCTCGTGTCTTATACAATCATAGCCATGTAGACATAACATAGAGAAGCTCACCACCTGGCTCTCAGCCACTATTGTCTGTGTAGTGTATAAATGTAACACTGACCCTGTAAAGGGGCTGCTGAATAAAGCCATGTCTCACTTACATGCTGTCTCTCAGGTGTTCTTCCAGCTCCCTGCCCTGTGTCCACCCACTCCCCTCAGCCCTCAGCTGGGGCCAGAACCTGACCCCAAGCATGACAAGGTTTTTGTCCTGTGGGCTGGGGATGCAAAAGGACACAAGATCATGAACATGTGGGAAGGACCTGGGACTGGGAGCTAAACAAACTGGACTCAAATTCTGGATTCACCAATTCCTAGCAGTGTGATCTCTCTGAGCATCTGTTTCCTCATCTGTGAAATGAGAAGCAAAATACCATCCTTCAGGATTGTCAATGAGGCATTGTATGTATATCACTCAGCACAGCCTGAAAGTAGTAGCTTAAGCCCCTCTACTTGGGAGAACACTGGATTAGGTCCACGTGACTGACAGCTAGGAACACAGAGTGAGAAAAATCAAGACTGAGGGGTGAGCCAAGGGATAACAGAAGAGACCGAAGCATCATGAGGAAAGAGAAGAGGAGACAGAGGAAAGCAGGGAGGAAGGACTTGCTCCTTTTTGTCCTCTAAGATAGATTTGGCAAAGACAAAAGACTCAAGAGGAAAATGAGACATTATTTTGCACCATCCAGGGGCAAGATTTTGCAAGTACTCAAGCTTCTCTCTTCCAGATATTAAAGGCATAGCAAAGGGGTTATATTATTACTACTGAATGCTAGAATACTATTTTTAAAACATTGATTTTGATTTTTTTCTTCTAGATTTTTTTTCTTCTATTCCATCTCCCCATTTGAACAGACAAACCATTCTTTGCTCCTATCTAAGAGATGGGTCTTACAAGCAGAAAGCAAAGTTTTTCAGTTTCAAAAGCCTGGGCCGGTGGTTCTCAAAGTATGGTCTCCAGACCACATCAGCATCACCTGGATACTCGTTAGAAAGGGAAATTCTTGGGCCCTACCCCAGACCTACTGAATCAGCACCTCTGGGGGTTGGGCTCCACGTTCTGTGTTTTAACAGGCCCTCCAGGTGACTCAGATGTAGGCTGCAGATTGAAAACCACTGGTCTAGATCCTTAGTGAACTGGAGAGAACAAACTGGTAAAAGATTTAGGAGAAAACATCAGGAATAACAGCAAAGCTCCTTACCTAAGTTAGAAAAATATTCTCTAGGCTGAGGGAGGAGGGGAGATAGAAGGGAAGTGATAAGACAGAGAGGTGGTGGGGACAGGAGGAGAGGGCTAGAAGTGAGTGCCAGCCTACATTTTAGTAAGCCCCTTTGCCTATGCCAGACCATTGGGTTAGTTGCCTTCTGGTAGGTGTCTAGTGAGGACTTATGCCTGACAGCAAGCAACAACCAGGACATTGTTTATTGGCTAACAGTCAGAGCAAAATGTTGGGTTTGTGTCCTCCCTATTCCATATGGACAGTCCTTCCTTACAACATCCTGGAATGCTCATTAACTCTTGAGAAGGAAGGTGAGGCCCTGGACCCCTAGTGACCTGATGGTTAGGGAAGGGAGAATAAGCCCTGCACTTGATTTTGGTGGGGATGAACAGAACCAACACAAGATTACCCCTGAGCCAGGGCAAGATAACACTCACCCCAATTATAATGACTACTTGTGTTGGAAATTGGCACTCAGCATTTATTCCAGTCTCCTCCTGGGTTGCCTTTCTGTAACAGTTGAAAGCTTAGAGAGGCTAGAAAGTTTAACTCTGCATTTCCCAGACTCCCTTCAAGTTGTGGATGTGCAGCTCACCATTGCGTTGCAGAAGGCAGAAGGAAGGCAGAGGCTCTTGGCCATCTTTTCTTGGCTTGCTTGGTCAAGCTTCATGTTGGTGGCAGCAGTGGTGGCTCTTCATTCCAACTTCCACATTTCTGGAGCGCAGCAACTTCGGCGTGTTCATGAGCTCAACAGCTCCAGTGACAGCCTCCTGACCCCTCAGCCTGCTAATCTGGGCTGAGGTTGTAGCTTCTGGAGGGAGGGAAATGAGGGTCAGTTCTGTGGCATTCAGGTAGACATTCCAGAAGGCCCCAGCCTACATGCTTATTCCTTCAGTACTTTCAACTATTTCATGAGCACCAACTTCCCTGTATTAATTCCTTCTTTGCTAAAAAACCCAGTCTGGAGCCGGGCGCGGTGGCTGACGCCTGTAATCCCTGCAATTTGGTAGGCTGAGGTGGGTGGATCACCTGAAGTTAGGAGTTCGAGACTAGACTGGCCAATATGGCAAAACCCCGTCTCTACTAAATA
The DNA here is from genome assembly GCF_000001405.40 of Homo sapiens. NCBI lineage: Eukaryota > Metazoa > Chordata > Mammalia > Primates > Hominidae > Homo > Homo sapiens. Next base: position 104,961,704 of record NC_000007.14, on the reverse strand, counting down.
TACAAAAAAAAATTAGCTGGGTGTGGTAGCGGGCGCCTGTAATCCCAGCTACTCAGGAGGCTGAGGCAGAAGAATGGCTTGAACCCAGGAGGCAGAAGTTACAGTGAGCCAAGATCGCGCCATTCCACTACAGCCTGGGTGACAGAGCAAGACTCCGTCTCAAAAAAAATAAATGAATAAAATAAAATGGTTCCTATTTCTTCCACTAAGGATATACTATTCAAAAAAAAAATCTGTCTTGAAATTTAACTGGAGTGACAGGATGGTTGCACAGAAATGCTTATGATTTCAGAAAATTGGGCCATATGCCAAGGAGCAATAGCAGTACATGCAGTCCATGTGTCAGAGGCTCAGAGGTGAGAGCGCTCACCACCCTGGCCTGGGTTAGGTTTTGGGGCAAGGCAGAACTTGAAGGAAATGTCTTCAAAGAGCAAGCAATGTGCTTTCTGGCTAGTTTTCCTGTTTCAGTTGACTTTGGCCTTGCCTTGCTCCCTGCTTCCTCTTTTCTGCCTCCATACCATCTCTTGTGCAACTCTGCTTACAGGGAACTCCCATCCCTGTCTCTTAAGAACCAAGCAAACCCCTTTTTCTTTTCCTCTTTTATCAGCCTGTCTCTTATTTCAGAATACACATTTCTGTATGCTTCAAAGTAGTTTACAGTTTTCAGTAAGCATGACCATGTTGGCGTTACTTATTTCAGAATGTGAGCCCCTGTTGACTGCCAAGCATTATCCCATGACCATGAGGACTCTCAACAATTGCTACATTATTTGTTAGGGGAGCTTCAAGGTCCAGCTTCCACTGTCTGAAGGAGCTTCAAGAAGCTGAATATGGCAATGTCTGCTGTCCCTACCCAAAAAGTATTTGATTAGCTCTGTCCACAAAGAGCAGAAATTTGAGATGACCCCTTCTGGGCCTGGAGAGCCAGCCTGAGACTAAACCTCCCTAGAAGAAGCTTTCTTTTTTTTTGAGACAGAGTCTTGTTCTGTCACCCAGGCTGGAGTGCAGTGGCATGATCTAGGCTCACTGCAAGCTCTGCTTCCCAGGTTCACACCATTCTCCTGCCTCAGCCTCCCAAGTAGCTGGGACTGCCGGCGCCCGCCACCATGCCCTGCTAATTTTTGTATTTTTAGTAGAGATGGGGTTTTGGCATGTTGGCCAGGTTGGTCTTGAACTCCTGACCTCAGGTGATCCGCCTGCCTCGGCCTCCGAAAGTGTTGGGATTACAGGCGTGAGCCACCGCGCCTGGCCGGAAGAAGCATTTTTAAATTTTCATTATTTTATTTATTTATTTTTGGTTTTTTTGAGATGGAGTCTCGCTCTGTCGCCCAGGCTGGAGTACAGTGGCACCATCTTGGCTCACTGCAAGCTCTGCCTCCCGGGTTCACGCCATTCTCCTGCCTCGGCCTCCCGAGTAGCTGGGACTACCGGCACCTGCCACCACACTCAGCTAATTTTTTTGTATTTTTAGTAGAGACGGGGTTTCACCATCTTAGCCAGGATGGTCTCAATCTCCTGACCTCATGATCCGCCTGCCTCGGCCTCCCAAAGTGCTGGAATTACAGGCGTGAGCCACCGTGCCCAGCCTGGAAGACGCATTTTTTACATCAAATCTCAGACAGGGCAGGAGGGAATTGCTCTGGATTATTATTATTATTATTATTATACTTTAAGTTCTGGGATACATGTGCAGAACGTGCAGGTTTGTTACATAGGTATACATGTGCCATGGTGGTTTGCTGCACCCATCAACCCGTCATCTAGGTTTTAAGCCCCGCATGCATTAGGTATTTCTCCTAATGCTATCCCTCCCCCTGCCCCCTACCCCCCAACAGGCCCTGGTGTATGATGTTCTCCTCCCTGTGTCCATGTGTTCTCATTGTTCAACTCCCACCCATGAGTGATAATATGCAGTATTAGGTTTTCTGTTCCTGTGTTAGTTTGCTGAGAATGATGTTTCTAGCTTCATCCATGTCCCTGCAAAGGACATGAACTCATTCTTTTTTATGGCTGCATAGTATTCCATGGTGTATATGTGCCAGATTTTCTGTATATGTGCCACATGTTCTTTACCCAATCTATCATTGATGGGGATTTGGGTTGGTTCCAAGTCTTTACTATTGTAAATAGTGCTGCAATAAACATACGTGTGCATTTGTCTTCTTTTTTTTGAGATGGAGTCTCGCCCTGTCACCCAGGCTGGAATGCAGTGGTGTGATCTCAGCTCACTGCAACCTCCGCCTCTCAGGTTCAAGCGATTCTCCTGCCCCAGCCTCCTAAGTAACTGGGATTACAGGCTCATGCCACTATGCCCAGCTAATTTTTGTATTTTTAGTAGAGATGAGGTTTCACTATGTTGAAACCTCATAGTTTCAGGCTGGTCTCAAACTCTTGACCTCGTGATCTGCCAGCCTCGGCCTCCCAAAGTGCTGGGATTACAGGCGTGAGCCACCGCACCCAGCCACATGTGTCTTTATAGTAGAATGATTTATAATCCTTTGGGTATATACCCAGTAATGGGATTGCTGGGTCAAATGGTATTTCTGGTTCTAGATCCTTGAGGAATCGCCACACGGTCTTTCACAATGGTTGAACTAATTTACACTCCCAACAGTGTAAAAGTGTTCCTATTTCTCCACATCCTCTCCAGCATCTGTTGTTTCCTGACTTTTTAATGATTGCCATTCTAACTGGCCTGAGATGGTATCTCATTATGGTTTTGATTTGCATTTCTCTAATGACCAGTGATGATGAGCTTTTTTTCATATGTGCTCTGGAATTTCAGCAAACCCACATTTCTCCAAAGATACACCGGCCATGAGCATACTTAGAAGTGGGAGTTCCCAGTACCCCTTATCTAGTTGAAGGCGTTGTGAGCGTTTCTCACAGGACTCTTTAATTGGCTGTCTTTACTAAGTCACTGCACTAAAGCCTCAGCTCCTACCCAGAAAGCTCCTGTCCCTGGATTACTGTCTCCTTTTGGTGAGGTCAGAGCTGCACTTACAATCTGTTCCAATGGCTAATCCTGGAGAAAGAAATACTGCTTATATTAGCAGGGCTCCCAGAGAAACAGAACCAAAAGGATGTGTGTGTATATACATATAAAAATATTTGTCTTAAGGAATTGGCTGATGTGATTGTGAAGGCTTGGCAAGTTTGAAATCTTACCAGGGAAGCCTCAGGAAAGCATTGCAGCTCAAGTTCAAAGGCAGTCTGCCAGTGAACCCTGAAGAACTGATGTTGCAGACAAAGTCCAAAGGCAGCCTGCTGCAGAAGTCCCTCTTCGGGTGTGGGTTGGGGAGTGGGTGGGTGTCAGCCTTTTGTTCTATTCAGGCCTTCAATCAATTGGATGGGGCCAGAATAATGTTTGACCAAGTATCTGGGCATTGTGGCCCAGCCAAATTGACAGATAAAATTTTATTTATTTTATTTTATTTTTGCCAAAGTTGTACTCTGTCGCCCAGGCTGGAGTGCAGTGTGGCATGATCTCGGCTCACTGCAACCCCCGCCTCCTGAGTTCAAGCGATTCTCCTGCCTCAGCCCCCTGAGTAGCTGGGACTACAGGCATGTGCCGCTATGCCCGGCTAATTTTTGTGTTTTTAGTAGAGACGGGATTTCATCATGTTGGCCAGGCTGTTCTCGAACTCCCGACCTCAAGTGATCCCCCCACCTCGGCCTCCCAAAGTACTGGGATTACAGGTGTAAGCCACTGTGCCCGGCCAATTTTATTGTATTGTATTGTATTTTTATTTTATTTTTTGAGATGGAGTCTCACTTTGTTGCCCAGGCTGGAGTGCAGTGGCACGATCTTGGCTCACTGCAACTTCTACCTCCCAGGCTCAAGCAATTCTTGTGCCTCAGCCTCCCTCAAGTTGACAGATAAAATTAATCATCACAGGGCCCTTGTTACTAAGTGACAGCGGGGAAATGTCTCATGTTCTGGTGCTCTTCAGCCTCACCCTGCCTCTGCCACAGTCACTTCAGTACAGGTTCCCCCTGAGTCTCTCTTCTCCCAACTCTAGGAACCTGATATGGCTTCCCTTGGGGGTCATGTATGAAATAGTAGGATGGAAAAGGGGCGCTGGGCTAGAAGTTAGCTAGAGAAATGCTGGCCTCAAAATCTGCTCTTCTTACTAATTTCCAGCCTGTATCTCTGGGCCAAGCCAGCCAGAGAACTCTTTTTTCCTTCAGGGTTACTTCCACAACAACTTTCCACCCCCAGCTCACGGAAGACATTTTCCCAGGCTTCACCAACATCTTATTCCTGGAGCCTAAGTTCAGCTAACTGCTGTCCTTCCAGCTGGTCAGCCCCAGCAGCCTCTAGCACATGTCCAAAGCCTCCTGAATCCACATATGTGGTTGAGTCGAGCCACAGTGACATTAGTCATATTTTTTGTTGATTGAAAACAAGGGTAAGCTGTAACCAAGGCCTCACTGTGGTTTTCGACTTAACTGTTGCTCACTAACTATAACAAGAAGGCTTTAAAAAGGACCAAAATAGAAACTGTGTATATAGTAAGAGTAGAAGGCTGGGATACCAGAGTCTTTCTCTTCAATAATACAAGGTGGTTTGTCTCCTTCCATGGAAAGAAGCCATGTACACATCCTCTTCAGTGTCGCCTGAGTAATTCCTGACTTTTTTCTTTTAAATAACAGCTTTATTGAGATACAATTCATGTTCCATACAATTCATCCATTTAAAATGCACAATTCAATGGTTTTTACCATTTGGTTTCACAAAATTGTGCAACCATCAGCACAAACAACTTCAGAACATTTTAATCACCCCCAAAAGAAACCTCATCCCCAAAAGCTGTCGTTCCTATTTCTGCCCAAACACCCCAGGCCCTAGCCAACCACTAATCTGCTTTCTGTCTCTGTGGATTTACCTATTCTGGATATTTTATATAAGTGGAATCATACAACACATGATTCTGGGTGGCCATAGTGGCTCACACCTGTAATCTCAACACTTTGAGATACCAAGGTGGGAGGATCACTTGAGGTCAGAAGTTCAAGACCAGCCTGAGCAACATAGCAAGACCGCCCCCAAAATACATAGTCCTGACTGATTTTTATAAAGGTGAAATAAGTTTAGATTTTGTCATGATAGCAAGATAACCAAACCAAGCAAGCATTCACTTCCCAAGGATAGCTGGTCACATTGCTCATCTTAATGGAATAAGCAGAAAAGCAGCTAAGCAGTGACAAAGAAATACTGGTTGCGTGTAAATTTGACTTACAATCAAAGGAGGTCCTAAGAGGAGTTTGGTGGCCAAGGCATTTGGAATCACACAGAGAGGCTGTTGAACAGTTCAGTCTGGCAACCCAGTCTGGCAAATTTTCTGGAGTCCAGTTTTATCTTTTAAGGTACGTTTCTTAGGGAATTCTCTTACGCCTTGCAATTTTCTTCCAAAGGGAGATATGGTAAGTATGAAATAGACATTTTTATTTATTTCCATATCTTGATTGAGTAAGAGAAGGGTGTAGAGTGTGTAAAATCAAACATGCACTTTAGGGGAATCACAACATCAGAGCCTGAACCAAGGGCAAAGAGTCCAAATCTTGCTAACCTACAATATTGTGCACTTGGTAAATTATAAGCAAGAAAGGGCCAAAAATTAAACTAAGTGCCTTGAAATGGCAAGACAAGCTAGCTATTTAAAACAAAAAGCTAATCAGCCAGCTTTCAAATTGCCTTTCTTTGGATGCTAGGTTATGGTTTTGCTTTCTCAAAGTTTGAGAATTATAAAATGTTAAAAGAAATGTAACAGGGCCAGGCACGGTGGCTCATGCCTGTAATCCCTGCATTTTGGGAGGCTGAGGTGGAGAGATCACTTGAGTCCTGGAGTGACAGGGAAACATGGTGAAAACCCATTTCTACCCAAAATACAAAAATGCCAAAAGAAAAAAAAAAATTAGCTGGGCATGGTGGTGTTCACCTGTAATCCCAGCTACTCAGGAGAATGAGGTGGGAGAATCACCTGAGCCCAGGAAATCAAGGCTGCAGTGAGCCATGATCACACCACTGCACTCCAGCCAGGGCAACAGAGCAACACCCTGTCTCAAAAAAAAAAAAAAAAAAAAAAAAAAAAGGTAACATAAGAACTGAAGGATCCTTTGGTTAGTATATGAAGACCTGCATGTCTGACAAAGCTCACTACAGGCCAGCCCATTGGAAAAAGGTACTGCCCAGATAAGCAAACTTGAACTTCAGGGGAAAGAATGATGACAGAGTTTATGTAACAGCAATGACTGAAGTGAGAGGAAAGGGAGGAGAAGGGTGAAGAATGTCCCTGAGAGTGGCTTGTTCCAAGCCACTGCTTGGAAGTTATATCCTCTCTCAATAAAGTACTCCAATTATAGTCCCGTGAGAAAATGCCATATTACTTTCTGGGATAGCCCCACGCTTGGTCAAAGAGGAATGAAGAAAACAAATCGTTCAGTTTATCTAGTCAATTAAACTAGTAGGACTTGGTGCAGTGGTACACGCCTGTAATCCTAGTGCATTGGGAGGCTGAGGCAGGAGGATTACTTGAGCCCAGGAGTTCCAGGATACAGTAAACTATGATCGTCCACTGCAGTGCCTGGGTGACAGGTGAGACCGTGTCTCTAAAAAATAAAAATAAAAATAAAAATAAAAATTGGCTTGATGTGGTGGCTCATGCCTGTAATCCCAGCATTTTGGGAGGCCAAGGTGGGTGCATCACTTGAGGTCAAGAGTTCAAGACCAGCCTGGCCAACATGGTGAAACCCCATCTCTACTAAAAATACAAAAATTAGCGGGGTTCGGTGGTGTGTGCCTGTAATCTCAGCTACTTGGGAGGCTGAGGCACGAGAATCACTTGAACCCAGGAGGCAGAGGTTGCAATGAGCCGAGATCGCACCACTGCACTCTAGCCTGGGTGACAGAGTGAGACTCCATCTCAAAAGAAAAAATAAATAAATAAAATAACAACAAATAAGTAGATGAATATAGATTCTAATTTTTCTAACTAGAAGAAAAAATTAGATCATGGTAATCATTGTACATACCACCTTATACTGTTTCATAATCTCTCACTTGTGATAGCCTTATCTCCTCATCTGCATTTTAATTTTTTTTTTTTTTTTTTTGAGACAGAGTCTCACTCTGTCACCCAGGCTGGAGTACAGTGGCAGGATCTCACCTCACTGCAACCTCCCCCTCCTGGGTTCAAGTGATTCTCCTGCCTCAGCCTCCCGAATGGCTAGGATTACAGGCACTTGCCACCATGTCTGGCTAATTTTTGTATTTTTTTGTAGAGATGGGGTTTCACCATGTTGGCCAGGCTGGTCTTGAACTCCTGACCTCAAGTGATCCACCTGCCTTGGCCCCCAAAGTGCTGGGATTGCAGGTGTGATAGCCACTGTGCCTGACCCGCATCTGCATTTTAATCTGGAAGATAGAATTGTACATTTTCCTTTCCTGCTATTCCCCATGGCACCTAGAATACAGGGTCAGAGGGCACTCAGCCACTGCTGGCTGATGGGTTGAAGCAAGGAAGCTACACAGAGCAGAGAATAGGCAGGCAGAGAACAGACAAGGGGCAAAAAGAACATTTTCAATAAATTTCAAAACCAACTTGCAGCTTATCAATAATTGATTTTAGCACCTTGAAATCCATTCTAAGGCCCAGAAGCATTTTAGAAATCAATACCATGAAACGTGTTACACATTTTCATGAATTAAAGCAATGTCACAGTTTTATAGGGAATTTATATTCTAAGAAACCATTTGTGTAATTCTTTGAAAATCTAGAAATTTTCTTTTTCTTAGGTGGACGCAAAGGTGTTAAATGAGGTTGAATATATTGACCAGAAAAGAAAATATTATAGTCCTTTGTTGAAGAAGAGTTTTCTCATACTGGAAAGAAAAAAAATAAAAGAAAGAAACTTCAAAAACTTCATGCTGCTTTCTGAAGTACTCCAGCCAAAGAAAATAATTCAGGTATCAAGTTGGACTAGCTCAGATGACTACAAAATGGTGAGTACATTCAGATATGGGAGATTATGATAAATAAAGGGATTAGTATCTGCCCAAAAGAGAATGTGGATGCTGGGGCCCAGAGTGAGGAGGCTTTGAACCACAAAAGCAAAAGAAATGCAAGATAAACCCAAAATCAAAATTAGCAAGTGGAAATTGGAGGATCTTGTGAAATGTTTCATTATTTGAAGTCCCTCCCCTCCCTGCTGCAATGTACTGGCCAGCAATTCCTCAGTCAATGACTCTCATCTTGAGATGCTCAAGAGAATAACAAGGGACTGGGTGCAGTGGCATGTGCCTGTAGTCCCAGCTACTTGGGAGGAGGTGGGAGGATGGCTCCAGCCCAGGAGTTAGAGGCTGCAGTGAATTGAATAGCCGCCGCACTCCAGTCTGGGCAACATAGCAGGAGTGTTATGTTGAAATAAAAATTTTTTAAAAAAAGTGCCTGGGCTTGGTGGCTCACACCTGTAATCCCAGCACTTTGGGAGGCTACTGCAGACAGAATTCAAGGCCAACCAGGGCAACATAGAGAGACCTCGTCTCTACAAAAAAATACAAAAATTAGCCAGGCGTGGTAGTCCCAGCTACTAGGGTGGCCGAGGTTGGAGGATCACCTGAGCCCGAGAGGTCGAGGCTGGAGTGAGCCATGATTGTGCCACTGCACTCCAACCTGGGTGATGGGGTGAGATCCTGCCAAAAAAAAAAAAAAAAAAAAAAAAAAAAAAAGAGAGGGAATGACCAGGGAACTATTTAAAAAGTCAGCTGTCAGATGTCAGGGCTCAGCTCAGACCTACTGAATCTGGGACACATTTTCTAGTACTGATATTTTTTAAAAAGCACATGAGGTGGGGTGGGCACCGTGGCGCATGCCTGTAATCCCAGCACTTTGGGAGGCCGAGGAGGGTGAATCACCTGAGGTCAGGAGTTCAAGACCATCCTGGCCAACATGGTGAAACCCCGTGTCTACTAAAAACACAAAAATTAGCCAGGCATCATGCTAATTTACATTACAGTGGGCACCTGTAATCCCAGCTACTTGGGAGGCTGAGGCAGAAGAATCGCTTGAACCCGGGAGGCAGAGGTTGCAGTGAGCTGAGATTATGCCACTGCACTCCAGTCTGGGTGACAAGAATGAGACTCTGTCTCAGAAAAAAAAAAAAAGCAAGTGATTCTGATGAAGTTGGGGGTCTCTGGATCATTGCTCTCAGTATTGCTAAAGGACACCATTGCTATGGACTGAATCATGTCCCCCTAAAATCCATATGTTGAAGCCCTAACCCCAATGTGACTGTATTTGGAAATGGAGCCTTGGGAGATAATTAGGTTTTAATGAGGTCATGGTGGGGGAGCTGTGGTGTTGGAATTAGTCCCCTTACAAGAGGAAGAGAGACCAGTGCTCTCTCTCCACCAAATGAGAATATAGCAAGAAGGTGGCATCTGCAAGCCAGAAAGAGATTCCTCACCCAGAACCAAATCACTGGGCTCTTTGATCTTGGACTTCCCAGCCTCCAGAACTGTAAGAAAAAAATGTCTGTTGTTTAAGCCACCCAGTCTATGGTATTTTGTTATGGAAGCCCAAATGGATAAATACAATCAGCCATTAGGTAGATATATAAAGTCAACCCCCCTCTATAATGCCAGGAAAGCAGCAGCCATCACAACACAGAGTTTTTCAAGTAGGTTAAGGTCATATTCTGTACACAAGTTCAAACTATATCATGCTAGCCTCTGGGAGGCTCAGGTGTAGATATTGACGACAGTGTCTAAGTCATTGTTGGGTAGGAATGGATTCTGCAAAAATAAACTCTTCGTTGAAACTTTGTCCTAAGCACACTCCCTATTTCTTTTTGTGGCACTTAACATCTTTTTCTCCTTATGATTCATCTGTGTACATGCTTTCTTCACTACTGACCATGGGCTTCAAGGAGGCAGTACCATGACTGATACATTTCTGTACCCTGGGAATTTAACACTAAGCAGTCTTTTTTTCTTCTTCTTCTTTTGAGACGGAGTCTTTCTCTGTTGCCAGGCTGGAGTGCTGTGGCGCAATCTTGGCTCACTCCACCTCCGACTCCCTGGTTCAAGTGATTCTCCTGCCTCAGCCTCCCAAGTAGCTCGGATTACAGGCACGTGCCACCACACCCAGATATTTTTGTATTTTTAGTAGAGACGGGGTTTCACTTTGTTGGCCAGGATGGTCTCAAACTCCTGACCTCGTGATCCGCCTGCCTTGGCCTCCCAAAGTGCTGGGATTACAGGCGTGAGCCACCGTGCCTGGCCTACACTAAGTAAGCACTCTTAAAGAGACAGGGACTCTTAAAAAAACAAAACAAAACAAAAAAAATAACCACAATAACATTCTCAAACCTAAAATAATAAACCATAAATATGAACAGACATCCAGTCAGTATTCAAATTTTCCCAACTGTCTCATGAATAATATTTTTGTTTTTGTTTTCTGAATCAGGATCCAAATAAAGCCCACACGTTGAATTTGCATTTGTATGGTATGTCTCTCATCTCTTTAACCTAAAAATTCACTTTCTTTTTCCTTCTTGCAACCTTGTTGTTGTTATAAAAGCCAGATCATTTGTCCTCTAGAGATTTCCACATTTTAGATATTTTTTATTTTCTTCTGACTTTTCTGTGGTATCAGATTCCCTTAACATGTTCCCAAATAAGGTCCTTTTTTGGAAGGGAGCAAAAAAGCTTCTGCACTGCTTACCATTGTTGCATAACAAATTATCCAAAAACTCAGTAGCTTAAGCAACTTTTAAATTTTGCTCATAATTTTATGGGTCAGGAATTTGGGAAGGGAATCCGGGACACTCCATGGTGTCTGGGACCTTAGTTGGGGCTAAAACTCAAACTGTACACACACCAATGTCAATATTACAACTACACCATAGAATGCAGTTTTAGATTTCTTTGACGTTTGTTTCAGGCTGAACTGTGTCTCCTCCCTGCCCTTGCCCCCCTCCCCATATTAATACATTGAAGTATCTCAGAATGTGACTGTATTTGGAGATAGGATCTTCAAAGAGGTAATGAAGGTTAAATGAGCTCTCTATGGTGGGCTCTAATCCAATATGACTACTGTCTTTTTTTTTTTTTTTTTTTTGAGATAGAGTCTTGCTCTGTTGCTCATTGCAACCTCCACCTCCTAGGTTCAAGCGATTCTCCTGCCTCAGCCTCCTGAGTATCTGGGACTACAGATATGAGCCACCACGCCCGGCTAATTTTTGTATTTTTAGTAGAGACGGGGTTTCACGCCATGTTGGGCAGGATGGTCTCAATCTCTTGAACTTGTGATCTGCCTGCCTCAGCCTCCCAAAGTGCTGGGATTCCAGGTGTGAGCTGACTAGTGTCTTTATAAGAAGAGATGAGGACACATACGTGCACAGAGAGAAGACCACGTAAAGACACAGAGAGAAGGCAGTCATCTACATACCGAGAAGATGGGTATCAGAAGAAACCAACTCTGCCACACCTTGACCTTGGACATCAAACCTCGGGAACTGTGCAGAAGCCAGTTTCTGTTGTTTAAGCCACCAAGTGTGTGGTGCTTCTTATGGCAGCCCCAGCAAACTAATATACTGTTTCCATTCATCTTTAGGCTATATTACAGTACAGATCGCTTACTGTATTTTAAAGTCACTTAAAATAATTCATCTCTGTAAAATTAAATCACTAATTCAATACACAGTTAAAATTATTTGTTTCAATTGCATTCAGTTTTTAGGAATTTCTTTTTTGCCCCCATCTTTATTAAATTTTATTTTTATTTTTATTTTTTGAGACAGGGTCTCACTCTGTTGCCCAGACTGGAGTGCAATAGAGCCACCTCTGCAACCTCTGCCCCCTGGCCTCATTTCAGCTTCCCAAGTAGCTGGGAGTACAGGCGCCTGCCACTACACCAAGTTAAACTTTTTATTTTTTATAGAGATGGGGTTTCACCATGTTGCCCAGGCTGGTCTCGAGCTCCTGGGCTCAAGCGATTCACCCGTCTTGGCCTCCCAAAGTATTGAGATTATAGGTGTGAGCCACTGTGCCTGGTCCATCTTTATTAAATTTTGTTTTATAATTATGTAAAACATATCCAGGTGGGTGCAGTGGCTCATGCCTGTAATCCCAGCACTTTGGGAGGCCAAGTCGGGCGGATCATGAGGTCAGGAGATTAAGACCATCCTTGCTAACACAGTGAAGCCCCGTCTCTACTAAAAATACAAAAAATTAGCCGGGTGTCGTGGCGGGTGCCTGTAGTCCCAGCTACTCGGGAGGCTGAGGCAGGAGAATTGCTTGGACCCAGGAGGCGGAGGTTGCAGTGAGCCAAGATTGCACCACTGCACTCCAGCCTGGGCGACAGAGCAAGACTCTCAAAAAACAAACAAACAAACAAACAAACAAACATATCCATGGTTCCAATGTCAAACCTACAAAATGAGGCACATTCAGGGAAGTCAAGCCTAGCTTCCATTTTTCTCCCTTCTACTCTCTTCCCCTATCTCCTAGATAACTATTTTTACTGGTGTTTGGCTTATGCTTCCACTTCTTAAATATATATTTATTTACATTTTGAGACAGAGTCTCACTGTGTCACCCACCATAATCTCGGCTCACTGCAACCTCCGCCTCCCAGGTATGAGAGATTCTCGTGCCTCAGCCTCCCAAGTAGCTGGGATTACAGGTGCCCACCACCAAGCATGGCTAATTTTTGTATTTTTAGTAGAGATGGGGTCTTGCCATGTTGGCCAGGCTGGTCTTGAGCTCCTGACCTCAGGTGATCCACCCATCTCAGCCTCCCAAAGTGCTGGGATTACAGGTGTGCGCCACCATGCCTGGCCTCCAGTTTTTTAAAAAAGGCACATACATATATGTAGTTGTATTTCTCCTTCTTAGATAGCATACTCTATGCACCATTCTGCACTTTGTTTTTTTCACTTAATATAGGTTATACTAATACACAGAACTACTTCTCATTCCTTTTTACAGCTGCACAATATTACTTGTGTCGACGTCCCCTATAGGTGGACATTTGCATTTTTTCTAGTCTTTTGCTATTACATAAAGTGTGCATATAGCATCCTTGCATGTCTGAGACTTTAGGATGAAATCTGATTAATCTGCCAGGGTCTACATCTATCCCTGTCTCAAAGTGGGCTATTTCTATAACTTACCCTGATCGTTAAGGTATTACATTTTTCATTTTTTCTTATCTCACTTTGCATGAGAAATAGAGTATAAATAACTCAAGCTCCCATATTCAAAATAACAGGCATCGAGGGGCTTTTGAAGGGAAAAAAAAAAGCAGCAATCAACATTTCTGTGGGTTCCTTATTCAGCAACCTGTGGTCCACCTCCAACCCTCCACCAAGAAGACCAGTCAACGATTATACAAATGCCTCTAGTTCCGTATTCCATAGATTTGCCCTACCTAGATCTACAAAAAAAGTGAGACCACATCCCCTTAGGCAGCATCTTACCATTGCTGTGTGTTGAGGCACCTGCTCCATTCACTTACATATTCAACAAATATTTTATAAATGTGTACTATGTACCACATGTTGTGCCAGGTGCTGAAGACAAAGCAGTGGGTGAGATAAATCCAGCATCTATCCTCCTGCAGTTCAGACAGTGGCTCTTAGCTTCTGTGATTGGCTGAAGCCATTTTTGTTCAACACATGAAAGAGCACTTAAATATTCTTTCCCAAAGACCTCACAGCTTCAAAAATACCAAAATACCACCATCTTCCCAAGGTGAACACTAGACTGTGAGTTTCTCCTCATTTTATGGAAAGTGATGGGAAAACACCCAGATGATTTTGCAGTACTCCTGGTGCTTCATTCTCAGGGGCAAAATTGGGCATAAAACCTAGGTATCTAGATCGTGTCTGCAAAGGAAGCAATTGCTCTAATTCTGATAATCGGCCTTTCCTTTACATGCCTCTGAGACAGGGTCTTGCTCTGTCGCCCAGGCTGGAGTGCAGTGCCACAATCTCGGTTCACTGCAACCTCTGCCTCCTGGGTTTAAGCGATTCTCAGGCCTCAGCCTCCAGAGTAGCTGGGATTACAGGTACACACCACCACACCCAGCTAATTTTTGTATTTTTGGTAGAGATGGGGTTTCATCATGTTTGCCAGCCTGGCCTCAAACTCCTGGCCTCAAGCAATCTGCTCGCCTCGGTCTCCCAAACTGCTGGGATTACAGGCGTGAGCCACCGTGCCCAGCCTACATGCCTCTTCTAAATCAATCATGTTTCATGATTGCAAATTTTGCATTTATTTTGTGCTGGACTCCCAAGTTCTTTTATAATAAACAATAGTCACCATTTATTAAATATTCACTAGGTTCCAGGCATCCAGGCTAAGCCCTTTACACTAAATCATGTAGTCTTCCCAATTATAAGTACCATCATGGTAGCCATTGTATAGAGGAGAACACTGAGGCTTAGAGAGGGTCAATAAAATTCCCGAGGTCACACATCTAATAAGAGCAGACATGATTAGAGAAGTCACATCAATAGAGGTACAGAAGTCTCTGGTATGATGAATAAGCTATAGCTCAAGTATTAATAGTAATCATTAACTTCTTTTTTCTTTTTTTTTTTTTTTTGAGATGGAGTCTCTGTTGCCCAGGCTGGAGTGCAGTGGCACAATCTTGGCTCACTGCAACCTCCACCCCCCAGGTTCAAGTGATTCTCCTGCCTCAGCCTCCAGAGAAGCTGGGATTACAGTGGCCACCACCATGCCCAGCTAATTTTTGTATTTTTAATAGAGATGGGTTTTTGCCATGTTGGTCAGGCTGGTCTCAAACTTCTGACCTCAGGTGATCCTCCCACCTCGGCCTCCCAAAGTGCTGGCATTACAGGCATGCATGAGCCACTGCGCTCGGCCTGTAATCACTAACTTCTATTGAGCATTTACTATTGTGCCAGGTACTAAGTGCTTTACGTATATTTATTAGAAGGGAAAAAGATTCTTCCTCATCCCTTACATTTCCTTCCATGTGGAAGAAGCTTCTCTGGCATGAGATTTCTGACCTGTCTCCCTGCTCTTTGACTCATTCCTGCCCAGGAGGGTGGTGGTGGTGGTGAAGAGGGTGGTACAGGAAGAGGAGCAACTTCTCAATGGAGACGCTGGGGAGGAACTGGAGATGCATAGCTCAGCCCATCTCTGTCCTCTTGGCAGCCATCCTCCTCCAGAGCATGCTTTGGGCTCTGCTCTCCCAGGCTCCACTGTTTACAGGGACAGTTTCCAACTGGGGGGCATGCCCCAGCCTGCGTGGGTACCCTGCCTAATTCTGGCATTCACTTACCCACAAATGTAAACCATGGACTCCTATATAAAATGTATCAGTGATAAAGTTGATGTTTTGATCCCATTTGCTTTTTTTTTTTTTTTTTTTTTGAGATGAAGTCTCGTTCTGTCACCCAGGCTGGAATGCAGTGGGGTGATCTCGGCTCACTGCAACCTCCACTTCCTGGGTTCAAGTGATTCTACTGCCTCAGCCTTCCGAGTAGCTGGGATTACAGGTGTGTACTACCACACCCAGATAATTTTTGTATTTTCAGTAGAGACAGGGTTTCTCCATGTTGGCCAGGCTGGTCTTGAATTCCTGACCTCAAGTGATCTGCTTGCCTTGGCCTCCTAAAGTGCTGGGATTACAGGAGAGAGCCACTGCTCCTGGCCAATCCCATTTGTTTTTATTTCTCCTTGCCCAGCTCTTAATTACTCAGAACTTGGGAAGGGAAGAGAGGTTTCCTCTATTATAGTCTCTCAAATCTCCAAACTATTAACTCATTTAATCCTAACAAAAATTCCATTAGAGGACAGGGAGCAATGGCTCATGCCTGTAATCCTAGCACTTGAGAGGTGCAGTTGGGAGGATCTCTTGAGGCCAGGAGTTCAAGACCATCCTGGGCAACATAGTGAGACCCTGTCTCTACCAAAAATTAAAAGAAAAAAAGAATTCCATTAGAAAAGTACTCTTATTATCCTCTCAGATGAGGAAACTGAGCATTTGGCCTTTTGGTTGAAATACAAATATTTGCTCTCAGTCCAGGATCAGATGAAATTAAAGCATATAAGAGTGTTTGCAAACTGTTAAAGCTATGTATACAGAAGGCAATGAGGGTGGTGGTTCTGGCTTTCACACCCACTGGCAGTAGGACTCTGAGCAAGTACTTTCCGGACTTTAGTTCCTTTATCAGGAAAGTGAGGGGTGGGAGAGGCTGATCTGTGCAGATCCTTCCTGTTCTAACGCCTGTGACCACGAATCAGTGATGACTAGCCATTGACTGTTTTCTCCTGGCTTCCTCTGCGTCATTGAGGACTTTTGGATGCTGACTTTTCCCGATTGAGCTAGGCCCAGTCCCTGGGGAACACAGGCCACCTGAAACTCCCCCTCGTTGAATGGGCTGGGCTCAGTCATCTGAGGTTTGCTGCTCGGTTGCCTTTGGTTGCTGCAGCAACATAACACACGCCCACACTTCCGTTTCTGAGAGTGCGATGAAGGCTGATCTCCTCCTGTCGGCCACAGGGGCTCTCCCAGGCCCTGCCGCTCACAGTACTTCCTGGCTTCCTCACAAGGCCACCCGAGGGGAGGGGAAAGAAACCCACTAGTCATTCCTCGGGGGTTGTGGGAGTTGAAGTGAATACTTCCCCGGAAAAAAAAAAAAAAGGCACATCTCCATCAGGTCAGCACTGAGGGGCTAAAATCTCAAGAGATTCAGACTCAGTATTAAGAGACTGATTTGGCTGGGCGCAGTGGCTCATGCCTGTAATCCCAACACTTTGGGACGCCGAGGCGGGCGGATCGCCTGAGGTCAGGAGTTTGAGACCAGCCTGGGCAACATGGTGAAACTCCGTCTCTACTAAAAATACAAAAAATTAGCTGGGTGTAGTGGCAGGCACCTGTGATCCCAGCTACTCGGGAGGCTGAGGCAGGAGAACTCCTTGAACCCGGGAGGTGGAGGTTGCCGTGAGCCAAGATAGTGCCACTGCACTCCAGCCTGGGCGACAGAGTGAGACTCTGTCTCAAAAAAAATAAAATAAAATAAAGACTGATTTAGAACAGTGTTTGTGAACAGGATTTCTGCTTGCTGACGCCGTTGGAAGAGCCTGTGTTTTTGAAATGATTGACGTCATGAAATCTAGTTTGGTCACCAGGATATGGGGTTGACAAAGACCTTGTGGCAGGCCTTTACTATAAGTTTCATCTAATTCTGAAATTCAGTGCTTTCACACCGGAAGTGAGCAAAATAACAAAGAACAGAAAGTGGAAAAAACATTCTGACCTAGTGGAAACTATCTTTTGCCCACCTGCATTCCTGCAAAATAGCAGTCAAATTAGCCCAGATATCTACCTTTGAGGGGGTCCCCAGATGGTGTATCTCCCAAAGGGATTTTGTCGATGAATTTAACGCCCCAGTTATTCAGAAGAGAGTTCTAAAGGCATTATTAGAGGAACCTGAGGTTGTTTCTCTCTGCCTCCATAACAAAATAGCTCACTCTTTTGCACACCTGAATAAAGAAACTACACTGGGATCAGGAAATAAGGGCAGAGCCAGGGCAAATTCCGAACCAATGCAAGAAAACCTTTAAATGCAATTGCCCGGATAGTTCTCCCATTGAGAGGAACAGGATGTGTGCTGGCTTTAGCCAAGAGGAATGGGCTAGATAAGATGAGCATAGATTTTGAACATGCAAAAGGGTGAGGTGACCAGAGGGAAAAGGCGAGCAGCCAGGATAAGAAGACTCCTCTGTCCTTCTGACCCTTGCCCTCACAGGACCTGCTCCTACCAGCAACCAGCAGACACTTCCTCACTTAGGTGGGGGACTGAGGCTGTGGCCCTTGATGGCATTGTTCCCAGAATGGAAAATGTGGGTGTTGGCAACCATATCAAAGGCCTCTGATTGTTTAGAAACCTTTACAGCTCTGATCACCAGACCGCAAAGCCCAAGGGCCGTTCAAGGCCTGTGGAAACTTTGGAACAATAGACTTGGCCCCCTGCCTATCTGTTTTCGTGGCTTTCTGAAAGAGGTAGACGGGGCCTCCAGCCACTCTACGCTCCAGCCCAACCATCAACCTATCAATCTTCTTCAAGCCGGTTCTCACAAGCCAGCACTGGTTAGAGATCGGAGCTGAGATGAGTGCACTCTGCTCTTCAGAGACTGAGACTAGATTGAGAAGAAGGAGGTACCGGATCAGCGTACAAAGTCCAATGGGTGCCAAAAGACTCAGCAACCATGATAAACAATATTTTAATGCAACCACTAAAAAATAAAAATAAAAAATTATCCACGATGAACAAAATATCAAAAATTTTAAAAGAACTGCACTAAAATATTTATCTTGTTTACTGAGTTTTTTGGCGGCCCCTTAAATTTTGCACCCATGGGCCCGGCATTGTGGCTCACACCTGTAATCCCAACACTTTGGGAGGCTGAGGTGGGTGGATCACCTGAGGTCAGGAGTTCAAGACCAGCCTGGCCAACACAGTGAAACCCGTCTCTGCTAAAAATACAAAAATCAGCTGGCTGTGGTGGCACACACCTGTAATCCCAGCTAGTCGGGAGGCTGAGGCAGGAGAATCAGCTTGAACCTGAGAGGCAGAGGTTGCAGTGAGCCGAGATCGCTCCACTGCACTCCAGCCTGGGTGACAGAGCGAGACTCCATCTAAAAAAAAAAAATTGAATTTTGCACCCATGTTGAGTGCCTCCTATGCCTCACTCTAGTCCCTGCTCTGCTGTGAAATGGTGTGCTGTTGACAGGCACTCAGAAATATGAAACATGGAAATGCTCATTTTGATTATCAGGAGGTGAGGGTCCTCCAAGATGTGTGGAATGTGTTGCCCAGATAACCCAGGCCATGTTGCTTTTTTGTCTTTCTTTTTTAGAGACAGTGTATCACTCTGTTGCCCAGGCTGTAGTGCAGTGGGACAGTCATAGCTTGCTGCATTACTTCAAGCAATCCTGCTGCCTCAGCCTTCTAAGTAGCTGGGACTACAGACGCAAACCACCAGCTAATTTTCTAATTTTTTTTTTTTGATGGACTCTCACTCTGTCACTCAGGCTGGAGTGCAGTGGCACGGTCTCGGCTCGCTGCAACCTCCACCTCCTGGGTTCAAGTGATTCTCCTGCCTCAGCCTCCCAAGTAGCTGGGATTACAGGCATGCGCCACCACACCAGGCTAATTTTGTATTTTTAGTAGAGATGGGGTTTCTCCATGTTGGTCACGCTGGTCTGGAACTCCTGACCTCAGGTGACCTGCCCCCCTCGGCCTCTCAAAGTGGTGGGATTACAGGCATGAGCCACCGTGCCTGGCCTCTAATTTTTTATAGAGATGGGGTCTCACTATGTTCCCTGGGCTCGTCTCAAATTCTTGGCCTTAAGCGATCCTCCTACCTTGGCCTCCCAAAGGGTTGGGATTACAGGCATGAGCCACTGTGCCTGGACACATGTTTCTTAAGACCTAGGTGTTGAAGTTACAATTATGCCAGGGAATACAACTGGAAAGCTGCCTAGAAGAGCTGCAGTCCAGGCTACCCGAACCTTCCATAGGAGACTGGGGCAAGCGTCTGGGGGAGGCGGTTGCCTGCTTGGTATCATCTAAAAAGGATTGGAAAGGTTCCTTTCTCTAAGGGTCTCTTCTAGACATGCCATCAGTAGAGTTGTCAATCCTTTGGCTCTTGTAATTGTCTTGGTTTTAAAGAAACTTCCATTAAAATAATATAACTATCTCTGTGGTTATTATTGGCAGAGATCTTAGCAGAGTCTTACTTATTCATTCATTCAACAAGCATTGAGCACCACATACCAGGAATGCCCAGTCTAATGAGAGTGGCAAGGTGGAGGCCAGGGCAGGATGGCAGAGGGGCCACTCATTCGATTCTGATCTGCTTCCACCCGGGACTGCAACTGAGGAAGAGCAAGATTCAGAGCAGGTGCCTACCTGGGATCACAAGAGAGAGGTGCAGGAAGAGACAGGGAGAGCCCTCAAAACACTTCTCACTCCTTTCAGATGTACCTGGGCTATGCAGGGCTAGAGGAGGCAGCCAGCGATGGGCTTTGATTCATGGAAGTCTTGTTGCACAACTCTGGAGGCGGGGGCGCCATTCTCATAGAATACAATGTACCACTCAGGCATTGCACAGGATTGGGAAAGTTCTCTGGGAAGTGAAGCCTATCAGTAAGGTGGCAGGGGAGGGGAGTTTTCCCCTGAGGATATGCAGCTGTGCACCTGGCGGTTCTGTGGGTGGGATCCTGCTGTGTCCGGAATTGGTGGGTTCTTGGTTTCACTGACTTCAAGAATGAAGCCGTGGACCCTCGCCGTGAGTGTTATAGTTCTTAAAGGCGGCGTGTCCGGAGTTTCTTCCTTCTGGTGGGGTTCGTGGTCTCGCCGGCTCAGGAGTGAAGCTGCAGATCTTCGCGGTGAGTGTTACAGCTCCTAAGGCGGCGCATCTGGAATTGTTCGTTCCTCCTGGTGGGTTCGTGGTCTCGCTGGCTTTAGGAGTGAAGCTGCAGACTTTCGCGGTGAGTGTTACAGCTCTTAAGGCCGCGCGTCTGGAGTTGTTCGTTCCTCCCGGTGGGTTTGTGGTCTCTCTGGCTTTAGGAGTGAAGCTGCAGACCTTCGCCGTGAGTGTTACAGCTCACAAAGGCAATGTGGACCCAAAGAGCGAGCAGCAGCAAGATTTATTGCAAAGAGCAAAAGAACAAAGCTCCCACAGCCCGGAAGGGGACCGGAGAGGATTGCCACTGCCAGCTGGGGCAGCCTGCTTTTATTCTATTATCTGGCCCCACCCACATCCTGCTGATTGGTCCATTTTACAGAGAGAGGAGTGGTCTGTTTTGACAGGGTGCTGAATGGTGCGTTTACAATCCCTGAGCTAGACACAAAGGTTCTCCACGTCCCCACCAGATTAGCTAGATACAGAGTGTTGATTGGTGCATTCACAAACCCTGAGCTAGACACAGGGTGCTGATTGGTGTGTTTACAAATCTTGAGCTAGTACAGAGTGCCGATTGGTGTATTTACAATCCCTTAGCTAGACAAAAAGTTTCTCCAAGTCCCCACCAGTCAGGAGCCCAGCTGGCTTCACGCAGTGGATTCTGCACGGGGGCTTCAGGTGGAGCTGCTTGCCAGTCCCACACCGTGCGCCCGCACTCCTCAGCCCTTGGGTGGTCTATGGGACTGGGCACCGTGGAGCAGGTGGCGGCACTCGTCGGGGAGGCTTGGGCCCCCCAGGAGCCCACGGAGGGTGGGGGAGTCTCAGGCATGGTGGGCTGCGGGTCCCGAGCCCAGCCCCGTGGGGAGGCAGCTAAGGTCCAGCGAGAAATCGAGCGCAGCGATGGTGGGCGGCACTGCTGGGGGACCCAGCACACACGCTGCAGCCGCTGGCCCGGGTGCTAAGCCCCTCATTGCCCAGGCCGGCAGGACGGGCCGGCCGCTACGAGTGCGGCCCGCTGAGCCCACACCCACCCGGAACTCGTGCTGGCCTGCAAGCACCGCACGCAGCCCCGGTTCCCGCCTGTGCCTCTCCCTCTACACCTCCCCGCAAGCTGAGGGAGCCGGCTCCAGCCTCCGCCAGCCCAGGAAGGGGCTCCCACAGTGCAGCGGCGGGCTGAAGGGCTCCTCAAGTGCCGCCAAAGAGGGAGCCCAGGCAGAGGAGGCGCCGAGAGTGAGCAAGGGCTGTGAAGGCTGCCAGCACACTGTCACCTCTCGCTGCCCCTAGAGAGTTGGGGAGAGGGGCCCAGATGGACCCCAACTCTTTACTCTCAGCCGACATGAAGGGAGTTTGTTAGCCTTTGTGGCTCTGGCCCAGATCCAGGCTTTCTGGTGGCAGAGGGGCTGTGACCCTGATGAGGCAGCCTCCTTGGGAGAGAGAAGCCATTCTGTTCACTCTCCCTTTCATGCGCTTTCCAGGGGAGCTGGCCTGAGAGCTAATCATTGATTTAGCAGCCTGAGAAATGAAAGAGAGAGGGGAGGCCAGGAATGTTTCTGGATCCTCTGAAAGTGCTCTCTCTTTTAAAACAATTAACAAACATGTATGTAGAATTTTTACATACATTATCCTATTTCTTTTTCATTACAACACTTGTTAGGAGAGGCTCTATTATTCCCAAGGTAATTAAGTACCAAGAGGTGACAGAACTTCCAGATAATGGAGTCAGTAAACAGAAAATTTAGGTTGCGAACACTCCATCTGTGCCTCTTTCACCAGGCAGCTCAGGTCTAGGCACAGAACCAAAGGCTCCCATGCCTTAATCCAGACACCTGGAATCATTCTTTCCTCCCATCCTCCTTGCTCCTCACACATACCACCACAAGTACTTCCACCTAAAAAATATATATCAAACCTCATCTTTTTGACTCACTGCTGCTCCCTACTCCAGGCCACCCTCATTGCTCACCACCTTACAGATTTCTCTGCTGCTACTTTTGCACTCCCTTGGTTTTCTCTTTCTACCAGCTGTGTGACCTTGGGCAAGTTTCTTAACATCTAAGGACTGAGTGCTGTCTCTAAAATAGAAATGAGAATAACATCACCCTGCAGGTTGCGCTAAGAGTTCAGATGCTGTGCTTGGAATAGGGCCACCTGAAAGCATCTAGGATAAACCACTGTGGCTTAAGAATTATTTTGAGCTGAAGGCATTTGAGTTTCTAAAATCCCTTATCTGCCTAAAAACAGAGCCTCCCCAAAGAACTCAACTGTTGTAAATCACCTCCCCTAATCTCTGCTAGGCAAAGAAGGTTGGCACCATATCCAAGCAGACATTTGTCACAAAAGTATCATATCTTCCATCTATGTTGCTAAGGGCCCATGTATCTTTCCAAAGAGTAATTTGTTTTTCCCTAAGTGCTGTCCTTCACCCACTTTCTAAGAAGTCATTTGTTCTCTCAAAAATGTCCATCTGCCTCTCCCCATCCCCTGTTAGATGGTAATATATAAGCCCCCAAATTCTATTGGCCTCTTTGAATCACAGTTCTTTGTGAACTCCTTTGCATAAGTAAGTAATTAAATATATATTTTTTCCTCTTGGTAATCTGTCTTTTGTCAGTTTGTTTATTTATTTATTTTTGAGACAGGATCTTGCTCTGTCACCCAAGCTGGAGCGCAGTGGCACGATCACTGCTCACTGCAGCCTCAACCTCCTGGGCTCAAGCAATCCTCCCACCACCACCATGCCAATTTTTTTTTCAGCTAATTGTGTGTGTGTGTGTATAAATAGGATCTTACCATGTTGCACAGACTGGTCTTGAACTCCTGAGCTCAAGCGATCCTCCTTCCTCGGCCTCACAAAGTGCTGGGATTATAGGCATGAGCCATCACACCCAGCTTGTCAGTTTAATTTGCAGGCTCCCAGTGATTAAAGCTAAGTCGGTCGAGGGAAAGTTTTTGCTCCCTGACATTTCCAAGAGAAATATAAATGTCAGACATGTAACTTAAAGTTTAAAATTTTCTAGTGGCTACTATATTATAAGAGGTAAAAAGAAAAGTAAAATTAATTTTAATAATACAACACAATATAAATAGTATCCATTTAACATGTAATCAATATTTCTTTCTTTTTTTTTTTTTTTTTTGAGACGGAGTTTTGCTCTTGTTGCCCAGGCTGGAGTGCAACGGCGCGATCTCGGCTCACCACAACCTCCGCCTCCCAGGTTCAAGCGATTCTCCTGCCTCAGCCTTCCCAAGTAGCTGGGATTACAGGCATGTGCCACCACGCCCGGCTAATTTTGTATTTTTAGTAGAGATGGGGTTTCTCCAGGTGAGCCCGGCTGGTCTTGAACTCCTGACCTCAGGTGATGCACCCACCTCGGCCTCCCAAAGTGCTGGGATTACCAGTGGTGTGAGCCACCGCGCCCAGCCCGTAATCAATATTTCTAAAATATTAACGAGAATTTGCAGCACTATTCACAATAGCAATACATGGCATCAACCTAAATGCCCATCAATGATACACTGGAAAAAGAAAATGTGGTACATATATTCCATGGAATACTATGCAGCCATAAAAAAGAACAAGATCATGTCTCTTGTGGGAACATGGTGGAGCTGGAGGCCATAATCCTTAGGAAACTAATGCAGGAACAGAAAACCAAATACCGAATATTCTCACTTATAAGTGGGAGCTAAATGATGAGAACTCATGGACACAAAGAAGGGAACAACAGACAATGGTGCCTACTTCAGAATGAAGGGTGGGAGGAGAGAAAGGAGCAGAAAAAAATAACTATTGGGTACTGGGCTTAATACCTGGGTGACAAAATAATCTGTACGACAAACCCCCATGACACGAGTTTACCTATATAACAAACCTGCGCACATACCTCTGAACCTAAAATAAAAGTTAAAAAAAATTAATGATATTTTAATATTCTTTTTTCATACTAAGTCCTTAAATTTCAGTGTGTATTTTTACATTTACTACATAACTCAGTTTGGACTAGCCACATTCAAGTGTCCAGTAACTACACGTGGCCAGTGGTTGCCATAATGGGCAGCGCAGCCTTAGAGCAAGGCCTGGCTCATAGTGTTCCCTATTACCATGGTAGTTACTGTTACATGGACGCTGGGCCCCTTGGCCCTGCCTTAGTTTTCCTGTCTGCTCATTGGGAACCCTGACACTGTTAGCTAATCCAATTCTATCAAATAAATCCCAATAGAATTAGCATGTCTGTTGGGGCTCCGGGGGGCAAGTGGACATGTTTTGAGTAAGGAGGGTTCAGGAAATGCTCCTTTGAGTCAGGAGGAAAAGGATTTTCACATCACTGGTCCCTCCCACTGAGGAGGCAGCAGGCACCAGAAGCTTCAGTGGAAAGCAGTAACTAGAGAGGGGTTTCCAGGGCAGAGCTTGGCTACGCTGCCACGTTTGATGATGTCCTTCCATGTCTCTTTAAAAGAGTCTGGCCGGAAGCACCTGGGGCCTGGAAGAACGGTCTGCCCTTCAGCAGAGTTTCCTGCCCCTGTCTCCATGCCACCCTCCCCTGCCCACTTGCAGAAACAAAACGCTGTCTTCAAAGGCCTGTGTCAGGTGGACCAACTACTGGCCCACGCCCTGTGTGGCTGACCAGCCATTCCGCTTGGCTCATTGGAGCCGTAAGTGCCTCTGTTCTTCTGCTCAGGGCATCTCAGAGCCTTACCTTTGCCCTCCCAGGACCTGTGGCCCCAGCCCTGAGATGGGGTTCACTTTGGAGGCCCTCTGGCTTCTCAGGACTCCAGCTGTGTAGTATGCTGTGGCTGCCTTACCAAAGCACCACAAACTAGGTGGCTTAGAACAACAGAAGTATATTGTCTTGTAGCTCTGGAGGCTAGAAGTCTGAAAGTCACGTCTTTGGCAGGGCTGATTCCTTCTGAGATCTGTGAGGAAGCATCTATTGGAGACCTCTCTCTAGCTTCTGGTAGCCTCCTGCACTCCTTAGCTTGTAGACAACCTTCCTTTTGTGTCTTCACATCATCTTCTCTCCATCCATGTTGGTTTCTGTCCAAATGTTCCCTTTTTATAAAAACATCAGTCAAATTGGATTAGAGATGGGATTCAGAGAAGAACTTTGGTTGCTCCTCATTTTAACCTAATTACCTTGGTAAAGATCTCATCTCCGAATAAGGTATGTCAGGGCTCAGAAAACAGCAACCCAAAATGAAGGCCTCAGAAGCAACCAATTCCAGGTGGAGGTTATAGTGAGCCGAGATTGCACCACTGTACTCCAGCCTGGGTGAGAGAATGAGACCCTGTCTCAAAAAAAGAAAAAATGAAAGAAATTATCTGACCTACCTTGCTTGATTATAGTCATAAGACCCCCATTCCAGGGAGAGTCCTGCCCCACACCCAGAAGGAATGCCGGCTCAGGGAGGCCAAGAAGAATCTAGACAGAGAGGCCTTGCTGGGTTTCCCCCCTCAGTCTATTAGCAGTAGATCCCCTTTAGGTCCAATCATATTTCTACACGGTTGTCCATACTTTATTAAACTAAGCATAAAAATGGACAATTTCCCCTGCATCTTTGGGTCTTCATTGTGATGACTCCTGTGCATACATGTTAAATAAATGTGTGTTGCTTTTCTCCAGTTAACCTGCCTTTCAATGAGTTGAGTTGTCAGTGAAACTTGAGAGGGCAAAAGGGAACTTTTTCCTTGGCCTCTAGATGTCATATGCTGAGGTACTAGGGGTTAAGACTTTAACACAGAATTTTGCTGGGGTCATAATTCTACCTATGACAACAGTCTAGCCTCCTTCTGCAAGGGTAAATGTCCACTCTGTCATCACTGGGAATTCAGGAAGTGGGTGAACTTCTGAGGCTTCTGGGCTAGTAGTATTTGATAGAAATAATTGCTTAGTGGAGCTCACATAAATTCAGAATTTTCTGGAGCTACAGGCAGTACAGTGACCAACAAAACTCAGCCTTTGTGCCCTAGGAATTGTAATCCAATAGGACTTTTCTTTTCTTTTCTTTTCTTTTTTTTTGAGACGGAGTCTCGCTCTGTTGCCCAGGCCGGAGTGCAGTAGCACAATCTTGGCTCACTGCAACCTCCGCCTCCTGGGTTCAAGCAATCCTCTGCCTCAGCCTCCTGAGTAGCTGGGATTACAGGCACCCGCCAACACACCTGGCTAATTTTTGTATTTTTTGTAGAGGCGGGGTTTCACCATCTTGGCCAGGCTGGTCTTGAACTCCTGACCTAGTGATCCACCCGCCTTTGCCTCCCAAAGTTCTGGGATAACAGGTGTGAGCCACCGTGCCCGGCTCCAATAGCACTTTAACCAGATAATAAAATACAGGGTGAAAGGTACAAAGAACAAAGATATAGTCGAGAGAGTGCTTTCTTGTGGTTGCAAGATAAGTGACAGATTTATGGAGATTTGCTTTGAATAGTCCTTCTGATTCCAAAAGTAAAGATGAGAATGGCTGGGCATTCCAGGTGTAGAATTCCAGGGACAGGCGGGCATTCCACGGAAGACTAAATCACTTGAATGTCTGGGAGGTGGACAGAAGCAGCCAGGGTGAGAAAAGGGTAGGAGAGCAGGACACAGCCAAATGATGTGATGGCTTTTCCTGCCAGGCCAAAGAAGTGGCCTTTGATAGGCAAAGGGCATCCCTTGAGAGTTTTGTAGTAGGAGGGCAACAAAGCAAATCATCTGTCAAGGATATGAATCCCATTGGTAAGAATGGGCTAGGAGGAATTAAGGAGAAGGTGGGTGGGAAAGTGTAAACAGGAGGCTCTGACAGTTCAAATGTGAGAGGTAAAGGCCTCAGGGTAGTTGCTATGGAAATGGAAAGGGAGGAATGGGGGTGTGGGAAAGTGTTTGAAAAGAAAGAACCCAAGGCTGGGTGCGGTGGCTCACACCTGTAATCCCAGCACTTTGGGAGGCCGAGGTGGGCGGATCACTTGAGGTTAGGAGTTGGAGACCAGCCTGGCCACCATGGTGAAACCCCGTCTCTACTAAAAATACAAAAATTAGCTGGGCGTGGTGGCACGCTCCTGTAATCCCAGCTACTCGGGAGGCTGAGCCATGAGAATCACTTGAACTGGGGAGGAGGAGGGAGGTTGTAGTGAGTCGAGATTGTGCCATCATGCTCCAGCCTGGGCAAAAGAGCAAGACTGTGTCTCAAAAAAAAAAAAAAAAAAGAAAAGAAAAAGAAAAATCCCACAGAACTTGACAACGAAATAGATGTTTAGGAATGAGGGGAAAAAGAAAGAGAAGACAAAGATGGTTTCAGGTTTCCCAGTCTGGGCAATTTGGAGAGGGTGGGTACCATTAAGAGATTTGGAGAGGGTGGGTACCATTAAGAGAATGAGGCAGGTGAGTCAGGGGCGTGGCTGCTGGAACACTCCCTGCGGAGGGGAGAGGCTGGCAGTCAGTCCCTTCAATTGCCGAAAGCAGGAGTGACCTCTCCCCTTCCCCTCCCCTTGCCCCTTGTTCCTTTTTCCCTTGGAAGCTGTATCATTTAAATTAAACGCATTTAATCATTTAAAGGCACAGTATGGTCTCAAGGGTGTTCTTGATGTCACAATGAGGAAATGAGAAAGGGAAGGGCCTTAAAGTTATATCCCTTTCACGAGACTAAGGAGGAGGAGGTGATGAGAAACATGTAGTAATATACATCTGCAACTTCATTTCAGTCCAGTGCTGGGTCAGCACCCCCAGGACACCTTTGACACTGGACGTAGTGTCAAATGGGGCAAAATAGATACTTGCATTCAGTTCACAGGTCCTGGTATTTCTCCCTTTGAAATGCAGAAGATACAACTTTTGGTTCCTTATGAAAGCTTTTCGTCTCCTATGTGGAGAGGCTCTGGAGCACACCTGTGTGAATGTGTGTGTGTGTGTATGTGTATGCGGGTATGTGTATGTGTATGTGTGAATGTGTATGTACGTGTGCGTAGGCATGTGTGTATGCGTGTGTGTATGTGTGTATGTGTATGTGTGTGTATGTGTATGTATGCATGTTTGTGTGTATGTGTATGCATGTGTATGTGTGTACATGTGTGTATGTGTATGTATGCGTGTATGTGTATATGTGTGCATGTGCATGTGTGCGTGTATATGCCTGTGTGTATGCGTGTGTGTATGCATGCATGTATGTGTGGGTACGTGTATGTATGCATGTATGTGTGTGCATGTGTGCGTGTATGCATGTGTATGTGTGCATGTGTGCATGTGTGTATATGCATGTATATGTGTGCATGTATGCATGTGTGTATGTGTGTGTGTGTGTGTGTGTGTTCATCTATTTGGATCATTTCTCATCTCATCTCTTGCTTCCCAACCCTGCCTCAGCCCACTCTCACTGCAGGAGTGTTTTAACTACCTGCAAGCCAGTTTGAAGGCCCCTTGTCTAATCCAGCAGGACACTAATGGGTGTGTGTTTTGTGTGTGTGTGGTGCCAACAGTGTAATTGGGAAGTCACCTTCCACTAATAAAATACATGATGCTGGAAACAAGATCTAGCTGAAGCCACTTGTTTTGCCTCAGCTGTAGTTGTTGTCTCTGAGGGCTGAAAGGGGGAAGCCCAAATAAGAGATGATGTTGTGGTCCCTATAACACGTTTATGGACAGGGCTGACACAGGAACACATCTGAAAACTTCCTGAGGTTGAGTCTAAGGGAACATAATAGATGGAAATGCAGAGTAGCCAGGTTGGAGTGAGCTGGTGGGTGAGTGAGATGGTGGGTGAGTGGGTGCGGATGATGGGGAGAGAACTATTGAACAGGCTGGGATATCATCTCCTCTAGTCTCAGTCTGTCCCTTCATAAAAGAATTTAAATTCCCTCACAAAGAATCTAAACACATAACAGTAGGGGACTGACTGACTCCATCACCTTTTAAATACGCGATGAAATATACTGCAACCATTAAGAAGGGTGTGGAGGAAGTGGATTTATTGACATGGAACGATGTTCATGATCTACTGTTGTTTTGTTTTTAGAGACAGGGTCTAACTCTGTCACCCAGGCTGGAGTGCAGTGACACAATCATAGCTCACTGTAACATCAAACTCCTGGGCTCAAGTGATCCTCCCACCTCAGCCTCCTGAGTAGCTGGGACTACAGGCGTGAGCTGTTGTGCTTGGCTTCATGATCTTTTGTTGTGCATACGTACAGTATCGTCTCGTTTTTTTCGTGTGTGAAAAGCAAATGAATTCTAAATGTTGAAAGTGGCTCCTAATTATAGGTGACTTTTCTGTCATCTTTTTATTTTCTACTTTTTTCTTCAGTGAAAATATATTACTTGTAAATTTTTTCAAAGGATAACATTATTTAATAATAACATATGCCCTTGGAAATATTTCTTTGATGTTTAATTGGAGAGAGGAATTAGACGAAGAATACTCTTGACTGTCAAAGTCAGAGCCTGGGTCCCACCCACCAACCCCCACCAACCCACCCCCTACCCCCTGCGCTCCCTCCACTGCTTTCCATCTCAAAGCTCCTGTCAGCGGGATTGCCCTTCTGAGCCCTGCTGGGAAGGATGTGGGAGATATGATAAGCATCACTGCTTTCATTAGGAGAGGGGCCTAGGGGGCCTTAGGCAGGCTGAGTGACTGGCTCTGAAATCCCTGGTTAATCGGTCCTACAGGAGGTAGGAACTGGCCTTCCTTTCTCTCTCCTTCTGTTTTCCAGCTGCCAGCTGCTCCTCTAATGAATAGGTTTTCTTCTGGTTTCAGTCCCATGACTTTGCTTTCCAAGTGCTATTGTACCCAGGCCAGCTGGTGAGCAGGACTGGTTTTTAGGGTTATAGAGTCTTCAGGTCACACAGGGGTTAAGTGCCATGGGAAAGGCCCAAGCAGAGTTAGAAGGTCACCAGGAAATCAGGAGGCAGGGCAAGGGTGAAAGGAGGTGGGCCTCCCTGCACGCACAGTCTGGGCGAGTGTCCACTAAGTTGGCAGAGCATTGTTAGGGACTTGCCTGTAGGGTTCCTACAACAAAACAATCAGGGCCTGGGTGGGAGCCAGGAGAGTGTCCAGGTGTTCCAGCAGACAGCGATGCAGACTTTTGCCATGGCTTTCAAAGGTTGAAGTGGGTCATGCCCCCCTTCTCAGCAGTCCTGTGCCCTCCGAGGGGTACAACGATGCCAGTGAGGGGTCCTCTTGAGTTCCCAAAATTCCTGCAGTGAGGAGCTCAGAACCATTGTGCAGCTTTAGAAAACTGTTTGCCTTGGGAGGCTGAGGTGGGCAGATTACAAGGTCAGGAGTTCGAGACCAGCCTGACCAACATGGTGAAACCCCATCTCTACTAAAAATACAAAAATTAGCTGAGTGTGGTGGTGTGCACCTGTAATTCCAGCTACTCAGGAGGCTGAGGCAGGAAAATCGCTTGAACCTGGGAAGTGTAGGTTGCAGTGGGCGGAGATTGTGCCATTGCACTCCAGCCTCGGTGATAGAGTGAGACTCTGTCTCAAAAAAAAAAAAAAGAAAAGAAAAGAAAACTGTTTGCCTGCAGGACTCTTTGTCGTTTGTTTTTACTGTGACCTGGGACCTCTCTCAGTATGGGGAGAGCTTTTTTTTGAGACAAAGCCTCACTCTGTTGCCCAGGTTGGAGTACAGTAGTGCAATCTCTGCTCACTGCAACCTCCGTCTCCTGGGTTCAAGTGATCCTCCTGCCTCAGCCTCCCTAGTAGCTGGGATTACAGGCATGTGCCACCAAGTCTTGCTAATTTTTGTATTTTTAGTAGAGACAGGGTTTCACCATGTTGGCCAGGCTGGTCTTGAACTCCTGGCCTCAAGTGATCCACCCGCCTTGGCCTCCCAACGTGCTGGGATTACAGGTGTGAGCCACTGCACTCAGCCAGTGTGGGGAGATCTTACCTGGAGAAAAGGAGAGGCCTGAGAACACCCAGCCTTCCCAGCACTCTGGGGCTGTAGCCTCTCAACTCTTCTTGGCTGCTCTTCTGAGAATAAAAGAATTCTCACATACCAATTTCAGGGGGCACAGCTGGAAAATAGGGAGCAGTGGTGATTAAGAACTCTGCCTCCTTCTAGCTGCTCTGAGCCACAGTTTCTTTATAGGCAAAAGGAAATACTCATAGTGTATGTTTCCAGGTTGCTGTGAGATAATGTAGCATAAAGAATTGAGAGGGCAGTGCTGGGAACATACCAAGCAGGGATGAACTTGAAAAACATGTAACAACCAGTAAGGGCAGAGGAAGCTCCTTCTTTGTAGATTGGAGGTCAAGATTGTGCTGGAGCAGGTTCTGGAGAACACTTCAGTGCCAGCATTAACCGATTAGCTGCTGGGCTGTGGGGAGTTTCCAGAGAGGCATTGGGTGAGGAAGAGGGGTGATGCTATTTATAATCAACTATGAAATTATTTAAATATTTTAATAATAAGCTATGGCTGTATACTATGTAAATAGTAACTGTAGTTCTAAGTATTAGTAAATATTAATGGTTAATTAGTATAAAGATTAGCTATAGGGCTTTTATAGCTAGATTCCCTCTTCCCCAACACGCACACATATACCTCCATTCTTATTTATTTATTTAATTTATTCTTGAGACAGTCTCACTCTGTTGCCCAGGCTGAAGTGCAATGGTGCGATCTCTGCTTACTGCAACCTCTGCCACCCAGGTTCAAGCGATTCTTCTGCCTCAGCCTCCCGAGTAGCTTGGATTACAGGTGCACATCACCATGCCCAGCTAATTTTTGTATTTTTAGTAGAGACAGAGTTTCACCATGTTGGCCAGGATGGTCTTGAACTCCTGACCTCATGTGATCCACCTGCCTTGGCCTCCCAAAGTGCTGGGATTTTTGGTGTGAGCCACTGCGCCGGGCCTTCATTCTTAACCTTAAAGAAAGAAAAACAAGCAAGCACTTAGGAAAAGTACAGGACCAACATGGGTCAGACTTGGATTCCAACTGTTCAGATGTGCAGTACTCTGGAGCCCAGAAACACATGTGCACCACCAGCCAGAGGGCAACTGCTTTCAGACAAGCAAAGCTCTGTTCTCAAGGCCCAGAGTTGGGTGGACCTTCCTGTCATGCTCCACCCAATGTGGAATCTGCAAGTTACCAGAGTGGAGTTTCAAGGAGACATCACTGGTTGGGGGTATGGAAAAACACCCCTGCACTTGCATGGCAAATCAAAAGGAACTCTGTATAAGTTTGCTAGGTGCTCTGATCTGAATGTTGGTATCTCCCTAAAATTTCAATATGTTCCAATATGTTGAAAGCTAATACCCGATGTGATAGTATTACCAGGTGGGCCTTCTGGGAAGTGATTAAGTCATGAGGGATCTGCCCACAGGAATGCCATTAATCCATTTATAAAAGAAGTTGGGGGGAGTGCCCTTCTGACCCTTCCACCATGTGACGAAGTGACACAAGGCGCCATCGGTGAAGCAGACAGCAGCCCTCACCAGACATCAACTTTGCTGGAGCCTTGATCTTGGACTTTCCGGCTCCAGAACTGTGAAAAATAACTTTCTGTTGTTTATAAATTGCCCAATCTAAGAAATTTGGTTATAGCAGCCGAACTGAGTAAGTCACTTGGGCTGCCTTAACAAAGAACCACCGACTGGGTGGCTTAAACAACAGAAATTTATTTTCTCACTGTTGCGGAGGCTAGAAGTTTAAGATCAAGGTGTCAGCAGGGTTGGTTTCTTCTGAGATCTATGAGGAAGGATCCGTTCCAGGCCTCCCTCCTTGGCTTGTAGGCCTCCCTCCTTGGCTGTTTTCTCCCTGTGTCTTCACATCACCTTCCCCCATATGTGTGTTTGTGTCCAAATTTCTTCTTCTTCTTCTTCTTTTTTTTTTCCAGACAGTCTTGCTCTGTTGCCCAGACTGGAGAGCAGTGACACGATCTCAGCTTACTGCAAACTCTGCCTCTCGGGTTCAAGAGATTCTCCTGCCTCAGTCTCCCAAGTAGCTAAGATTACAGGCACCTGCCACCATGCTCTGCTAATTTTTGTATTTTTAGCAGAGATGGGGTTTCACCATGTTGGCCAGGCTGGTCTTGAACTCCTGACCTCAGGTGATCCACCCACCTCGGCCTCCCAAAGTGCTGGGATTATAGGCATGAGCCACCGCACCCAGCCCAAATTTCCTCTTCTTATGAGGACCCTAGTCATGTTAAATTAGGCCCCACCCAAATAACATCATTTTAACTTAATTACCATTTTACGGAACCCCATCCCCAAATATGGTTACATTCTGAGATAGTGGGGGTTAGGACTTCAACATATGAATTTATGGGAAGACACAGTTTAGCCCATAACAAGTTTATTCTGTTCACCCTGGTGTGGCCAGGGTAGCTTGCCGGCTTCCTTTCTGGCACATGTGGGTACATGTTCCTCTGAGCTTTCCCTCAATGTCTTCTTTTTCTAACTTCTTATGAAGATATTTAAACATGTGGTAGAATACATACCTATCCATGCACCCACCCTCACCTAAATTCAGGACTGGCTAATATTTGCCAAGTGTCATTTATTTACACATGCACATGTAGGAGACCAGAATATGCTTCCCGTAAATATGAAGGATTGTCGAGCTGAAGACAATTAAGAAGGAGATGGAGAAAGCTCTCTGCCCTCCCTCTATTTGCCTAAAAGCAGGACATAGATTTCCAGAGACAAAAGATATCCTGGCCTCCTCTTCTACCAGGGAGAACAAAGGTTAACTACTAAAGACAGCATTGGACCGTTTGGGCCTGGAGGTGATACTGGAGGAAATCTACACCAAGGAGCTCTCCTAACCAGCCTTTATCTGCCAATTATTTGCCTTCCCACAAGTTGCCACCCCTAGAGACTCAAAGACTATTTACTATGCTTTCGGCTTCCACCAACACATGGGACAGAGCTGTTTCAGGATGGGACCTGGGTTAGGTTAATTCTAGCTTTTTCTGGGCTGTTAGGCTGGAAGTGGCTTCTCAGCAGCAATACCAGCTGGTCGCGAAGGCTTTCTCCAGCAGGGCCCGCCCACAGCCCGCTCCTGCTCTACCTTAGCAGTAGGAAAGCTTTGGCATCCCCAGACGACAGGCTCACCAAGAACTCAAGTGCTCATTCAATAAAACACACACAGCTGAAGGGAAAGTCTGTAATTTGAGTATGTGTGTGGGCAGAACAGTTTCCCACCCCAGCACACTTGATTATTTGTGCTAATGGGGCGGGGGCTGGGGAGGGGGAGTCTGGGTCCCCAGTGTGACCCCCAGACTATTTACACATGGAGGAGCTTTATCTGGCTTTGGGAAGTGTGAGGTCGAGAGGTGATAACTTAGGGTTCCTCCCTGGGCATCAGGGAATCCCTGAAATTCTGTGCACACGTTTTTAGGAGTGGCGATGTATATCTTCCTAGGGAGAGAGGCCCTATTTACTGTCAGATTTTTGAAGGGAGACCCTGACCCCTAAGGTTAAAAATCATTACTCTGTGACTAATCCAGATAAAGTTCTATTGGTTTAGTATTAACTTTAGCTAATTTAAAATAAGTTTACCTTTCCTAAGAGATT
The DNA here is from genome assembly GCF_000001405.40 of Homo sapiens. Taxonomy (NCBI): domain Eukaryota; kingdom Metazoa; phylum Chordata; class Mammalia; order Primates; family Hominidae; genus Homo; species Homo sapiens. The sequence goes on along the minus strand of NC_000007.14, from coordinate 104,926,756 downwards.
TCCGTTCAATTGGCTGGGGATTTGGCTAGGTGGTGGGAAAATGTTAAGTAGAGTGAAAAATGTATCACTGATTAACCAGTGGAAATTTATTACAGCAGTTAAGAGCCCTGGGTCTGGAGCAAAACTGCTGAGGTTTGAGGCCCCGTTTTGCTGCTCACTAGCTACATGATCTTGGGCAAGTTATTTAAGCTCTCTGAGCTTCAGTTTCTTCCTCTGCAGAATGGGGATGAAAGTGGACTACTACCTCATGGCATGTTTTGAGGATGAAATGAGCTAATAAACACAGTCTTCAGCCCTACATTAGGTAAGCCATTCTTATTATTTGTTCTATTATCTATCTATCTATCTATCTATCTATCTATCTATCTATCTATCTATCTATCTATCTTGAGACAGAGTTTAGCTCTGTTGCCCAGGCTGGAGTACAGTGGTGCAATCTCGGCTCACTACAACCTCCGCCTCCTGGGTTCAAGTGATTCTCCTGCCTCAGCGTCCAGAGTAGCTGGGATTACAGGCGTGGGTTACCACGCCCAGCTAATTTTTCTATTTTTTTTTGTAGAGACAGGCACCCTTGATTATTTGGCCCAGCTGGTCTCGAACTCCTGCCTTCTCGAACTCCTGATCTGGCCACCTCTGCCTCCAAAAGTGCTGGGATTACAGGCGTGAGCCACTGCACCTGGCCTATTTCTTATTTAACAAGGTGGAATTGTTATTGGTGGCAGCGCCTTTGTGGCAGGAAGATGTTAAGGCTATGTCCCCTACATCAGAGTAGGCTGGGTTCTCCCATCTCTCTGGGATTCCTCTCTCCTCCCAGACCATCTAAAGCCAGCTTGGTCTTCAGGCTGATTCAAGAAGTACTTTCTCAGTATCTCCCAGCACATTCCACACTCCAACCCAGTTTATCCCTCTCTTCTCAATAGCCTATAACCCCCACGTAAACAAATACCCACACGTATTATGTATATTAGAAATGGGCTGGGCACGGTGGCTCACGCCTGTAATCCCAGCACTTTGGGAGGCCGAGGTGAGGGGATCACGAGGTCAGGAGTTTCAGACCAGCCTGGCCAACATGGTGAAACCCTGTCTCTACTAAAAATACAAAAATTAGCTGGGCATGATGGCCTGTAATCCCAGCTACTCGGGAGGCTGAGGCTGGATAATTGCTTGAACCCGGGAGTCAGAGGTTGCAGTGAGCCGAGATCAAGCCATTGCACTCCAGCTCTAGGTGACAGGGCAAGACTCCATCTCAGAAAAAAAAAAAGAAAAAGAAATGGAGTACTTTTCCTATATCAGGCACTCTGTGTGTGTGTGCATACTTCTATATATAAAACTTCATTTGGTCCTTACAGCAACTCTGTGAGGCATACCTCATACCTTATTAGCCCAATTTTACAGATGGGGAAATTGAGGCACAGATAGGTAAGTGATTATACCTCAATCCACAAAGCTAGTAAACAGTAAATCTGAGATTAAGATCTGCATATTTGAAGCCAATTCACCTTGCTGTTATTTAGTCATTTACTTCCTTGCAACTTCACTTACAGCGTAAGATATTCCTCTTTCTTTCTTTTTTTTTGTAATTGAAACAGGGTCTCACTCTGTTGCCCAGGCTGGAGTGCAGTGGCAAGATCATAGCTCACTGCAGCCTTGAACTTCTGGGTTCAAGTGATCCTCTTGCCCCAGCCTCCTAAGTAGCTGGGACTACAGGCACCCACCACAATGCCAGCACAATTTTTTAACTTTTTGTACAGATGAGGTCTCACTGTGTTGTGCAGGATGGTCTCAAACTCATGACCTCAAGTGATCCTCCTGCATTGGCCTCCAAAAGCATTGGGATTACAGGCATAAGCCACTATGCTTGGCCAGTATTTTGGTTTTCATATTATGTTAAAAAGTCTATAAATTCCTTTAAGACAGAGATGATTTCTTAGACTATTTTTCTTTTTCTTTTCTTTTTTTTTTTGAGACTGAGTTTCACTCTTGTTGCCCAGGCTGGAGTGCAATGGCACAATCTTGGCTCACTGCAACCTCCGCCTCCCAGGTTCAAGCCATTCTCCTGCCTCAGCCTCCCAAGTAGCTAGGATTACAGGCGTGTGCCACCATGCCCGGCTAATTTTTGTATTTTTAGTAGAGACAGGGTTTCACCATGTAGGTCAGGCTGGTCTCGAACTCCTGACCTCAGGTGATCCACCTGCCTCGGCCCCCCAACGTGCTGGGATTACAGGCATGAGCCACAGTGCCCAGCCCTTCTTAGACTATTTTTCATTCCTCATAGAACCTAGGACAATATCTGGGACATAATGGGAACCCAATAAATAGTTGTCTATGAATTGTTGACCGATTATATGTAGATGGGAAGCAGCTAAAATATGTTCACGGTGTTTGTTTAATAATGTAACTATTTTCTTATACTATAAGCAGATTTTTTGGTTTATCATTTCTGCATAACAGGATTTAAACATACATGATATGTTACTATTAATGCTACACTCTTTCTAATGTGTCTATAGAAAGAATAAAAGTATAAGTGAAGTTGGTTGTACAATTATTATTATCACCAGAGCAAGTTGTGCTTGCTCTGAGGCAATTCCTCACTCCGGTTTTAAAATGTTGAGAAGGGTCTGGGCGTGGTGGCTCACGCCTGTAATCATAGCACTTTAGGAGGCCGAGGCGATGGATCACCTGAGGTCAGGAGTTTGAGACCACCCTGGCCAACACGGTGAAACCACGTCTCTACTAAAAATACAAAAACTAGCTGGGTGTGGTGTCGGGTGCCTGTAATCCCAGATACTCGGGAGGCTGAGGCAGGAGAATCGCTTGAATCCAAGGCGAGGAGGTTGCATTTAGCTGAGATTGTGCCACTTGACTCCAGCCTGGGCGAAAGAGTGAGACTCCGTCTCAAAAATAAAATAAAATAAAATATAAATATAAATAAAATTAAAAAATTAAATGTTGAGAAGGAAGAAGAGGAATATTCCCTGTTCTAACTTCTTTCCTTTGATCCTCAGTCTTGAGAATAAATTTATCATCCCCATTCTTATGAGGAAACTGAGGCTCAGAGAGTCCATGCTATTCACCCAGGGAGTGGTGGAATCAGGATTTAAAGGCAGTGTGCTTGTCTCCAAAGCCCCAACTCTTTCTACTAACAGATAATCATGATTTTAAATTCAATACTCTGTTAGTTATCCATTACTATGTAACAAATGACCCCTAAAGGTATCGGTTTATTGATAACATTAAATGTAAACATTAAACAATAAACATTTATTCTGAGGGTCAGGGAATCTGGGACCAGCTTAGCTGGGTAGCTCTGAGGCAGTCTTTCATGAAGTTGCAGCCAGGCTGTTCACTGGGGTTGTGGTCATCTCAAGGATTGACCGGGGCTGGAAAATCTGTGTATAAACTCACTCAAATGGTTGTTGGCAGGCCTCAGTTCTTTGCTGGCTGTTGGCTAGGGTGTCAGTTCCTTGCTTTCCAGGCCTTTCCATGGGCTGCCTGCCTGTCCTCACAACATGGCGACTGGCTTCCCTTGTGAGTGATGAGAGAGCCCATGATGGAAGTCATGGTATCTTAAAACCAAATATTGGAAGTAATACACCATTTTCTGCCTTATGCTGTTGGTCACACAGACCGACTTTGACAGAGTGTGGGAGGAGATTACACAAGGGTGTGAATACCCAGAGGTAAAGATCGCTGGGGCCACCTTGTGGAAGTTGGCTACCACAAGTACTTGGGCCAATTTTAGGGTCAATTGGATAAGGTCCAAATGGTGGCAACTAACAGTGCCAAGTGCACTGGCCATTTTGCAGGTACTTTTGGGCTTATTCTTTGGCGGCATATGAAGCCCACTGATGTCTCCCCTGGGCTGTGAATGTACTTGGTACTGTTGGGCCTAATAGAATATTTCTATAAAGTCTACTCTGAAGCTGCAGCCCTGAGTATAGAAGGAGCAGAGAATCCAATGCCTCTATATTTATTTTTCTTCTAAGAACTTGTACATATTTATAAGGAGACCTGGAACTTGAACTTCCAGCTTCTGTAATTGTAGATAAGGCAATGTGACCTATGGCAGGAAGAGCAGGTTGGGGATCAAGGACTTCGACACTGGAGTCAGAATCTCTACTCTGCCATTTACTAAGTGTGTGACTTTGGAAAGTTATTTCACTTCTCTGAGCTTTCATTTCCTTTACTGTAAAATAGTAATAGCATACAGTTTCTTTTGGGGGTGAGGATTAACTGAGATAAAGCACAATGTGGCAAACTGTGTTTTCCAAAGTTGGCTACACCAATATGTAGCTACATATCACATCCTACATGCTCTTTCTACGCTGTGTCATGAGAGGTGGGGTGTATGTCTCCTTCCTTTCTAAGGAATTTAGACAGATCTTTGTAACCGCACCAAGTGATGGAACATGGCCAAAGGGATGCTGAATGATTTCCAGAGTGAGGTCATAAAAGGCAATACTTTTTTCTCTGGTTCTGTCTTGGAATACTTTTTTTCCTCCCTTTTTTCCCCCTGTTTTGAGACAGAGTTTTGCTCTGTTCCCCGGGCTGAAGTGCAGTGGTGAAATCAGGGCTCACTGTAGCCTCAACCTCCTGGCCTCAAGCAATCTCTCCCACCTCAGCCTCCTGAGTTTCTGGGACTACAGGTGTGTGCCACCACACCTGGATAATTTTTAAATTTTTTGTAGAGACAGTGTCTCACTATGTTGCCCAGACTGGTCTCAAACTCCTGGGCTCAAGTGATTCTCCTGCCTTGACCTTCCAAAGCGCTGGGATTACAGACATGTGCTACTGCACGCTGCTGATGCTTGCCTTTTGATCCCAGCTGCCATGTTGTGAGGAAGCCCAGGCCACATAGTGAGGCCAGGTGTGGGTGATGCTGCTGGCCCTTAGTCAACAGCCAGTATGAACTGTTAGGCATGTACATGAAGAAGCCATCAGCCTATTCCAGCCTCCAGCCTTCAAGTTTTTTGGTTGAAGTTCCAGACATTCTGGAGGAGATTAGCCATCTCCACTGTGCTCTGTTTGAATTCCTGGCCCACAGAAAATGTGACAGATAGTAAGACTGTTGTTTTACAGCACAGTGTTTGGAAGTGACTTGTTATGTAGCAATAAATAAGTAATAAATTTGGGTTATACATTTTTAAAAAATGTATGCCTCACTGTAAGATATTTTCAAAACACTGGGCCAAAACTTTGTTTTTTCACAAGATGACTGTTTCCTAGAAGGGTTTTGGGGAAGGGACATTTTGATTTTGTTTTTCCCTGGCTGCTTTTACACATAAGATTACTTACTCTGAGTATAACGTATGTAAGAACAGACTTTTCATTCTCTATCTGCGGAGCTGTCTCATGGATTTCCAGTCCATTGCTGGGGGTTGAGCCACAGCTGTTTCTGGATTTGGCTTATCTTTTGGTTCATTGGTTCATTTGAGTTGTTTTTCAGCATTAATCAGTAGGCATCGAAGTTGTTCACATTCATTTCTTGCTCTGCACACAAATGTAATTAGGATCATGTCCACTTTTTTGACATTTTCCTTCTTTTAAAAGTGTAACCTTGATTACCAGACCAAGGCAGCTATAGGGGAAAATTAGAGCTCAGGTTGGAGTCAAAGGGCAATTGTTGCACCAGTCCTCCCAGCTTTCTAGGATCCCAGAGTGTTGCATCTTCTTCCTTCCTCTAAAGGTGCCTGCCTATGTGTGTTGGTATGTGTGTGTGGTGGGGTGGGGGAGGGAAGATGGGGGAGCTCGGAAGGTCTCCTTTGAGTTCCTGGTGCATCCTGGCCACTATCCTTGTCCTCTGGATGTGGTCCTGGGCTGCCCAGCAAGCATATGGATGTAATGAGGGTAAAGGAAGTGGGAAAGAGGAGCATGTGGCCAGGGCTCTGGCCTGCCTGTACTTTTAAAAGAAAATTGTGATAAAATACACATAACATGAAATTTACCATTTTAATTATTTTCAAGTGTACAATTTACATTCACATTGTTGTTGTGGAGGTTTTTTTCTTTTTTGTACAATACATCATGACCCTCAACACATTGTTATCACTGCTATATTCATAGCTAGAGTTTTTCATTATTCCAAAGTGAAAGCCTGTGTCTGTTAAACGTGAACTCCCCTTTCCTCCGTTCCTGTAGCCTCTGGTCACTTCTATTCTACTTTTTGTCTCTATGAATTGACTATTCTAGGTACTTCATATAAGTGGAATCATACAATATGTGTCCTTTTGTGTCTAATTTATTCACTTAGTATAATGTTTCCAAGGTTCATCCACTTGTGGCATGTATTAGAATTTCATTCTTTTTAAGACTGAATTTTGTTCATTAGGATGGCCTAAGGAAAACAAGAAGACTGAATGATATTCCCTGGTATGTATATTTCTCATTCTGTTTATCCATTCCTCCATCAGTAGACATTTGGGTTGTTTCTACCTTTTGGCTATCATAATACTGTTATGAACATTGGCATATATTTATCTGTTTGAGTTCAATTCCTTTATACCCAGAAATGCAACTGCTGGATCATATGGTGATTCTAGCATCCAGAGTCCTGATCTTGGTCTTTACTGTGTCTAAGGATCTATTTTCCGGTGGAATGAGACCCGGAGCTTCCCTGCTATCTCAGCATCCCACGGGGCTATGCAAATTAGGCTCACTGTGCTCTGGTTGTGTTTTATTGAACATTTACTTTGTGCTAGCCTCTGTGCTAAGTATAGTGTCTCTTAAATTACTCTATGAGTAGGTTTGATTATTATCCATATTTTGCAGATTAGAAAACTGAGGCATGGAGATGTTACATAACTGACCTAAGGGCACACAGATTGCAGGTGCTGAGCTAGGATTTGGACCCAGAGAGCATCATGCTAGTTCCCATGCATTTAACCTTTATGCAATTCTGCCTTTCCAAACAGATTGGCCATTAAATTCAACATCCAGGATTGTATTTGTTTATCTAGGAGAAATGAACTGCTTTAATTATGGTAAAAATCAAAGATGTAAATAAAAAAGCTAATGTAAGAAGCCCACTAGTCTCTGTGGTTTAATAGGATACTAGTGGGACATCTCTTTCATATATATATGTATATATATATGTGTGTGTGTGTGTGTGTGTGTGTGTGTATATATATATATATTTGTTGTTTGTTTATTTTTGAGACAGGTTCTCACTCTGTCATCCAAGCTAGAGTGCAGTGGGGTAAAACACGGCTCACTGCAGCCTCGATCTCTTGGCTCAAGCTATCCTCCTGCCTCAGCCTCCTGTTTATCTGGGACCACAGGTGCGCACTATGCCTGGTTAATTTTTTAATTTTTATTTTGTAGAGATGAGGTCTCACTATATTGCCCAGCTGGTCTTGAACTCCTGGCTCAAGCAATCCTCCCACCTTGGCCTCCCAAAGTGCTGGGATTACAAGCGTGAGCCACCATGCTTGGGCTCTCTTTAATATTTATGATAAAAAATTTTTTCTTAGTCTGTAAGGTATATGAGGGAACTTTGTTGTGTATAGGAGGTAGTCTTCTCTCTATATTTGCAAATGTAAATGCTCTATTTAAGATGTGGCACTCGCTGGGCACGGTGGCTCACGCCTGTAATCCCAGCACTTTGGGAAGCTGAGGCGGGCAGACCACGAGCTCAGGAGTTTGAGACAAGCCTGGCCAACATAGTGAAACCCTGTCTCGACTAAAAATTTAAAAATTTAGCCTGGCATGGTGGCGGACGCCTGTAATCCCAGCTACTCGGGAGGCTGAGGTAGGAGAATCGCTTGAACCCAGGAGGTGGAGGTTGCAGTGAGCCGAGATCGCGCCACTGAACTCCAGCCTGGCAACAGAGCGAGACTCCATCTCAAAAAAAAAAAAAAAAAAAAAAAAGAAAAGAAAAAATAGATGTGGCACTACATTGCCCTTAAGGATAACCCTGTGGATCTATATAAATTTAGCATGTTGAAACTGTCAATGAAATGTATCACTAGATGGCAGTACAAACCAAGTTTTAAAAACAACTGATTTTTAAATCTGCAAGATAAGTTAACCTGTAGGAAAGCAGCTGCATCGTTTTTGACATGATCAGGGCAACTGTATTTAATTCAGAATTGATTTTAATCACCTAGAAGAGAATTCACAATCTTTGTTAAGGCAGAAGGCCTGACAAGTGTAAAGGCTTTTACAAGGAAAGCTGCTCCTAAAATGTAAAAAATTATTGCTTTGGAGGAAGCCAAAGTTTCAAGTAAATGTTTTGACTTGAGAAACTTTGCATCAGCAAGATAGCGTCACATCTACACACTTACTTTTTGAATTCTTTCAGTTTTCCAGCCTGGTTTGGCTAAGAATCAACCTTTACTCCATAATTACAAATGTAACAGCCAATTTTGTCCTCAGGTGAAGTTCCATTCAGTTAATGCCAGAGAAAAATCCAGTGCTTAAATAATGTGGGAAGTTAGGATTGACACACAGTTTGGTTTGACATCTGAGGCCCTGAACTTATTGACTTGTGGTGGGATAACGAAACAGATCTCACCTGTCAGAAGAGGAGTCCCAACTTTTTCTTTGAGAGAGGAGTAGCCGGTAGTACGGGGTGAGGTAAACGCATTTACTTACCTTGGTTCACGAGGGTTTGGCTCTCATCTGATGAATTTTAATGTTCTAACTTGTTTCCTGACTAGGTGAGAGAATTAATGTTTCATTTCAGAGGAAGCTATACACTTACACCTGGATGCCAAATTCTCTCAAAAGGGAAAACTGATTTAGAAATGGATTTTTCTTTTTTTTTTTCCTCCAGCTGACTTATATAAGTTATTAGTCTTCTAGAAGGATCACAAGGAACCAGCATCAAAGAAATGGAATCCAGCTAATTCCCCCAAGAAACTGAAGTTTTCGGGACATGACTTGTGAAAGGCAAACATAAGCTGACATCTTTTCACACTGAACAGCAAGAGCCAAAGTGTATCCGAAAAGCCATTGTCAAAACAAGGAGTGAGAACAGCTGGGGTCAAGACCTAATGAAGGGCATCACTCAGCCTCTTTGAGCCTCGGATTCCTCATTTGTAAAGTGGGCATAATAATACCTCACAGGGTAGTTATGAGGGCAAATGAGATAATGGACACGAAGGCACCTGTACACTCCACGGTGCTATCAGAATATTGACTATTAGTGCTTTCATCACGCGGCTCCATCCAAACCCCTGCTTTCCCTCACTCCAGTAAGTGGTTGCCCTCCACCCACCCCCCATCTTCTAATAATGTAGACTGGAAACCCAAGCATCATCTTTGTCCTCCTTTTCATTCCCTGACCCCAGTTGGTCTTCATCCACAGTCTCTTTTTTTTTTTTTCTTTTTTGAGACAGAGTCTCACTCTGTCACAGAGGCTGGAGTGCAGTGGCGCGATCTTGGCTCACTGCAACCTCTACCTCCTGGGTTCAAGCGATTCTCCTGACTCAGCCTCCCAAGTAGCTGGGACTAAAGGTGCCCACCACCACACACAGCCACTTTTTCTATTTTTAGTACAGACGAGGTTTCACCATGTTGGCCAGGCTCCTGACCTTGAACTCCTGACCTGGTTTTGCTCCTGACCAGGCTCCTGGTCTTGAACTCCTGACCTCGTGATCCACCTGCCTTGGCCTCCCAAAGTGCTGGGATTACAGGCGTGAGCCACTGTGCCCGGCCCATCCCTCAGTCTATATTTCCATAACTGGAAGAATCTCCTAAGTGGGCTGTAATCTAGCCTTGCGTGACTCCATCCTGCTCACTAATAAAGAAATAATCCTCTTAAAATCACACTTGGATTATTCTTTTCCGTTTTTCAGAAACTTTCAATGGTTTCCCATTGCCTGCAGAATAAAGTCCAACCTTCAAAGTAGCTGGAATTAAAAACCATTAACAATCTGGCCTCCCTACCTAAATAACATCAATGAGAGGGCCACACAGAAGTCAGATATATGGAAATTAAAACATGTTTTACTGGTGGATAAATGCTGTACTAGAGGATAGGTTATGTGGCCAAAAGAGTTTGCTGACAATTTCTGCTTCCCATTCCCCCAGTCTAGACCTTCAGACACAGTCCACCTGAGGCTTGTCTTCCTCTCCGTGGTCATTTAGAGTTGATCCTACTCATCCTTTTCCCCCACTGCAGGCTTCCCAAGGGTTCCTGCAGCCCTTGGCATCTGTCTCACTCACCTGTCCCTTCGCATGTTCTGCCATGATGTTTAGCTTCTTTCTTGAGAGTATGCCCTCTTCATAGAAGTCAGAAACTCCTGGCCCACTGGCTAAACCTGATCCCTAGAGGTTTTTCTGACTCTCACAATGTTGGCCTGCACTGTGTTTGACAATGCATCAACTTACCTGACAATTTGTATTCTATTTATTTTTTTTTAGAAGAGGAGTCTCACTTTGTCACCCAGCCTGGAGTGCAGTGGTGAGATCATAGCTCACTGCAGCCTTGACCTCATGGGCTCAAAAAATCCTCCTGTTGGGACTACAGATGCTCACCACCATGCCTGGCTAATTTAAAATTTTTTTGTAGAGACAGGGTCTCACTATATTGTCCAGACTGGTCTCAAATTCCTGGCCTCCACCAATCCTCCCACCTCATTCTCCCAAAGTGCTGGGATTATAGGCATGAGCCACTGCGTCTGGCCTATATTCTAAAAAAATTCTGCTGAGAAACTAGGAAAGCTAGCAGCCTTGGTTTCTCAGGTTTGACTTGCAACAATTGACTTCTTGTAAATGTTGCCTATATTGCTTTCTCTACCACCTCAACATCAACTTTTTCCCAATTCGCTCCTCATATTTCTGCTATTTCATGAAGATTGCTCTTGTTAATGTCACCAAGAGCCTCCACAATTGCCAAATCCAGTAGTTTGTCTCTGCTTTTGTCTTACTTGCCCTTTTGGCAGCATTTGCCACTTAATCATGCTTTTCTTTTTTCTTTTTTAGACAGGCTTTTACTCTGTCACCCATGCTGGAGTGCAGTGGTGCAATCTTGGCTCACTGAAACCTCTGCCTCCTGGATTCAAGCGATCCTCCCACCTCAGCCTCCCGAGTAGCTGGGACTACAGGTGAGGGCCACCATGCCTGGTAATTTTTGTATTTTTAGTAGAGACAGGGTTTCACCATGTTGACCAGGCTGGTCTCAAACTCCTGACCTCAGGTGATCTGCCCGCCTTGGCTTCCAAAAGTGCTGGGATTACAGGCATGAGCCACCATGCCTGGTCGACACTTAATCATTCTCTACTTGTTTTTTTAAAATTTTATTTTTACAGTGTCACTCTCAGGATATCTACTTCTTAAAATACTTTTTCTCCCTCTTGGATTCCGTAACAACCCATTTTGCGGGTCCCTCTTAATCTGCTTTGCTGACTTCTGTCCGTTGTTCCAAGTCAGGTGGTCTCAGCTTGGTCTAGCATCCTCTTCTCTATTTGTACATTCTTCCTAAATGATTTCATCTAGCTTCAAATCTTTAAAAGCCATCTATTTGCCATGACTACTAACTTTGGATTTGTAGCCTAGGCTCCTCCCTAGAACTCTACTAATAGCCTACTTGATATCTAAAAATGAATTTCTTTCTTTCTCTCTTTTTTTTTTTGAGACGGAGTCTCACTCTGTCGCCCAGGCTGGAGTGCAATGGCGTGATCTTGGCTCACTGCAACCTCTGCCTCCTGGGTTCAAACAATTCTCCTGCCTCAGCCTCCCAAGTAGGCATGAGTAGGATTGCTAATTTTTGTATTTTTAGTAGAGATGGGGTTTCGTCATGTTGGCCAGGGTGGTCTCAAAACTCCTGACCTCAGATGATCCACCTGCCTCGGCTTCCCAAAGTGCTAGGATTACAGGCGTAAGCCACTGCTCCCGGCTATGAATTGAATTTCTAATAAGCAGCTTAAACTTAAAAAAGAAGTTTTGGAGTTTTATCTCCCAAACCCCTGCTTCTTCTCCTCTTCTTCCTTTCTCAGTAAATAGCACCACTATCTACCCTCAGAGCAAAAAAAAAACCTAGTAGCTCTCTCTCCTCATCTTCCACATTCAATCCCTCAACAAGTCTTATGTTCCAAAAACACACTTCTCTTTAGCAGATGCCATAATGTGCTACGCAGAGCCCTTCCCAGGACTGCAGGACTTATTCCCACAGCTGCTGGGCATGCTGCCACCTCACAGCCCTCTGCCCTCTCCGCAAATTGCCCTCAGCTGCAGAGAGCCACCTTACCCAAGATCACATCCCTTCCTGCTTGCATATAAAGGCCCACTCCCTCAGTAACCCAAGACAACTCTGGAAGGCCACCCCAGCACATCCCAGTGCTGCCTGTGGGGTCAGCTAAGGCCCTCATGGAGACCTCCTCAGAGCCCAGCATCTCCTCCTGCCTAGACTGTGTCCTTCCCTCCCCTTCTGGAAACCAAATCTGCAACATTATCCCAAGTGTACCTGCCTCTTTCTATCTTGCTGTTACGATTTTGGTTAAGCCACCACCTTCTCTCACCTTGACTGCTGCATTGCCTTTCCCCGTCTCCTTGCTTTTGCTCTTCATTCGACCATTCATTTCTTTCACAACTGTCAGCTATTCATACTGTTTTGCTGTGTCTCCACCCAAATCTCATTTTGAATTGTAACTCCCACAATTCCCGCGTATTGTGGGAGGAACCCGGTGGGAGGTGACTGAATTATGAGGGCGGGTCTTTCCTGCGCTGTTCTCGTGATAGTAAATGAGTCTCACGTGATCTGGTGGTTTATTTATTTTATTTTATTTATTTATTTTTTTGAGACAGAGTCTCGCTCTGTCGCCCAGGCTGGAGTGCAGTGGCGCGATCTCGGCTCACTGCAAGCTTGGCCCCCTGGGTTCACGCCATTCTCCTGCCTCAGCCTCCCGAGTAGCTGGGACTACAGGCGCCCGCCACTACGCCCGGCTAATTTTTTGTATATTTAGTAGAGATGGGGTTTCACCGTGTTAGCCACGGTGGTCCCGATTTCCTGACCTCGTGATCTGCCCGCCTTCACCTCCCAAAGTGCTGGGATTACAGGCGTGAGCCACCACGCCCGGCGAGATCTGATGGTTTAAAAAAACAAGAGGTCCCCTGCACAAGCTCTCTCTTTGCCTGCTGCCATTCATGCAAGATGTGACTTGCTCCTTTTTGCCTTCTGCCATGATTGTGAGGCCTCCCCAGCCACGTGGAACTGTGAGTCCAGTTAAACCTTTTCTTTTATAAATTGCCCAGTCTTGGGTATGTCTTTATCAGCAGTGTGAAAATGGACTAATACAGCTATGTTTTATTTTTTATTTTCTTAGGGATAGAGTCTTGCTCAGTCCATTCTCAGCTGGAGTACAGTGGCACAATCATAGCTCACTGCAGCTTCAAACTCCTGGACTGAAGCAATCCTCCCACCTCAGCCTCCCACCTCAGCCTCCCCAGTAGCTGGGACTACAGGCATGCGTTATCATGCCAGGCTGATTTTTATTTTTTATTTTTTTCAAGATGGGGGTCTTGATACGTTGCCCAGGCTGGTCTAGAACTCCTGGCTTCAAGCGATCCTTTTGCCTTGGCCTCCCGAAGTGCTGGGTTACAGGTGTGAGCCACTGCACCTGACCCTAGTTATCTTTTTAAGATATTCTGTTTATTTGATCTTATTTCATTAGATTATATTTGATACAAAAATGTAACATATATACAATTTAAGAAGTGTAAAACAAATGAGCCTATGAACTGTCCACTCAAATTCTGAACTATTGACATAGCCTGTATGCATTTCCCTGATTGTAACCCCTCCCTACTCTTCAGAAGTAAACACAATTCTGGATTTTTTTTTTTGTTATTCCTATACTTACATCTTTATAATTGTAGCATAGATGTATTTATTGCTAAACAATATACAGTTTAGTTTCTCTTTTTTTTTGAGATTTATATGTGGAGCCATAGTATATTTTCTGCAATTTGTTTTTTTCCGCATTCAACATTGTATTTCTGATCTAATGTAATCATTTATATTGAAGTTTGTAACTGAGGTTTATTCATTTCCATGCTTACAGAGGTATTAAATTAGTCAATTAAAAATACTGCAAATTGTAAATAGTTTATTTATCCTTGTTGATGGACATTTTCCTTGTATTTTTAGCAATCTGTTAGACGAAGGTTTTCCATTTTTGTACATGGTTTTTGGTGCTTATGTGCAAGAATTTCTCCAGCATATATACCTAGGAATAAAACTGATGAATTTAGTGCATGCAAATGTTCAGTTGTAGAAGATAATGCCAAGTTGTTTTTCTTTTCCTCTCTTTTTTTTTTTTTTTTTTGGACAGAGTCTCATTCTCACCCAGGCTAGAACCGCCTCCGGGGTTCAAGCAATTCCTGTGCCTCAGCCTCCGGAGTAGCTGAGATTACAGGCACACGTCACCACGCCAAGCTAATTTTTGTATTTTTAGTAGAGATGGGGTTTCACCATGTTGGCCAGGCTGGCCTTGAACTCCTGACCTCAAGTGATCTGCCTGTCTTGGCCTCCCAAAGTTCTGGGAGTAGAGAGATGAGCCAGTGCGCTCTGTCTATTTTGACAGTTATTTTATCTCAGCAGTTTAAATATATCATGCTAATGTGTCTGGTATTTATTGTTGGCCCAGAAATTATTCCTTTGCAGGTGGTGCAAAGGATCAGCACGGGAGTTTTGACCTGCTCCGTTTCCGACCTGGGTCGGTTCACCCCTCCTTAGGCAACCTGGCGGTTCCCCGCTCCAGGGAGGTCACCCTCTTGATGCTGAATTTAGCACGGACACCTGATGGGCACAGTGCACTGCAGCCCAGAGCTCCTGAGCTCAAGCCATCCTCCTGCCTCAGCCTCCAAGTAGCCAGGACCACAGGCACGCACCCTGAGGTATGCCATTTCTCTTTGGTTCTTGTTATGGTAGTTCCTCTGTTTTTCCCTGTATTTTTACTGTCATGTCTTCCTTTATATTTATCTTGCTTGATATCTATTGTGCTTCCTATATGTGTGGATTCATATCTTTATCATTTTTGAAAAATTTTCAGACATTTTCTATTCAAATATTGCCTTTCCCTTATTCTCTCTATTTCTCCTGTTGGAAATCTGGTTAGATGTCTGTGTCTTCTCTGTTGTTTAACCTCTTTGTCATTTACCAACCCCTTGGCTTTTTGTATTGTATTCTGTGTAATTTCTTTAGATCTGTCTACTAGTTCACAGCTCCTCTCTTCAGTTATACCTGTTTGTAATTTACACATTGTACTTTAAATTTCAGTGATTATAGTTTTAATTTCTAAGACTTAAAAAATTTCCTTCTAATCTATCTGATTATATGTAATGTACTCTTTATTGTATTCATTGTTTTAGACGCTGTCTTTATTTCCTTAACATGTAAAACATGATTATTTTATATTGTGTATCTGGTAATTCCACTATCTAAAATCTGTAGGGTGATAAGTCGGCTGTTAGTTATATCTGCTGATTATCGCTTACAGTTTATTTGTATATTTAGTAATTTTTATTTTTATTTTTGAGACGGAGTCTCGCTGTCTCCCAGGCCGGAGTGCAGTGGCGCGATCTCGGCTCACTGCAAGCTCCGCCCCCCGGGTTCACGCCATTCTCCTGCCTCAGCCTCCCGAGTAGCTGGGACTACAGGCACCCGCCACCACGCCCGGCTAATTTTTTTCTTTTTGTATTTTTAGTAGAGACGGGGTTTCACCGTGTTCGCCAGGATGGTCTCGATCTCCTGACCTCGTGATCCGCCTGCCTCGGCCTCCCAAAGTGCTGGGATTATAGGCGTGAGCCACCGCGCCCAGCCATATTTAGTAATTTTAAAATTGCAATTGCATACTTTGTTGAGCTTAATTGGTGAGAGCTATGCGAGAGATGCTTTCCTCTAGACAACAAATGCTTGTATCTGCCTGGTACAAGGGGCCCTAAAAAGCTCTTTAATTTCTTGGTTGGGGTTTCTTTGATCATATGGAGAGTGTAAGACTGAATTCCATACTTGACGGGGGCAGGCATATGATAAATTTCAAGGGGTCATTATTATTTTTTTTTTCCATCTAGAGCCAGTGTGGAGATGGTGTTCTTGATAGATTTCTTTCGCTAGCATGAGGATTTTTCCTAGACCACTCTTGCCTAGGATGTAGCCATCTTCAAGCATCCTGCTTTTGGATGTGAATGTCAAATTTAACTCACCTGCTTCCAGTGGCCCAACGCTTAATCTTCCATTCCCTACTTTGTTATACAGATTTACCTTCAGGCAAGCCCAGTTTTTGCCTTTGCTTACATTTCACACTTAGTTTTCAGCTCACTCCACTTCTTTTTTGAAATGTTTTTGGAATTTCCCTTATTTTCTTATAATCTAAGCTGTGTGTTAAAAATAAACTTATTGTAATTTATCTAAGATTTAATAGTATGGCATAAGAAAGGCTTTTTAGAGGCTGGGCTCAATGGCTCACGCCTGTAATCCCAGCACTATGGGAGGCCAAGGTGGGTGGATAATGAGGTCAGGAGTTCAAGACTAGCCTGGCCAACATGGTGAAACCCCGTCTCTACTAAAAATACAAAAATTAGCTGGGCATGGTGGTGCGGAGGTTGCAGTTAGCCAAGATCGCCCCACTGCACTCCAACCTGGGTGACAGAGCCAGACTCCGTCTTAAAAAAAAAAAAAAAAAAAAAAAAAAAAGAAAGGCTTTTTAGAGTATCTAGTTTATACTGCTAGATGCCGAAACCAAAAGTAATCTTTTAGAAATGTGAAATAGTTTATATCACTCTTCTGCTTAAGATCCTCCAGTGGCTTTTTCTCACACTTAAAATGTACAAACTATCCTGGCCTACAAAGCCCAGAGCTGGGTCCTAGCTTAGCCCACGTGGCTCCCCACTCTGCCACCTTGCCGTTCCTGGTCTGGCATGCCTTCTGCTTTTTTCACACGTGGCTTTTAAACGTTTGTTCAGGTCTCACTCTAAATGCCACCTTTTCATGGAGGCCTTACCTGACTCCTCTCTCCATTTCTCTGTCAATCACCCTGTTTTAATTCTCTTTAGGGCATCTATTATTAGCTGACATTTTCCAGTCTATTGTCTGTCTTCCCCTACTAGAACATAAGACCTATGAAAGGAAAGCAGGGTTTTGTGTGATTCACCACTATATTCTCAGAGTTTAGAACAGTTCTTGGCACATAGTAGGAACTCAATACATATTTCTTGAATCATTAGAGCTGAGCGTTGACTACTTATTCCCTTTAGACGGGACCTAGGCTCTTCAGTGCTCCACAGTTCCCACTACTTCCTTTTAAAAATTTATTTTATTTTATTTAAAAAATTATTGTTGTTTTTTTTTTTTATTTTCAGAGAAGGGATCTCACTATATTGCCTAGGCTGGTCACATACTCCTGGACTCAAGTGATCCATCTGCCTCAGCCTCCCAAAGTACTGGGATTAGAGGCCACTGTGCCAGGCCAGTTCCTACTACGCCCTATTATGTCCCCAGCTGAGCTTGCTTTGTGAATTTATTGGCCCTTGTACGCATTTGAATTTTCAATCCCTGCTTATAAATGTCACTCTAATTGTCTTCAGGATCTTCAGAGCAGAGACTTTTTTTTATGTTTCTTTTCTTCCTTCAGTGTCTTGCATATAGTAGGAGGGGAAGGAATGAACATTCACTGAATATCCCCTACCTGTCAAACACAACAACAGTATAGTTTAATTTATATCCTTACAACAATGCTATGGAGCTGAGTAATATTATTTATATCTATTTTACCAGTGAGGACACTGAGGCTTAGAGTTGTTCAGAGTCATATAGTAAACCAAGGATCAGGGATTGGAACCCACTCAGACAACATATACCCAGTATGAAGTGTTGTTGCTTCATATACCCAGTATGAAGGGTTGCTCATGTGCGAGGAATGGTTGGTTGTTTTCAATTTGCAAAGGGGAGATTGGGCAATTGGATATTGCAGGTCAAGTTTTACTTGAGTAGTCCAGCTATTTATTTAGTTATCAATTTCATTCCACTGAGTGTATGGAGAATTAGCTGGAGATATTCCTACATTTGGCCAGAAGAGGCTTTGGAGATGTTAACCATGCCTTCTACATGAGAGTCCTGCTGTTGACAGATATGGAATCCAACAGCAGGGAGATTTTCCGAGATAGTTACTTCAGTGGAACCATCAGCTGTCACCAGATCACTGGACAAAGACAGAAACTGAATGCACCAAATATGTACCACACCACCAAAAATTCTTTTAAGTAACAAAATCTTATTTTTATTTTTATTTTTTTACAGAAATTCAGGTATTCCAACAAATTTCTTTACATTTCTTGGACCTTAAAAAAATTACACACAACTTTTGGACGCAATACAACAGAACAGAATGAGAAAGGGAGTCACCTTTTTTGTTTTTTTTTTAAAAAGATAAAAACCTACTTCTTATATTTAATTAACAATTAGTGATTTACATGTGTATTACCTATATACAAATGGTACATCGTCAATGACCCATCTTCAGAGCACTGTGGTATGCTAAATTACACTTAGGTTTTATGGCAAAAACTTTTTTAAAACATTCACATGTGGATAGGAAGTACTTTCTTAGTTTTGTTCATACCACTGTTAGTGATGTAGGACTCCCGATGGAATTTGTAGTTTGCATGGATTAGAGAAAGCCAATACCCTTTGTTTTTATTGTAGATAAAGTAGACAGGTACCTCCCTTCAAATAAAATACGAATTCTTGAAAAGTTGTGTGTAATTAAATTTAGTAAGTAGGGTGTTATGGATGTAGTAGGGAGCTAATACTTAAAGCAACAAATAATCCTCAGAATGACTAATACTTTAGTTGTAGATACTAAGTATTCCCTTAATTTGGTTCTTTAGAAAAGCCACATCTCTGTGAATTGGGTTTTACTCCTTTGAGCATACCCATAATATGCTTTTAGCCATTTGAAACATAATGCCATTTATGGTGAAAAGATGGCCCGTACCAGAAACATTTGGCTAAAATAGGAATGTGGTCCTAACAGAGAGAGGGTAAGAGAAGTGAACCCTGATCTGTATCACTTCTTGTGTTATCCTCCATCTGATGTTCTAGTGATATACACTGATTTGTTCTGATTTTGAATACATGAATAAAAGCATTCTACATGTCCATGTTTTCTCCTTAGGTATAGAACATGGTTTGGCTTCCATTAAGTACCCTTGCATGTATTTTAGCTTGTGTTCATTCTCAGGCAATGGGCTATTTCAATATTAAATATTTGTTTGTTGTTGGATATTAGCAGGATATGTGGTGAGGGTGATGATGGGGGAAGCCTGGGAGCAAATGATTGTTGAAGTCCACTGGTTAGTTGTTAACTACTTCCAGATGTCAGCCAACTAAAATGAATCTGAGTATTTTTGAAACCAACATTAGTAAACAAAAAGGTAACTTATTCCTACCGAGTTTTTTTCAACCTGTATAAGTATACAGTCATTTATTTCTAAGGCTATTAAATTATTATTTATTTTGTTAGTACCACTTACTATTATTTAGAAATATGTTTAATGGAATGATTTTTAAAAAAATAAAAATGAGTGCCCATCAGTAAGGGAAATAGAAGACATGGATTTCTGATAACATGTATGGCAAAGAAATAGGAAAAAAGTAGGAGACATTTTAGATACTTATTTATAAAGTATATTAAATTCCTATGCATATACTAGGGAGAATTAGAAAAAAAGTGTTTATTTGATAGTAGCCTATAATATTACACGTGAGCTTCCAAGGTGAAAATGAACTTTTTCTATATTTTTCAGAGTTCCTTGATGCTGTTTCCTGAAAGATAGGGAAATCTATGTTGCTTGGGAACCTATGATGTAAAGATGTACTTCCTGTAATATACAGCTTGATGGAGTAATAGTATATGGCATAAACACTTTCTCAGTAATAACTTGTATGGACAGATTAAACAGAACACAGACTTGGTAAAAAGTTTGAAGCGTTACGTCTCTTAATAACTGAGTGGTTGTAACTAATTACACAGTGAAGTAAATGAATGGTAGAGATGAAGAACCAAAGGTCACGGCTCCTATGAAAACATTCAGAGGCATTTTCTAAGATGCTTCCTCAATAAATGACGCTTGATCAGCCTCTTGGCTATTGAGATAGGAATAATTTAGAACTAACTGCCTTTTTAAAAATTCTGTTGAAAGGTTAAAGCTTTTTGTTTTCAGTTTGATTTAAAAAGGACAGTTTACAAACCTCAGTACGTATATATTTTACATGTTAACTCTAGAGCATTTATATTCCTCTTCCTTATTTCCTGAATATGATTTTTCATGAACGTTTTCTGATCTCATCCAATGAGTTTCCAATGAGCTGGTGTTTAATCCATGATCACATCTCTTTCCAGAAAATCACTCCCATCTCTGCTGATCTAGATTTAGAAAGTGCGTTGACAAGTGAATGTTCCATTCTTGTTCATATTCATCTATATACTCTGATCTCTCTCAGGCGTATTCCTTCTTGATGTTGATGTACAAAAGCTGTTATTCGATTCGTTTAGCTGTTATTCGATTTGTTTAGCTGTTATTCGATTTGTTTTGTGCTCATTCTAGAGAATATTGGCTTAGCAGAACTGCAGAAATTGGAGGGAAGAGAGAGAAAAAGGGTGGGGGGAGAGAAAAAATACATCATTTTCTGTCTGCAAGATTTTTGTGCATAATATTTGTCACGGAAAAACTATACCAATGAATGGTTCAAATGCATTTTGCATTTGTTACCAAACAATACTGGAAAGTTTGAGATTTCTGTTCCATTCAACCCACAGTACAGTCTTCCCAGCAAGAAGAACATGAGTATTCCCTCCATCTGGGTCAAGATTAGAGGCTGCTTTGAAGGAGCAAGGAAAAATGTGGACTGTTCCCAAGTATCACTGACTTTTCTGCTTAGCATGGAAAAATGTGTCACTTGAGTGTTTTCCTTTTCTTTCCAAGTTTTATTTATTTGAACTCAACATTATAGCAGCTACAAAAGAAATTATTATAAAGATTAATGACCCACAATTTAATCACTTGGACACAACTGTTTTCTTCCTATATTTCTTTCCATTCCTTATCTAAATGGGAAATTATTTTATACAATTGTAATTACAGTATAGATGATACTTTAAACATTTAAACATTACATTAAAGACAATTTTCTAAATTTCCATTGTCCATATCAGCATAAGTTTCTTTTATTTATTTATTTACTTAATTTATAATATAGAGACAGGGTTTCACCATGTTGCCCAGGCTGATCTCGAACTCCTGAGCTGAAGTGAGCCACCTTCCCCAGCCTCCCAGAGTGTAGGGATGACAGGTGTGCGCTACTGTGCCCCACCATCAGCATGAATTTTCAATGGCTGCATAATATTCTGCCTCATTCTCATTCCTTTCTACTCTATGCTCAATATTCCATTTGCAACTGTTTCACTATTGTCAGACATATAGGAAGGTTTCTGATTTATTATTATAAATATGAATATCTTTTATATAAAGATCTATTTATATTTTAAAATATTTCTTGGCTGGGTGTTACGGCTCACACTTGTAATCCCAGCATTTTGGGAAGCTGAGGCGGGAGGATCTTTTGAGCTCAGAAGTTTGAGATCAGCTTGTAGTCATCATAGTGAAACCCCATCTCTACAAAACATACAAAAATTAGCCGAGTGTGGTGGTGCGCCTGTAGTCCCAGCTACTCAAGGGGCTGACGTGGGAGGATCGCTTGAGCCCAGGAGGTCGAGGTTGTGGTGAGCAAAGATCGCACCACTGCACTCCAGCCTGGGTGACAGAGTAAGACCCTCCCTGTCACACACAAAAAATTTTGTTTCTTTTGGATGAATTCTCAGGGGATAATTACTTTTCCTTTTCTCCAATAGATTAGGGACTGATCCTGTATCAATACAGCTAGACCTCAAACAGTATGATTAACCTTATTCTTTGAATGATTTTCATAGGTTTTTGTCACTGTGAACCAGGGGTTAAGGGTATCTTATATATTGGGAAGTTGGGTAAATACAGCTAGCTGGTCACGGTGTGCCATATTTGGGCCAAAAGGAAACAGCCTGTTAGGCTTTACATCACAGAGCACTTTATTTTTTATTTATTTGTTTTTATTTTTATTTACTTTTGAGATGGAGTCTCACTCTGTCACCCAGGCCAGAGTGCAGTGGCATGATCTTGGTTCACTGCAACCTCTGCCTCCCAGGTTCAAGCGATTCTCCTGCCTCAGCCTCCCCAGTAGCTGGGATTACAGTCATGTGCCACCACACCTGGCTGATTTTTGTGTTTTTAGTAGAGACAGGGTTTTGCCATGTTGGCCAGGCTGGTCTTGAACTCCTGACCTCAAGTGATCCACCTGCCTCGGCCTCCCAAAGTGTTGGGATTATAGGCATGAGCCACTGTGCCCAGCCGAGGTTTTGCGTCACAGAGCCCTTTAAAACACAAGATAAGATATGGTTTCTGAATGTGTGCTAGAAAATCCTCTGGATCATTCTGTTGTTGTTTTTGGTATGTTCCCCCTTGTTTTTCAACACACTTAAAAAAATCGTATCCACATTATGATCTTAATGAACTTCTCTCAGCAAGAGAACTCACGGTTACTTTAATATACCCAGACTACACAGAGGATAATTGAAATATGATCATGTCATAATGATGATTAGTCTATAATGATTATCTGAGATTGAGTCATGCTGGCAGAAGCCCTACGGAAAGGAATACTTTCTTTAGATATTATTAAAAGCAAAACAATCAACCACTGTGGAAAGCAGTTTGGAAATTTCTCCAACAACTTAAAACAGAACTATCATTCAACCCAGCAATCCCATTAGTGGCTATATGCCCAAAGGAAAATAAATCCTTCTACCAAAAAGACACATGCACTCATATGTTCGTTGCAGCACTATTAACAATAGGAAAGACATGGGATCCACCTAGGGGCCCATTAGTAGTGGACTGGATAAAGAAAATGTGGTACATATACACCATGGAATACTATGTGGCCATAAAAAATTGGCTGGGCATTGTGGCTCATGCCTGCAATCCCAGCACTTTGGGAGGCCAAGGTGGGCAGATCACTTGAGGTCAGGAGTTCGAGACCAGCCTGGTCAATATGGCGAAAACCCATCTCTACTAAAAATACAAAAATTAGCTAGGCATGGTGGCAGGCACCTGTAGTCTCAAGCTACTTGGGAGGCTGAGGCAGGAGAACCACTTGAACCCGGGAGGCAGAGGTTGCAGTGAGCTGAGATCACACCACTGCACTCCAGCCTGGGTGACAGAGCAAGACGCTGTCTCAAAAAAAAAAAAAAAAAAAAGTATAACTAGAAGGATGAATAGGGAGACCACAGAGGGCCATCTATGTGTGTGTGGGGCAGGGGAAAACGGGGTCAGGAGGGTAGTCCTCATTTTCTTGAGGTTCTCAAGTAAGTACACTCCTAATTTCATAATAGAAAAGCCTGCTTTGGTGTGAATCATTTGTTGGCATCCATGAACCAGAGACTCCCTGTTTCTCTCTCCTTGGTGCTAAGCTGCCTGGTTTGACTTTATGACATCACAGGATGAAGGAAAAGTAAGATTGCCAAGAAGGAAGTACATGTATCTAAGGCTGCATCCCAGTCAGGGTAAGACCTGTTCTCAGTGGGCTGGGAAGGGAGCAGTGAGTGTTGGAAGGACTTTAGATCAGACCCCAGGGTAGTGACACCCATACCTGCGGGAGGTAGAGGGGAGAAGGAAGCCTCCGGCAGGGCAGATGTCTCCCTGGGAAGATCCTCAGCTCTCTTACAGGAAGGTTCCGGGAACATTTGCGGCCAGTTTCACAAAACTTTCTCTTTCTCCTTCATCATCTGGGCCCACAGCCTGGGGCCTGACCCTAACAGGTCATTCATCAACAACCCTTCTTGAATCTGCTCTGGTCTTGGGTCACCCGTGGCCTTCATATGGCCAAATCCCTCATTAGATCCCTCGCTGTAACTTCACTCTTTTTGTTTTTCTTGAGACAGAATCTCACTCTGTTGCCCATGCTGGAGTGCAGTGGCGTGATCTCGGCTCACTGTAACCTCCGCCTCCCTGGTTCAAGCGATTCTCCTGCCTAAGCTTCCCGAGTAGCTGTGATTACAGGTATGCGCCACCATGCCCAGCTAATTTTTTATTTTTAGTACAGATGGGGTTTCACCATGTTGGCCAGGCTGGTCTCGAACTCCTGAGCTCAGGTGATCCACCCACCTCGGCCTCCCAAAGTGCTGGGATTATAGGAGTGAGCCACCGCACCCGGCCTAATCTCACTATTGATTAGTCAGTCCTTCATTCCTAAAGCTCTCTTCTTCTTCTCCCTCCTCCCCCTCCTCCTCCTCCTCCTTCTCCTCTCCCTCCTCCTCTTCCTCCTCTTCTTTTTGAGACAGGGTCTTGCTCTGTGACTCAGGCTTCTTGACTACAGCGGCACAATCATAGCTCACTGTGGCCTCTACCACCTCCAGGCTCAAATGATCCTCCCACCTCAGCCTCCCACATAACTAGGACCACAGGCACGCGTTACCATGCCCAGCTAATTTAAAATTTTTTTTTATAGAGATGGGGTCTCATTATGTTTCCCAGGCTGGTTTCAAACTCCCGGACTCAAGTGATCCTCCCACCTTGGTCTCCTGAAGTATTGGGATTACAGGCATGAGCCACTGCACCTGGCCATTAAAGGTTTCTTCTTTGTTGAGTATTGTCAACTCTGGGACTGTACTTCTGACCCACAGTATCTGTGGTGGGCAGGGAGCTGAGAAGTAAGTGGGAAAATGAAAGTGTGAAGCCAGTGAGCCAGGCCTGGAATAGGGTGAGGCAAGTGAGTGTCTAGGGTATAAAATTTAAGGAGCTCACTTGCAGGGTCATGCAAGTGTGAGGTGAGTGCTTCTTTAAAACTTGCAGGGCCAGTCGTGGTGGCTCATGCTTGTAATCCCAGCACTTCGGGAGGCTAAGGTGGCAGGATTGCTTGACCCAGGAGTTCAAGACCAGCCTGGGCAACATAAGGAGATGCTGTGTCTACAGAAAATAAAAAAAAATTAGCCAGGTGTGATGGTGCACACCAGTGGTCCCAGCTATGTGGGAGGTTTAGGTGGGAGGATCGTTTGAGACCAGGAGGTCGAGGCTGCAGTGAGCCATGAACGCACCACTGCACTCCAGACTGGATGACAGAGCAAGACTGTCTCAAAAAACAAGCAAACAAACAAAAAAACAAAAAAGCTTGCCCCCTAGGTACCTAGCTTGCCTCACCCTAATCCCAGCCTTGCCCATGAGTGCATGCTGCTCATCAGAAGGCGTGCTGGGAATGTTTGCTTGGATTTGAGTTACTTAGACACTGCGACCAGAGCATATTTTTTCTTCCTACTGCATGACACCACCACGCAACAGAAACCCCAGGGCATGCAGAAGTTCTGCAGACTCTTAGGCTGAATAATAATAACCAGCTGTGATCAGAACACAACCACTCCCCACAGAATATCAGGAAAACACTTTGTTGGGGGAGTAAAATTAGAATGTTATTACAACTACTTAGATAGTATGCACATGAAGAGTTTTCCACCTGAAGGCTTGGCAAGGACTAGCTCTTCAAACAGATTTGTAAAGAGAGTAAGTGGAAGGAAATAAAAGTCAGAATTTTCCTCTCCAGATGTGGCCATCACTCCTTCAGTCTTAAGACCGTGAGACACGAGGACAATTTGCAGAATTTGGTGGAAGCATCAGTGTGGTGTAATTGCCACCTTGTGAAACATTCTGCTCTTTTAAAAACTTGGCTAACATTTCCCATGCACCATGGATGTTGCCTATCAGGGGAGGTAATTTAAAATATGTCACATTCTCCCAGGTTTGTACAGAGCAGGAATGAATAAATAAGTCATTCAATGCTGCTTTGGATCTTTGTTCAGTCAGATTTGTCCTTGTAACATGTCATGGGCTCGGAGTTGCCCATGTTACATTTCCAAAGGGCTCTTTGCAAATCCTTTTCAAAGCTGTCATTTGAATCACTGCTCATGAGTGCAGCATTTATAATGGCCCTATTGTCCAGGCTATCTAAATGCTACTTGGCTGAATTTTCCACGTGTTTACAGATGTTGAAATGTCTCCTGTGGTTGGTTTCTGCTCATTGTTCCTGTCTGACCTTTTTAATTAGGGTCTGGAGCCCCCACAGTCAGGAGAGCTGACTCCTCCTGTCTCCCTTTGGATCTGACATACCGATTTCAACACAGGAGACGATGGAGGATAATTACTAAAATTATTCTAGCTACTTATGCAGATCTTCGGTGAGAAGGGGCAGAAAATGGCCTAAGAGTCAGGCCTTGATAATTCTGTGCTATTTCTGTATGCAGTGGACAATGAGACTTTGACACAAGGCACAACACTTTCTCATGTGTTTTTTTCTTTGGAAAGTAAGTATTTCACAAGAAGGGATTTCAATTAACTCATGAACGTCTCTTTCTCTTCTTCCACTCATTCCCCTTAAGGAACACTGTGAAATATATTAAAAGCAAGAAAACAGGCACAATTACTTGGCAGGCCTTACCCAGGCACATTGAAAATAGAATGTTGCTGCTGATTTATAAATCCTAATAATATTAACTGTCCAGTTTTGGCATGAAGCCATTCCATATTTTACATAGGTTGAAAGGCTTTTACTATTGAAGCCCAGAAGACAGGTCCATGGCAGGGTGACAGTGTAGCATCCTTGACTCTTAGTGCATTTGATGAGAACTAATAAATTGGCGGCCAGGCACGGCGGTGGCTCACGCCTGTAATCCCAGCACTTTGGGAGGCCAAGGCAGGCAAATCACCTGAGGTCAGGAGTTCGAAACCAGCGTGTCCAACATGGTAAAACCCTGTCTTTACTAAAAATACAAAAATTAGCCAGGTATGGTGGCAGGTGCTTGTAATCCCAGCTACTTGGGAGGCTGAGGCAGGATAATCACTTGAACCCAGGAGGCAGAGGTTGCAGTGAGTTGAGATCACGCCACTGCACTCCAACCTGGGTGACAGAGTAAGACTCCATCTAAAAAAAAGAATTAATAAATTAGGGGGTGATCTTAATGTTCTGTCCCTACTTTAGTGACTGACATGCACTTTCCTGAAAGTGCTGTCCTTTGAAATACTTTGAAAGTGTTGGCTTTTCAAAATAATAAATTCATCTCTGTTCATTGTCATTTAATATTGAGCTTCATACATGTTCCTTTAAGCTTCCTCTCCTTCCTGTGTGGGAAAGACTACCAGCTTCGTATCATTTTCCCGTTTCTTGATTCTGTCCTTACTTCCCTTCCTGCCAGAGGTACTCTCTCTCTCTCAGCGAGGTCTGTCCCACAGGTGTTCTTTCTCCAAATATCATCTTGAAGTCAATTGGCCTTCCTTGATAATATGTTTCCTGATTTTCTCGGCGGCATATAGTTCAGTGGTTAAATGTGTGTGTTCAGGAGCCATTCTCCCTGGCTTTCAACCCTAATTCAACAACTTACCAGCTGGGTAACTCTAGAGAAGATGTTTTACATATCTGTGCTTCAATTTCCCCATTCAATAGGCTGGGGTACTTCCTTTCCAACCTGTCATGAAGATTGAAATGATGCTTATAAGGTGTTTATAACAGAAAGTATAAACCTGGCACATAGAAAGAGCTCAATAAATATTGACAGTATATATATATATATATTAGAGATGGGGTCTCACTCGGTCACCAAGGCTGGAATGCAGTGGCAAAATCACAGCTCGCTGCAGCCTTGACTTTCTGGGCTCAAGCGATCTTCCCACCTCAGCCCCGTAAGTAGCTGGGACTACAGGCGCATACCACCATGCCTGGCTAATTTTTGTAGAGACAGAGTTTTGTTGTCAAGGCTGGTCTCGAACTCCTGGGCTCAAGCGATCCGCCTGCCTCAGCCTCCCGAAGTGCTGAGATTATAGGCATGAGCCATCATGCCTAGCCAATAATTTTTTTTTAGACACAGTGTCTCATGCTGTCACTGAAGCTGGAGTGTAGTGTCAAGATGACAGCCCGCTGCAGCCTCAAACTTCTGAGCTCAAGCAGTTCTCCCACCTCAGCCTCCCGGAGTGCTGGGATTACAGGCATGAACCACCGCGCCTGGCCCTTTCCAGCTTCGTGGCCCATAAATGTCTTTCTGAAGTAACTGGAAGCCATATCTTTGAAATGTAAACATCAGAGGAGATTGTGCCCCTCTCTCCCAGTTTCTGAGTGAGGGCAGGAGCCTAACTTTGGGAGGTGCCTTGCTTCCAGTTGTAAAACTACCTGTCATAAAGACAAGAGAAGTTTATTTTCCCTTTGTATAAAACCAATTAATTAACAGATAATCACCCTCAATTACCAGGTGAATTTAGGATGCACTATATGTAATAAATGGTGCTGCCCAGTCCTCTTACTTGAGGACTAGTTACTGTGTGTCTTGAGAACTTTTATGTAATGGGTGGTACTGGCTATATAAAAGGGTGAGATTTCGGCTGGGCACAGTGGCTTACACTTGTAATCTCAGCACTTTGGGAGGCTGAGGCGGGCAGATCACCTGAGGTCAGGAGTTCGAGACCAGCCTGGCCAACTGTTGAAACCCTGTCTCTAATAAATACAAAAATTAGCGGGGTGTGGTGGTGGGTGCCTGTAATCCCAGCTACTAGGGAGGCTGAGGCAGGAGAATCACTTGAGCCTGGGAGGTGGAGGTTGCAGTGAGCCGAGATGGTGCCACTGTACTCCAGCCTGGGCAACAGAGTGAGACTCTGTATCAAAAAAAAAAAAAAAAAAAAAGGGGTGACATTTCTTTCTGTCAGCAGTCTCTTAGCAAATTGCCTGTGATGTGGATCCCATTCTGGTTTAATTCTTATTCAGTAATACACCTTTTCTTTTTCTACTACCTTTATGGAAAGGTTTTCTGGGTTGGGAGAAGATGTTGTCATTAATTATATTACCTGAACAAAGTATATTGATATATCTGTGTTTGTGCATCTAATTGCTTTATTTAATGCTTTATTTAATCCTCTTTTAGCAAGGAATTTACAATAGAAAGGATTGTCTTTTGCAAATTTCTCAGAAAGCACTAGAATCAGTGTGTTTAATAAGTAGATTACTAACAATTATCTATAAAAACCCAAGTGATGTTCCCCTTTCTTCTAAATACTCTGTAAGTTTCAGTGATATTGTGGTAAGGTACAGCTCTTTAAAACCTTAAGTGCATTCTCTCCTCCAGGAAGCTGTGAGGCTTTCGTTTCTCAGCATGTGAACCTATGGTCTTAGTGAATCTTTAGCAGGCAGAGAGTTCAGGATCATGAAGTTTTACATGCCTTTGTTACCACAAATGTAATAGTCCTGGTCCTAATTATCCTTATGGGTGTTTATTGTAATGAAATAAGACATTTGAGTATGATGTATGCTTCCTCTCTAGACCAAAGGGAAGCGGACTGCAGAGTCCAGAAGGCAATTTATACCCAAGATCTAATGAACACACACACATAAGCACACACACCCACGGCCCTGTGAGAGAAGTAACCAAGAATTAAGGCATTTAGTAGCTGTGCAATACATCACCAGCTGGCTGACACTGGTTAGCCACAAATGACGTGGCAGTCATGGAAAGCCAGAGACTGCTAAATAGAATTTTAGAATTTTGGGGCTTTCTAAAATGCAGAAATAAATAGATTGTTCTTCAGCTTAAAACTTTTTTTTTTTTTTGAGATGGAGTCTCACTCTGTCACCTGGGCTGGAGTGCAGTGGTGCAATCTTGGCTCATTGCAATCTCTGCCTCCCGTGTTCAACTGATTCTCCTGCCTCAGCCTCCCAAGTAGCTGGGACTACAGGTGTGCGCCACCATGCCCAGCAAATTTTTGTATTTGTAGTAGAGATGGGGTTTCATCATGTTGGCCAGGCTGGTCTTGAACTCCTGACCTCAAGTGATCCACCCGCCTTGGCCTCCCAAAGTACTGGGATTACAGGCATGAGCCACCGAGCCCAGCCCAGCTTAAAACTTTTTAGCAGTGATACCTTCTACTGAATATGCATAACTGCCTAGCACAGCTAATGAGGCCTCCTGTGGCCTCTCCCTGCTCCAGCCCCTCCTCTGGGGTTTCCCACCTCAGACTGCACTCCAGCACCCTGGATGTGTTCTACCTCTGGGCCTTTGCTCCACCTCTGGGCCTTTGCTCCTTTTGCTGGAAAAGCCCTTCCTCCAGTTTTCTAACTGGTGAACACCTGTTCATGTTTCACATTTCATCATTTCATCTTAGGTTGCTTCCCTGGGAGCCACTTCCTGAACTGTTCTTATCTTTTTTGGGTTTCTGTTTTGCCCCAGTCATCCGTTAATGGAGCTCACCTTTTGGACAGTGAGCTCCTCAAGTGCAAGGGCCACTTCACCCATCCAAGTGGTAACTGGGCCTGACCCTGCTTAGCTTCTGAGATCAGGCAAGATTGGGCATGTTCAGGTGGGTATGGCTGCAGACAACGGGCATTTTTGAGAAGCCACAGTGTCCCTAGCACCCAGAGGAAAGCCTGGCACATAGTTGCTGCTCAACAACCCCTGGTGTTTACTGAAAGGAGCCTTAGGCTGTGGACTGAATTATGTCTCCCAAAGTGTAAATATTGAAGCCCTAACCCCCAATACGACTGTATTTGGAGATAGCGCCTTTAAGAGGACAATTAAGATAAAATGAGATCTTCAGGGTGGGGCCCTAATCCAATATGACTGATCTCTTTATAGGAGGAAGAAATACCAGGTGCGCATGCTCCAAGAAAAAGCCATCTGAGGACGCGGCAAGAAGGCCGCCATCTACAAGCCAAGGAGAGGGGCCTCAGGAGAAATCGAACCTGTCACACCTTGATCTTGGACTTCCAGCCTTCAGAACTGTGAGAAAGTAAATTTCTGTGTTCAAGCTACCAGGTCTGTGGGATTTTTTATGGCAGCCCTAGCAGACTAAGACAGGCATCAATGGTTCCAATGTTTTCATTTTTTTTCCGGTAAGCAGACCGAAGCCCAGAGAGATGAAGCAATTTGCCCAAAGTCACATACCAAGTTAACTGAAGAGTTGGGGTTAGAATCCAGCTCTTGTGACTTCTCTCTTTTCAGTTTCCCTTCCCACTCCCCCCACTGAAAAGCTTTTGAGTGACTCTTTTAGAAATCCCGGTTCTGTATATGAAGCAGAATTGAGCACAGCTGCTCTAATGAAGGGCTCAGAGCTCCCAGGCTTTTCTCTCTCCCCTGCCCCTTTTCCCTGTTGCACCTCTGCAGTGTCCTGAGGGTTGATGGAATCTAGTTTGAAAGCTATTGCTCTACCTCACTGCCTCCTGAATGCAATGTCACAAATTTTCCCAACTTGCCATTTCTCTCACACTGACATAAAGCATTAGAAACCTGTTGTGAAGTAGGAAAGCTAACTGGGTCAGTAGCTGATAAGATAATCTGGCCTAGGGGATAGATGATTAGGATTTCAGAGAAGGAAAGGTCACCCAATTGATTTGACTCTGTCCTGGGGCGATGATATGGTGAAGATTTCTACAGATGCAGCAGAAACATCCGGAAACCAGGTGTGTCCCAGCTCTGGTCTGGGAACCATTTCATAAATTGGCAAATATCCAGGATATACACATGGCTAATTCTGAGGTGTACTGAAGTTTCAATAAAGCTACTTTGGTAATGACTAGGAGAAGAAAATCCTATGGCTGGACTTCATTAATGTTGTATGGCCAAGGACAGTGTTTCTCTAATTATGGCCTGTGAACCTCCCTGGATCTCGATCACCTGCATATTTGGGAATATGCAGGTTCCAGGGTCCCACCTGAAACTACAGAATCAGTATTGAGATCCCAGGTGATTCTCATGTACACTCAAGTGTAAGATTATTAGCACCTGGACTTTGGAAGCAGCCAGATAAAAGTTTGGATCCTGGGTTGGCTACTTCCTAGATGTGGCCAAGTCATTTTACTTGCCATGCTTTTGCTTTTCTTGTCTGTAAAGTGGACATGATACCTATTTTACAGGGTGGTTTTGAGGAATAAGGTCAGCATTAAACATTTATCCTCTTTAGGGAGACAGAGAGAGGAGATGAAATAGAGTAGAATTGAGAAAAGCAGTTTCTTAGACCTCCCTGTGAAGTTTTTCTTATTTCAACAAATAATAAAATAAAAAATTCATACACTTTCTTAGTGCTTGTTTGGACTTAAGAATTTAAAAATAACTTGAGAGTTTTATAGGCATCAAGGATGATGTCTGAGTGCTGGAAATACTTGACCTTTGGCTGGAAGGTGGAGTGAAGGTGCCAGCGGACTGAACCCTGGGAGACTGTCTTCTGTTTTATGAATGTGGTCATGCTCTGAGTTAAATGATGTCCCTGGTAAGGACATCTCCCAGAAAAGCTTAGAAATCAGCTGTAATCCTTGTTCCCTGCAAGACCCTTGACTTGGATGTTAAGAGTTCCCTATAATGATAATAGCTACCTTTACTGAGCACTACTTGTTAGCCAGGCATTGTGCTAAGTGCTTTATGTGCATTATGTTATGCAATCCTGCAAATACCGTTACGGGGCAGGTAATATTATTAATGCTATTTTAACAATGACAAAAGTAACTCACTGATTAGGACTCTGAGTAGTATCCATACCACTGTAAGGATAACAAAGAGCAAAGGCAGATTAGGTCCGGCTCTGCTGTTTGTTGGGTGTTTTACTTAGATTTAACCCCTAGACAAGTCTGAGTCTTGATATGGTCTTGCCTATTACTCTACTTCTTTCTCTGCTGTGCACAGATGGAGACTGGCATCTGTATTAATACCAGGTTGTGTGCTTAAAGTCCAATGAATAGCATTTTTTTTTTTTTTTGAGATGGAGTCTCATTCTGTTGCCCCGGCTGGAGTGCAGTGGTGCGATCTCTGCTCACTGCAACCTCCGCCTCCCAGGTTCAAGCAATTCTCCCACGTCAGCCTCCTGAGTAGCTGGGATTACAGGGGTATGCCACCATGCCTGGCTAATTTTTGCATTTTTAGTAGAGATGGGGTTTCACCATGTTGGCTAGGCTGGTCTCGAACTCCTGACCTCAGGCGATCCACCTGCCTTGGTCTCCCAAAGAGCTGGGATTACAGGCGTGAGCCACTGCACTGAGCCCAGTGAATAGCATTTAATAAATGTTTGTAAATGCTCTGAATGTACTATGATAATACAACAAAGTTGTACACATAAGATTATCATAGCAAAAAATGGAGAGTAACCTTGGTTACTTCTATATAGTTATTTAATTTTAATTTTTTTTTTTGAGATGGAGCCTTGCTCTGTCACCCAGGCTGGAGTATAGTGGCGTGATCTTGGCTCACTGCAACCTCCACCTCCTAGCCTCCTAGGTTCAAGCGATTCTCCTGCTTCAGCCTCCTGAGTAGCTGGGACTACAGATATATACTACCATGCCCCTTTAATTTTTGTATTTTTGGTAGAGATGAAGTTTCACCATTTTGGCCAGGCTGGTCTTGAACTCCTGACCTCAAGTGATCAGCTCACGTCTGCCTCCCAAAGTGCTGGGATTACAGGTGTCAGCCACCGTGCCAGGCCAATTTTTTTTTTTTTTTAGAGACAGAGTCTTGCCTTGTCAGCCAGGTTGGAGTGTAGTGGTATGATCACAGCTTATTGCAACCTCGAACTCTTGGGCTCAAGTGATCCTCCAGCCTCAGCCTCCCGAGTAGCTATGGCTACAGGTGCATACAATCAAATGCCTGGCTAATTAAAAACATTTTTTTTTCTGTAGAGATAGTTTCTCGCTATGTTGTCCAGGCTGGTCTTGAAATCCTGGCCTCAAGCAATCCTCCTGCTTCAGCGTGGGATTACAAGCATGAGCCACTGTGCCCAGCCTATACAGCCATTTAAAATGATTGTATAGCTCTATAATAAATGAATAACATACATACCATAATAAAAGAATAAAGCAGGATATGAAGTAGCATGATTAATGGAATCTCATTTTTGAAAATCAAATATGTTTATATGTACATAGAAAAAATATGGAAGGATCTACCCCATAATGTTAGTTGAGCTCTGAATGGTAGATTTAGGATTTTTTTTTTTTTTTTTTTTTTTTGAGACAGTCTCACTCTGTCACCCAGGCTGGAGTGCAGTGGCGTGGTCTCAGCTCACTGCAACCTCTGCCTCCCGGGTTCAGGTGATTCTCTTGCCTCAGCCTCTGGAATAGCTGGGATTACAGGTGCCCGCCACCACACCTGGCTAATTTTTGTATTTTTAGTAGAGACGGGGTTTCTCTATGTTGGCCAGGCTGGTTTTGAACGGCTGACCTTGTGATCCGCCTGCCTCAGTTTCCCAAAGTGCTAGGATTACAGGTGTGAGCCACCATGCCCTACGATTTAGGATGTTTTTTGACTCTGAAAAAGAAAAATTGTCTGATTTTTCTTTTTCTGTTTTTATTTTTACAGTGAGCTGAACACACATCATTTTTATAACTGGGAAAAATGTGCCACTATTATTTTGAAAATTAAATTCCTTGGAAATAAAAAGCTAAACATTCTACCATCTTCCATGTTATTGTGGGTTTGTATTTGCTTCTCTAAGAGAGTGATTAGGAGATGCTCTGAAGACTCTCAGCACACCAAAAGGATAGCTATTCTAAACATTCCTTTTAGCACCTTCACATACATTCAATGCATTCCTCAATGTATCACCCAATGCATTCTTGTTGAATAAGTGAATGAGCATTGAGAAGAAAATCTGTGATCAATATGCAAAGTGTTGCAAAAGAAGAACACTTTCATAAGGATGAGAAGTCATAACAATAGAAAATAATAACTTTCAATTTCTTTTTCTTAGATTCCTGGTAGCTGGATTAATTTGTGTTCAAAGTGATTCACTGAGTCTAGTGAGATCCTAGAACAAGGTTGGGGCTGTTTAAGTCACTCTAAGAGCTCCCTCCAGACATTTCTGTCAGCCTGTCTACACCATATCTCTTTTCATTATTCTTGTTGCCTTTGGTGGCTGTCACAGACAGGAGAGCCAAATAATGCTCCTAGCAGCACATATCATTTCTGCTTTGTCCATCTCTTGCTCACTATAATAGGACATTCTTCTTCCACAGATAGAACAGATTTCTGGTTCTTAGAAAGGCTTCCCAACCTCTGCCCAGGCGTTCATTTTATTTGTGATTCAGAGAATGGCTCTTGGCCAACACAAGAGAATGCCAATTCAGGGACTACTGTGGTTTGAATGTCCCCTCTGAAACTCATGTTGAAATCTAATTGCCATTGTAATAGTATTAACAGTGGGACCTTTAAAAGGTGCTTAGGTCATGAGGGGTCATGATGGATTAATGCTGTTGTCACTGGGAGTGGGGTCCCAATAAAGGGATGAAATTTGGCCTGATTTCCTGTCTCACACATGATAAAGGGATGATATTCAGCCTGCTTTCCAGTCTCGCACGCCTGCTTGCCCTTCCGCCATGTTATGATGCAGCCAGAAGGCCCTCACCAGAAGCAGCCCCTCAGCCTTGGACTTCCCAGCTTCCAGAACTGTAAGAAATACATTTATGGGAGTCTCTCTGAATCTGCTGTGATTGTGGGGGCTGCCTGAAAAAGAGAATTCAAACAAAACAAATTTTTTTTTTATGGTATTCTGTTATAGCAACACAAAACAGAGTAAGAAACCATTCAAAACAGACCCTTAATTTGGCAACTAGATGTCTCTGATATGAAAGTTGGGGGTAAGGCACCCAGATCTGCAGAAAGGCTCAAAAGATTTGTCCTCATAGCTGCAACAGTTGTGTCATAATGGTAGAAACAGAAATTCTCTACTATGGGAGATTAAAAAGAAATGAAACCTTCAGTGACCACCTACTCTGTTGCAGGCACGAGGCTGGGGAGCTGGGGCGCTGCTGGTGGGCTTCATGGTGCTGTGGTTCTGTCTATTCTCATCAGCCTGTGAGGCAAGAAAGTATTGGCAGCACCTCACAGGCCTTGTCCTCTTCATAGCCCCCTCCCGGGAGCCACATCAGTCTCCATTTCAGGTAAAAAAATGAATGAACAAATCACAAAGATGGTCCTCACTGGCCACCTGAGCCTGGCGTGTCATCCACAGAAGAGCCTGGCTTCCCCGCCATTTCTCCCATGGCCTCTGGCCTGAAATAGTTTTCTTCTTGTTAGCGGTTGATCTCAGCTCTG
The DNA here is from genome assembly GCF_000001405.40 of Homo sapiens. NCBI lineage: Eukaryota > Metazoa > Chordata > Mammalia > Primates > Hominidae > Homo > Homo sapiens. The sequence continues at coordinate 104,890,625 of NC_000007.14, read as the reverse complement.
GGCAATGAGACCTTCACCCGGCCAGTGTTCAGAATCCACTGAACGGACTGAGGGGGAAGGACTGACAATCAGTTCTAAAGGGACAAACACACAGCCAATTTAGCTGCTTAGTTCCAGACCCTGCATGTAAACAGTAAGCTAGGAGCTCTGAGGCAAGTCTACTGCTCAAGGCAGCAACTGGGTATTTTCCCCTGAGCTCCACGGGGCGTTGTAATGCGGGGGAGGAAGGGGATGGAGCAAAGATTAAGATGCACAGGACCAGTAAGGCCTCCTGTCTGCTCTGCAGGTATAGAGCAGGAGAATCTCCCAACCACTTGTTTTTTTAGAGACAGGATTTCACTTTGTTGACCAGGTGAGTGAAGTGGCACAATCATAGTTCACTGCAGCCTTAAAATCCTGGGCTCAAGGGACCCTCCCAACTCAGGCTCTTGAGTAGCTAGACTATAAGTGAGTGCCATGAAGCCTGGCTAATTTGTTATTTTTATTTTTTGAAGGGAAGAGGGTCTCACTATGTAGCCAGGCTGGTCTCAAACTCCTGGCCTCAAGTAATCCTCCTGCCTCGATCTCACAAACTTCTGGGATTACTGGCACAAGCCACCAAGCCTGCCAGATGTTTCCTTATCCTAAGAAGCGAATGAGAAGAGGAGAGAAGGAAAGATCTCTAGGAAATATAATTAGGACTGCTCTTTAATTAAAAAAACTGATTGAACATGTATAATTTTGAGATGGTATAATATAGCAGGCAGAGTGTAGCAGCTTGAACTTGAAAATTTCTACTTCATCAAGGTAATATGTACATTGATTTTAAATGTTTCCATTAATTTATCCACTGAAATTCTTCATATTTCCAAGATTTCAGTTCTCGTTGAAATCTTTCCAGAGTTCTCCTGTTAAACTTTGTTCATATAAAGATGACTTTATGGGAGAATATCCATTCTTAGAAAATGCTCTTTGGAAAAGCCAATACTTTCCTTGTTTTTGTTTCTGAGACAGAGTCTTGCTCTGTCACCCAGGCTGGAGTGCAGTGGTGTCATCTTGGCTCACTGCAACCTCTGCCTCCCAGGTTCAAGCGATTCTCCCACTTCAGCCTCTTGAGTAGCCAGGACTACAGGCTTGTGACACCACACCTGGCTAATTTTTGTATTTTTAGTAGAGCTGGGGTTTCACCTTGTTGGCCAGGCTGGTTTTGAACTCCTGACCTCAAGTGATCCACCTGCCTCGGCCTCCCAAAGTGCTGGGAGTACAGGCGTGAGCCACCACGCTCGGCCTGGAAAAGCCAATACTTGATTTTTAAAAAGTCAGACCATACAAATGATCTTATAATGAAGAGTCACCCCACTTCATCCCTTCTCATACCCGGTCTTACTCCCTGGAGACAAGCTGTTTTAATAGTTTCCAGTTTTATTGCAGTAGTTACTTCAGTAGTCTAAATACTATGTTAACATTTGTTTAATTATGCATTTATCAATTTTAGACACTATATGTTGAGTCTTCTCTAGAAAAGTGAAGATTCACCTCCGTTCCTTCTCACCTCCTTTCTCTCCCAATTTTGATTTTAAACAATGCCTTTGTGAGTTTAAATAATAGGTATACCTTTACTTCTTTTTTTTCTTCTCTTTCTGTCTTTGGTCAGATTCAACTCATCTCTCCTTGACGTGAAGCTATCATGTAACTTCTTTTCCTTCCATCTTTCTAACTGCTGACTTTCTGATGTAAGCTTGACTTTTCAAAAGTCAGTATGGGGATTTTCAGTGGATTCATTAACGGAAACAATTTGGACAGAAATCTCCCCTCTTCCTTCGCCTGGAAAACTTAGACTCATCCCAAATATTCAAGTGGCTTAAGATTTCTGCCTTCTACAGCCTACACATGATTGTCCATGCATTGTTGACACATGTGACAGTGACTCCATTGTAGAGGTATAACGTATCTACTTACAAGGAAATCTTCCTCACTGACATTGTGCATGCCTCAAGGACAAGAACCAGGCCTTACATCTCTGAATCCCCATGACCTAGCAGAATGCCTGGCACATAGTAGGACTTCAAGATCTCTTTGCTGTGGAATGTGTGTATATCTGTATTATATATCTCTTTTTAAAAGACAGGATCTCTGTCACCCTGGCAGGAGTGCAGTGGCATGATCATAGCTCAGTGCAACCTCCAACTCCTGGGTCCAAGAGACCCTCCTGCCTCAGTCTCCTGGTTAGCTGGAGCTACAGGCATGTGCCACAACACCTGGCAATTTAAATTTTTTTTGTAGAGATTGGGTCTTGCTATATTGTCCAGGCTGGTTTCCAAACTCCTGGACTCAAGTGATCCTCCTGCCTCAGCCTCCCAAAGCACTGGGATTACAAGTGTGAGCCACCATGCCTGGCCTCTATGATACATATTTACATAATTAGAATGTTTATTGTTTGAAGGGGTAAGATGTCTTAAAAATATGTCCAAACATGAAAACAAATTAATGCAGTGTCTCTAATATTGTGGTCCCCTGAGTGAGCATGTATGTATGTGTACATGTATGTGAGGTTCTTGATTTTGGAAAGAGTAGACACAGTGGCTCTGTGAAGGATCAGCCCACAGCAGATGAAGTGCCACCTGCCAGAATGAAAGGCAGAGCTGCTTTCTCCAGTCAGGTATACAAGATCTGCTTCTCTTTGTAACTTGTTCTGACTCTCAAGCTGTTGAGAGTTGTCACAAATAAAACCCCCAAACAACTCTGAAAGTCCTACCAGTAGATCTAGTCCACTCAATCTGAACCAAGATGACCTGCTTCTAAACATATTTCCAGGATTTCAGCTCTCATTGAACTCTTTCCAGCATTCTTCCTTTAAGCTTTGTTCATATAAAGATGACTTCATAAGAGAACGTCCATTCTTAGAAAATGCTCTTTGCAGAAGCCAGTACTTGTAGTAGAGGCTGTCGTTTCTCTGCCACTTTCCCCTTAGGCTTTACCATTTCAGTGCCCACTGGGCCAGTGTTTAACTGCCAGCCTCTGCGTCTTTTTGCTGGAGGACATTCTCTGACCAGCAGGGTCCTCTCTGCTTACCCATGGGACAGACTGGAAATGCCAGGGAATCACCATCCCTTACCTCTAGCAGTCCTCAGTCAATGACTGATGAGAATTGATTTATAAATATCACTTCCCTTGCCCCTGGAATCTCAGAAATCCCCAGTGGGATTGCACTCCAGTTACCCAAGTAATGACTTGTTTGCTAATACTCCCTTTATTGACCACCTTCCTCTCCCCATCTCACTTTTTCATCCCCTACCAGTGTCTTCTGGGATCTCTACGTACAAAAATGACCTGCACTTAAATCCCGTGTCAGCATCTATCTATGGGGGAACCCAAGCTAGGGTAATATTCTTATACAGTAAGTTAGACAGTCATCTTTCCTTCCCTTCAGTTATTTCCTACAAGGGAATCATTTAGCCTTCTGTTATTCACCGTGGAGCTAATGCTGATGTACCCCTGGTGGAAGTCAGTGCCCATCTTTGTGGGAAACATTTATAGGGGAATGGCTGCCAGTATAACAAGTTTTGGCATGAAAGGAGAAAATTCTCTGGATTTCTTTCCTTTCAGACGTGGGAAACAAGTCACAAAGCAGATCTTTCCAAATCCACAGTTAAATGTTCAGAGCAAGTGAGCCTCTTTGTGAAGCCACATTAGTCTTCCTTTCCCTTGACCCTGGGGACCCCGGGGACCCCGGGAGGACTTAAAGAGTTTTAATGTGATTTCTGGAATGTGCTTGATTTTCAGAGAGAGCAGCTTAGCCCATGGGAGACTCCATTAATATAATTTTGCAATAGAAAAGCTTCCTATTGCCTAATCTCATTAATTGTGTTTTATGTACAGTAAATGGGTAAAAGCTGAGTTTGTAATTTGGTAAATGTGAATGTATAATTTTTGAGGACTTAGAATGTGGAATAAAGAAGAATTTACTTAATATGTAAAAAGAGGCTGGGCGCAGTGGTTCATGCCTGTAATCCCAGCACTTTGGGAGGCCAAGGTGGGCAGATCACCTGAGGTCAGGAGTTCGAGACCAGCCTGGCCAACATGGCAAAACCCCGTCTCTACTAAAAATACAAAAATTAGCCAGGTGTGGTGGTGGGCGCCTGTAATCCCAACTACTCGGGAGGCTGAGGCAGGAGAATTGCTTGAACCCAGGTGGCGGAAGTTGCGGTGAACTGAGATCGCACCACTGCACTCCAGCCTGGCGATAGAGCAAGACTGTCTCAAAAAAACAAAACAAAACAAAATAAAACCAACGAAAAACTCCTAATAAGACCTCAGATGGGGCTTTGAGCCACGAGTTAGTGGCCATCCTTACCTACATTAATACTTTTTCTTCATTTTCCTCCATTCACTCATTCAGTCATTCGTTCAACAAATATGAATTGAGCATATATGATATGTTAGGCACTATTCTAGGTGTGGGGATACAGTGGCAGACAAAGGAGAGTAAGTCCTAGCTTTCATAAACCTTACAGTGAAATGTGGATATAGACAATACGCAAATAAATGTGTAATAAATACATCAGGTGGCTTTGAGTGCTACGAACAAAAATAAATTGGGGTGAGAAGCCAGCTGTTATTTTGGAGCAGGTGGTCAGGGACACTTTCCCTGAAGGAATGAGGAAACAAAATGTCTAGGGGAATCCACCTTCTAGGTGGAGGCTTCAGCAAAAGCAGAGGCAGGAGAAATAGCAGGGGAGCCAGGGCAGCTGGTGATAGGAGATGGGCCATCAGGGTGAACCGGGCAATATAGGACTCTTGGGCAATGGTGAGGCATTTTGAATTTATTTTCAATGCAATGGGACATTATTGAAGGGTGGGGAGAAGGGGAGGGGGGTGATGAGAATTACATTGTAAGACTCACTGTGAGTGAGTGAGTGACAAGAAGACTGTAAGGGGTAAGAGTTGAAGCAGAGAGGACAGTTAGAAGGTGATGACATGGTCTGGAAGAGAGGCAGTGGTGGCTTGGACCAGGCTGGGAGTGGTTGAAGTGGTGAGGTGGGATCAGATTTAAGATGCGTTTTTAAGGCAGAGTCAGTAGGATTTGGCGATAGGTTACATGAGGAATGTGTGTGTGTGTGTATCTGAGAGAAAACTCATGATGACTCCCAAGTTTTTGGTCCATCTGAGTGAGTGGGGTCCTATTTACTGAGATGGGGAACAAGAGAAACTTTTTTTGGGAGAAAATCAGATAGCCACAATAGGCCATTAGACACAAAGATCTGGAATTCAAGGGAGAGGTTGGAACTGGAGATACATATTTGGGAGCCATCCATTGTACAGATAATATTGCAGGGACTGTAGAAAGAGAAGGAGGAAAGGCCAAGGACTGGCCCTGTACCATACCACCCTTGGAGGGAGGAGAAATGGTTTGGGAGCCCCAAAGAGGGGCAAGGGGGCTACTACCCCTCCTCCATGAACTGGGCAGCTTCATATTGAAAAATTACCTAAATAGCAAATAAAATCGAAGTCTCAGTTGTGATCTCTGGGGTAGAGTGGAAAGATCAGTGGCTGGGTCTGTTTTCCACTAGTCCACGCTGCACCTACATAGATCTTCAGCACTGAGTGCTATGAGGATGGGGATATTTGAGAGGGTTCTCCTTCCTCTCCTCTTCCCTCTCCCCTGCCTGCTGACCTTCCCTTCTTCTATCCTTTCCTGAGTTGCCCATTCCTCCTCTTGCACCTCCCACTCCACTTCTCCTTCTCTCCACCAATTGGTGTCCTTGGGACTGAATTTCAGGTGATTCTAGGCTAGGAGGCCTGGGCTGTTAAGTTACAGAACCCCTCCTTTCCAGGTGCAGACAAAGTCTCCCCTTGAAGCTTGGGTCAGAGGTAAGGTCATTTTCTTCAAATACTCAACCCACACATTTCACCATTTTGAAATTCATCCAGGCTTGCAAAATGTCAGAATGCAAATTCTCCTGAAAGGGGAGTTTATTTGTTCTTCACAATTCAATGTGAATTACTTTAATCAGATAATCAGCCAATTTCCCTCCTAACAGCTGGTTGAGATCAGGCTGCACTATATTCTTTTTATTAAAAAAAGATCTTACTAAGACTATATCAGAAGTCTTCAAGCTTTATCACGTGTAAAATTCACTTAGGAAATTCACTGAAATGCAGATTCCTAGGTTCTATTCCCAGATATTCCAACTTGGTAGGTCCGGATGATTCTGGTGCAGGTGGCTGGTGAACCACACTGGGAAATACCGAGGTAGAGGATTGGACAGAACTTGGGGACAGGGGAGCGGTCAGAGGGCCTATCTCAGGAGGACATGCTTGGCAAGCTGCCAAAACAAAGGCCTTTGAACTAAACAGAGAACGAAGTGGAAGGAAAGAGGAAGGGGGAAGAGAGCCCAGAATAGAAGGGAATGGAAGCAGATGCCTTCTCCGTGATGTTGTTAGTACTTGAACCCACCCTACAACCCCAGGCTTCTGGCGTGTACCGAAGACTTGGGCACTTATCACGCATCAGGCACGGTATAGGTATTAATGAGCTTTCCAGCTCATTGAATTCTTACCACTTCTTATTATCTCTGTTTGGGGATTACAGAGGCTGTAAAAGTTTTACGAGGCAGGGCTAGACCCAGAAGCCTTGTCTGTGTGATTCCATATCCACACGCCCCAACCACGTGTTGCACTGCTGAATCTGCACCATCATCAGGTTATGCGGGCTCAAAGGGAAGTGTGCTCAGGAGTGAATTTCAATGGCTCAGAGGCCCACGCTTTCCTCTGGGATGGGCTGCTTTGGTGCCCCCTGGTGGCTGCTAACCTGGTGTGCGGCGTCCAGGCAAGAACAAGCAATGAACTGAGTCCTAGCTCCCCAGCAGGGAAATATGGAAGATTCTTAAAATATCACACTTCCCACCTGATCAGACACGCAAACTCTTTTCTCCCATTATCTGAGCAATTTCAGGAAACTCCCGTTAGTGCTACGTCCCTCAGCTTCTGCCTCAGTGACACGTTACACACTAATTTATAAATTACAAGCCACTGCCTTGTAACCTGATCACAGCTGCACACACCTCACCTTCCCTCCAACCATATAGGCTCAGAGAACCCGCTTCATTTTCATTAAATAGTAAGGAAAAGCTCCCCGGGCTTCTGTATTCTACTAGGCCTGCTTTTATTTTTAACAGCCTGTCTGCCAATGCACTAGTGGGCTAAAAATAGACTTACTTATAATACAATTCATCATGCACTCAGCTGCCAGGAGGAAGCTTAATTTAAGCTTCATCCAAGATGAAATACCTTTAAGAAACATATTATTTCATGTAACTATTAATATCAGTTTTTAAGAGTCCTCCAATATGAACTCTTTGATACATACTTTGGAAATGAGGGAACGTTAGAATGTTATGAAAAGAGATCTCGGCAAAACTATCTTGCCATAGTCTTGGCCAAGGTTAGAAAATGCTTTGGGAGCTCTTTTCCTTAACTCCAAACTCTTTTAGTTTCTCTTTGCTTTTTCTCTTAATTCTAGCTCTTTGTTTCAACTTGATCTGAATAAATTGGATCATCATAGAGTTGCCAGATTTAGCAAATAAAAATACAGAATGCCTAGTTAAATTTCCGATAAACATTGACAGTTTTTTAGTATAAGTAAGTCTCAAACATTGCGTGGTTTGCTCAGGACTTTTCTGGTTTTAGCACTGAAAGTTCTACATGCGGGAATGCCTTCAGTCCCAGGCAAATGAGGCAGCCAGTCGCCTTAACTACAATATAAATCATACCCTTCCCCCATCTTCAGGATTTATTTCCCACTAGGAAGTCTTGTGGGAGAGAAACTTTTAAAAATAACAGCTTTATTGAGACATAATTCACATATCATAAAACACCTCTTAAAAGTATACAATTCGGTGATTTTAGTATACCTATAGAGTTGTACAACTATCACCACTATCTAATTTTAGAATATTTTCATCACCATGAAAACCCCATACCTACTGTCAGTCACTCACCATTCTCCACTCCCCTCAGGCCCTGGATACCACTAAGATACTTTCTGTCTCTATGGATGTTTCCATTCTGGACATTTCATATAAATGAAATGTGGTACAGGCTGGGCACAGTGGCTCACGCCTGTAATCCCAGCACTTTGGGAGGCCAAGGTGGGCAGATCATCTGAGGTCAGGAGTTTGAGACTAGCCTGGCCAACATGATGAAACCTTGTCTCTACTAAAAATACAAAAATTAGCTGGGTGTGGTGGTGTGTGCCTGTAATCTCAGCTACTTGGGAGGCTGAGGCGGGAGAATCGCTGGAACCTGGGAGGTGAAGGCTGCAGTGAGCTGAGATCATGCCACTGCACTCCAGTCTGGGTGACAGAGTGAGACTCCATCTCTAAATAAATAAATAAGTAAATAAATAAATAAATGAAATGTAGTGCTTAGTGGTTGGATTCTTTCAGTTAGCCTAATGTTTTCAAGGTTCATCCATATGGTAGCATGTGTCAGTACTTCATCCTTTTTTATTGCCAAATAGTATTCTGTGTGGATATATAAATGCATACCTTGGAGATATTGAGGGTTTGGTTCCAGACCACTGCAATAAAGTGAATATCACAATAAAGACAGAAGTTTTCGTTTCCCAGTGCAAAAGCTATGTTTATAGCATCCTGTAGACTGGTAAGTGCGCAGTAGCATTACATCTAAAAAATATACATACTTAATTTAAAAATAAATTAATGAACGAATTTTTGCTGGTAAACATGGAGGTGTCCTGCCTCCATGTTGATGGCGGCTGACTGATGAGGGTGGTGGCTGCTGAAGGCTGAGGTGGCTGTGGAATTTCTAAAATAAGACCACAAGGAAGTTTCCTTTCATGGAAGATTTTTCTATAGCACGTGATGCTGTTTGATAGCATTTTAGTCACAATATGACTTCTTTCAAAATGGAAGTGCGTCTTCTCAAACCCTGCTGCTGCTTTATCAACTAAGTTTATGTAAAATTTGAAATACTTTGTTGTCACTTCAATGATGTTCACAGCAACTTCAGCAGGAGTAGGTTCCATCTCAAGAAACCACTTTCTTTGTTCATTCATAAGAAGCAACTCCTCATGTATTTGAATTTTATCATGAGATGGCAGCAATTCAGTCCCATCTTCAGGCTCCACTTCTAATTCTAGTTCTCTTGCTATTTCCACCACATCTGCATTACTTCCTCCACGGAAGTCTTGAAATCAAGTCAAGACTCAAAGTCATCCTTGAAGGCTGGAGTCAACTTCTTCCAAACTCTTGTTAATGTTGATATTTTTATAAATTCTATTAACTTTGAATTTTTATTAACTTCTATGAATCACAAAAGTTCTTAATGACATCTAGATTGAAGAATACTTTCCAGAAGGTTTTCAATTCACATTGCTGAGATCCATTAGGGGAAACACTATCTATGGCAGCAATAGCCTTACAAAAAGTATTTCTTTTTTTTTTTTTTTTTTTTGAGATGGAATCTCACTCTGTTGCCCAGGCTGGAGTGCAGTGGTGCTATCCCGGCTCACTGCAAGCTCCGCCTCCCAGGTTCACGCCATTCTCCTGCCTCAGCCTCCCAAGTAGCTGGGACTACAGGTGCCTGCTAGCACGCCCGGCTAATATTTTGTATTTTCAGTAGAGATGGGGTTTCATTGTGTTAGCCAGGAAGGTCTTGATCTCCTGACCTCGTGATTCACCCGCCTTGGCCTCCCAAAGTGCTGGGATTACAGGCATGAGCCACCGCGCCTGGCCACACAAAGTATTTCTTAAATAATAAGACTTGAAAGTAGAAATTACTCTCCTTGATCCATGGGCTGCAGAATGGACATTGGATTAACTGGCATGAAAACAACATTACTATTATTTTTTTATATACCTCCATTACAGCTCTTGGGTGACCAGCTGCATTGTCAATGAACAGTAATATTTTGAAAGAAAATTTTTTTGAAAGGAATCTTTTTTTTTTTTTCTCAGCAGTAGGTCTCAACAGTGGGCTTAAAATATTAAGTAAACCATGCTGTAAAGAGATGTGCTGTCACCCAGGCTTTGTTGTTCCATTTCTAGAGCTCAGGCAGAGTAGATTTAGAATAATCTGTAAGGACCCTAAGATTTTCAGAATGGTAAATGAGCACTGGCTTCAACTTAGTCCCCAGCTGTATCAGCCCCTGTATTATTCCGTTTGTGTTGCTATAAAGGAGTAACTGAGGCAGGGTAATTTATGCAGAAAGAGATTTATTTGGCTCATGGTTCTGCAGGCTGTACAAGCATGGCAGCAGCATCTCCTCCTGATGAGGCCTCAGGAGGCTTCCAATCTTGGTGGAAGGTAAAGGGGGAGCCAATGTATCACATGATGAGAGAGGGAGGGGGGAAGTGCCACACTCTTTTAAACAACCAGATCTCATGTGAACTTAGAGCAAGAACTCACTCATTACCATGAGGGCACCAGGCCATTCATGAGGGATCCACCCCCATGACTCAAACACCTCCCACTAAGGCCCCACCTCCAACACTGGGAATCACATTTCAACATGAGATTTAGAGGGGACAGATATCCAAACCTTATCAGCCCCTAAAAAGAGAGCCTGTCTTTGGTTTTTTTTTTTGAAGAGACAGAGTTCTCACTATGTTGCTATGTTGCCCAGGCTGGCCTCCAATTCCTGGGCTAAAGCCATCCTCCTGATTCAGCCACTTGAGTAGCTTGAGTTACTGGCATACCATCACACCTGGCTCTTTGAAGCTTCAAAGCCAGGCATTGACTTCTGTCTAGCTGTGAAAGTGCTACATGGCATCTTCTTCCAATGTAAGGCTGTTTTGTCTACACGAAAATCTGTTATTTGGTGTAGCCACGTTCATCAGTATTAGCTAGATCTTCTGGATAACTTGCTGTGGTTTCTCCATCAGCATTTGCTGCTTCATTTTGTAATTTTTTATTTTCTTTTAGAGACAGATTCTTGCTCTGCCACACATAGTTCACTGTGGCCTCGATCTCCTGGGCTTAAGTAATCCTCCTACCTCAGCCTCTCGAGTAGCTAGGACTACAAGTGTGTGCCACCATACCCAACTAATTTTTTAAAATTTTATTTTGTGGAGATGGGATCTTGCCACATTGCCTAGGCTGGTCTCGAACTCCTAGCCTCAGGTGATGCTCCTGCCTTAGACTCTCAAAGCACTGGGATTACAGTCATGAGATATTGCCCCTAGTCCACCTTAAAATTTTTTTTTTTTGAGACAGGGTCTCACTCTGTTGCACAGACCAGAGCATAGTGGTGCAATCTCAACTCACTGCAACCCTTGCCTCCCAGGCTCAAGCAATCCTCCCACCTTAGCCTCCCAAGGAGCTGGTACTACAGGTATGTGCCACCATGCCCAGCTAACTTTTGCATATTTTGTAGAGATGGGGTCTCGCATATTGCCCAGGCTGGTCTTGAATTCCTGGATTCCAGTGATCTGCCCACCTTGGCCTCCCAAAATGCTGGGATTACAGGTGTGAGCCACCATGGCCAGCCCCTACCTTGCACTTTTATGTCACAGAGATGGCTTCTTTCCTTAAGCTTCATGAACTGACCTCTGCTTCCTTCAAACTTTCCTTCTACAACTTCCTCACCTCTCTCAGCCTTCGTAGAATGGAAGAGAGTTAGGGCTTTGCTCTCGACTAGGCTTTGGCTTAAGGAATTGTTATAGTTAGTTTGATCTATCTAGACAACTAGAAGCTTTTCTATATCAGAAAAAGTTTTAGTTGTCTAGATAGATCAAACCATAACCATAACAATCCCTTAAAGGCTGTTTCACTTTCTTATCATTTGTGTGTTCGTTCACTGGAGTAGCACTTTCCATTTCCTTCAAGAAGTTTTTCTTTGCATTCAAAACTCGGCTGTTTGGTGCAAGGGTCCTAGCTTTTATCCTGTCTCAGCTTTCGGCATGCCTTCACTAAACTTAGTCATTTCTAGCTTTTGATTTCAAGTGAAAGAGGTGTGACTCTTCCTCTCACTTAAACACTGTTTAGTACTTAAGTAGGCTTATTAATTGGCTTAATTTTGAAATTGTTGTATCTCATGGAATAGGGAGGCCTGAAGAGAGGGAAAGAGATGGGGGAATGGCTGGTTAGTGGAGCAGTCAGAACACACAGTTATTAACTTTGCCATCTTATATGGGTGCGGTTTGTAGTACCCCAAAACAATTACAATAGTAACATCAAAGATCACTGATCACAGATCACCATGACAGATATAACAATAATGAAAATGTTTGACATATTATGAGAATAACAGAAATGTGACACGGAGACACAAAGTGAGCACCTGTTAGAAAAATGGTGCTGATAGACTTGCACAAAACAGGGTTGCCACAAACCTTCAATTTGTTTAAAAAAAAAAGCAATATTTGTAAAGCACGATAAAGTGAACTGCAATAAATATGAGGTGTGCCTGTACCACATTTTGTTTATCCATCATCTGATAGACATTTGGCTGTTTCCATCTTTGGGCTTTTATGAAAAATGGTGCTATAGGCCAGGCACGGTGGCTCATGCCTGTAATCCTAGCACTTTGGGAGGCCGAGGTGGGCAAATTGCCTGAGCTCAGGAGTTAAAGACCAGCCTGGGCAACATGGTGAAACCCCGTCTCTACTAAAATACAGAAAAATTAGCCAGGTGTGGTGGCGTGCGCCTGTAGTCCCAGCTACTCGGGAGGCTGAGGCAGGGGAATCGCTTGAACCCTGGAGATGGAGGTTGCAGTGAGCTGAGATTGCACCACTGCACTCGAGCCTGGGTGACAGAGAAAGACTCTGTCTCAAAAAAAAAAAAATGCTGCTATAAACATTTCCATACAAGTTTTTGTGTGGATATATTTTCACTTCTCTTGGGTATATACATACCCAGCATGGAATTGCTGGGTCATATGGTAACTCTGTTTAACTTTTTTTTAAAGGAACTTCCAAACTGTTTTTAAAAGTATTTGCACCACTTTACATTCCCATCCGCAATGTATGAGAGTTTCACTTTCTCCATATCTTCATCAACACTTATTATTACCCATCTTTGATCATAGCCATCCTAGTGGATGGGAAGTGATATCTCATTGTGGTTTTGATTTGTATTACCCTACTGACTGCTGATGCTGAGTATCTTTTCATGTATTTATTGGACATCTGTATATATTTTTTATATCATTTGGGGAAATGTCTATTTAAAATTTTTTGTCCAGCTTTTAATTGGGTCATTTGTCCTTTTATTGTAGAGTTTTAAAAGCTGTTTACATACTTTGGATACAAGTCCCTTATCAGGTATATAATTTGCAAATATTGTCTCCCATTTGGTGGGTTGTCTAAGAAACTGCTTTTAACCCAGTAATCCTCAATTTTTTTTTTATTATACTTTAAGTTCTAGGGTACATGTGCACAACGTGCAGGTTTGTTACATATGTATACATGTGCCATGTTGGTGTGCTGCACCCAGTAACTCGTCATTTAACATTAGGTATATCTCCAAATGCTATCCCTCCCTCCTCCCCTGACCCCACAACAGGCCCCGGTGTGTGATGTTCCCCTTCCTGTGTCCATGTGTTCTCATTGTTCAATTTCCACCTATTAGTGAGAACATGTGGTGTTTGGTTTTTTGTCCTTGTGATAGTTTGCTGAGAATGATGGTTTCCAGCTTCATCCATGCCCCTACAAAGGACATGAACTCATCATTTTTTATGGCTGCATAGTATTCCATGGTGTATATGTGCCACATTTTCTTAATCCAGTCTATCATTGTTGGACATTTGGGTTGGTTCCAAGTCTTTGCTTTTGTGAATAGTGCCACAATAAACATACATGTGCATGTGTCCTTATAGCAGCATGATTTATAATCCTTTGGGTATATACCCAGTAATGGGATGGTTGGGTCAAATGGTATTTCTAGTTCTAGATCCCTGAGGAATCGCCACACTGACTTCCACAGTGGTTGAACTAGTTTACAGTCCCACCAACAGTGTAAAAGTGTTCCTATTTCTCCACATCCTCTCCAGCACCTGTTGTTTCCTGACTTTTTAATGATAGCCATTCTAACTGGTGTGAGATGGTATCTCATTGTGGTTTTGATTTGCATTTCTCTGATGGCCAGTGTTGATGAGCATTTTTTCATGTGTCTTTTGGCTGCATAAATGTCTTCTTTTGAGAAGTGTCTGTTCATATCCTTTGCCCACTTTTTGATGGGGTTGTTTTTTTCTTGTAAATTTGTTGGAGTTCATTGTAGATTCTGGATATTAGGCCTTTGTCAGATGAGTAGATGCAAAAATTTTCTCCCATTCTGTAGGTTGCCTGTTCACTCTGATGGTAGTTTCTTTTGCTGTGCAGAAGCTCTTTAGTTTAATTAGATTCCATTTGTCAATTTTGGCTTTTGTTGCCATTGCTTTTGGTGTTTTAGACATGAAGTCCTTGCCCATGCCTGTGTCCTGAATGGTATTGCCTAGGTTTTCTTCTAGGGTTTTTATGGTTTTAGGTCTAACATTTAAGTCTTTAATCCATCTTGAATTAATTTTTGTATAAGGTGCAAGGAAGGGATCCAGTTTCAGCTTTCTACATATGGCTAGCCAGTTTTCCCAGCACCATTTATTAAATAGAGAATCATTATTTGACCCTGGAATTCTTCATTCTAATAATCTCTGTTCAGTATTGAATTTATGCTGTGTGCCAGGCATTGGGGCTCCAAGGATAAAGAGGATGTGCCAGGAGGAGCTGATAGTCTGGTGCGTGGGAGAGAGAAGTGTGCAAATGATTTTAATGAGAGTGAGGAGGGAAAAATTTGGCAAACGTACAGTGTGCCTTCATCTCTAGCACTTGGTGCAATGTGGGACACACAGTGGTGATCAATAAATGTTTGAAATAAAGATGGAATCAGTACTTGACCAAACTGGGAATCCTCCTATCTCTTTATTGTGGGTGTGGAGTTTTTGTTTTTGTTTATTTATTTATCATATAATTTAAAGACTTCTAAAGAGGCTTGTTAAGGTCTGACAAATCTCCTCTATCTGCTAGTAGCAACTAAAACTTCCACTGCCATTGAACATTTCTAAGACTTTGAAGGTCCTGGTTGGATGGAGCTGGATCATCTGGGATTATCTGGGAGGAATGTAACACTATCGTCAGTCAAGTAATATTTTACTATGAGTAATTCACCCAGATGGGCTCTAATAACCTGCCTGGAGTCAAGACTAATAAGTATTGAAGGACTCAGGCCAGGTATAGGCAGCTTAGCAGAGAGTGCAGAGCTGGTTTGGATCTGGTGGGATGGATAGAGGGTGGCTGGAGGGTGTGAGGATTTGGAGGTGGGTGCAGGGAGACATTGACAAGGTAGTCAAAGAAAGGAACATGGAAGAGCATCAAAGACAAATTTGGACCTCAGTATTATGCATGGGGCTTACCTTATCTATAGGTAATGGGGAATGAGCATTTCATCTTATGAAACAAAGAGGAGAATTTATGTGAAGTTATTTTCTGCAAGAACCACCATATAGGGCTGCAGTGGCTCATACCTGAAATATCAACATTTTTGGGAGACTGAGGTAGGAGGATTGCTTGAGACCAGGAGTTCGAGACCAGCCTGGGCAAAATAGTGAGACCCCATCTCTCTAAAAAAAAAAATACATTCCCCAGGTGTGGCAGTGTACACCTGTAGTCCTAACTACTCAGAAGGCTGAGGCAGGAGGATCACTTGAGCCTGGGAGATTTAGGGGGCAATGACCTAGGATCTCACCACTGCTCTCCAGCCTGGGTGACAGAGTGAGCCCCTTAAAAAAAAAAAAGGAAAAAGAACCAAACCATCAAACTGCTGAGTTTTAATGTTGTGGGATTAGGAGCAATGAATGAGCCTGAATTAGTAGGTATAATTTTGACTCTGAGGGCCTCTTGAAACCCAACTCAGTAAGCATAAGAAAGAATTACCTCTGTGCCAGCTGGGCGCGGTGGCTCATGCCTGTAATCCCAGCACTTTGGGCAGCCGAGGCGGGCAGATCACCTGAGGTCAGGAGTTCAAGACCAGCCTGGCCAACATGATGAAACCCTGTCTCTAAAAATATAAAATACAAAAAATACAAAAAATTAGCCGGGTGTGGTGATGCATGCCTGTAATCCCAGCTACTTAGGAGGCTGAGACAGGAGAATTGCTTGAACCGTGGAGACGGAGGTTGCAGTGAGCCAAGATTGCACCACTGCACTCCAGTCTGGGTGACAGAACGAGACTCTGTCCCCCCCCCAAAAAAAAAAAAAAAAGCATTCCTTTTAGGCATTAAAACACTATCAGCAGAAAGACACTCTTGAAAAATCTCTCCTATCTCTTTTTATATAAGTCAAATATTAATTAAAGCAAATAAATTAGATTGCAATTATGAGTAATTGTGAATTGTAGTACTAAGAGGAAATGCTCTTCAGTGCAGTTAATTGGCATCAATTGTGATTTGTCCAAACTAATTGAATATCCAGAGTGAGGTTAATATTTTGAACATTCTAATAATAAGTAGAATTAGAGAAATGAGATTAGAGCAGCTGCCAGCTACCTATAGATGACATTTCTTGGGAGTCCTAGCACATTTCTGGGTATGCCTCCTATTCATCCCAACAGCAGTGTTTGGTTTGCATCAGTGAGGGAAGACCCCATGGGCCAGTTTTCATTAGGGATCTCCAAATGCCTACTTCACTACCAGCCCTCCAGTGTGGGCCCCTGCCCCCACCATTTCTGCCATAAAAGCACAGGCAGACTTCATCATACGTTCTGAGGGCAACCGAGACTAGCTTTGTTAAATGGGTGCAGATAACAGTCTTGTCAGGAGCCTTGCCTCGCACTCTGAGATTTCCCACTCTGCGAAGGCAAACATCATGAGACGCCAGTTTGCAGTTAGTACCCAAAATCCCATTGGAAATGTATACAGACGGAAAGAAAATGTGTGTGGGAGTGTATGAGCACATTCATATATTGTTAAAAATCAGAGTTTAAACATTAACATACCAGTTTCAGTTTTTTTTTCTTTCCTTTTTAGAGACAGAATCTTTCTCTGTTACCCAGGCTGGAGTGCAGCGACGTGATCGTAGCTCGCTGTAACCTCAAATTCCTGGGCTCGGGCCATCTTCCTGCTTCAGCCTCCCAAGTAGCTAGGATAACCGGTGTAGTGCTACCGCACGCCTGGCTAATTTTATTTTTTATTTTTGTAGAGATGGAGTTTTGCTATGTTGCCCAGGCTGATCTCAAACTCCTGGGCTCAAGTGATTCTCCCACCTATTTTGTGTGTTTGTCTTAATAGGATCTTCTGCTACTGTTTATCTTTTAAAATAATCTTACTAACCACATGTTTACTTGACACATATTCCTTTTAGGAAGATGATCTGAAGACCAAATAAACCTGACAGAAATATTCATATACACACACCCCTACTTTGCCTTCTTTTGAAAAGTTTAAGCAGCCCAGTGCTTCAGCCTGCATTGGCTATTGAAAACATTAGAATACTCTTGTCTAGTACAGTCAGGTGCCACATAATGGTGTTTTGGTCTACAACAGGCTGCATATATGATGGTGGTCCCATAAAATTAAAATTGAGCTGAAAAATTCCTATTGTTTAATGACATTGTAGCTGTTGTAACATCTTAGCACAACACATTACCTCCCTGTCTGTGGAGATGCTGGTGTAAACAAATCTACTGCGCTGCCAGTCATAGAAAAGTCTAGCACATAAAATTATGTACAGTACATAATACTTGATACTGATAGTAAACGATTGTGTTACTGGTTTAGGTATTTATTGTTTATAGTTATTTTAGAGTGTACTCCTACTTACTGAAAAAAAGTTAACTGTAAAACAGCTTCAGGCAGGTCCTCAGGTGGTATTCCAGAAGAATGGTTATCATAGAAGATGACAGCTCCGTGTGTTATTGTCCCCAAGGACCTTCCAGTGGGACCAGATGTGGAGGTGGAAGATAGTGATATTGATGTTCCTGTCCCTGTCTTAGTTTTTTTTTTTTCTTTTGAGATGGACTCTCACTCTGTTAACCAGGGTGAAGTGCAGTGGTGTGATCTCGGCTCACTGCCATCTGTGCTTCCTGGATTCCAGCGATTCTCCCATCCCAGCCTCCTGAGTAGCTGGGATTACAGGCCTGCACCACCACACCCAGCTATTTTGTGTATTTTTAATAGAGACAGGGTTTCACCATGTTGGCCAGGCTAGTCTTGAACTCTTGACCTCAAGTGATCCACCCACCTTGGCCTCCTAAAGTGTGGGGATTACAGGCGTGAGCCACTGTGCCTCGCCTGTGTCTTACTTTTTTTTTTTTGTTTGAGACATAGTCTTGCTCTGTCACCTAGGCTGGAGCAAAGTGGCACAATCTCGGCTCACTGCAAGCTCTGCCTCCCGGGTTCAAGCGATTCTCCTGCCTCAGCCTCCCAAGTAGCTGGAACTACAAGCATGTGCCACCACGCCCAGATAATTTTTGTATTTTTAGTAGAGATGGGGTTTCACCATATTGGCCAGGCTGGTCTCAAACTCCTGACCTCATGATCCACCCGGCTTGGCCTCCCAAAGTGCTGGGATTACAAGCATGAGCCACTGTGCCCAGACAGTGTGTCTTAGTTTTTAACAAAAAAGTTTAAAAAGTGAAAAAAAAATTTTAATAGAGAAAAAACCTGTTGAATAAGGATATAAAGAAAAAATAATATTGGCTGGGCATGGTGGCTCACACCTGTAATCCCAGTACTTTGGGAGGCCGAGGCGGGCAGATCACCTGAGGTCAGGAGTTCGAGACCAGCCTGACCAACATGGAGTAACCCTGTCTCTACTAAAAATACAAAATTAGCTGGGCATGGTGGCATATGCCTGTAATCCTAGCTACTAGGGAGGCTGAGGCAGGAGAATCACTGGAACCTGGGAGGTGGAGGTTGCAGTGAACCGAGACTGAGCCATTGCACTCCAGCCTGGGCAACAAAAGTGAAACTCCACCTCAAAAAAAAAATTATTTTTGGTGCAGCTGTACGATGTGTGTGTGTTTTACACTAAGTGTTATTCTAAAAGAGTCAGAAAGTTAAAAAATATTAAACTTTACAAAGTAAAAAACTGAAGTAAGCTAAGGTTAATTTTATTATTGAGGAAAGAAAAATATTAAAAATAAATTTAGTGTAGCCTAAGTGCATGTATAGTGTTTACGAAGTCTATAGTAGTGTACAGTAACATCCTAGGCCTTCACATTCATTCACCATTCACTCACTGACCCACCCAGAGTGACTTCCAGTCCTGCCAGCTCTATGCATGGTAAGTGCCCTATGCAGGTGTACCACACTTTATCCTTTATACCATATTTTTACTGTACCTTTTCTATGTTTAGATACACAAATACTTATCATTGTGTTACAATTGCATACAGTGTTCAGTACATTAGCATACCATATGGGTTTGCAGCCTAGGAGCAATAGGCTATACCATAAAGCCTAGGTGTGCAATAGACTAGACCGTCTATGTCTGTGTAAGTACACTCTGTGATGTTCACACAACGATGAAATCTCCTAACAATGCATTTCTCAGAACATATCCCTGTTAAGTGACACATAACTGACTGTATTTGAATAGCTTAGCGAAACTAGGTCAGTTAGGTTGACCCTCAGTCAAGTGCTATTGTTTGCTCCAGTCCCACCTTGGCCTAGAGAACAGGGACCTCTCATGACCAGGTTCATTTACACTGCCTATAGAGTGCCCCCCACTGCCTTGCTTAGGTGAGGATGAGAGGTTACAGTTGAGATCCTTTCCTCCTCTTTAGGATGTTTTGGAGGATGCTATACATCCTTTACTCTGGCAGATTTTGGGGTGGCTGCGTCCTCCTCCAGAAACCCATGTCCTACATTCCAGCATGTTTGGATCTGCCTCAGGTGACCTCCCTGATGCCACACAGGACCTCAGAGTCCACGGGGAAAACTTCCCAGGGCTTCTTTCTTCTCTGCATCAGCTGGGCCTTCAGTCTATGGTGAAGCTCCCGTTGTCACAGACCACCCTGCCTTAACTTTTTGGGTGGGAAAGTTTTCCAATCTGTTGTCTCCACCTGGCTGAAAGCTTCGTGAAACTTTCTTGGACTTAAGACCCTGCTCATGATGAAATTAGCAGTGGCCATTTATTTCACCCCTGACAAAGAGGAAGCAGGCTCCATGCTAAGAGCTTTCATACATTTTCACCTGGAATCCTTGCCCTGGGAGACAGATGTTCCCATTCCCCTTTCCCAGAGGTGCAAGTCGGGCGAATATTACAGCCTGTGGTCACAGAGTTGGTAAGTGGTAGAGCTAGAATTTGAACTCATCTGTGCTATACCAGATCTCATGTGGTTAGCCATTGCTATGTGTTGCTTCTTGGTATTCAATGCTGTCTTTTGTACAGAAGTTTTCTTTTTTTATTATTATACTTTAAGTTTTAGGGTACATGTGCACAACATGCAGGTTTGTTACATATGTATACATGTGCCATGTTGGTGTGCTGCACCCAGTAACTCGTCATTTAACATTAGGTATATCTCCAAATGCTATCCCTCCCCCGTCCCCCCACCCCACAGCAGGCCCCGGTGTGTGATGTTCCCCTTCCTGTGTCCATGTGTTCTCATTGTTCAATTCCCACCTATGAGTGAGAACATGCGGCGTTTGGTTTTTTGTCCTTGTGATAGTTTGCTGAGAATGATGGTTTCCAGCTTCATCCATGTCCCTACAAAGGACATGAACTCATCATTTTTTATGGCTGCATACTATTCCACGGTGTATATGTGCCACATTTTCTTAATCCAGTCTACCATTGTTGGACATTTGGGTTGGTTCCAAGTCTTTGCTATTGTGAATAGTGCCGCAATAAACATACGTGTGCATGTGTCTTTATAGCAGCATGATTTATAATCCTCTGGGTATGTACCCAGTAATGGCATGGCTGGGTCAAATGGTATTTCTAGTTCTAGATCCCTGAGGAATCGCCACACTGACTTCCACAGTGGTTGAACTAGTTTACAGTCCCACCAACAGTGTAAAAGTGTTCCTATTTCTCCACATCCTCTCCAGCACCTGTTGTTTCCTGACTTTTTAATGATTGCCATTCTAACTGGTGTGAGATGGTATCTCATTGTGGTTTTGATTTGCATTTCTCTGATGGCCAGTGATGATGAGCATTTTTTCATGTGTCTTTTGGCTGCATAAATGTCTTCTTTTGAGAAGTGTCTGTTCATATCCTTTGTCCACTTTTTGATGGGGTTGTTTGTTTTTTTCTTGTAAATTTGTTGGAGTTCATTGTAGATTCTGGATATTAGCCCTTTGTCAGATAAGTAGATTGCAAAAAATTTTCTCCCATTCTGTAGGTTCCCTGTTTACCCTGATGGTAGTTTCTTTTGCTGTGCAGAAGCTCTTTAGTTTAATTAGATTCCATTTGTCAATTTTGGCTTTTGTTGCCATTGCTTTTGGTGTTTTAGACATGAAGTCCTTGCCCATGCCTGTGTCCTGAATGGTATTGCCTAGGTTTGCTTCTAGGGTTTTCTTCTAGGGTTTTTATGGTTTTAGGTCTAACATTTAAGTCTTTAATCCATCTTGAATTAATTTTTGTATAAGGTGTAAGGAAGGGATCCAGTTTCAGCTTTCTACATATGGCTAGCCAGTTTTCCCAGCACCATTTATTAAATAGGGAATTGTTTCCCCATTTCTTGTTTTTGTCAGGTTTGTCAAAGATCAGATGGTTGTAGATATGCAGCATTATTTCTGAGGGCTCTGTTCTGTTCCATTGATCTATATCTCTGTTTTGGTACCAGTACCATGCTGTTTTGGTTACTGTAGCCTTGTAGTACAGTTTGAAGTCAGGTAGCGTGATGCCTCCAGTTTTGTTCTTTTGGGTTAGGATTGACTTGGCAATGCGGGCTCTTTTTTGGTTCTATATGAACTTTAAAGTCGTTTTTTCCAATTCTGTGAAGAAAGTCATTGGTAGCTTGATGGGGATGGCACTGAATCTATAAATTACCTTGGGCAGTATGGCCATTTTCACGATATTGATTCTTCCTACCCATGAGCATGGAATGTTCTTCCATTTGTTTGTATCCTCTTTTATTTCATTGAGCCGTGGTTTGTAGTTCTCCTTGAAGAGGTCCTTCACGTCCCTTGTAAGTTGGATTCCTAGGTATTTTATTTTTTTTGAAGCAATTGTGAATGGGAGTTCACTCATGATTTGGCTGTTTGTCTGTTATTGGTGTATAAGAATGCTTGTGATTTTTGCACATTGATTTTGTATCCTGAGACTTTGCTGAAGTTGCCTATCAGCTTAAGGAGATTTTGGGCTGAGACAATGGGGTTTTCTAGACATACAATCATGTCATCTGCAAACAGGGACAATTTGACTTCCTCTTTTCCTAATTGAATACCCTTTATTTCCTTCTCCTGCCTGATTGCCCTGGCCAGAACTTCCAACACTATGTTGAATAGGAGTGGTGAGAGAGGGCATCCCTGTCTTGTGCCAGTTTTCAAAGGGAATGCTTCCCGTTTTTGCCCATTCAGTATGATATTGGCTGTGGGTTTGTCATAAATAGCTCTTATTATTTTGAGATACATCCCATCAATACCTAATTTATTGAGAGTTTTTAGCATGAAGGGTTGTTGAATTTTGTCAAAGGCCTTTTCTGCATCTATTGAGATAATCATATGGTTTTTGTCGTTGGTTCTGTTTATATGCTGGATTATGTTTATTGATTTTCATATGTTGAACCAGCCTTGCATCCCAGGGATGAAGCCCACTCGATCATGGTGGATAAGCTTTTTGGTGTGCTGCTGGATTCAGTTTGCCAGTATTTTATTGAGGATTTTTTCATCGATGTTCATCAGGGATATTGGTCTAAAATTCTCTTTTTTTGTTGTGTCTCTGCCAGGCTTTGGTATCAGGATGATGCTGGCCTCATAAAATGAGTTAGGGAGGATTCCCTCTTTTTCTGTTGATTGGAATAGTTTCAGAAGGAATGGTACCAGCTCCTCCTTGTACCTCTGGTAGAATTCAGCTGTGACTCCATCTGGTCCTGGACTTTTTTTTGTTGGTAAGCTATTAATTATTGCCTCAATTTCAGAGTCTGTTATTGGTCTATTCAGAGATTCAACTTCTTCCTGGTTTAGTCTTGGCAGGGTGTATGTGTCCAGGAATTTATCCATTTCTTCTAGATTTTCTAGTTTATTTGCATAGAGTTGTTTATAGTATTCTCTGATGGTAGTTTGTATTTCTGTGGGATTGGTGGTGATATCCCCTTTATCATTTTTTATTGCATCTATTTGATTATTCTCTCTTTTCTTCTTTATTAGTCTTGCCAGCGGTCTGTCAATTTTGTTGATCTTTTCAAAAAACCAGCTCCTGGATTCATTGATTTTTTTGAAGGGATTTTTGTGTCTCTATCTCCTTGACTTCTGCTCTGATCTTAGTTATTTCTTGCCTTCTGCTAGCTTTTGAATGTGCTTGCTCTTGCTTCTCTAGTTCTTTTAATTGTGATGTTAGGGTGTCAATTTTAGATCTTTCCTGCTTTCTCTTGTGGGCATTTCGTGCTATAAATTTCCCTCTACACACTGCTTTGAATGTGTCCCAGAGATTCTGGTATGTTGTGTCTTTGTTCTTGTTGGTTTCAAAGAACATCTTTATTTCTGCCTTCATTTCTTTATGTACCCAGTAGTCATTCAGGAGCAGGTTGTTCAGTTTCCATGTAGTTGAGCAGTTTTGAGTGAGTTTCTTAATCCTGAGTTCTAGTTTCATTGCACTGTGGTCTGAGAGACAGTTTATTATAATTTCTGTTCTTTTACATTTGCTGAGGAGTGCTTTACTTCCTACTATGTGGGCAGTTTTGGAATAAGTGCTGTGTGGTGCTGAAAAGAATGTATATTCTGTTGATTTGGGGTGGAGAGTTCTGTAGATGTCTATTAGGTCCCCTTGGTGCAGAGCTGAGTTCAGTTCCTGGATATCCTTGTTAACTTTCTGTCTCATTGATCTGTCTAATGTTGACAGTGGGGTGGTAAAGTTTCCCATTATTATTGTGTGGGAGTCTAAGTCTCTTTGTAGGTGTCTAAGGACTTGCTTTATGAATCTGGGTGCTCCTGTATTGGGTGCATATATATTTAGGATAGTTAGTTCTTCTTGCTGAATTGATCCCTTTACCATTATGTAATGGCCTTCTTTGTCTCTTCTGATCTTTGTTGGTTTAAAGTTTGTTTTATCAGAGATTAGGATTGCAACCCCTGCCTTTTTTTGTTTTCCATTTGCTTGGTAGATCTTCCTCCATCCCTTTATTTTGAGCCTATGTGTGTCTCTGCACATGAGATGGGTTTCTTGAATACAGCACACTGATGGGTCTTGACTCTTTATCCAATTTGTCAGTCTGTGTCTTTTAATTGGAGCATTTAGCCCATTTACATTTAAGGTTAATATTATTATGTGTGAATTTGATCCTGTCATTATGATGTTAGCTGGTTATTTTGCTCGTTAGTTGACGCAGTTTCTTCCTAGCATTGATGGTCTTTACAATTTGGCATGTTTTTGCAGTGGCTGGGACCGCTTGTTTCTCTCCATGTTTAGTGCTTCCTTCAGGAGCTCTTTTAGGGCAGGCCTAGTGGTGACAAAATCTCTCAGCATTTGCTTGTCTGTAAAGTATTTTATTTCTCCTTCACTTATGAAGCTTGGTTTGGCTGGATATGAAATTCTGGGTTGAAAATTCTTTTCTTTAAGAACGTTGAATATTGGCCCCCACTCTCTTCTGGCTTGTAGAGTTTCTGCTGAGAGATCTGCTGTTATTCTGATGGGCTTCCCTTTGTGGGTAACCTGACCTTTTTCTCTGGCTGCCCTTAACATTTTTTCCTTCATTTCAATTTTGGTGAATCTGAGAATTATGTGTCTTGGAGTTGCTCTTCTCGAGGAGTATCTTTGTGGCATTCTCTGTATTTCCTGAATTTTAATGTTGGCCTGCCTTGCTAAATTGGGGAAATTCTCCTGGATAATATCCTGCAGAGTGTTTTCCAACTTGGTTCCATTCTCCCCATTACTTTTAGGTACACCAGTCAGACGTAGATTTGGTCTTCTCACACAGTCCTATATTTCTTGGAGGCTTTGTTCATTTCTTTTTATTCTTTTTTCTCTAAACTTGTCTTCTTGCTTCATTTCATTCATTTGATCTTCCATCACTGATACCCTTTCTTCCAGTTGATCGAATCGGCTACTGAGGCTTGTGCATTCGTCATGTAGTTCTCGTGCCTTGGTTTTCAGCTCCATCAGGTCCTTTAAGGACTTCTCTGCACTGGTATTCTAGTTAGCCATTCGTCTAATTTTTTTTTCAAGGTTTTTAACTTCTTTGCCATGGGTTCAAACTTCCTCCTTTAGCTCGGAGTAGTTTGATCGTCTGAAGCCTTCTTCTCTCAACTCGTCAAAGTCATTCCCCATCCAGCTTTGTTCTGTTGCTGGTGAGGAGCTGCATTCCTTTGGAGGAGGAGAGGCGCTCTGATTTTTAGAGTTTCCAGTTTTTTTCTGCTGTTTTTTCCCCATCTTTGTGGTTTTATCTACCTTTGGTCTTTGATGATGGTGATGTACAGATGGGGTTTTTGTGTGGATGTCCTTTCTGTTTGTTAGTTTTCCTTCTAACAGTCAGGACCCTCAGCTGCAGGTCTGTTGGAGTTTGCTGGAGGTCCATTCCAGACCCTGTTTGCCTGGCTATCAGCAGTGGAGGCTGCAGAACAGCGGATATTGGTGAACAGCAAATGTTGCTGCCTGATCATTCCTCTGGAAGTTTTGTCTCAGAGGAGTACCCGGCCGTGTGAGGTGTCAGTCTGCCCCCAGTTAGGCTACTTGGGGGGCAGGGACCCACTTGAGGAGGCAGTCTGTCTGTTCTCAGATCTCCAGCTGTGTGCTGGTAGAACCACTACTCTCTTCAAAGCTGTCAGACAGGGACATTTAAGTCTGCAGAGGATTCTGCTGCCTTTTGTTTGGCAATGGCCTGCCCCCAGAGATGGAGTCTACAGAGGCAGGCAGGCCTCCTTGAGCTGCAGTGGGCTCTACCCAGTTCAAGCTTCCTGGTCTGCAATGGCGGGCGCCCCTCCCCCAGCCTCACTGCTGCCTTGCAATTTGATCTCAGACTGCTGTGCTAGCAATGAGCGAGGCACATTGGGCGTAGGACTCTCCAAGCCAGGTGCGGGATATAATCTCCTGGTGTGCCATTTGCTAAGACCGCTGGAAAAGTGCAGTATTAGGGTGGGAGTGACCTGATTTTCCAGGTGCCATCTGTCACCCCTTTTTTTTTTGACTAGGAAAGAGAATTCCCTGACCCCTTGCACTTCCTGGGTGAGGCAATGCCTCGCCCTGCTTTGGCTCATGCTCGGTGCACTGCACCCACTGTCCTGCACCCACTTTCCAACACTCCCCAGTGAGATGAACCCAGTACCTCAGTTGGAAATGCAGAAATAACCCATCTTCTGTGTTGCTCATGCTGGGAGCTGTAGACTGGAGCTATTCCTATTCGGCCATCTTGGCTCCCTTGTACAGAACTTTTACACAGAAGGGGCTCTGTTTATTTGTTGAAGTTTACAATCAACCAAAATTAACAAAATGTTGATGGAGTAAAGAATAATAGCTAACAGTTATACAGTGTTAAGTTTGTTAACTCAGTGTTCTAGGGATTTGATGGACGTATACATCAAACCAATTCCAAGAGGGAGGTACTATTATTACCCCCACTTTACAGGTAAAGAAGGGGAGGTGTTTCCTCCAGGGCTGCCTGCCTTAGCCTACTGTGAACAACTGATCCCAGTTTATGCAGTTCAGTGCCTGATTCTCACAGGTGTGAAAGTGGAGTGAGGAGCATCACAGAAGGAGAGAAAGTGGGCTTGGTAATCAGAGAATCTGGTCCAAATACTGGCCCAGCCAGTGACTCACTGTGCAAGGCTGAGTCAGTTACCTGATGTCTCTGAGCCGGTGTTCTCACCTCTATCTACAATGGGGACAACAAATTCTATCCTCTAGGGTTATGTGAGAACCAAGTGATAATCAATGAGGAGTGCCTGGCACGTGTAGGTATTCAGCAAATGTAAAGGAAAATGTCAATTACCTTTTCAGCTGCACCCTACATCCTGATCACAAGCTGTCCTGAGGCAGCTCAGGGTTTTTGCTATGCAGATCCCAAGTGAAGAGATAAGACCCCTGGAACACAGCACTTATATTTTGGTTAGTCTTTGACAAATGACATGGGAAAAAAACCCAGAGGCTTAAACTGTGCTGCTATTTGTAAGTGGTTAGTGACTATACTTGTCAGCAAATGCTCTGTAAAAATGGATACAGGAGAGTCCATTTTGTTTGGCCAGAATGAAATTCAACACACTCATAGGAATAGTGAGTCTCCAGTAGGAGGTCAACCCCCTACCCATCATTTTTGCATCATTCACTTTATAAGATTTTGAGATGAAAGAGATAAGTCAAATGGAGATCAAGGAAAACAACAAAAAATAAGATCTGGAATCAATACCACAAAGCCACTGCTATTTTTATTATCTTTTTGGGGTGCAGGTTAGGGCTGTATGACTAATTAGGAAAAGCTCATTAAGCTAAATATGAAGGGCAATTAACACAGGATCACTCCAGCTCTGTGTAACTGGGCTCTGCCGTCCACATCTGAGATAGCATAAGGTGGTGTACAGACACTCGGTTTCTCAGTTATACAACATCTTTCTACACATACTGTCGTGTTACTGTATCAGACCACCAGGCGGAGCAGCCCAAGCAGCTGAGCTCTTCTTCCAGCTCCGACTCGGCAGCTAGGGGATCCCAGGTTTACCTCTTTGACTCTCCCGTGGAATGAATGTTACTTATCAGGCTCTGCTTACTTCCCAGGTTGTGGTGAGGGCCAAGGAGAGGTGTGGATAAAGCTCCTTGGAAAGCTGGCCCCAGGGTTCAGCAGGTCCAGGTCTGTGTCTAGCTTTGAGCTTTGCAGGGGTGAGGGGTAGCTGGATCTGGTACCCAGTCAGGGGTTTGGGCACTGCGGGACCAGCGGCTTATACACAGGTTGGCCCAGATCTACCCTTCTCCAAAGCAGAAGGAAGCATTAAGACTTCCTTTGCCTTGAGGATGTGCTGCTTGAGGTCAGAGAAAGCTGAATTCAAATGCAGCTCTATCAGAGCATCCCTGGGCTAGCACTTATCATCTCAGAACCTCATTTTCATATCTGAAAAATACAAAGGAGATAACACTGCCTACCCAGAAGGCAAGTAGAAAATTAGAGTAATGTTTTAAAGTGCCTGGTGCCTGGAGGTGGCAATATGTAGTAGCTCCTAAGATTAGTTCTTTTCAAGTCCACTCCTGAAGTTCATTTTCACCCCATTTCATCTGCATTACAATTCAGGGCATAGGGGATTCTAACTAGCCTTGGTCTGTAACTTCCAGCAAAAGGTGGGGGTCTGATTTTTCTGGGTGGCAGACTATGGCATTTTGGGGAAGTTGTATTTGAGGCTTAAACTCAAAGAAGGTGGCATTTGGAGGGTATTTTTTTTTAATCTCCATGTCAGGTGATTTCCTTTTACCCCTTGATAGTTGCAAACAAATTGCTGGAAGATGGTGTAAGAGATACTCGGCAGCATCGCTTGCCAGAGTGAGCTCTAACCTGCTGCCTCCAGGAATGAGAAGCTGCAGTGCTTTTATAATAAACAGGCAGCCCAGCCCTACCACGAGCCAGCCTGTTCACCAAAGCCTGTGGATTCCTGCCATCAGCAGCGTGGACAGCAGCACTCATTCCAGGTCTTGTTGGAGAGAATAACCTCTGGATGTCTCTGCCAATCCAAAGCTTGCCTGACAGAAATGCTTTTTAGGGAAGATCTTCTAAAAGGGAAGGCATCTCTCCCCTCTTCCCCAGGTTCTCCAAGTGTGCGTTTGACCATGTTAGACCACCAGGAAGCTCGGTGCTTGACCATTAGTTTCTCCTAGAATCACTTTCTAGGAGAAGAATCACTTTCACCCAGGTTGGGTGGCTGCGTTTTTTTAGAGAAGGCCACCACTTCTGCCAGGAGGCTCCTCCTCTAGCCACAGGTACAGACAGCTTCAGCTACACTTCTCTCCAGCATTAGATAACAGCTCTCTCTGTTGCTAACCCGGGAGGCCCTGTCATCCTCCAAGGTTCTCCCAAGTCCTCTCCATAGCTGTGGAAATAGCTGCTTCTCCCAACTATCCTAAATTACCCTGTTTGAAGGTGCCATCTGTCTCCTGCTGGTATCTGACTGATGCAGGCACAATCCTCACAAAAACTCCCTGAGGTAAACATTATTGCTCATTTTATATATGAGAAAAAATAGTTAAATGTACTTCCCAAGGTCATATACACTGTAAGCCAAAGAGCTAAGCCTCAAACCCAGACCTGCCTTGTGCCCTTTATCTCTGTCTTATGTCCTCTTAGGGGGGCAAAATGTTTTTGAAACTGTCTTTAATCACTCCCTTTCTTCTCCTTTTCCCCACACTAACACACAATCTAATACAACTAATATAGATGAAAAATATCTGGCTTAAATAATATTGAAAGAAACCTTTATCAACAACAAAATGGAGAATTCACCGGCTCTCTCTTATTATCTTATGTTTTACTTTTTTAAAAAAGCTATAAATAGCACCTAATTGCATGCGACAGTGGAAAGCACAAGATTGTCGGAGAAAAGTCTGAGATGGCATTGCCTCTGGTAGTTGTATTGATAAAAACATATCCCAGAAAAAATTTAAAATAAAAAAGATTAAATTCTCCTGTCTCCTTGGGGCTGGATTCTTAGCACACTCTATGTGTCCCTGTCTACTCTGGAGACAGGAGATATAAGCTTAAATATTTTATTTAATTTTTCTAGTTCTTGGCAAGAGAAAGAGAGATGTCAGAAGAGAGACAGGCATTCACTGGTAGAGTCTGAAATTTCTTCTATAAACACTTTACATTCTAGGAGATGAAATACACGTAAATACTTTTAAACTGTTACATATAGCTGCCTTTTAAGATACTTAGAATAGGCTGTTACTGCTCCCTCTTAAAGTGTCTGGTTGAAACACCCTGATGCTTTTGTGAAGAGACTGCAAGATGGGGGTAGTATGAAAGGAATGGGTGTAGATCCTTAAGGGGCATCCCCAGGGCAGCCCTTGGAGGACTATCCTGGGAAACCTAGAGGTCTTTAGCTCTTTGCACATACAGTGAACCCCCAGGATGTTATGAGCTCCCTTTATTAGCGGTAAAGTGCTTGATCAGCCTTTGATAAACAGAGACTCAGCAAATCTTTAGTTGGTGCTCAGATTTAGAACAAATATATTGCTGGAAGTAACTACACCATGCAAGGTTCATTATTCAGCAGTGGATTATTTCATAATCAACCCTGCCTGCATTGGGCAGGGAGAGCCGAGTAAGTTTGCACAACAGGCCTGAGAGAAAAAGGCCATTTGAGGTATGCGTGTGTGTGTGTGTGTGTGTGTGTGTGTGGGTGGGTGTATGTGTGTGTGTATTTGGGGGGTGGTGGTAGAAGGATTAGAAGTGAAATTAAGTCCCAGTCCAACACTGAGTGGGGTTATGGGTCGTACTTTATTTCTTAAGCCAAGTGGTGAGTAAGCAGGTGTTTATCACATCATAGTTTATGCTTCTGAAAAAATGTTACTTTTAGAGTAGTTTTAGGTTTGCAGCAAAATTGAGCAGAAGGTACAGAGTTCCCTTACACAACTTGTCCCCAGGTATGCACTGTTTTCTGCACTATCAACATCTCCTACCAGTGATACATTTGTTACAATTGATAAACCTACATTGACACATCATTATCACCCAGAGTTTATAGTCCACATTAGAGTACACTTTTAGTATTATACATTCTATGGATTTATACAAATTGACAGATGTGTATCCACTATTATAGTATCCTAAGTAGTTTCATTGTTCTAAAAATCCTCTGTGGTCTCCCTATTCATACCTCTACTTATACTTTATTTATTTATTTATTTTGAGATGGGGTCTTCCTCTGTCACCCAGGCTGGAGTGTGGTGGTATGATCTCAGCTCACCGAAACCTCCGCCTTCCGGGTTCAAGTGATTCTCCTACCTCAGCCTCCCGAGTGTTTGGGACTACAGGCATGTGCCACCATGCCCTGCTAATTTTTGTGTTTTTGGTAGAGATGGGGTTTCACTATGTTGGCCAGGCTGGTCTTGAACTCCTGACCTCAAGTGATCCGCCTGCCTCAGCCTCCCAAAGTTCTGGGATTACAGGCATGAGCCACCATGCCTGGCCTACTTAATGCTTTTTTGAATGCAGAAAGTATTCATAATAATTTTTTTCAAAAAGAGTGACTAGGTAGGGTGGTAATAGAAATGTGAATAACAGATTTTGGTTTTTTGTTTTTTTTTTTTTGAGACAGTGTCTTACTCTGTTGCCCAGGCTGGAGTGCAGTGGTATGATCTTGGTTCACTACAACCTCCACTTCCTGGGTTCAAGTGATTCTCCTGCCTCAGCCTCCTGAGTAGCTGGGATTACAGGCACCTGCCAACACGCCTGGCTAATTTTTGTATTTTTTTTTAGTAGAGACTGGGTTTTGCCATGTTGGCCAGGCTGGTCTCGAACTCCTGACCTCAGGTGATCCACCTGCCTTGGCCTCCCAAAGTGCTAGGATTACAGGTGTGAGCCACTGTGCCCTGTCAACAGATTTTTTTTTTTTTTAAATAAAATTTTAGGAGTGAAAAGGTGAGAGAACAAGTAAAAGCTCTAGGTATGGCATGTGCAGGTAGTGGTCCTGCACTGTTATAGGATAAACACATTTATAGGATGATGGGAAGATGCAACTTGGGAGAAAGTACTCCAATGTGGAGAAAAAAAAGTAATTGACAGACTCGAACCTCTGGAGGGACCCAAGGGGAGGGGATTAAGAACTCAGGAGGAATAGTAGGCTCTGGGACAGAAAAATGACAGATACAGAGATGAGAATATAAAAGGTTGAAAATAAAGAAAAGATTTGAGGTGAGAGAAGGAATTTGGAGCTGTCATTGATGAGTTTTATCCCAGCAGGGGCTGTTGGGGTTCAGTGAGGGTGGAGGTGTGCTGAAGGCTTGGGCAAAGAGGAGGAGGTTTGGAGCCACTTCTGGAAGGGATGTGGGAGGGGTCTGCAAGAAATGAAAGAGGTACCAAGTGGCAGGGAGTGGGCAGCAGAGGCTAGAGGTATGTATGTAGATACATCACCATGTTTGGGGTCTTTCTCCAGCTATGCTCAGCTGCCTAGAAATGGAAGTGGAGAAGGCAGATAGGGTATGGGTGTGGTCCTGGATGGAGAGTTTTCAAGGTGGGAGAAAGCAACCTGGGGTGATGACAATGTCTGAGCAGGACAGGGCAGGACTGTCTGTCTATTATTTACCTTCGAGAGGGGATCTCCCAAGGTAGGTCTGCTCTTGAGCACCAAAGATTGAAAGGTGAGGAGGCCAGCAAGTTGTAGGTTGCAGTAAGATCTGAGCCACAGCCTGTGGCTCCCACAGCTTGTAACTGAGACCCTAGGTTTATTTTGCCCCAGGAATCCTCCAACAGTCCTGAAACACCTGTAATGTTAAATGGGCTGAGGAAAACTCTGTACACAGTTTTTATATTGATGGTGAGATACTCTGGTTTGCATTCAGCCTTCATAGCAGGAAGTAACCTGGGACACAGCTAGAATTTACCTACTTGACTTTAACTTGATTTTAACTGCCACAGAAGCTGCTGTGTAGTAATGATTGCAAACCACAAGCCCCGTTTCCTGTGGAATTTTCAGCTAGAAAACTCCCCGCTGCTCTTGTGCATAGTTTCAGTCTTTATTTATTAGGAATTACACCGAGGGTGCCAGTTTTGGGAGCTCAGTAAATTTTACCATCATCCAGAAAGGAGGAAAAAGACTAACATTAACACATCAAAACATGTTAAAAATTACAATTCTCCAGATTTCACGACAAAGAGGATTCAGTTTCAAATCTACTGCCCCCAGGAGTGGTTTTGGTTGAGTAAGAACAGTCAAATTGGCAGAGTTGTTCTGACATCACAATAATGCAACAAGGTTGGAAATTAATTTTCCTGGGAGCATTTTAGAAAGGCATGCCAATAGCCTCAAGGAAGTTGGGGGTTCTGAGTTCTAATTCTGAACTTTCTGTATAACTGGATCTCAGTAACTGGGAGCTTCTTGAGGCACACATTTATTCATCTTGTATCCCCAGAGCCTGGTATAAGGTCTGGCATATGTTGTATACTTCATGAATCCATAATATAGAATGAGTAAAATAATATAGAATGAATCACTATTGGAGTAGAAATTAGTTGGATGTATGAT
Source organism: Homo sapiens (assembly GCF_000001405.40). Taxonomy (NCBI): domain Eukaryota; kingdom Metazoa; phylum Chordata; class Mammalia; order Primates; family Hominidae; genus Homo; species Homo sapiens. The sequence continues at coordinate 104,857,333 of NC_000007.14, read as the reverse complement.
ATTATATTTGCATTTGGTGGCATCATTGTGATATTATATTTGCATTTGGTAGCATCATTTCCTGCCCCGCCTTATTATGGAAAGGAAAACTGCCGTGGTAGCGGTGAATAAAAAGCCTTCGTTCCAGAGGCAGATTGCTGGCAGTGCGTCCTTGCTGCATCGCCTACTAGTCAAATAGGCTCACTGAGCTATGGTGTCCTCATGTGTACAATGAACGTCTATGAAATGGGAACAATCTGCCTGTACCTACTTCATAAGTTATCACGCGGGTGAAATGAGATAATATAGGCAAAGACCCTGGCATACAGCACAATCACAAAAATGCAAGGAAATTGGGATTCTGTTAGCTGTTATTATTACCTTTTTTGCTAAGCCTCTCAAATACTCACTTTTCATCCTATTCTTGCAGCCTGAGATTTTCTGATGTATACTGAACATGCAGGGTATCAATGCTCATAAAGAAGCTCTGAAGATCAGTTAATGTACAGAACCTAGCACAGTATCCAGGTCATAATACACCTTACTATAATACACAGTACCCAGGTCACAATACATGCTTACTGAAAAGGGGAATGTTGAAAGAAATTTGCTTTCAATTTCTGGCAATTAAAAAACATACAATTTCATTCTACTAAGCAAGTGATTTAAAGATTCTCACGTGTACAATATAATTTTTGGATCCTTAGATTTAATAATACACTGAAATTAGTGAAAGTGTCTAGAGGTTGGTGGTTCTCAAATTGCACCACATAAGAGCCTCCTGGTTAACTAAAATATTCTAGAGTTGGCCGGGCTCAGTGGCTCGTGCCTGTAATCCCAGCACTTTGGGAGGCTGAGGCAGGTGGATCACGAGGTCAGGAGTTTGAGACCAGCCTGACCAACATGGTGAAACGCTGTTTCTACTAAAAATACAAAAATTAGCTGGGTGTGGTGGCGGGTGCCTGTAATCCCGGCTACTCGGGAGGCTGAGGCAGGAGAATTGCTTGAATCCGGAGGCAGAGGTTGTGGTGAGCCAAGATGGCGCCACTGCTCTCCAGCCTGTGTGACAGAGCAAGACTCTGTCTCAAAAAAAAAAAAAAAAAAAAAAAAAAAATTTCCTGGGACAGAATCAGGAGATCTGGGCAGAGTGCAGGCATTGGCATTCTAAACCAATCCCCCAGATGGTTCTGATATTATACTTTGAGGCAGCTGACAGGCCTCCTTTGAGAAACTCCCGGGGTTACTGAAGAATGTGACAGATGCTCATCTAAATGCAGGAATCTCTTTATTCTTTTACTATTAGTTTTCCTTCTTTTTCTCACATGGGTAAAAGAATAACAGGACTGAAATTATCTTCAGTCATAGATGGGGTTGGGAGATTCTGGGCCAGGCAAGTTTTGGTGTTGTGCAAGCATGGACACGCTTAAAGGATTTGCTATAAAGATCTGGAGTTAATTTGGCTCATGCCTGTAATCCCAGCACATTGGCAGGCCAAGGCAGGCAGATCACTTGAGGTCAGGAGTTGGAGACCAGCCTGGGCAACAAGGTAAAACCCAGTCTCTATTTTAACTGGTGTGGTGGCGTGCACCTGTAATCCCAGCTACTCGTGAAGCTGAGGCAAGAGAATCACTTGAATCCAGGAGGTGGAGGTTGCAGTGAGCTGAGATTGTGCCACTGCACTCCAGACTGGGTGACAGAGCGAGGCTCCGACTAAAAAAAAAAAAAGAAAGAAAAATCTGGAGTTATTTGGATATCCATATGTCTGAAAAACATCCAGAAGGGTATTCTTTTGGATTGTTAAGCTAGGAGCATATCTGTTTCTCTAGTCTGACATTTCAGGAGGATTGTATTTTCTCCTCTGGATGAAAGGAAGAAATATTCTGCAACACCATTATACATAATTCAAAATCCAAGAGAGCTTAATGTGAAACATAAGAATGTGACTTGCAGTCACACTCCAAGTCCAAAAAGAATGCATCTTGATCAGCATTAAAAGTATATCACTGGAAAATAAATGGTAGGTAGGCCCATCAGTCTGCAGGGGTGATGTCCTGTGTATTTTGATAATGGATTTCTCTAAGGATTTAAGCTCCCCCAGTCTGGGCTCCACACTTAACCTCCAGGTGAGGTCATTGGTCTGTTCCATCATGACACGGTGTCTCACGGTATCGCTCTCCCCTCCTCACTAATCTGTTCTCATAAATGTCTTGAAACGGTCTTAAGATTCAATTATTAATGAGAACCAATTTAACAGGCTGCTGATGCCAGGAATGAAGTTTTTTCAATTTGCAAACCTGGGATAAGCTGATCAAGGAGAATGGTACAATTTCACAGGAAATACATTAAGCTTCCCACGCCAGACTAAAGAGCTTACTGAGGTTCACAAAAGTGCAGAGAAAGGTGTGTTTGGGTGGATACGTTAATAGTCAATGGAGAGTAATTATGAGAAATTATACGCCATTGCAGGCCTCACTTTATATATAGTTTTTTTTTGACCTGGGAGGAAGGGCCAAGGTGCTGTACTCTCTCTTTAAAAAATATCATTTAAAATGTAGCCCTGCACATTTTACTTAGACAAATGGTGCTACAGAAGTGATATTTTCTTAATTTTGCTTTATTCCCTTTTTTTCATACTGAAGCTATGAGAAATTACAAGCTTATTAATTGTCATTTGAGGTGCTAGACTTCAGACCGGAAGGTGATAAATGACCTAAATCATTTGTAATATGCTGGAAGTATGGACAATCTGTGTTGAGTATAAGAAGATACATTGTTGAAGAGAGTCTCTCATAATTAATGAATAGATCTCATATTGCCCTGTGCATATAGGAAGTTACCAGCTAGAGTATGCCATCCTGAAATACATTTCTTCAGTATAAGGATAATTTTGAGCTGATTATTTTGAGAAACTGCAGACACAGGAGAAGCTCTGAAGACAGGGTAGGAGTTCCCTTTTGTAAGGGAAATTCACATCCAGAAAGGAAATCTCCATTCATGAGGGTGAACTTCTGTATTGAGTAAAGAAGGATGACTCTAAGTCAGACTTATCAATGAAGAATGCACTCAAATATGGATAACAAACCTTCCACTTGTTTACCATGCTTTTCCTGGTCACCTCCCTCTAACTGGCCCTTGCAATACCCTCCTTTCTTTGTTTCAGCTGAAGATGGTATTTAAGCCTGAACTTAAAGCCACCTCTTTGAAATTTGCTCATGTCTCTGGGTATCTCCTATGTATACGTGAAGTTATGTTCTTAAACTTCTGTTTGTTTTTATCTTGTTAACCTGTCTTTTATTACAGGGGTTCATCCTAGCTAAGAACTCAAAAGGGTAAAAGGAGAATTGTTTTTCCTCCCCTGTGATGCTTGTCTAAATGCAAGCACCTCTTTGCTTTTTACTTTTAAGTTTCTTCCTTTTTTTCTCTGGTGGGTAAACAGATAATCAGATTGAAATTACCTACAGTCAGAAATTGGGAACTGTTTTCCCCCTACAGGATTAGAATTTCACCTCTAACATTGTATAGAGGCAAAGATGATTATCTCCAAGTCAAGGTGGAACTAGGCTGCAGATAGGACCAGCTACATAATTTGCAGATCCAGTGTTAAATGAAAATTGTTCAAAAAGCAGGAAAAAGTGCCATTAAAGGTACTAAAATACAAACATTTTCCCTTTTTCCTGTGGTCCCTCTCATCTTGTTGTGGGATTTTGAATATATACTTTTAAATGTCATTCTAAGTAAATAAAAATAAATCAAATTAGCACTAATTTACCATTCATTTTTATTTCATGCAATGCCAGTTTAAATGCAAATGTCAGAGCATTTAACTCATCTGTACAATCACTGAAGTCACGCAGTCTGCATTTTTGTCCCTGGAAGGTGCTGTGTGCTGGCCAGAAAAGGCAAAAACAGACATATTCCAGAAGGTTGGAAGGAGGGAGAGAAAGATCCCCCAGGCACAGAGTAGGCTCAAGTGAACTGGCTGAAAGCACTCCCTCTGGCATGGGGGTACTTAGGATCCTCACAGCCTGTCACTCAGGACTGATGGCTTTTTAGATTCTCTCTCCCACCAGCTGCTGGCCCAACTCATTGTCCCCTGACTCGAGGAACCTCCCCTTCTCACTGGTGGTATTCCCAACCCAGGGCAGACAAATGACCCCAAGGGTATTCTAACATCTCTACTAGGTAACTGGATCGAGGTGGGCAATAGGCTTGCTCCTCGTTGAGCTCTGGACTCTGTCCACTGTCCACCAGACACACTGCAGCACTGCCAGTCCTGGGCAGGGACAGACACTGCTATGCCCTGCCCCGAGATGCTTCAGGATGGGTACGTTCAACTATGATCCTCCCCTCTGTGCCCAAACTCCTGCCTCGGGCAGACGGTGGCAGTGGTTACTGGGCAGGCACAGGGAAAGCAGGCTGGTCAGGGCTCAGGGTTTCAGGGTTCAAGAGAGTGGGCTGAGAACCCATCTGCCGGAAGGTGGGGGTGGGACTGGGAAGAGGGTGGAGGGAGGAGGAGGCAGCAGGAAGCTGGCCCCATGAACAGTCTCCATGCCCCCATGCCCCATGCTCCAGTAGCTCACTGTCCCATCAGAGTTCACTTACAAAACACACATTCAAAGATACGACTATTAACAATGTCAAGACTGGGGCTGCAGAGCTTTAAACCAAAAGCATGGGAGCCCTTGTGAGCTTGGGTCCCTGTGGGACTGCACTGGTCATGTGGCCCTTGTGTAGGAGCAAAGAACATGGAGCTGGCCCTGGGGGCAGGAGCAAAGGACAGGTAAGTGAGATAAAAGTCAGAGCTTCCTGCCAGCATGGCCAGCCTGGCCTATTCCCAACTCCCAAACAGGATTCTTCCTAACCAACCAGGACAGCTCTGTGAAGACTGGCTTTGCTCTCTGGACAAAAGCCTTCTCTTCTCTTTACTACTGCCCTACTTTCAGCATGGCCCTCCTCCTCCACCTCCCTTTCCTGCCTAGTGTCCTGATCCCCACTGCTGGGGGCAGCAGGCTGCACATTTCTGGACACTGAGTAAGTTTAAAATTCAAATCATTTGTGGCTTCTCTTTGGATTTTCCTTTGCTGCTCTGCCCTTTCTTGTTTCCCTTCTCTCTCTGTGTCTGAGAGAGGGGAGATCTGCCTTTTAATTATGTCTTACAGTTAATTAAGGTGGCATTCCCTGACTGGTAGGATGCACATGGCTTCAGCAGTTAATGCTGGTGAGGCTCTTTGAGCTCTTTGGGGTGTGTGTGAGGGTTGGGGGGTATCTGCTTTCCAGGATGTGGGCAGCCTAAGAAAAATGAGAGGGAGAGGGAAAAAAGTTGGTGGAAGTAACAGAAGCATGGAAAAGGTGGGAAAAGGAATGTGGGTAAATGGATAAGGAAAGGAGACAGAAGGGAGGAGGAAGGAATGATGGAAGGACCCAGCTTTTCTCCTGCTCTGCCCACGTGGTTTGAAAATAGAGGCTTGAGCCTGAGAAAGCTACGGCCCAAGCAGATGGTATCTTTGCAGTGCTGGTGCCTGGGCAATGTGGATCTTAGGTCACGGGTGACAAGGAGCTTCAGCGCCAAGTCTCTTACTTTGCTCTTGTCAAATTCTTGAAAATGTGACTCTGTATCTTTAGTTCTCTTGGGGTACATCCAAAGAAATCAGTACCCCATGAAGGATTAGATAGGGGAGATAAGTGATACAGAAGAAGAATCTCTTCTGGAGCTCCCAGTAGGCCCAGAGCTGTGTTGAGGAGAGTTGGGACTTTATATTCACAACAATCTTCACAAATATGAACTTAATTTTTCCAGGGTGACCAATGCGTTGGCCGTATAAGCCAAGTATACTCATAACCTCAGATTTTGAAAGCCATTTTTTTCCCTAGCAGTTTCATAATCAGCTATCCTCTTGAGTCCTATTGGGAAAGCATCACTAAATCTCCAACTCTCCAAGAAGGAAGGGGCAACTTGCTCTCTGATGGACTCACAGCCTAGAGATACCTCATGGCTTCTTGGTTGAGCCCAGCCAACCAGCCCAGAGACTCAGACTCCCAAGATGTATCCCCATGCTCAGAAAACACCCAGCCACAGGCTTCCTGTTCTTTCTTTTCTCTCACTAATTCATATTTCTTTCCAGAGAAATATTTCTTTTTTGAGTTATGATGCAGATACTACTGAGATGTTCCTTACAAGGGGAGCAAAAACTAATGTGTCAAAGTAAACATTACAATCCCATCTGAAGACTTGGAACACTATGATATACTTGCTGAGATCTCTTTCATGACTGGCAAGACATGAGAACAATATTTATCTCTAAGAGAAGGTAAAATTACTAGCAAAGGTGGTGCTATTCCTTCTAGAGCAGAATCTGTCAAAGTGGTGGCCTGTGGGTCTCCCACATCAGAAGTACCTGGAATGATGGTCAAAAAGCAGATTTATGCACGCCACTGCAGAACTTCTAAATCTCTGTGGGTGAGGGGTCAGAACCTACATTTTAAATACTGAGAGTTTTACTCTTCTATCTATAGTCATTTGAGAATCAGTGTTTGGAGCAGTGGCTCTCAAACCTTGGCGGGGGTGGGGGGGTATCTCAGAATCACCCAGAGGGCTTATGGAATACAGATTCCTGGGGCTCACCTCCACAGTTTCTGATTTAGCAGGTCTGGGGTTTGAAAACTTGCGTTTCTAATAAGTTTCTGGGCAATGCTGCTGGTCTGGAGACTACATTTTGAGAACCACTAGTTTGGAACAATTAAAACAATTTAGTTTCATGTCAGTCAGGTGTAACCTACTTCCTGTCCTGGGGAAGCCCTCTGCATCAGGGTGTTGGAGGTAGTGGTGGTGCTGGGCTTGTTTTCTGTCTGTCTAGGAGGTGGATGTCTGGGGAAGCAGTTGTTGGGGCTCAGAAAACAACACCCAAAATGAAGCCCTCAGAAGCAGGCTCAGAAGCAAAAGATCTTCTCTGACCTTCTCTTGCTCTCCTGTCTCCCAGTCCCATTCTCCCCCAAGGCTAGCCTTAGAAACGATAACGGCAAAAACCGCAATTACTTTTATTTATTTATTTTTTGTGACGGAGTTTCACTCTTGTTGCCCAGGCTGGAGTGCAATGGTGTGATCTCGGCTCACCGCAACCTCTGCCTCCCAGGTTCAAGTGATTCTCCTGCCTCAGCCTCCTGAGTAGCTGGGATTACAGGCATGTGCCACCACGCCTGGCTAATTTTGTATTTTTAGTAGAGACGGGGCTTCTCCATGTTGGTCAGGCTGGTCACGAACTCCCAACCTCAAGTGATCCGCCCACCTTGGCCTCCCAAACTGCTGGGATTACAGGCGTGAGCCACCGCGCCCGGCCTAAAAAAACCACAATTACTTTTGCACGAACCTAATAGAATTCCTCTTCCCCAAGGCTGGTCACAGAAACCAGAACCCTTTTTTTCCAAAGCCAGCCATAACATCTAAATATATTACTCTAACTTTCCCTCTGCTCTATCTGTATAAAAACTGGCCATAAAGGAATTTTCTGATCCACCTTGTTTGACTATGGGCCATAAGGCCCCCATTCCAGGGAGAGTCCTGCCCCACATCCAGAAGGAAGGAATGCTGGCTCAGAGAGGCCAAGAAGAATCTAGACAGAGAGGCCCTGCTGGGTTTCCCCACTCAGTCTATTAGCAGTAGATCCTAACCTTTTTGTCCAATCACATTTCTATATGGCTGTCCCTACTTTGTTGAACCTCTGCATAAAAATGGGCAATTTCTCCTGAATCTTTGGATCTTCATTCTGAAGGCTCCCAGGTATACATGTTAAATAAATTTATATGCCTTTTCTCTTATTAATTAATCTGCCGCATGTCACTGACTTTTCAGTGAACCTTAAGTGGGCCAAGGGCCTTGGCCCCCACACAGTGCAGGGCCACCCAGCCCCCAGGAGCCAGGCTGGTCTGTGCAGGGCCCTGAGGGAGCAAATTAATGTGTGTCTCTGTCAGATGGCTAGGCTCTGTTGGCTGGTTCTTCAGACTCTCGGGAGCTCAGTTAGTTTTGGGGTTTCCTCTATGGCAAGACATGAAGGCCTGGCCAAATCTAGAGCTTCTAGTAGTTCTCAGAACTAAGCTGGAGTAACTAGAAGCAGAAAAGAAGGCAGAGTTGGCTGGGCACAGTGGCTCACACCTGTAATCCCAGAACTTCCGGAGGCCGAAGTGGGTGGATGGCTTGAGCCCAGGAGTTCAAGACCAGCCTGGGCAACACAGTGAAACCCCAACTCTACTAAAAGTACAAAAATTAGCCGGGTGTGGTAGCACATGCCTGTAGTCCCAGCTACTTGGGTGGGAGGCTGAGGTGGGAGGATTGCTTGACTCCAGAGGTGGAAGTTGCAGTGAGTTGAGATCACGCCACTGCACTCCAGCCTGGCAATCTGACAAACCGGGTGACAGAGTGAGATTTTGTCTACAACAACAACAACAACAACAAAAAAAAAACCAAAAAAACAAAAAAAGGCAGAGTTCTCATCATCACCATGGCTAACTAGGAAGCCAGCTTGGCATATTCGCATGCTGATATGCCACCAGGCCTCCAGGCTGATATTTTAGGATCTCAGGCCATAGATGTGCCCCTTCTTCTGAAATATTTAGAAAGTATTTCAGGCTGAGGCTTGCACAGACAGTGGGGTGCTTTGCTGTGGCTCAGGGGCAGCCCATAGGACTCCTTTCCTCCTCCTTTCCCCTTCTCCTTTTCCCTTCCTCTCCCTCCCTCCCTTTCCTCAGACACCTGCAGTTTCCAATTTGGTCACTAGAGGGCTCAGCAGGACAATGATTATCCTAGGAAGGGGCAAAGAAGGACCTGCAAGAAGCCTGAAACCCACCCCCAACTCCAAGCTGGCTGTTTTTTGGGGGCTCTCCAGCAAAGGGAGAACTAAGGCAAAGAGCTCGTGACTCTTGCCTGCCTGCCCATCATCATCAGCGGGAAGACCAACTAGTCTTGTGTGGCTGCCCAAGAATGCCATTTTCCTCTTCAAACAAACAGTGCTACCGTTGTCACAGGAGAAGGAATGGTAACACCAGGGCAGTGATAGTTGCCAAGAAGGGCCTATAGTCCCCTTCCATTATCTCCAACAGCTGCTTCCCTCAAATGACATGGTGGATTGTCATCTTTCAATCTCATGTGAAGTGCCATGCAGAGGCGGCATCAAGAGTCCTCTTGTACAACCCTTCCAGCCAGATGAGCTGCCTCTCATTCCCTTCTCTGCCAAAATTCTGGAGCTGAAATTCTATCCTGGTAATACTTTCTGAGGCCATAGCTCTTTGTGGTGCTATTTGTCCAGCGCATTAGAACATAAGAAGTACACAAGAAATGATCCACTTCTGTGATTTTCCCTATTCTACCATATCCTGTCCTGCTCCTCCCACCAGATTTCGAATCAGTGTCAGATTCAGGGAAGGCTGCTGCAGACTAGATGTGTTATTTTGGAAAAAGTTGTGTATTCGGCTAAACTTGATATCTGAAAACCCAAATGGACCAAAATGTTAAATCAAGTGATGATTTTTTGCTCTCTAAAAAAGATTCATCATAGCCGGTCACAGTGGCTCACGCCTGTAATCCCAGCACTTTGGGAGGCCAAGGCAGGCGGATCACTTGAGGTCAGGAGTTCGATACCAGGCTGGCCAACATGGCGAAATCTCGTCTCTATTAAAAATACAAAACATTAGCTGGGCATGGTTGCATGTAGCTGTAGTCCCAGTTACTCAGGAGGCTGAGGCAGGAGAATCGCTCAAACCTGGGAGTCGGAGGTTGCAGTGAGCTGAGATCGTGCCACTGCACTCCAGTCTGGGCAACAGAGCAAGACTCCGTCTCCAAGAAAAAAAATTCACCATAAAAATGCCATTTACTTACCATGGAAAGAGAAAGCTCTGTTAAAAAAACGACATTGCATATTTGGTTAATAACTATAATTCCATAATTTTATGTAAAGGAAGGATGTATCTCAAAACTCTGCTGAAAGCTGGCATATGTGGGTTTCTATTCTTGCCTTATTGGCTTTTGAATTATTCTCTGACTGCCTCAGAGACTTCCCTGGCCTTGTTAACTTGGTCAGCAATACACTGAAAAGGAGAGAATGTAACCTTGTTCACCTGTTGGGTCTGCTCAAGTTCCAGAGCCCTGATCAGTGATATCTCAGGAAGAAGAGAAGTACATACCAGCTGGATAACCCCAAACTACTGAAATTGGCAGATTTGAGATGACCAAACCGGAGCTTGCCACATCTATCTGAGTTTGATAGGTCTGTGTAAAGGGCACAGGCTGTGTGCTCCTCATCTGCACTTTCTTCTTCCTGCCCTTGTTCTTCTTCAGTTAGTTACAGAAATTCACAAGGCCCTTGCTCCTGGAGGCTGTCCCCATTTGCAAAGCCTGACTATAACTTTTTTCATAATCCTACAGTGGAAAATGAATATTGCTGAGAGGAAACTGCATGAAAAACAGCCTGAGGTTACTCAGCAAACTTAGCATCATGTACTTTTGAAATCAGCTGCTTTCAAACTCATTTTACAGATGAGGAGCCCAAGAGAGGCAGAGCAACTTTCTCAAGCTCATCCAGATACTTCATAGCAGAGCCAGGACAGGGACCTGGGGTCCTTTTCGGGATGTAGCCTCCTTCACTTTTAAAAGGCTCTCCTGGTAGTGTGCAAGAGATTCTCTTCCAGAGAGAAAGGAACTGGGACATAACACAAAAAGATGCTTTGATGGGAAGAGGAGGATAAAGTTTTAATCCAGGCTCTGCCACCATCTTGGGCAAGTTACTTTCTCTCTTGAAACCTTGGCCATTTTCTATGAATTAAGGGATCTGGAGTCAAGGCTCTATCATCTCTAAGGACTCATCAGCTCTAGAATTCTGTTTCTAAACGATGGGTTGGGTCTCAACACTGCAGGGGTGTGGGCAGTGCTCAGTCATATCTCATGAGAGCCCCTCTAATTTTACATTCTTGTCATCTCTTCCAACTAACTTGGGAAGTTTCCTGCAAACTCACATTCAACACACAACAGAAACTTCAGTGAAATTGAGAACAAGAGGCAGTTCCAACCCTGCAATCACAGTCAGGATCATATTTTAAATGTTCCAGGTACGCTGTTAGGGACAAATCCCTCCTTCCCAATTTATTCTGTAAATCCAGTTTATCACATATTGAAATCACTCAGTTTGGATATATAGGTAATGGAAAATCAAGGAACACCAGAAGGAATTGTGTGTGTGCCCATGTGTGTGTATGTGTGAACAGTACAATGAAGGGCCACTAGAGTCCATATCTGGCTTGGAACCCATTATTCTTTTTCCTTCGTAGTCACAGTTTTGTTCCACATATATACGTGTTTCCATCGCATACATATGTGTACACAGGAAAATAATACATGAGAAGATGGCCTCTTTTCTCCGTGGCTCATTTTAGCCCTGTTACTTGGCACAATGGTGTTTGCTTTCACTTAGCATTCACTCTATGGAGACGCCCACAGCCGTAATCCACCAAAGGGTGGTGGCCCCAGAGAACACTGCATAGCAAAGGACAAGGTTTGTACAGAGATGCCCACATGCGTGGTTCACACTGTAGTAGTATGTTGCAGTGAGAGTGTGGACACATGCCTAGAATCCTAAAAGCTGATCATCCAAGTGCTCATTGTCAGAGAACAATAACCAAACACATCCCCCAGGACTCCCCAGCTCCTTCCCAGGGAGGTGCCAGGCTGACAGCTGCAAGTGCCAGGGATTGTGGGAGAGAGAAGTAAAAATATAAAATCAGGAACAAAGACAGAAGATTTATGGCTTGAAAGCGGCAGTTTCATGCGGCTCAAGTGCTAAGCGCTGAAAGCGGGAATCAGAAAACAGCGGAGAAAACATGCGGGAACAGAAGGCAGAAGCGCACAAAACAGAGCTGAACCCACAAAGCCATGCTCACACTTACATGGTGTGGTCTCACACTACCTTAGTTTGCCTTAAGCATTTCCATCATCTGAGAGTGTGGGAGGAAAAAACAGAACGGTTAAAGGTAAAATAAGAGCTCACACTTCATTTTTTAAAGATTAAAACTGACAACGTCATTCCTGGCTATTCCATTGACGGTGTGCAGAGACATACTTGGTGATTCTCTGCACATACTTGAGGAAAATCACAGTCCTGAGAGCCAGACTGCCTGGTTCATACTTTAGTCCTGCTACTTGCTGGCTGTAGGACCTGGGCAAGTGTCTTACCTTCCCGTGCTGTGGTTTCCTAACGTAAAACGGGCCAATAGTAGCACTTACCTCACCATGTTTTGGTGCGGATGGAATGAATGACCACATGGGAAATACTTAGAGGCCGGGTGCGGTGGCTTACGCCTGTAATCCCAACACTTTGGGAGGCTAAGGCAGGCGGATCACTTGAGGTCAGGAGTTCGAGATTAGCCTGACCAACATGGCAAAACCCCATTTCTACTAAAAATACAAAATTTAGCTGGGTGTAGTGGTGAGCGCCTGTAATCCCTGCTACATGGGAGTCTGAGGCAGGGAGAATTGCTTGAACCTGGAAGGCAAATGTTGCAATGAGCTGAGATTGTGCCACTGCACTCCAGCCTGGGTGACAGCAAAATTGCGTCTCAAAAAAGAAAGAAAAGAAATACTTAGAATATCTCTATTATTCTACAAGGAAAGAATATTCCTAGTCAATACCAAGCATTATCTAAGAGTTAGACATCATTGTTGTTTTTATTTTATCTTTGGTTTCCTCAGGCAATACCACCCAAAGGAGAGGAAAAAGAAGTGAAAGTCAAGGACTTAGAGAGAATTTTAGATGCTCAATAAGAAAAATAATCAAGGGAAAAAGACAAAAGTTAAAAACACATGGATAGAGCAATAGTTCCAAGTGTCGTTAAAATTCTTTGAGGACATCATTTCACATTCTGGATTATCCTAAAGCAATTCAGAGTAACTTTAAAAGAAAGATAAGTAAAAATCAATTGTACACACACAGATCAATTAGAACTCCAAAGCCTGGTTCACGCTGGACGCTTCAAGGCTATGTACACATCCTCAGGTATTGCCCTGCCATGCTGTTGTCTTGCATTTTCTCAATTGCCTCCATCTGGTGCCTCACAGAGAACTGCTGAAAGGTGCCAGTGCATGGATGGGGATTTGGGTGGTGGTGTAAATACCAACTGGTTGATCAAGTCATGCAGGCGGGTGAACTTCTCTCCCCCATTCTTTCCCAGAACCATTTCATTAGCTTTGCCCTCACTTGGCAGGATATTGTGGTCAAACAGGGAAGGATGGGACACTTAGTCTAAAAGGTACCTGCAAGCAAAATGCCCTGTGGATGACCTGGGCTTGAGTCTGCCTTTGCTGACCATGCTCTGAGTCCCTGGTTGGTCAGCACCAGGGCCCAGTTAGTTCCTCACTTTTCCTCAATTTGAATCCCACTCTTTCCACCTCCCAGTGGTGCATTTGCTCATGTAGATGGGCCTATTGAGACAGATCTTATTTAAAAACATGTAGCATTCCATGAAACTCAGATTAATGGCTTGTCCTCTCCTTCTGGACACCCAATTCCTTCCCCTCCAATACCTCCTATCTGACTGATAGCTTCCCATTTCCTGCTTCCCATCTGGCCCTCTTCTTACTTCTCTCTTTTGGTCACTTGTATTCATCACTGGCCCGAGATAGTTTTCAGAAGAGAAGGTACAGGCCCTCTCCTCTAAGTTTCTTTCTGCTCCTTCTCACTTATTCAAAGGCTTGAAAGACTGTGTTGGCTCTTTTCAGGATGTGAGTATTTGGATGAAGTGACTCAATTGATTATATGAAGTTGGGTGTCAGAAACACCATTTCAAATGAGAAATGAAAAGCGACCTTGGAAGTTTTTAGCTGATGGAATACAGAGAGGAAGAATGTTGAGGAACACATCAAAGTCCATTGGGGAGCCTTGCCTAACTTTCCAGAAAGGGTGAGTCACAGGCTGCCTTGGCTCCCTGAAACACAGAGGGCAGCAATGTGCTCAGCTTCCATCGAGGTGCATTCTTCCACCACGGAGGTGGAAGTGTGCGTGTTTATCTGTGGTCCCACACTGACGTGCTCTGAGAAGACCTCTGCTTTGAGCAGGGTTTTAACCTAGATCATTTAAAAAATATTTAAATGCACTCCAGAGTTGACTTCCCCAGCTCAGTAGCTGCCAGCTGGGCTGCAGGCTCCCAGAGTCTGGGCCTGGGTTTTAATTTCTTGGGCAGCCTCTCACTATGTCAAGTACAGCTTGCCCCACGCTGCAGGAAGGGGTTAGGGCTGCCAGGAATGGCAGCTTCATTTGTCTGGCAGGGAGGTTGGCTTTTTAAAGACATGGTCTTAGATCTTTCCAATCAGAGGTACTGTTTCAAGGACACAGATTATAGTGCTCATGCTCTGGAGCACAGAGAGACACCTTGATCTGTTCAACAACTTTTTGAAGGGATGCTATTTATGTCATCAGAATGTTGCTCAGGCAAAAGTGCAAACAGGCAAAAGAGCAGAAGATACTTAGAGAAGCAAAGACATTTTCAACCAGAAAAAGTAGGTATGTTGAATTGGTGTTTGCAGAAATTGAGACATTTAAATGGAATTATTAAGCAATTAATCAAATTATAACTAGGCTAGGAAATACAAGATGATTTCAAAGGAAATCATTTCAAATAAGTCATTATCTTGCTTTGGAATCATTATCTGGCATTATCAACTTGCATTTGGTTCCACAACAGATGAAGAAGGTCATTATTTTGACAGAAGAGATAGAGGCAGTTACGCTTTTTGTGTTGAGGAGACAAGCAATGCCACATCCCCTGGACTGTCAGTGAGCTCATCAGCCTGCAGGACCCCATCTGGAGGGCTGGAGTTCTCAATGCAGTGAAGACAGCCATGACATTATCATCCCATATACTGTGAGTTTTAGTCAAGTGTTCAATGGCAGTCTCTTCTAAGGTCTGCTCTGGGCTCCAGGGCCCAGTCCCCTCCCCAGGCAGGCCATGTAGATTCCTAGGTGTAAGCTGTCAGGCTAGGTTTTGGTGGGTAGCCCATGTAGGAAAAAGCCTCCCCCCACCCCCCCACCCCCGCAAAAGGTTCTACCGCTAGAGGAGGAGCTGATGCCTGAGTAACTTTGAGAGTATTTTGCCGTGCTATGCTTAACTCATCAAAATGACTGATTTTTTTTTTTTTTAAAGGATTGTGTGTGTGTGTGAGGAGGTTGATCAGAACAGACATGCTGGTTATGTTGGGAACAGTTTAGAAACTGATTTTAATCCTCTATAAAAGTGCTGTCTAGGACAGATGAAATATTCATGGTGGGGGAAGGTAGGGAGCATAGAGAGAGAGGAGGAGAGGAGGGGGAGGATGAGTTCAAGAAAGGGCAGGACAGGAAGTGGCTCCCACTGGATCTGCACCATGATAAATGAAGCCTCATCCGGCCTCTTTTATCTCTCCTTTTGCTTTCTCTGGTGTCAGGAGTGGAGAAACTTATTTGCCCTGAGACCTCCTGAAACAATAGAGGGGCAATGAGGACCACATCAATAAAGCATCATTCTTTTGAGGGAGTATAACATGCCCTACTCTCTTTTTGAATTAGTAAGGGGAACATAGAACTCAAATAAATGGGTGCAAAAGTTATTTTAAAGATCCGTCCAGTTTTATATCATAGCTAGTAAAAAGAGGCAGTTGAGAGGAGAGAAGAGAGGTAGAGAGATAGCCAACAGGTAGTGAGATTCACAGACGGAGCAAAGAAGGATTAAAAATGAAAGCTCTGCACACACAAAGTCATACATGGGAAAGCAGACACGTAATGGCTTAGGGACAGCCACACACAGGTACCCTAAAAGACACACACACACACACACACACACACACACACACACCCCACATAATGCATCGTAATACATATTGGCTTGAATCAGTATCATTGTTTGATCATTCAATTTTCCACAGACACAAACGAGGATGCAATGTCCTTATCCATGCTCCTAGGATGGAGAAAATAAATCGAGGTGAAGATGGGCTTTATGCAGAACGTGGACTGCAGGCCACTGAGGAAGGTTCTGTCTTAGCTACATAGTCATGTCTCATGAAAAACCTCTTCTGGGTCTCCCTGACCCCTGAAAATGATCCCTGGGATCATAGGGGTGATATTCCAATTAAGGCAATGGGACGTACTTTTTGTGCATTTTTCTATAAGATGGGAGAGGATTTCTTAGAGAAAAGGAAGATCAATGCCCCTGCCAAAAGGCAGCCGAGGCTTGCTGGCACCATGCATGTGTGGGTGAAGCATACTTTCCTCTGTGCTATGAGCCAACGGACACGACTTTTACCATTATTGCTCCTACTGGAGAACTTTGTTCACAGGACTCACCAAATATCAAAATCACTCATCATGGCGGCTCAACTAATGAGCTGAGATTTCATTTCATAAGCTTACTTATTATACTCGAAACATTAAAAAAAAGACAACCTTTATGTTTCTATTTGATTTATTCAAACTTGAATGAACTGTGGTCTCATTCATTTAGAATGTTAGAAAAACCATGAAAATGTTCTTCTGAGTATTTTTTATTTGGGTGATTTTCACTAAACCCTGGGAATTTGGGTTCTATAGTTTAATTTCCCACTTCCTAGGTAGTAGTAGATAATAGGTGGAATGCTGAGTATTGACTGATTTTCCTTCAAATGCATCACCTTCTGGATATTTGGTGTTCAGTGGGGGGAGGGTAGCAATAAAAAGGACAGAAATGAAAGAACCTGGGAGTGGTAGCTCCTGCCCGTAATCCCAGTACTTCAGGAGGCTGAGGTAGGAGGATCACTTGAGCTCAGGAGTTCAAGACCAGCCTAGGCAACAAGGCCCTGGTCTCTACAAAAAAAAAAAAAAAAAAAAAAAAAAAAAGGAAAAGAAAATTAGCATGGTGGCATGTGCCAGTAGTCCCAGCTACTCCGGAGGCTGAGGCTGAGGCTTGAACCTGAGGGTGTAATAGTCGCGATTGTGCCGCTGCACTCCAGCCTCGGTGACAGAGTGAGACCTTGTCTCAAAAGGAGAAAAAAAAAAAAAAAAAGAAAACCCACAAGAAAAGACAGAAAAAAGAAATGAGAATCTTCAAGAAAATGATTTTTAATTGAGAAGTCTTTCAGAGAAGGAATACAAGATAGTATTGTAATTTAGTGTTAGAGTCAAAGAAGTTTAGGGCTGGATGTGAACTTGGTAATTTTTCCAGTCCAAATGTTATAGATTTGTTTCCTAATCTATAAAATGAAGCAAACTGACTGGATAATAATGATAATATTAACATCATTAATAATTATACTTAATAATTATTGATTATAATTGTCAATTAATCTTAATATGTATAATTTTAATGATCAATTAATAATATTAATTATCCAGTCAACTTGCTTCATTTTGAGATTAGGAAACAAAAACTCAGAGGACAAGTGAGAGCCTGTTAGGGACAGACTTAGTGGTAGACCTCCTGACTCATGATCCAGGACCACCCCACCATACTGCTTCCCATTTTCAATAGAAAAACAAAGTTTTCTAAGCAATACACCCATCAGGTAATATGAGTAATATAGCCAACCTACCCTCTGAGTGCAGAGAGACTTAATATCTTCACAAGCAAGTGTTACAGGTGCGAGCCTCTGTGGACAGCCAGAAATGTTAATTTAATTTTTTTTCTTTCTTTTTTTTCTTTTTTTAAGGTAGAGTCTTGCTCTGTTGCCCAGGCTAGAGTGCAGTGGCACGATCTTGGCTCACTGGAACCTCCACTTCCTGGATTCAAATGACTCTTGTGCCTCAGCCTCCCAAGTAGCTGGGATTACAGGTGTTTGCCACCTTGCCTGGTTAATTTTTTGTATTTCTAGTAGAGAGGGGGGTTTTGCCATATTGGCCAGGCTGGTCTCGAACTCCTGACCTCAAGTGATCTGCCTGCCTCGGCCTCCGAATATGCTGAGATTACAGGCATGAGCCACCACGCTTGGCCCCCAAATTATTAATTTTATAATATAAAAGAAATTCAGGTTTCCAATCTGCCATATAGGTGGAAACCCTCAGGATCTCAGGAATGGAGTTCCATTGGCTGAAATGCACTTTATACACCTTAGCTGGCCTTGAAGGTTAGTTAAGCTCCCTGTTTTACAATCTTACCAATTTAACACTGCTATCCTGTCCTCCCTCTGGGGTGACAGGTGGCTAAAACCACATTTAGATTTTCCTCTGAGGGGAAATTTCTCTCTCCTTGACGGTCTCACTGTTCTGTGTCTCACAGCCTACTAGGAACCTGCAGGGAGCTCCCCTTGGGAGTGTCTCTTCTCTGCCTACCTGCTTTCATCTACTCTGGGGTCAGAATATTCTCTTTCTTTAAGAATTCATTCCCTGGTGGAAATGTAAGCATGCTAGAATTTATTCTGGGCTCTTACAGCATTGTTTCAGTTTTTGCTTTAGACATTATTAAAAGTGACTTTTAAAAACATGAAATGAGTTCTGGTATTAACTACATTATTTTGGTTAAAAAGATGAAGCAATGTTTCTCTGTACTTGCACATTCCAACACAGCAGTCCCTAGACACATGTGGTTATTTAAATTAATTAAAATAAAACACAAAAATTCAGTTCCTCAATTTCACTAGACACATTTCAAGCACTCAAAAGCCACATGTGTCTATGGTATGAAATTGGACAGAGCAGATAAAGAACATTTCCGTCACTGTTTTGCAAGACGGTGCTGCTTTATAACACCTATTATGCTTTAGTCAAATTTGAAAGCAAGCTCTGTACTTTGTTCTACAAGTCAGATTCTGGAAAAGATACAATGAAACATAAATATGTCAGCTACAGTCAAAACTCATCTGTAAAATAATTAATAAACAATACAGTTGGAATTCTGGGTGTCTTTATACTCAAGTCAGCCACATACAGCCTTATCACTTAATTTAGATTCTAATGAAATCAGACTTCATTTAAATGGAGATAGAGCTGACTTTCACTACAGTGGTAGCTCTTCTCAATGGAGGTGTATATGTAGGGTTAGGAGCAGAGATGGAAGTACACAGCAAAATGTATCAGAAACACCTGAGAACTTGCACAGAACTAGCCATTTCCTCCCTCCCCAGATAGATTAGAATTAGTTAGAGAGGGCAGGTGTGGCACAAAGGACTTCTGTCTTTTGAAAAAGTTCCTCAAATGGTTCTCATATATCTTTACCAGCCGTATCCCTCCAGTTGAGAACCAAAAGGATGGCTAATTGCAGGATGGCCAGGGTCATTGAGGTAAGTTATACCCGTAAGTCCTTATGTAGGTTAAGCTCTGATTACTGGAGCTGGTTTCATGAGCAATTCCATACTAAGTCTAAGTAGAGTGGGTAAGACTTCTGGTTAACAAGGTTATAATTGTTTGTTAATATAACATGTTTATATAGTTTCTGAAGGTTATATTGAAGGCATGCTAGCATTAAACATTTATTCGTTCAAGAATCACTTATTGAACGTCTAATAATGTCTATCAAACACCGTGATAAGTATTGTGGAATATGGTAAAATAAGTAAGCAATGGCACTGGAATGTGGCAGCTAAATTCCTGTGTGGGCTTTGAGTTAGACTGAGTTTAAAGTTGGCACTTTCTATAGGGTGCAGTGTATACTGCCCAGGTGATGGGTGCACCAAAATCTCACAAATCACCACTAAAGAACTTACTCATGTAACCAAACACCACCTGTTCCTCAATAACCTATGGAAATAAAAATAAAAAAAAATAAAGTTGGTGCTTTCTAGCTGTGTGTCCTCAGGTGAACTACTCAACCTCCTCAAGGCTCAGTTTCTTGCATTAAATTGGGGATAATGTTAGCACTTACTTTATGGGATTATTAATGAGGATTGAATAATATAAAATACACAGGGAAGATTTAGTACAATTTCGTGACTATAGCATTAAAGGGTATATAGTTTAGTGCGGAAGATAAACCTACTTAAGCTACACTCCTCCTCATTGCAGATGGCTGGTTCAATTGATAATGAAAAGGTGCTAAAGAAGTCAAAGGTGTAGGTATGATCCCTGTGTGGTCCAATCAGCTCTAGGGTAGATCAGACGTCTCTGCTCTTAGCCCAGCCATTCCACAAATGTGGCCAGCAGGGAATCAGGGTAATGGCACATGGACAATCAAACATGAGAGCTGAGAGTGATCCAGGATGAAGTCATCCAAGTTCCTTCCTTTAGAGACAAGTAGACTAAGTTGCAAAATCGAAGTACCTTGCCAAACTTTAAACACAACCCATCGGTGGCAGATATGAAGCCAGATCTCAGGGTTTCTGATTCCCTGCCCAATGTTCATTGTGCACACACTGAATATTTCCTAATGGAACGGAGATCTTCATCACCATGAAATATTAGAAAAGATCCTCATCTTACTATTATCTGGCCGTGGGATTATCTTCAAACACATTTTCATTAGCTTCAGAACCCAGATACAAGACTGGGTGTAATTTTCATTTGTCGTCAGAGATAAACTGACATCCTACAAGCCATGGCTCCTAGGAGCAACTCTGTGTAGACTAACAAACCAAAATAGTCAAATATTCTTGAGATCCAGTTTGTTGTACACCCCAAAAGTTAACCTGGCTCATCTCTGCTCAGCAGGGGTAAATCCTTCAGCTCTGGAATATCAGAATGGGTAGCAGAGCATAGTGAACTTATAAAAAACAGAGTGCCAGAATGTAGGACCCAACCTTCATGGCACCGTAGCCCTGATATGATCTTTCCTGGACTTCAATTCTCAGGGCAGATGGTCAACTTTTGCTTCCATCACTGCTTTCATCCTGTTACTTCCTAAGAGCACAAATGGTAAAAGAACAGTAGGCTTTTTAGATGAGAGTTTGATGGCATCTTGGTAGTTCTTCCTGCGTGGCTGCGTGGGCTAGCTTCTTCCAAAGACAATAAGTGCCTTAGCATATGGGGCCAGCACGCCCAGTGACAATAGAAGAAAGCAACAAGACAGCCACGGAGTACCTTTAAAAATGTAAATCAGATGTCCCTCCATGTTCACAAGCCTCCAGTGGCTCCCATCACAGTTAGAGTAAAATCCAAGCTCCTTTCCCTGACATATACAGCCTAAAGGATTGGGCTCTTGTCTACCTCTCCAGCTCCATTTTACACAACTCTCTGCCAACCAGTCAATCTGGGCTCCTTCCTGATTCTCCTTCCCATCTTAGGATCATTGCATATGCTCTTCACTTCTCCTAGAAATCTTTGTTATCATTGTGGTCAGTTTCTCTGCATGCCAGCTTAAATATCAGATCCTCGGAGGCCTTCCCTGAACATACAACCAAGGGTAGCTACTTGGTCACTACTTAGCACACTACCCAGGATAAATTCTCTGCATAGCACTTTATACTTTCTAATATTTTCTTGCCTTTTACGTTTATTTATTTTCTGTCTCCTCCCATTTGGGGAAAGGGGAGGGAGAGCATTAGGACAAATACCTAATGCATGCGGGGCTTAAAACCTTGGTGACAGGTTCATAAGTGCAGCAAACCACCATAGCACATGTATACCTATGTAACAAACCTGCACGTTCTGCACATGTATCACAGAACTTAAAGTAAAAAAAAATAATAATAATTTAACGTGTAGATCAATATGAAACAATGGTCAAATACATCATGTGAAGTGAGCCATTTTCAATATGAAGAATTTGATACAATTTTTGTAAAAACAGATTCTATGTGTGTTTATATATATTTGTATTCATAGAGAATAAATTACAAATGTCTTCATCTCAAAAAAAAAAAAAGAAAACAAAGTTCTGGAGAACAGGAATTTTGTCTACTTAGTTTGCCATCTCCTAGAACTGTGCCTAGCACATAGTAGGTGCTCAATAATATTTACTGAGTGAAATGAATAGATGAAGGAGTGACTGCCACTCCAGGATCATAGCTCATCTAAGCTTACCTTCTTGCTGGTGCTGTTGTGCCTACAGAGAATCTCCTAGGCTCTGGACATTACCTGCCTAGATGCAAAGTGTAGGGCTCCATGAAGAACAAACCTAAAAATCACTTTGACTAGAAGAACACACAGCAAATGTTGGTTGATGGAACGATATTTAAGGGGCACTTACTCTGTGCATCATACTAAGCACTTTATGAGAATTAACTCATTTAGTCTCAGCAAACCAATCAGGTAGTCAGTATTCTCATTCTCATTAGTGAGGATCAGTAAACTGAGGTCCAAATGACAAAATGTATCACCCAAGGCTACGCAGCTGGTAAATAGAAGTGTCAGGACTTGAACTCAGGACATCTGACTCCAGAGACCACACTGGAGGTTAAACTGCTATGGAAAATTCACAACAGAACCTATACTGATGAAGAGAATGCAAGGAAGAAAGAATGACAAAAAGAAAATGTGAATTTACAATTGTTTAATGAATATAAATCAGGCTGATAATGATCTCCCACCTGCACCAAAATAAAAGGCACCTCTCTCTACCTCTCCAAGGTTACAATGGACCTAAGTGATTAGAGAACAATTGAGATGAACAAACTTCTCAGTGCTATAGAGTACTATTAAAGGAATCCCTTGGGCATGTTCCACCGAAACCATCATGAAGCTGAAGCAGCCCTCTCCGCCTGCAGGACCTGCATGGGCCATGCTGAATGGATTGTGCACACATGTGTTTAATTGACAAGTCAATAGAAAATTGGAAGTTGATGAGCTGGCTTTGGGCGTATGTCTTCCTTCCATCAACCTCCCATCCCTCCTTTGTATGTGTTTGTCTCCACTTGACAAGGGCAACTGCGACACTTCAGCAGCTGAACTTGCCATCTTGGTCTCTTCTGCTTAGCTAGACCCCACTGACATAAATGGGTGATTTCAATAAGCAAATGATGCTTCAGAATATTTAAGGTCAGAAGGCAAAAGCACTGGTGATGTATGAGGGCAGCTAAGAGACACAGAAGGGAGTGAGGTGAGGATTCAGGAGGAGCATGAGGCTGAAAGCCAAGAAAGTCCTCTTGAGGACTCAGTTATTCCTTTTTTTTTTCTTTTTATTTTTTTGAGATGGAGTCTGGAGTGCAGTGGCAGGATCTTGGCTCACTCCAACTGTGATGGTTAATACTGTCAACTTGATTGGATTGAAAGATGCAAAGTATTGATCCTGGGTGTGTCTGTGAGGGTATTGCCAAAGGAGACAAACATTTGAGTCAGTGGGCTGGGGAAGGCAGACCCACCCTTAATCTGGAGGGCACAATCTAATCAGTTGCCATCGAATATAAACAGGCAGAAAAACGTGAAAAGGTGAGACTGGCCTAGTCTTCCAGCCTACAATTTTCTCCTGTGCTAGATGCTTCCTGCCCTCAAACATCGGACTCTAAATTCTTCAGTTTTGAGACTCAGACTGGGTCTCCTTACTCCTCAAGCTTGCAGACAGCCTATTGTGGGAACTTGTGATCATGTAAGTTAATACTTAATAAACTCCCATATAGGGACATACTTACTTGTATTACTTACTTGTATTACTAGAGGGACAGAACTAATAGGATATATATATAATAGGATATATATATATTATATATATAATAGGATATATATATATTATATATATAATAGGATATATATATATTATATATATAATAGGATATATATATATTATATATATAATAGGATATATATATTATATATATATATATAATATATATATATATATATGCTCCTCAAGCTTGCAGACAGCCTATTGTGGGAACTTGTGATCATGTAAGTTAATACTTAATAAACTCCCATATTGGGAACTTGTGATCATGTAAGTTAATACTTAATAAACTCCCGCGTGGGAGTTTATTAAGTATTAACTTACATGATCACAAGTTCCCAATATGGGAGTTTATTAAGTATTAACTTACATGATCACAAGTTCCCACAATAGGCTGTCTGCAAGCTTGAGGAGCATATATATATATATATATTATATATATATATATAATATATATATCCTATTATATATATAATATATATATATCCTATTATATATATAATATATATATATCCTATTATATATATAATATATATATATCCTATTATATATATAATATATATATATCCTATTATATATATATCCTATTAGTTCTGTCCCTCTAGTAATACAAGTAAGTAATACAAGTAAGTATGTCCCTCTAGTTAATACAAGTAACTATTAACTTACATGATCACAAGTTCCCACAATAGGCTGTCTGCAAGCTTGAGGAGTGTATATATATATATCCTCCTCAGGATATATATATATCCTATTATATATATTAGATATATATAATATATATATTATATATAATATATATATAATATATATATATAATATATCTATTATATATAATATATATATATAATATATATGTCCTATAACCCAGGATATATATATATATATACATCCTATTAGTTCTGTCCCTCTAGAGAACCCTGACTAATACACCAACCTCTGCCTCCCAGGTTCAAGCAATTCTCCTGCCTCAGCCCCCTGAGGAGCTGAGACTATAGGCACATGCCACCACGCCTAGCTAATTTTTGTATTTTTAGTAGAGACAGGGTTTCGTCATGTTGGCCAGGCTGGTCTCGAACTCCTGACCTCAAGTGATCCACCTGCCTCAGCCTCCCAAAGTGCTGGGATTACAGGAGTGAGCCACCGTGCCCATCCGAGGACTGGGTTATTCTAACCATCTGGTTTGACCTTTACATCAAGTAGAAATATCAAAAAAAAAAAAAAAGAAGGAAAAAAGAAATGTCAGAGAGATCCTAAGACAAGGTGGTAAGCTCTGGCAGGGAAAGAGCTATTTGAAGTGGATGAAGGAGTAATCTCGATGAGAAAAAACAGAATGAAAGAAATGCTTTAGGACTCAATTTGCTAAGTTAAATATGCTTTACAGGAGTATTATGCGATGACACATTTGGACAAAATGAAAACTGGTTATGAAAAAAATCTCTCTCCTCTGTTGTATACACTCAAACCGTATAAATAAGAGCCACTGAATGTGTATCTGGGAGCAAAACCAGGTCCTTCATAGTTAGGTGTTTTCTTTATGTTTAATAGAGGATGTAATGCTAGGGATATTAATATTGTCTGATAGAATGATTGATAGACAACCCAACCAACTTTAGATTTTTCCACCATAAAGGGACAATGACAATTATCCGGTGCATCTAAAACCCCAAATATTCCAGTCTGTCTTCTGCATCAAGCCCTTTTAATGAAACTGAAAAAGAACAAAGGCTAATGCTGACTTCTGTGAGTTTCAATTCATTTTAAAGTTTTCTCACTCTTCCAGCTTGGGACAGGAAAATAGAAGAAGAAAGGAGGTTGCAAATTTTACATAGTGCCCACATCATTAGTCACCAAATGATTGTAGGACTAATCAGGGAAAGTGGCTACTGAATGCCAGGCATTTCCTTATGCCATCTTATTCCATTGTTAAGACATTGGGGCAGGCAGGTATTATTAACCCTCCATTTACCGATAAAACAAAAGGTTTCAGTCACTAACCAAAGTCACTCAAATAATAAGCAGTAGTGCAGGTTTGGTGGGGATTCAAATACAGGTCTAGCTCCAAAAACAACACTATCTACAATTACACATGTGTTATATGGTATTTTGAAACATTTTTTAAAGCATCTTTTTTTTGTGTGTGTGAAGGAGAAAAATCCCCACTGCATTTTTATTTTTCAAATGAGAAAATTATGCTGCAGGGAAGCTCTCAGAGAATCTGTAAATCTTACTGGGGTGTCTGGTGGTTTGGTGTAATAAGGGTAGGTTTGGGTAAAGAAGGGGTGGGTGAGGG
The DNA here is from genome assembly GCF_000001405.40 of Homo sapiens. Lineage (NCBI taxonomy): Eukaryota > Metazoa > Chordata > Mammalia > Primates > Hominidae > Homo > Homo sapiens. The sequence continues at coordinate 104,831,556 of NC_000007.14, read as the reverse complement.
CATTCTGGAGGAGAGGGGGCTGCAGGCCCACCATGGAAATGAGCAACTCTGTTTTCTCTCCTGAAATAGATGTGGTTTCACATAAATTGACATATATAGTTCCAGGCTGTAAATGTTGTTCGTTGCTTGGTCTTTTAAACTTTTTAACTTTTCGTTCAAAAGAAACAAACTCAGTTTTTCTTAAGGAAAACAAGTACAGGAAAGTTTTAAGCTTATGACCGAATTGAATTTTCCAGCAATTAGGGGAACAAAGAACTGCAAGAACTCATTTTAATCAAAACTCTCTCTGGTTAATTTCAGTATCATATTATGCATATATAACATTTTATTAAGAATAAAAGTGCAGCTTGACGATATACTATTTTGATTAAGACAGTTTGGATAAGAATATAATTTTTAATTTGTAAAGGTGAATGTGGTCACACAGTGAAATGGTCAATTTCTAGCTATACATGTATTATGAGTTATAGGAAAAACATTTTCAAAAGAATAATTTTTTATTCTTTCTAGTCCTTTTCCAAGGAAGAGTCACCATGTCATTGTTTTGGTCCAATCAGGTACCTTTTGCGAGTGAAAGGGGGTGTTATTAACAATTATGTCAAGCCAGCAGGTGTAAACCGACCAGGACTGTCCCAGGCAAAAGAGGATGAATACCCATCCTATCCAAAGGGAAGCCACCATTTCTTCTTCTATATATTCCATGAGAAGCCCAGCAATCCCTTTTAAAAGGCAAAAAACAGCCTGCATCGCCAAGTCAATCCTAAGCCAAAAGAACAAAGCTGGAGGCATCACGCTGCCTGACTTCAAACTATACTACAAGGCTACAGTAACCAAAACAGCATGGTACTGGTACCAAAACAGAGATATAGATTAATGGAACAGAACAGAGCCCTCAGAAATAATGCCACTTGTCTACAACCATCTGATCTTTGACAAACCTGAGAAAAACAAGCAATGGGGAGAGGATTCCCTATTTAATAAATGGTGCTGGGAAAACTGGCTAGCCATATGTAGAAAGCTGAAACTGGATCCCTTCCTTACACCTTATACAAAAATTAATTCAAGATGGATTAAAGACTTACATGTTAGACCTAAAACCATTAAAAACCCTAGAAGCAAACCTAGGCAATACCATTCAGGACATAGGCATGGGCAAGGACTTCATGTCTAAAACACCAAAAGCAATGGCAACAAAAGCCAAAATTGACAAATGGGATCTAATTAAACTAAAGAGCTTCTGCACAGCAAAAGAAACTACCATCAGAGTGAATAGGCAACCTACAAAATGGGAGAAAATTTTCGCAACCTACCCATCTGACAAAGGGCTAATATCCAGAATCTACAATGAACTCAAACAAATTTACAAGAAAAAAACAAACAACCCCATCAAAAAGTGGGCAAAGGATATGAAGAGACACTTCTCAAAAGAAGACATTTATGCAGCCAAAAGACACATGAAAAAATGCTCATCATCACTGGCCATCAGAGAAATGCAAATCAAAACCACAATGAGACACCATCTCACACCAGTTAGAATGGCGATCATTAAAAAGTCAGGAAACAACAGGTGCTGGAGAGGATGTGGAGAAATAGGAATACTTTTACACTGTTGGTGGGACTGTAAGCTAGTTCAACCATTGTGGAAGTCAGTGTGGTGATTCCTCAGGGATCTAGAACTAGAAATACCATTTGACCCAGCCATCCCATTACTGGGTATATACCCAAAGGATTATAAATCATGCTGCTATGAAGACACACGCACACGTATGTTTATCGTGGCACTATTCACAATAGCAAAGACTTGGAACCAACCCAAATGTCCAACCATGATAGACTGGATTAAGAAAATGTGGCACATATACACCATGGAATACTATGCAGCCATAAAAAATGATGAGTTCATGTCCTTTGTAGGGACATGGATGAAACTGGAAACCATCATTCTCAGCAAACTATTGCAAGGACAAAAAACCAAACACCACATGTTCTCACTCATAGGTGGGAACTGAACAATGAGAACACCTGGACACAGGAAGGGGAACATCACACTCCGGGGACTGTTGTGGGGTAGGGGGATGGGGGAGGGATAGCATTAGGAGATATACCTAATGCTAAATGACAAGTTAATGGGTGCAGCACACCAACATGGCACATGTATACATATGTAAGTAATTTGCACATTGTGCACATGTACCCTAAAACTTAAAGTATAATAATAATTAAAAAAAAAAGCAGCTATGACATCTATCACTCTCCACTGCAAGAGTGGGTCCTTTTACTTTTTTTCTACTCTCTTCCTTTATATGCCCCCATTTCTGCTTCCCTCTGATGGAGGCCAAGCCAGCCGGAGGACCCTTGGTCAGGGAGAGTGGCTCCTCATGGGAGGCTCTTAATGGGGGTGTGCTGTTTCCCCTGGGAGTGAGGGCTGGGTTGAAGTCATGAGGCCAGGATTAGGCCAAACCACAATCTGAGCCTCATAAGTATGAGCTTTGGGAGTCAGTATGTTTTGGGGACTCTTTTTTTTTTGAGATGGAGTCTCACTCTGTTGCCCACGCAGGCAGCGGTACGATCTTGGCTCACTGCAGCCTTTGCCTCCTGGGCCCAAGTGATTCTCCCACCCCAGCCTCCCGAGAAGCTGGGATTACAGGCGTGCACCATCATGCCCAGCTAATTTTTGTATTTTTAGTGGAGACAGGGTTTCACCATGTTGGCCAGGCTGGTCTCGAACTCCTGACCTCAAGTGATCCACCTGCCTTGGCCTCCCAAAGTGCTGGGGTTACAGGCGTGAGCCACTGCATCCAGCCATTGTTTTGGGGACTCTTTATTTCCCTCTTACCTTCCCACTTACGCCATTTGTCTGGCTGACCTATTCAGCTACTCTGGCATGGGAGGAGTTTTCACCCCACTCCTGAGGTTGAAGAATAAGAGGCCTGGCGGTGCTTTCCTAAGAGGGCTTTGCTGCCTTCCTCCTCCACCCCAATGAAGAAGGGCTGTCAGGCCAGTATCTCCTGGGTACAAGTCCTGTATCCCCAGCAGACTTTCCTTGGCTAGAATGATATTTGGGCATCTGGGTCTCTTGGTTTCAGACAAGAGACCAGAGGAAGGGGCTGGATTTGAGTTACTGAGTTCACTACCTGCTGGGGCAGGAGTTCTCTCCTTTCCATCCTGTGAGGCTTTTCCCTGGACCTTTTTTCTTGTGAATTCAGTGGGCAGGTAGTATCCTCCTGCTGGCCTGGGGAATTTGAGGTTGGTGGGGACAGAGACTCAGGAGCCCTGCCTCTATGTTCTAAGGGCAGCAAGGCCCAGGAAAGTTGACTATGTCTTTCAAACCATCTCACATATAGAGGCTGAGGCTGGGTGGGCCTTTGCTGAAAGAGTCCTCCATGGCCAATTTATGAGTCAGGCATGGCGGGAGTGAGCTGGAGAGGGTCCCAAACTAGGGAAGAGACAGGGTTCTCTGTTTCCTCTTGGTTTGCCCATATCTGGCTCATTGTTATCATTATGACAGCCAGAGCCGAAGAGGGGTCTAGTCCACAGAAGAATGTTCAGGACTTGTGACAATACTGTATGAACTGGGGGCAGTCAGTCTGGTGCTGAACCTGAGGAGCACAGGACAGCTGCTTTCAAATCTGCAAAGGGCTATGGTCTGGAAGAGGGTCTAGCCTCCTTTGTGAGGTCCCCAGAGAGCAGTGGAGACCTCTGGACTGTGATCCAGAGATGGCACAGGTCTTTTGAAGGAGTTCACGTGGTGAGATGAACCAAGCATCTCCAAAATAACTTTTTTGTTTTTTTGAGAATGTAATAAGGATTTTTTTTACTAAAACAAGAATTCATAACAAAAGACACAAATAAATTAATTGTTCTGATAATTTTAGACTCCAGGGCCTCTCTATGGAAAGGTCAGCTTCTTATGCAGACAAGATACTATCAATCAAAAAAAAAAACAAAACAAAACAGATATTTGAGACAGTGTTTAAATACTGAACATGTGCACAGTGAAGAGAAATAAAAAGGCAGTTTCTCTATTTCCTTTTCTGTGCAAGGTATGTGTAAGTTTCAGGCCATTACCTGAACTAGGAAATCAAAATAAGGTGACACTAGTTTCACATGAACCCCAAGACTATAATCTAATTGTACCTACCATCTTCTTTACTTTAAAAAACATCCATTTATCTATACCAAATCAGTAGACTGAATTTTCTCCCTTAGGAAGCTTTTAACCAAATTGCAGTTAAATTAATCTCACTTTAAAGTGCTAGAAAGGCTTTGCAAGACCAGGGTTTATTTTGTGACATATAAAACAGGAGCTTGCCTTCCAAAGCTCTGACCGAAGAGGTACCACATGGAGAACTGGCTGCAGGACAGTGATCCATTCTATGCCATGATTTGTCAGTGCTCACATTGATAGTGGTAAAAGAATCAAGAAGCCTGGGTTTTGGAGCAACACAAACATGCTTTACCTAGTAAACGATAATCAAAGTTCTAGTCTAGGGTAAATGGTGCAAAAATAGGTGATGGGGTCCCCCATACATCACTGTGGAGATTATTTAGCCTAACTTTAAGGTAGTACAAAAGGGCTTCTTCCACACAAGGGTATCCTTTGCATGAATATTTCTGAAAAAACAATTATGTCTCCAGCTCTAGCCTCAGTTTAACATGTTTTAAAAAATACCTTCTTTTTTTTTTATGTCAGAGCCAAGGTAAAAAAGGAGTGGGGTGCAAGAAACCCTCTTTCCAGAGTCACCAAAGTAGAGAGAGCTCTAGAAGCCAGTGAGAGTGAGCATATTCAAACCACAGGGTTTGAGATTATGGGTCCATGGCAGCTGTTTCCTCCCTTCCATAACTGGGCTGTCCATCTTGGGCAGCTTCAGGGTCATGATGGGTCTTCAGCCATTTGAGTGGCTTGGACACAGATCCATTCCATTGGAGAGGGCTTTGGGCTCCTCAGTAGGCCTGGGTGGCAAAACTTCCTGAATCATACTCCTGGAGGGATCTTGATTCAAAGGGGCTCCATTTATCTGATGAATTTCTGTTCTTATCGTTACTTTCAGAATCCATGGTGCTAGGATTTGGGCCAGGTAAGGCTGTGGAAGAATCAGAGGTGAAACAGCCTCTGGGCCTCTGCCTAGGGGAAGGATGAGGGATGCTGCGTGGGATGGACTGCGCTGATGCAGGGCTGCTTCTCTTCTTTTGTTATCTCTCCACTCTGTAGCTTCAGTTTCTGTTATCCTGATGTCACAGAGCTGCCTGTGGCTAGAAGTCCAGCACTAAAGAGGCTCCAAAGACCCACATCTCTTGAGAGGCTGTGGCACAGTTTGGACCTAAGCCATGGTGAGAGCTGTGGTGATATGAAAGGTTTCCAGGACAGACCAGGGAACACTGGCTGCCGGGCTGGTCAGCAGCCTTGGTGATAAAGCCTCCCTCAAATAGCTTTAAGAATGAATTAAATAATAACAGTTATTATTCATGTAGTACCTTCTATTTGCTAGGTGCTTTACATACCATGGGAGAGACTGCTAATTAATTACCCAATATCCATCCTCCCCTTTGCCTTTATCCCCCATATTGTTGGGGGCGGCAATGTGTCCAGCTAAAGTCCTAACTTTTCCAGCCTTCCTTGAAGATAGGTATGGGCAATGAATTAGAAACAAAAGTGGTCGGGTGGGGCATCTAAAAAAACTCTTTAAAGAGAGCTAACTCAACTCGGGATGAGGGGGCAGGCTGCTTTTTCTCCTTCCCTCTTCTTCCTTCTTTTTGTCTAAAATGCAAATGTGTTGGAGCTGCTGCAACTATCTTATGATTACAAGGTTATCTTGAGGATGGAAGCCACATGCAAAAATAAAGCTGGAAACTGGGACATCCTTGATGCAATGAAGTCCCCTTTCTAGTGCTGAACTGCTACCATTAGATTTCATACTATTTGAAGGAAAATCAACTCTACTTTATTTAAGACACTATTATTTGAATTTTTTTTTGTTATGTGCAGCTGACTTAATCCTGGAACATGCACATTCTTTCATTTAGTCCTCACAGCAGTTCTGAATGACAGGTTTTATTACACCAATTTTATAGATCAGGAAATGGAGGCTCTAATGGGTTAAATAACTTGCCCCAAATCACAGACCTAGAAGGTAACAGAGCTAAGATTTGATCCTGGGTCAATCTGATCCCAAGTCCATGATCTTTCCATGTTGCTTCTCTTTTCACAGAGCAGCTGATGTGTGATGGCACATTCTGTACCAACCCATCATATGGACTGCTTTTGCTGTCCAAATGTGCCTCAGTCCATCAGGCTCACTGTTGCTATGTTTGACTCATGCCATCTTGAGTGGAGAAGTGAATTGATCATTTGTTTGGATCCTTCTGACCTCAGTCCCAGTTCCTTCTATGGTCCTCCTATCTTTATTTATTATTATTATTTTTAACACTGCAGCTGTTAGATCTTATATGGTCCTCCTATCTTAACTCTCTCCCCCACTCCCCTGTCACTTACTCATTCATATATGTCTGTTGGAAATGGATAATCTAGATTCCACCTGGATCATACAAGCATGCATAATTCAAAGAAGGTAAGTCATAAGCTGGGGCCCTGGGCTTCCAAAGCTCCTAAACACATTATATATATAGTATATATATTATAAAATTATTATATTATATACAATTATTATATAATATATATAATTATTAGATAATATATATAATTATTAGATAATATATAATATATAATTATATAATATATCATTATATATATTTTTTGAAACAGAGAAGTTTGAAATATATAATATATAATATATTATATATAATATATGAGTAAGACTTCTGTTTCAAAAAATATATATATAATTATATATATAATATATATAATATATATTATATATAATGCCAAATATATAAATATATAATTATATATAATATATAAAATAATATATATAAAATAATATATATAATTATATATAATATATAATTATATATATTATATATAAAATAATATATATAATTATATATTATATATAATTATATATATTATATATAAAATAATATATATAAAATAATATATATAATTATAGATTATATATAATTATATATTATATATAAAATTATATAATTATATATTATCTATAATTATATATATTATATATAAAATATATATTATATATTATCTATAATTATATATATTATATATAAAATATATATAATTATATATTATCTATAATTATATATATTATATATAAAATAATATATATAATTATATATAATATATAATATATTATATATATTGTATATAATATATAATATATATAATTATATATAATGTATATAATATATAATGTATATAATATATAATATATTGTATATAATATATAATATATATTATATATATAATATATAATATATATATATTTTTTTTGAAACAGAGAAGTCTTACTCTGTCACACAGGCTGGAGTGCAGTGGCACAATGTTGGCTCACTGCAACCTCTGCCTCCCGGGTTCAAGTGATTCCCCTGCCTCAGCCTCCCGAGTAGCTGGGATTATAGGCATGCACCACCATGCCCGGCTATTTTTTGTATTTTTAGTAGAGATGTGGTTTCACCATGCTGGCCAGGTTGGTCTCGAACTCCGGACCTCAAGTGATCCACCCGTTTTGGCCTCCCAAAGTGCTGGGATTAGAGGTGGGAACCACCATGCCTGGCCCCAGGCTCCTAAATCTTTTTTGAATAGTTTATTAGCCATATCTCTTTCTCTTTTTTTCCAGCTTAGTGGCCATATCAGCAAATGTGGAGGTTGATTTACAGTTTGTACTTTGTGTACTCTTTGAAGCGGAGCGAGAAATTGAAAGGCTCCGTCAAGCTCATTCATTCACAGACCAATTGAAGATCAAATTAATCTCAAAGCACTTATAGGCTCTTTAATGTTTCTGAGTTTTGCTTTATAAATCTATAGTGATCTTTATGGCATAATATCTATTTCAAGCTAAAGCACGGAAAACTGTGAAATACAATTTTCATATAAAAATTCTGAGAGGAAATACGTCATAGAAAAGGAAATTAAGCTCTGAATGGAGAAACCCCAAACTGCTTAATAAACACAATAAATGTAATCATCCAGAGGCAATTAACCAGAAGGGCTCAGACCATACAATGCTGTAGCTGGAAGGGCCTTAAGAGATCACCTGGTCCAGCCCTCTCATTTTAGAGATGAAAAAACTGAGGCCTGGAGTAGTTAAGTGGCTGTCATGGGTCACATAGCTGTTTACAGCAGGACTGGGCCTAGAACCTGGGCCTTCCAAACTCTTCATGCAGATGAAAGATACCTGCAACATCAAGAATTTGGCAATGGAAGATTTTTGGAGTGGGCCCATTTCTTCTTTATCTGAAATTATTTATTAATCTGGGGAGCTATTGATAACATTCTCCACATGTTTCATTCTCGGGCCTTCCCTGTGTTCCATAGCATACACGATCATGGCTCACTGTTTTTATGCATCACATATTGCTGTGGATTGTAATCATACTGTTGGGGATGTCTGTGCTCACCTCTTCATGCAGAGCGTACGGCTCTGGAGGCCTGGGACCCCAAGGTACTTTGGTTTTGTGTTCCTCACAGGGTGTAACTCAGAGCCAGTCACATAGTAGACACTAAACTCGCACTTCTTGGTAGGGTGAACAGTGAAAACAGAGCAATCTTTTGGTACCAGCCCACTGCCCCCTTTTTTTTAACACTGTCTTTAAATTCTACCCTTACTTTTATCCTCCAATCCATGTCCTTTCTCCCTGTGTTTGCCCCTTGCTGAAGATAATAGCTATTTTGAACCATAGCTCCGTGTCAGATTCTTCCAAGATGATGCGGCTTACTTGATCTTTGCTGACAGGCCACTGCCAGCCCACAGGGTGCCTTTGTGTGAATAAGAAAAACTATTCCTTCCTCTGGACCACAGAGCTTCTCAACTGGGAGAAATTTTCACTCTCATGTGGCAATGACTGAAGATATTTTGGGTTGTTTCAACTGAGTGGTGCTACTGGCTTCTAGTAGGGGGAGGCCAGGACTGTTGGCAAACATCCTACAATGCACAGGACAGATCTCCATCCCCCACAGAATTAGCTGGTCCATAATGTCAATAGTGGTGAGGTTGAGTAACCCTGCAGCAGAAGGAAAACTATCAGATTTAGACTAGGATGAAATTTCAGGGACTGCTTTTTTACCTGATAAATGTGTTATAAAAAGAAGTTAGTATTTCCTCATTAAATATCTACTTGGACCAAGACTGAACACTTCTAGATATTTGTATTACAAAATACCATGACTCACTAGAGTTGTCAACAACTCAATGTTTTCCACCTTTGAGAAAGACCCTTCCAACGAAAGTCACTTCTGGAACACAGTATGAACCTTGGGCTATTGAAACCGGTTTCAAACACTTAGTCTCATGGGAAACTCCCTTAAACAGATAAAGCCCACCTTGCATCTTTTGGATGTAAATCATTGCAAGGCCCTCCCCTCTGCCCCTCCTTTCCGCTTCCTGGTAATATTGTCACCAAATTCCAAGCTCCTCATGCTTTAGTAAATATTTAGCCCCTTCACTCTTGACATTTTCTTACTATATGCGGCCTGTTATTATCTCCATGTTACAAACTGGGGGAGCTCTCTAACACTTGTGGCAAATTCACTGACCTTTGATTACACTACTTAATCTATGTTTGCAAAGTGCATTTGTGCAGTTTATTGTAACTAAGTGAGGTTTCACTTGGAGGTGGGAGAATTGGTTATTTTACTCATTTCTCTGTGAACTCCTGTTTTTCCAAGTCTAGAAACTTTGACTGTGCTACTTTAGGCCTTTAAAGATGGCAAAACAAGGTTATAAAGCAGCATAGTGAGATGGTCACACTGTAGATTATGCTGAATTTTCCAAATTTGGTGTCCTAGCTCTTTCATGTTGCACGTAATGCCTTTAAAAGGGTCCGATCTTTGTCTTCTAGAACCTCTGAACCCACACAGTTCTGCCTCCTGGGAACTCAAAGATTTGGCTCTCTCTGAGAAGCAGTAGGGATAGGTAAATGTACTTGAGGGATAATGCAGGATTTCATTTCAGAATCAAGAGAATACTTCCTACCTCAGCCTTCACTTGACAGTGAATCTGCATGAAACCGGCTCTTGCCCACAGCTGCAAGTGCTTCTGAATCGGAACTCTTCACTTCCTTGCCTCTCCTCAGCAGAGGCAGACACAGCCCCTGCCACCCACGAGGAGGATGCTGTCAGCAGGGAACCCTTTGCTTGGAGTGACCCACACAGCCTGAGAGCAGGAGGATGCAGAGGCAGCCCACCCATGTCCTCGCCACTCATAGACACTTGTGAAAACCCATGAAATAGATTTTCTTTGGGACTCATTTCCTGTCACATTTATTAAAAAATTGAACACTACATAACGACATTTTTTTTAAAAGCAGAAAGCATGCAATAAAGATTAATCTAATTGCCGTGATGCTTTGAAGGTTTCATGTTGTAAATTAGCAGTACAGGCGTGACTTTGGGAGGCAGGCCTCTTGGAAGGCAGTTAAAGTTCCTAGGGGGAGGGGAAACGCAGTCCAAGCTTAAGCAGGAAACACTGAGGGTGTCTCTCTAGGCTCCTGTCTGGGACCCAATCCTAGAAAAGCTTGAAATTGATGTCAGGACAAACTGGATGAGGCGTTAACTGTGTTGGCGTTTGTTGGTAGTGGGCTTATTCCAAAGGAATGGAAGGCGTTTCTCTCCTCCTCTGCAGAGGATATAGCCAGGACCTTAGTCTAGAGGCCTCTGCTTCTTTGGTCTGGGGGGGTGGTTAAGGTGTCTTCCCAACCTATGTGCTCCCTGAGGCAGTGAAGGTCAGACTGAGAGTGAGGGGAGCTGCTTGATTGGAGGGAGAAATGAGTTCTTTGTGATACTGAGAGGATGCTGGTGTTGCAGGTTATGTACATGGTGGGCCTCTGCCTTGCTCATAAACTGTAGAAAGTTGGGCATGAGGTGGGCTGCTTGGGAGCTTCAGCAAAGAGCCCTGGAAACACCAATTCATCTGCCTCCTGATTTTGCCAAGGGCTTCAGCCTGGCCTGCAACCCTTGCCAACATAATCTCTGCCTCTGGTTTGACAAGGCATGGTTGGCTTATGAAAATGTATCCCAGGCATGCAGCTCACATCTCTTTGAATATCTTCCTTTTCCTAATCAGAACCCAGAGAAGCATTTCAGCTGCTCAGAGGCTGAGCAGAAGCACTGACACTTTAATCTGGAGCCATGGTACTTTATTAGCACTCTGCTCACCCTTTCATTCATTTGCTTTTCTTGCAGAAGAGGCTGCCTGTACAATTTTGTCACTGAGAATGATAAATGGGCTTGGCATTTCCCACTTTCTTTTTTTTGCATGGTCTGTGAATGCACGTGGATTTTCCAATTTTCAGATATAACATGTCCAGATGTGTATGAATGAGAAGGTGCAAATGTCCTGATGAGTTCAATTTTCCTGGAGAGATTTCTGCAATAATATAATCATGGAGCCCAAACTGTGAAACACACAAGGAAATAGAACAGAGACAGAGTTTTCTCTTCCTTAAAAAAGAGATCACAATCGGCTCGTTTTGTATATTGCTTTGATCGTATTTGCCCTTCTGTTGGGGCCAGGTGACAGTGAAGATCATTGTGGCAGCTGAAGTTTCTTTACACAGCCATGTGTGTCTCTGTAAAATTTGAAGCCTTGATAAATTGTCCATGTGCCTTCAAAAATGCAAGCTGTGGTGGTGCATCTGTAAATGTGGTGTGGAATCCCTGTTAAAGTACGCACATATCAGCAAGCTCCAATATAAAGCGACTGGAATCCCAAAAGGTCGTGATTACTTTCAAGCAAAGGACTTCCCTGTGAATCGCATTTAAAGTGATTAATGTGGCTGCTGTGACTTGGGGTACTAGTGCTGAAGCACATATACTTTATATTACAAGAGTGATGCAACTGCTGTTTTTTTGTTTTTGTTTTTGTTTTTTAAATGAGAGAAGAAGGGGAAAGGCACAGGCTCCCTACTGCAAAAACTTTTCTGCTGGGATATTGAGAAATAATTCAGAAACAAGGGTCAGAATTTTTGTGTGTAATCACATAGGAGGCTCTCGTGCAAGGATGAAGGTAAGTAATTGAGACAGCAGGTTTTTTTTTTTTTTTTTTCCAGATCTAAATGGGCAAGAGGAATGTATTCTTTTGGAGATGGGTGAAGAACAGCAGATGTTTGCATAGAACTGAACTGGTGAACCCTGGTGAATTCCTAGTAGTGACATGTTAATTGCGATGATTGTAAATAGGGAACATCTGTTTTAGAATTATTATTAGAAATGCAAGCACATTCCTATTGTTCATGTGATTTAATATATTTTTTTTAAAGCAGGATCAAGATGGAAGATTTTCAGTTGCATTTACAGGGATCAAATTAAGCTTATATTAAATCAAGCTGAGACTGATTTGGGCTTTGCCTAACTCTTGAAGGCATGCAAAATAAACATTATGAATGCCACAATAGGGGGCCATGATTTATATTCTCATAAAGTTCTATATAGCTATTTGTTTTATAGACAGTTTCTTCTGTGTAACAGACAGACGAGGAGAGAAAAGAATCTCATAGACTATGATGGCACTACCAGAGATTAAAAAAGAGGAGGAAACCCCAAAACAAGCAAATAGTTAAAGATTAAATCTCAAAGGTGTATTGGGGCTCCTTTTTTTTTAATTTTAGCATTTGAGTGAGTGAGAGAGAGAGAGAGAGAGAGAAAGGAGAAAGGGCTTATTAAAACAAACAAGCCAACAAAATCTCAAACCCAACACATTAGTGAAACGTGGAAACAACTCTGTTTTTCTGGCTTTGCCCGAGTTTCCCCTCTCTCAGTACTTTTGAACATCTGAAATTTAGGTTATTGGTTATTTTACTTATAAACTTGAGTCCATAATGATATGTTTACCCCAGGGTCAATTTCAAAAGAATCTTAATGGGGTGAAGCATAAAACTGAAACTGTAATAATGGAAATTAAAACACCAAGAAGATAGATATTTGGCACGATCTCTGCTCACTGCAACCTCCGCCTCCCAGGTTCAAGCGATTTTCCTGTCTCAGCCTCCCGAGTAGTTGGGACTACAGGTACGTGCCTGTTTTTTTTTTTTTTTTTAATGAGAGAAGTGCCCAAGCCAGTTGCCTTAAAGTCAGTTGCCTTAGGTGGGCAAAGAATTCCACAAACAAGATTAGACTTTAGAGACAACTTCCTGCCCATGTTGATTGTGACAATTTCAATAGGTTACCTAGAGGGTGGTAAAGAGACACTTCTTGAAACTGATAGAAAATAAAATAGAACAGGAAAATGAACCACCATATTTCTCTGAAGCATTTAAGTACACTCATTCCTAAGAGCTTTGAAATAAACTAGATGATCCTTGCTGGCTCAATAAATCCTTCCGATTCCTCTTACTTCTCTTGCTTGCTCTAAGTCAGCACTGCCCAAGAGCCCTTTGTGTGACGGAAATGTTCTGTATCTGTGCTGTCCAATACGGTAGACACTAGTCACGTGTACCTATGGAGCACTTGAAATGTAGCTAGTGCAACTACATTGGAAATGAATGGTACTTAATTTTAATTAACCTACAATTAAATAGCCAACAGAAGTCCTGGTGCTAGGTATCGGAATAGTGTTTGCCTAAAGACTTTATGATCAGTCAGCAATGGGAGGATTTCAAAAGACAGTTGATGATGTGGTATGAGGGAGGGACTGTGTGGAGAAGGAGGGTATCATGGTGTGGCCATGGGGGTTTGTATGGGATTAGAATCAGTGAAGTAGTACTGTCTGAGGGAGGAGGCTTCTGTGGTCCTGTACCTAGAATTGTCAATCGTCAAATCAGGAAAGGCCCCTGAGTTCCCAGGGATGTGAGGGCCTCAGGGCTCTATGATGAAGCATAGATGTTGTTTTTGTCCTCAGCTATCTACCAGTGTGAGAGAGATGAACAAAGTAAAGAGTATGCTATGGACCTAAACACAATCAAATAAGCGTTTAGGAGACTTGCAAAAGGATGAATGCCAGAGACTGTATTGAAGGGGAAGGTTGTTTAAAGATGTGGTGTTTACATGAGAAAACTTCCCAATGAACAAGAAAACCCTGCTGTTTTCTGGGCTGGGTCAAGGCAGCAGTTTGAGAAGCTGAATTAGATGAGGAGAAAAAGGGAGGAGGCCCTTGTGGGCTGAATGAAATGGGGTGAGGTTGAAAAAAATCTGAGGTTGAGCCTTTGCTCAACACATAAATATTGACTGCCCAGCACTGGATAGGCACAATATGGGCACACAGGATACTGGACAGGGTTTGCCCTCAGGGAAATTATAACGAAGACTGGCAACGTAGCCCGCGCTGAGCAAAGATAAATAGCAATACCAAGGAATACTCCAATAAAGTGTGTAGATAGGCAGAGGCAGGGAGAGATCCTTGTGGGCTAGGAAGGCCAGGGTGTGTGGGATGGGCCTTGAAGAATTTGCCTGGGTGGAAAGAGGGGGAGAAGCAAAGAAGGTTTGCAGGGGAGCCCCAGAATGACTGGAAGAGCTAGCAGTTCAGAAGTTAAGGTGGTCACAGTCAGAAGTGTGTGCTTAACCCAGAGGATTATGGAAACCCAGAAGACACAAGGTTCATGAGGCAGGCTTGGAAAATGCATTTTCTTGACAAATACAATGGAGTTAAAGCAGCCCGAGGCTAGGAGGCCAGCAGGGAGGAGTTAAGTCAGGCAAGGTGAGATGGTTCCACACCTGGGCAAAGGCTGTTTAGACCTGAGCTCTTTGCCACGTTGAGTGGCCTGAAAATGAAACTGCTCAGCTCTGACAGCCACTGTGTGCCTTTGAAAGCAGGATCTGAAGTTCACTTTAAAAGTGAGTTGCTCCCAAACCACTGCAGAAATTTCAGATGGGGCTTAAGAGACTAAAGCCAACATCTCCTTTATGCAACTGCTGATAGTAATTGAAAGAAGGATTCTGAAACCATGGTTACCATAGAGGACTAAAATTAAGACCAAAGGTGAGGATTTAGAATCCAAGAAAATAGAATGGGTTCAAGGTAGAGCTCACACTTATGCTTTGTATAAACTATCTGATTATCTTTGGTAAATGCATCCTTTTATGAAGCAATCTCAGGAGCCAGCATAGTGGTTCTTGCATCCCTGAAGCTTAGTGCAGAGCCTCAAATCCTGGGTAGCAGGATGGAATCCTGCTAAGCTAAAAGGAAACTAGGTTTCTGTAATAGGTATGAGATTTTTAGATATGATTTTTACCTAGATTGATTCTTTTTGCCCCAAGTGGGCCTAATTATGGAAAAAGCTTGGAATCTACTGGCAAATGCTGTTGCTGTAAAACAACAACAACGACAGCATTTTTTTCACAGGGCGCAGTTCTTCAAGTTGTTCTTTTGGGATGGGATCTTCATCTTGAACTCATAATGAAGGTCAAGGCTGCTGCAGAGTGTCCTAGAATAGGTGACAGAAAGCACACAATGAGGCTAATTCTCATTGTGCCAAGGGGTGCTGGTCTATATGGAATGTGGTGGTCAGCTACAGGAAGGAGGGGTTTGGTCTGTCATTCTGAATGAGCAAAGCAGTTCCATGCATGAATCCCTCATTCTTCAAAGGGGAAAGGGGGAGGGACCTTGAGAATTCCTACCTTTGAGCTTCTTTGCCCTAGTACTCACACGAGGCAGTTCACAACTTTCCTGTGTCTCCCAATAAGCCATGTGTGCAGCCTGCCATGAGATGACCAGATCCAGAAGAGAATCCAGGGCATGAGACTCTACTGTGTGGGGTGGGGTGGTGGTAGGCACAGGGGAGATCTGGGCTGACTTAAAAGAAAGGGCTATCTGAGAGAGAAGTGGCATTTAGTTAGAACCTCTGAACGGAGGAGAAAAAGGTGGAACTGGAAGAATTCTTTGTCCCTTTGGGTAAATCATTGTAATGAAAAACTTAAAATGTACAGATTTAGGTTCCCCCATATCACTGCTCAAGTGGTCTTCTTATCTTTTTAAGAATTTGATTTTTGAAATAAGACACACATTCAGAAGAGTGCACAAAATACAAAGGCACAGTTTAACACAGAATTATAAAGTGAGCACTGTGTAACCGCCAGCCAGCTCAAGAAATAGGACATTGCCAGTATCCTGGAAACCCCACATGTCCCTCCCCAGCCATATGCCCTTCTCCTGCTGGGGGTAATCACTATTCACTGACTTGATGGCAGCAGCAGGCCGTCTGGAGCTGCCCCTGCCATCATGCCGGCTGCAGCAGGGAGGCGGGGTGGGGGCTGTTCGCTCCATGGAGCCAGCAAGAGCTGGGACAAGTGGGAGCCCCACCCCTTCTAAGTTGGGGTGGGAGCTCCCTGGGTGGCTCTGTAGCTGTGGAAGCCATGGCTATGGACCCATGCATCCTCGTGCTCTCGGGGTTGGGGGGCAGGCGGGAGTCCCACTTTCCTGGGCATAGCTGCAGCCACCCAAACCATGGCTGCAGACCTGGGCCTCCTGCTCCATAGAGCAGGTGGGAGCCCAGGCGCAGCTGCAGCTGCCCCAAACTGCAGCTATGGACCCAGGCATCCCTGCACTACTGGGGGTCTGGGAAGGCACCCCTGCCCTTGCAGGCTTGAAAGTGCCTGCTCCCGCCGCCTGGTTTCTCCCTGCTGTCGGCACCTGCTCTGATCTCAGAGTAAAGTCAGGACCCAGCCCGGCCACTGCCGCAGCCCAGTCGAGCGTGCACACACTTGGGGCAGTGCTGACACGCCAGCACCCTGCTGCATCTGCCCCCTCTGGAATTTGGGCACTGACGAGCATAGGAGGAAAGCTGAGGGTGAGATGAGGGAAGCTTGGTGCTGACCTATAGGTGCCGCTTGGCACCTATAGCCTGGATGTCATGAAAGGCAGAGGGAGGCAGACAGGTTCCTGGGTGGAACGGGGCAGGTCCCCAGTGAGGCCCCACCTTCAGGCCAGGGAGGACCTGAAGGCTGGGAGTCAGGCTGCCAGTTCCGTGGACCTGAGTAGAAACTTGTAGTGCCTTTTCTGGGTGGGACCAATCAGCATGCACTTCTTCCCCTTTGAGGCCCTTAAAAGCTCTGGGATCAGCCAGAGCTGAGCAGATGTCAGATGATCAGCTGCAAAGAGGAGCAACCCACTCCAGGGCCTCCTCTCTGCTCAGAGCTGCAGAGACGATGGAGAGATGATAGGGAGATGATGAGTCGACCAGGTGCAGAGAGGAGCCACCCACTCTAGGGCTTCCTCCACTGCTGAGAGCTGTGCAGATGATGGGACAACCAGCTGCAGAGAGGAGCTACCCTCTCTGCTGATAGCTGAACACTTGTTGGGATGACTTGCCTAGCAGAGAGGAGCTACCCTCTGCTAGGAGCCGAACACTTATCAGGACACCATGGCTGTGGAAAGGAGCTGCTCCCTGCAGGCATCCTCTGAGCTGTTCTATTGCTCAGTAAAGCTCCTCTTCATCTTGCTCACCCTCCACTTGTCTGCATACCTCATTCTTTCTGGTTGCAGGACAAGAACTTGGGACCCACTGAATGGTGAGGCTAAAAGAGCTGTAACACAAACAGGGCTGAGACATGCCTCTTGCTTCCTATGTTGCGGGTGAAGAGAAGGAAAGAAGAGCTGTGGTCCTTTGGGGAACCCAAACCTGGGAGCTCCCCAAGTCAGGGCTATGACTCCTTCTTTGAGGCCCTGCAATTCCTGGCATCTCCAAGCTTTCAGGCACCACCGTGTTCTCTGATGCCAGCTGTGGAAGCTGCTTGTGGGTTTCTCCTCTTTGCAGCTGATCATCTGACATCTGCTGGTCTGGCCACAGCCTCATAGAAAGCTGGCACCTGTGCTGGAACCTGGAGTTGCCCTCCCTGCTGCAGCAGCCAGCATGTCTGACTGTGCACAGTGGCTGGACCCTACACTCACTCACACACCTCTCGCCATTCCATGCCTGACTCACCCTTAGCAGGCATGGGACCCAGGCTAGTAGCATGAACCCAGCACAGCCTGCCAGGCCAAGTGGGTGAAACAAGCCCAGTGGGCACAAGCAAAACTCAGGCAAAGGTGCCACTAGCCACAGAGTTTTCCGACCAGAAAAATGGTACCCCAAAGATCCCATAACACTTTTATGACCATCACTTCCCTGGCTTTCTTTTTGAGGTTACCAGCTATTTACATGACCCAACAATATGCTAAGTTCAATTTTTGATCTTAGAGTAATACTGTACGTATTCTTTATTTTTACTTTTTTGGGACAGGATCTCACTCTGTTTCCCAGGCCGGAGTGCAGTGGTGCCATCATGTCTCACTGCAGCCTTGACCTTCTGGGCTCAAGTGATCCTCCCACCTCAGCCTCCCCAGTAGCTGGCACCACAGTTGTGCACTCTCACACCCATCTAATTTTTTTTTCTCCCCGAGATGAAGTCTTGCTCTGTTGCCTAGCCTGGAGTGCAGTGGCATGATCTCGGCTCACTGCAACCTCCGCCTCCTGGGTTCAAGCAATTCTCCTGCCTCAGCCCCCCTGACTTGGTGGGATTACAGGTGTGAGCCACCACATCCAGCTATTTTTTTGTATTTTTAGTAGAGAAGGGGTTTCACCATGTTGGCCAGGCTGGTCTTGAACTCCTTACCTTGTGACCTGCCCACCTCGGCCTCCCAAAGTGCTGGGATTACAGACATGAGCCACTGCGCCTGGCCTTTTTTTTTTTTTTTTTTTTTTTTTTTTGAGATGGAGTCTTGCTCTGTCACCCAGGCTGGAGTGCAGTGGTGCGATCTTCGCTCATTGTGACCTCTGCTTCCTGGGTTCAAGTGATTCTCCTGCCTCAGTCTCCTGAGTAGCTAGGATTACAGGTGCCTGACACCTCGCCTGGCTAATTTTTGTAATTTTTTTTAGTAGAGATGGGGTCTCTCTATGTTGGCCAGGCTGGTCTTGAACTCCTGACCTCAAACGATCTGCCCAGTTATGCCTTCCAAAGTGCTGGGATTACAGGCATGAGCCACCTGGCTACGTCTAATTAAAAAAAAAATTTTTTTTTGTAGACATGGGGGTCTCATTATGTTGCCTAGGCTGGTGTAGAGATTCTTTTATGTTTCCCTTCTTTCACTCAGCATTGTACATTGTAAGGTTCATCCATGTTGTTGTAGATAGTTGTGGTTCTTTCATTTCCCTTGCTGTATAGATTTCCATTGCATGACTATTCCACAATTTATTCATCCAGTCTACTAGGAATGGCCATTTGGGCATTGCTCTTTTCTCTTTGAGCTCATCGTTTTCTCAGCAGCTGCTGGCTCTCTTTCAGCAATGGTCACGCCAGCAAATTACTGAATTGAAGTTCAGATGGAGACTTTGTGGACTGTGATGAAGACTGGTCACAGAGAAGGTGTTATTGATCACTTTCCAAGTAAGACAGCATTGACAACAAACAGAAAGGCTCATGGTGTCTCAGACACCAAGAAAAGCCCTGAGTTCTACCTTGGTAACTCTTGAATTTTCACTTGTTTCAATTTCATCAGCATTTGAGAAATAATTCTTTGTATTATTGCATTCAGGTTAACAAATTATCAAATAATATTTTAAATCTTTTTTGTTGGGGGGACACATTAATTCAGCAGACTTACTTTGCAAATCCTTCAGTGTTGTGTGCATTCTTTAAAACAGCTTTCTCTCATAATGACATAATCAGCTAGAGGTGACAGCAATAAATGTCTTCACATTATTTCAGGTTTAGCCTTCAAAATGAGAATGAACTAAAAGTGGAAAGAACTTTAATATATGCATTCATTTATGCTGGCATTGACAAAGACTGATGCTTAGCATCAGCATGTCCTCTGTCATAATAATAATAATTGCTAATGATTATCACAACCACGGCAACAACATGCTGTCATCTGGATATGAAATGATGCTGCTAATCCAGAGTCAGTAGACTATCTTTTTTGAGCTTTTTTTTCCCTTCTAGGATTGGGGATATATGTATGCTCATCCATCCTTGCTCTCTTGACTGACCTCCATTAGGAATCTCACTTAGAGCTAGTCATGGTGGCCCATGCCTGCAATCCCAACACTTTGGGAGGCAGAGGCAGGATGATAATTTGAGCCCAGGAGTTCAAGATCAGCCTGGGAAACTTGGTGAGACCTCATCTCTACAAAAAAATAAAATTAAAAAATTAGCCAGGCACAGTGGTGAGGACCTGTAGTTCCAGCTACTAGGGAGGCTGAGGTGGGAGGATGGGTTGAGCCTGGGAGGTTGAGGCTACAGTAAGTCATGAATGCGCCACTGCACTCCCTCCTGGGAGACAGAGGGAGACCCTGTGTCAAAGAAAGAAAAGAAAAGAAAAGAAAAGAAAAGAAAAGAAAAGAAAGAAAGAAAGAAAGAAAAAGAAAGAAAGGAAGGAAAGAGAGAGAGAAAGAGAGAGAAAGAAAGAGATCTCATTTTAGGCAGGTTGCCTTTGACCAGATTTTATTCTGACTCTAACCTAAAGCCTAAGACAGTTCTAACACATCTGGAGCTATTCCTGGACCACCTGATAAGAGAGAAGCTATAAGGGAAGGACAGAGCATTAATCCTGAGCTGCCAGTTTATTTTGGCATCTACAGTGACAACAACCATAAAATGTGTCTTAATTAAACACCATAGAGTGATAAAAAAGAAATGATTTCCTTGAATGTTTTCCTGGTGGAAAACAATTTGGTCAAGGATTTCTCTTCAAGCTCTGACCTACTTCTGCCTACTTGAAATCTTCACTTGAGTACCTTGTTGGTTCCTCCAGCTTCAATATATTCCAAAACTAGAATTGTCATGTGTCTGGTCTGCCAAATACAAGCTATGTTGTCCCAATAGCACTAATAACACCTCCTTTTATTTCTGAACATGTGCCTGTTTGGACAAAAAATGATATGGGCATCCTACCCCAAAGAAACACATGCCTTTCCTCTCCTGACTTCCCTCCACATCCCCGAGCTTGCTACCCCACTGATGCCCCCTTTCTCAGTTACTGCACCATCATTCTCCCTGTGGCTCAAAGTACAGCGGGAGAATGACCCTCTCTCCTCAGTTCTTGTGAGTTCTACCTCTGAAACCTCTCCAGCCAAATGCTTCTCTCCAGTTGCCTGCCACATATACCATCACCTCTTGCTTGGGCTATTCCTTGCAGCCTTTCCCCCGGTTCCTCTGCCTCTAATCTTGCTTTTTCAATTTGATTTCCACCCTTCTGAGCCACAGTCTGATCATGCCAACCCTGCCTAAATCCCTGCAATGGCTTCTCATTGCCCTTGGATGAAGTCCGGGGCCCACAGAGCCCATCACGGCTAGCCTCTGGCTACTACCTTTGGCACTCCTCATGTTATCTTTTCCCTTCTAGGCACTAAGAACTTCAGGTGTTAGGAAGCACTGTGCCCATGCTCTCTCTGAGTCACTGAACATACAATTCCCCTGGTCTGACATATTTCTCTGTTCAACTGGCTTACTCCTTCAGATTTTAGCTTAGTTGTTGCTTCCTCCAAGAAGCTTTGCATAACCCATTTAGACTAAATTCAGTGTTCCTGCCTGGTACAGCCTGCATTTGCATCTTCCTTATTGCAGCACTTACCACAATTTATTCTACTGCTTTCTTATAGACTATATGCTCTGAATGGGTGGGAACTATGTCCATCTCACTCATTATTGTACCCCAGCACCTGGCTCTGTGCATAGCATATCCTTGGTGCTCAAAAACGATTCATTAACTAAATGACTAAATGGCTAACACTCAATCCAGGGTATCTGAGCTACAGTACAATGAGCTTCCTCTGTGCTGTATGGGTAAGAGTCTTCTCTTGCTTTCCATAATAAACTTTTTAAGCCATTCATTTGGTACTATATATATTATAAAAATCGTATGTTATATGATACAAAATTATTTATAGAAATACTATTTATCAATAATTGAAAATTAAAGGTGCTGTTATTGTGAGAGTGCTAGTAATAGAATTTAAGAAAAAACATGTCAAAAATTAGTAAATACAACTGTCCTTGGATAGGGGCTTTGGGATTTTTCCTAATAGAAAATCTGTCCTGTATCCAGGTTGAGTGCCTCAAAGGCAGAACGTGGATGGTCACTTTAGAATGCACTGCAACCTTATCTGCTCTCCTAAGTAGAAATTGGAAAGAGCTTTTCACTTCAGCACATGTACTAAGAAAAGAATCTCAAGGCATATGTACCACCCCTGCCTGTCTCAGCAACCTGACATTTAGGAAAAGGATGTTAAAGATCTATAAACTTCTGAATAGCTCCAGGCTAAAATATCTGTACCTTATGCTTGTTCTTTAAACTCTTGTCAAGAGGGTCCAAGATCCGGCTGGGCACGCGGGCTCACGCCTGTAATCCTAGCACTTTAGGAGGCCAAGGTGGGCGATCACTTGAGGACAGGAGTTCAAGACCAGCCTGATCAACATGGTGAAACCCCGTCTCTACTAAAAATACAAAAATTAGCTGGGCCTGGTGGCACCACCTGTAATCCCAGCTACCCAGGAAGCTGAGGGAGGAGAATTGCTTAAACCCAGGAGATGGAGGTTGTAGTGAGCCAAGATTGTGCCACTGCACTCCAGCCTGGTTTCAGAGCTAGACTCCACCTAAAAAAAAAAAAAAAAAAAAAAAAAGGATCTATCATCTATGGTGTTGGGGTGAAAGGGCAGAAAAGGACCAAACAGTGATTAATGAAATAAGTGCTTTGTTGGGTATTACCCTAAAATCAAGAGATGTCTTAATGGTAATAATCTTTGTTTTTGTTATTTACCTGTTAGACTCACCGGCCTTAGAGTATCTAATAAACATTGGCTTGCGTTGTGTGTAATTACTACAAGTTGATGGAATCACACACTAATAGAACGGAAAGACCAAAGACTTACCTCTCAATATCCAAACTCCTGCCACCCAGACCTTTTGCCTTGAGTTTCTGTCTTTTTCACCTCTTCTCCTCCAGTTTTAGAGAGTTTCCAACATGTAGTGGAAAGAGTATTGCTTTTGGAGTCAGTAAGCCCACAAAATACTTATTGCGCCGCAGCTAGTCACCAGGCACAATTCCAGTGCTGGGCCCTAAGTAGGCCAGTCACAGAGACATAGGTTCAAATCCCAGCCCTGACAGTTTCTAGCTGAATGACCTCAGGCAATGTAGTCTCTCCAGCCACCAATGAAATGGGTAGTATTTTTGAAATGAGATTAATAATACTTCTTCCATACTGGAAGTGGGGTTGGTGGGTTCAATTGGAAAAATGAATACAAAGTAAGAGTGTGACAGTGTTTTGACATAGCTAGCAGGTGCTTGATAAATGGTGCCATTTAAAATAACCTGGGCATTTCAGTTTCTGAAGGAAGTGGGCATAGTTTGCGATTCTGTGCCTCCTCATCTTGATCAGAGGAAGAGTGTGGCTGATGGGGGAGAAGAGTAGGTTGAGAGTCAAATACTGTTACTTAAATCCCAGGCACGGCTGTAATGTGAACGTATCATGCCACCTCTCCCTCTTCAGCCGAGATGGAGTATAGTCCTGGCCAGTGAAACTGTGTTTCAGACTGCCTCACTGCAAATAAACACTCCCGTTGAATGCACAAAGGGGCCAGGAACTATGATTTCTTCTAAAGAATGTCCATCTGTGATTAACGACCAGTTGTCTACCAATGCATTCAATAAGGACATTCAGAAGCTTCAATCATGAGTGTGCTTTAGACGTTCAGTGAGTGGTTGGATGGAGGGAGTACAAAGATAGAAAAGACACATCTTGTGGTGACTGTTTACATCTTTTGTATGTCACAGAGGGGAGCCAGACTCAGTTAATTCATTCTCTTCTTCCTGCTGCTGCTCCTTCTCTTCCCCTTCTTTTCTGCGACTTCATCACTATCATCATCAATAGTAGCAGCAGCATTAACTCTTACTGAGAACTTGTTATGGTACAGGCATTGGGCTAAATAACACCTTTATGTGAGTTTGAGAAGCCTGTGTATCTCTTGTCAACCCGAAATTCAGAAGAGGATTTTGAACTGGAAATAATACTTTGAGAGTTGGAGTCGTATACATTTTCTAGGGCTGCTGTAACAAAGTACCACAAACGGTGTGGCTTAAACAACTGAAATTTATCGTCTAACAGTTCTGCAGACTAGAAGTCCAGGATCGAGGTGTCGGCAGGATTGATTCCTTCTGGTGGCTGTGAGGAAGAATCTCTTCCATGCCTGTCCTCTGGCTTCTGTGGTTTGCTGGCACTCTCTGGCATTCCTTGGCTTGTGGAAACATCGCCCCAACCTCTTCTCTGCCTTCATCTTCACATGGTGCTCTCTCTGTGCATGTCTGTCTGTGTATCCAAATTTCCCCCTAGACTGTTAGGACACCAGTCATATTAGACTGAGGCCCACCCTCATGACCTACTTTAATTTTGATTACCTCCATGAGGACTTTGTTTCCAAATAAAATTACATTCTGAGGTACAGGGGGTTAGGACTCTAATACACACACACACACACACACACACACACACACACACACACACATATATATTTTGGTGGGGCACAATTCAACCCCCAACAGGGTCATAGGAATAAATGAAATTATTAGGAAGAACACATAGATGGAAGAGAGGACTGAGAAAAAGAGGATTTCCAAGAGTATTGTTTAATGCCCGAAAGGTATTATGAGTAAAATGAAGCCATGGCTCCAGCAGCAAGGAGAGTGAGGGAAAGTGCCTGATCTCAGGTGTGGTCCACAGCAAGACTTTGTTGGGTTCCCTTTGATCATTTCATGACCCAGCCTCACAGGGGCTTGGAAATATTTTGTTCACAACTGAATGAAGGCAAAGGATTTCCTTGCACTAAAAAATAATTAATCTTCATTCTAGAATTGTCAACAGAATTTAATCAATTCAGGATTTTTTTTTTCATGTTGAAAACACTCAAAGAACATAATGGACATTCATCCTAAAAAGATCCTAAGAGTTCTTCATTTTAGTCAACCCTCAAGAGAAAATGTTTACAGTCACAAAGACAGCATGTGTCATTACTGGAAAGAGAACTTCAACTCTGTTTCCCAGAATCTAAAACTCCTATTTGTAATGAAGACAACTTTGGGGTTCAATGCAATCCCTTTATTGGTTTAGAAATCTGCAGAGATCAAGAACAGTTTAAGGGTTTCTAGAATAAACTCTGGTAGAAAAATTTCCCCTAACAGATTGAGTTTTATCTTGAATTAATAATTCAAAAGACATAATACATCTCTAAATAATCTATGAATAACTTAGTCCTGAACTAATTGAAACCTAAGTATGAATGAAAGCATTATGCTTTGTGGCATATACTTTCCCAAATGACCTAAATGTCAGTTAGATAAAGATGAGTGAGCTTCCCTCCAATCTTGTTCTCTGTCTGAAAACTTGTATGAGCCACAGCCATGTGACAGACAGAACTGTTTCTTTACCAAAGACTGTCGTAGTTCCTGCATTGTCAGTCGTACGCACTAAAACACGGCCTGCAGCAGGCTTTAATTACCATAAATGCACCACCTGTCTTCTTTTTAGTGCTTAATCATGAAACGTATCATGGTTTACAGTGCAATGTGTTTGAAATACTATACTGAGCTGTGGAATCACAGAATCCACAGAGGAAGAGAGCCCAGGGTTCAGACAAAGCGATGTGGCTAGGGTTAACCTAGTAAATCCTATTCCCTGAGGGCTGTTCTAGAGGGATCCAGACTAAAAACTGTAGATGGTATGAGAAGAGAGGGGTTTGGGATAAGCCTAAAAAGCCCCATAAGAAAGCATAAATCTGACTGTCATGTAGGATTATGGCTCTCCTAAGAGCTGGGAGACTGTGGAGGCTGACTGAAGGAAAGGCTTTGTGCTTTGGTGGCTGGAAGCTTTTGTACAGCTCTGTGAAGCCTCCTTTAGTGCAACTGCAGTCTGGGCTCTATGGGGCTGCAGCTGTGCCACCCTGGAAGGGGTGAACGAAGCAGGGGAATAGGAAGGAACTGAAGACAGAAAGAAGGCTGATGTGGGACCATGTAGTCAACTCTGGCCATTCACGGCAACTTCCAGATAGGAGAGGACCTCAAATTGTAACAGGTGACAACATCACTACATTGCTACAGATAGTTGTCATTGGCCATTAACAAGGACTACACATTCATTTGAGTCGCATCTCTTTCAGGAAGCAATTATTTTGGGGTCCAAAATGCTTGTATACCCTTTAGTTCTGCACCTTCATATTATGTTAACTAGTACTCCCCTAAGTAGTTGAACTTAAGGGATGCTAAGAAGGGCCCCAGATATCGTCAATGAAACAATGTCCTTTCTTTTGGGTTAAGTCCTGAGGAATCTGTGATACTTAGCCCAGTCAGATGGTTTCTCTGAAAGGTAAATGGAAGTCAGCACACGGAGAAGTGAGGGGATACAAGAGGAGAAGGAAGCACTAGGCCTTTCCCAGGGCATCTGAGCCTATGGGGGCCCCTGAGGGGAGCCCTCTGGCTGCTCCAGATTGGCACTGGGTGCTGGCTGGTGGGAGTGAAGTAGATCTGGGAGAGATTCTAAAAGGGGTGTGGGAGCAGAAAAGGAAGTGCGCTAGTCATCTATTATTGTATAACAGTATTACCACAAACCTCGTGGCTTAGAACAGCCCACATTTGTTATCTCAGTTTCTAGGTCAGGAGTTGGACATGGCTGGATCCATTGTCTCAATATCTCTCACAAGAATGCAATCAAGATATTGGTCAGGGCTGATTTCTCATCTGAAAGCCTGACTAGGAAATGATCCATTTTCATGTAGTAGTTAGCTAAATTCAGTACTTTGAGAGCTACTGCATTGAGGACCTCAGTTTTTAGCTGGCAGCCATCCTCAGTTTCTTGCCATGTGGGCCTCTCCCAACATGGCAGCTTGCTTCATCAAAGCATGCAAGCTGAGAAGGCAATAGAGAGAGTTTGGTAGGAAGAAGGAAATCACAATCTTATGTAACTTAATCGTGGAAGTGACATCTCATCCCTTTTGACATATTCTATTGGTTAAAAGCATGTTACAAAGTCTTGCCCACCCTCAAGGGTGAAGAGCATTACAAAAGGGCAGAACACCAGGAGGTGGAGATCACTGGGGGTCATCTAGAGTTTGCCCATCACGTGGAAGAAAGTGATGGCAGACATCCATTGTTTTTTCTGGTTGCTATCCATTCCTCCTTCTGGTAATTATACCTAGATTTTCCTTTGACGAATAGCCCCCTCCACCATTTCAACAATGTTTCTGGCAGTCTCAGCCCCAGATGTCGAAAAGTGACTTAAGCTGGCGAATCAGCATATCACATGTCTGGGTTCACAGTGGTGAGTTTACAGATGCACATGTGACCCAACAAGAGCCAATGAAGAGCAAGGAAACTTTCTTGGGAATCCTGGAAAGATATGCTCTATTTTTCAGGTTGACTTAAAACTAGAGAGGATCTAGGAACTGGAGCTGCTGCCTCTGTCTGCTAAGATGTGAAGTCCAAGACTGAAAGTAACATAGCAGAAGGAGAACCAAAAGATATGTTGAGTCTTGATGCTATTTGTTGAACCAGTCCTGAATCCAGCTGTGTCGTAAGTGAATTATTCCTAACATGATGACAGAAGCCTGACATTAATTTATCAAGGCATGCTGAAGAATATTTGATTATTGGATATAGTGCAATACCAAAACTATGTAAATAATAGGCACATCTGGTTCGTGTAATTTAAGAGGGGTAAAGGTAGGGAATATTCCCTAGACAAGTTCATTCATCAGCAAATATATATTTTGCCCTTATTACATGTTAGGTCCAAGGGCTATTACATATAGTTGGGCAGTTTGTGCACTGCACAAATGTACCTACTCAGGAGGGTAAGGGAACTGAAACCAAGTCTTCCTTATATTTGCCAAACATTTGCCCTGGTGTGGGAGTGGTTTCATCCCAGGAGAGAGTGATGTTTATAACTTGCTAACTGGCCAGTTGTTCCTCTGCTAAGCTGAGTAGGATGGAAGGAGTGAGCATGGTAGAAAGATGTGGCTACAAAGAGGAACACACATGTGGTTCTTGCCCTTTAGGAGTTTAATTCAAGTATGGGGTTAGTTATGCAAACTGAAGATCATGATAAAATGTCGTAAAGGCTAATAACGATTTTGGAACATATGGTTATGGCCTTGGAACTATAAATTGAGGAGCATGGTCCACAGACTTTTATCTTTCTAATGCGTGAATAGAATAGAATATTTGAAACTGGTACTTGTGGCTTTCTGGTTGCCATAGGCATGTATATAGTGTAAAGGGAACAAAAGGGTTCTTGACAAATTTGACTTGGGGAGTGAAAGGAATTAGAGAGGATGTCAAAGAAGTGGTATGTTGGATCTGGATCTTGAAGGTAAATAGCAAGTGCAAAGATTAGTGAAGTGAAAGCACTTGGTCCATTATAGGAATGGTAAATAACTGCTATGGCTTGAACTTGGAATGTGTGAGAGAGGGCAGAGGATATGTAAGATTGAGGTTAGAGCAGGAGTAGATTAGGAAGAGGCTTCTGGGACAAGCTTTGGAGTTTCAATATCCCTTTATTCACAGGGAGTCAGCGCAGCTTTTGAAGCTGGAGAGCATCATATTTTAGAAAGATCAAGCAATGTGGATGAGGACACATTAAAAAGAGAAGACCGAGAGGAGGGGACACCACTCAGGCTTATAACCTCCAGGTAAGAGATGACCAGTGTGAATCTTGGCATTGGCATTGGGGTTGGAAAGGATGGAACTTAGATGTGAGACAGCTCACAGATACAGTCTACAGGCTGGTCTACTGTTAGATGGGTGTTGTCTTATTCTACTTGGGTTCTATACCAGAATATCTTAGCCTGGGTAACTGATAAACAACAGAAATTTATTTCTTACAATTTTAGAGCCTGGGAAGTCCAAGATCAAAGTGCTAGCAGATTCAGTGCCTGTTCCTATAGCTAGTACCTTCTCTCTGTCCTCACATGGTGGAAGGGGAGGGAAGCTGCCTTCCCTTGCTCTCTCTCTCTTTTTTTTTTTTTTTTTTTTTTTTGAGATAGGGTTGGCTCTCTTGCCCAGGCTGGAACACTGGCACTATCATAGCTCATTGTAGCCTTGAACTTCCAGGTTCAAGCAATCCTCCCACCTCAGCCCCCACCAGTATCTGGGATTACAGGTGGGTGTCACCATGCTCAGCTGATTTTGTACTTTTTGTAGAGGCAGGGTTTCACCATGTTGCCCAGTCTGGTCTCAAACATCTGAGCTCAAGTGATTTGCCCACCTCACCCTCCCAAAGTGCTGGGAATACAGGTGTGAGCCAGTGTGCCTGGCCCAACATCTTTTATAAGGGCACTAATTCCATTCATGAGGACAGAGCACTCATGGTTTAATCACCTCCTATATTCTATCACATTGGGGATTAAGTTCCAACATATGAATTTTGGGGAAACACCAAAAATTTTGGGGAGACAGCAACATAGCAGGGGTAGAGAAAGAGGTAGGGAAGAAAGGTTAACAGTGATGCTTTTGTGCAATAGTGTCAAAAACGTCTCACTACAGCACAAATTGTGAAAAAAATAGCATTTTTCTTGTTTACTACTTAGTTAATGGTCTTTGATAGCTCTTAACCCAATGGTAAGAGAGAAAGAAACATAAAGTGAAAAAACAAAAAACTTGGCCGGGCATGGTGGCTGACATCTGTAATCCCAGCACTTTGGGAGGCTGAAGTGGGCGGATCATGAGGTCAGGAGATTGAGACTATTCCAGCTAACACGGTGAAACCCCGTCTCTACTAAAAATACAAAAAATTAGCTGGGTGTGGTGGCACGTGCCTGTAGTCCCAACTACTTGGGAGGCTGAGACAGAAGAATTCCTTGAACCCAAGAGGCAGAGGTTGCAGTGAGCAGAGATCGCGCCACTGCACTCCAGTCTGGGCAATAGACCGAGACTCCATCTCAAAAACAAAAACAAAAACAAAACAAAACAAACAAACATACAAAAACAAAAAAACAACAAAAAACTTTGGTGCTAACTAGAGAAATATCAGTCTCTTCCAAGTTAAAATAGTTCCTTTCAGGTTAACACCACTTTCCTGGTTACATTCAGGCTTTCAGGGTCTTTTCTTTTTACCCTGCCCACGAATCCCCCTGACCCCCTTGTATGGGTGCAGAGCAAAGCTTATCTGTCATCACCGTGATGGGAAGGGCCTTTCCAGGTCTTGGCTGGTCCTATTGTGAGAGCCCTGGCTGAGCTGGGCTGGTCCCTGGGCCTGGGGGCTTTGTGCTAGTGTCCCTGTTATGCTCGGTCATGCTTGGTCCTTGGGGTCACCTGTTGCTTCTGTGCACCATTTCAGCCATATCCTTCCAGTTCAAAGTCTTTGCATTCTTCAGTTTCTGTGTCCAGATCTTAAGTCTCTTCTAGACTATGGCTGTTCTTAGAACCTCTCTGTTCCCCCTTGGGATAAGCAGGAACTTCTGGAATCCCTGCATACATTGGTCAGCCCTTGGGAAACTGGAAACATATTCTTAGTCCCATATGCCTGATCACCTCCCTCATTTTTTCTAATCTGTAGCTCAAGTGCCAGATGAATGTGGAATTCTCTGTGAGGCTGGTAGCCTCATAAAGGGAAGCCGGGCCAAGGTCCTGTCTATTTTGGGGTCCTCAGGAGCTTATCTGGATCTTTTATTGCACTTTGCCTCCTGTTTCTTCTTTAGTTTTTGGCTCTGGAGTTGAGGGTGTGTGTAGGAACTCTATCTCAACTCCTGCGCCAACTTTTCCAGCTCCTCCTTTCAACACTATCTGCCTGGCTAGCAAGGAAAGGAGCTGGGTCACTAAGAAATACTCAAAGAGGTGGTTGGGTGGGTGGGTAGATGATGGTAGGAGGTGGCAAACGTTTGGGTGGGGATCTAAAGGGACAGTTAATTCAGTCTAGACAGGTTGACTTTGAGGTATCTAAGTATTCCAAGACATCCTGCATTTGACAGTTGGGAGAAAGAGGGTTTGGAGATCAAGAGGGATTGTGGCCAGAGTTACTGGTTGTGGGTGTTTGAGACAATGGGAATGGATAAGTTTAAGGAAGGCACGTAGGAAGAGGAAAGTGGGCAAGAGCAGTTAGAGGAAGGAGAGCTGGAAGAAATGTAGGTTAGGAGTGTTTGGAGAGGTAGGAGGAGAAAACGGAGATCGCACTTACTCTCCAGAGTGAAGCCTGAGCTCTAGTCATATACAGATCCCACAGACCTTGGAGAGCTTCTTGCAAGGCTCAGCTCACAAAACCTCACTTAAAAAACAATTCTCTGAAGTTCATCTTGCCGTTCAAATAAGAGAGAAATATATTAGGCAAGCTGAGATGTAAACTGAATTATTGATGCGGTAGCTTTTTAAAGGGAAGGCAACATTAGCCTTAGGTTTAAGGACATCTTTGGTTTAGGGACAGCAAATCCTACCATGACCTACCTTTGTAACATTTTAAATTTCAGCTCACATTTCAGCACCAAAGGACCAAAGCCTAGACCTGAGATCTGGCACTTGCAAAAAGAAAGATCACCTGGAAGAACAAAATAGAAGACTCCTGCTCCCAATAGGCTTGGGTCAGGAAGAAGGCTGTTGGCATAATTGTGGAGTAGGAAGATGGAAAACAACTCCTAGAGATCCCAACAGCTGAACGCGTGCTTGGGCAGTGGCTGCGGGTGAAGTCATGGGAAGGCAAGTCATGAAGGGCATTAATCAAGGTAAAAGCAAAAGGAAAATGAGGTTCTTCAGGGCACAGTGTGTGGGAAGCAACAGCATGATGGAATCATTAGGAGAGATGCCCATGACTCCTGCGCCCAGCAGGAGTTGTTTCTGCAGGGGTCCCTGCTTCCATCTCCTAAGTTGCAGGCAGAGAGGGCAGAAGCCAGGATCATCAATACCCAAGAGGGAGCATCGAAGAGTGCATGCTTCCTCTACTATGTCGTGATATAGATGGAGGCCAGGATTTGGGAGCTTTGGAACACATCTCTCCCAGGCCTGATTGTTAGGAGAGGACTTAGGCAAGGTGTGGGCAATGCTGGTGCTTCACCTTTCCTTGTTGACCAGACAGACCCAGAAGGGTCATTTGTCAAAACAAAGAAAATCTCTTCCAGGGGTGAGGCAGGTGTGGCTGCCTGTATGTGAATGTGCTGCACACCTTTCCCATCAGCAGGTGTCTGAGACCCTACTCTCCTCCTGACTTTGTTGGCCCGAGCATCAGCCTGTGAGGTCCAGCACCCAGAGCCCAAATCTTCTGGCTCCTAGGCTGGCACACAACCTAACAACAATTCCTGTGCCTTCATATTTTCATCTCTGCAAGGAGGATAGTAGAAATAGCTCTCAAGTAGGGAATGATGACTGCATTTGAGAACAGGGCAAAAATAAAATCTGAAAATTGAACATCTTGTCACTAGGCAGTTGTAACACATTTTGAAGATTATGAGCTAATCAAAATTACACAGGTATTCTGCTCTGGAAATGCTCAACAACCGGACAGGATGTTTTTGAATGCGGTAATAAAAATTATCTCTAGGAGCAAAACCTACTGAATCTTAAACATTCCCGCCAGAGAAGGAACACTCTCCAAGTCCTCCTCAGTTTACACCAAAGAATTCCACATAATTCATTTCTGTTGTGGTAGTTAGTAAAACCTTACGATATACACAGGTCAGAGCCAATCCAAAAAAACAGAAGCAAAAACATGAGGTAGTTTTAAAAATGTTCTTTAAAGAAGATGTAGATGAATATATGGAAGAGGTATTATAGCTATTATTTACTAAAAAAATGTGAAGCTTTTCTACTTTAATTTCTTTTGAGAACTAGGCTTTCAAAAAAAAAATCGTGAGACTTTCTAGCACCTATCTTTCTTGTTATTAGGATGACTTACATTACATTGTATTTTTACACTTTAAAAAATATTGTCATTTAGAAAAAAGGCAACTAATTATAAGGTGAAATGATACCAACTTATAATTTTTTTGTAGACTATACAACAGAGCAATAAACATTGCATAGGTGTAGTTCTATACGCATTTCAATTAGTGATAACTTTCCCATTTCAAAACTATTTCAAAAACTAAAATATATTTTAATAAATGTGATGCTTAAAATTTTTGTTTTCTACTTTTTAGGTTATTTTTTCCACAGATGAATTTCTAATCCTAAATAATCATTTACATGAATTCAGATTTTTTTGATCCAGGTAACTTTTTTCTCCACATTTCTTGAGTAATTTATTTAACTTAAAATACTTAACAGAATGTAGATTCTTTTTTATTTCTTATATGCCAGGCATGTGTCTAGATTATTTAAGAGACAAATTACGAATAATCTTTTTCTTTTGTTTCTCTTGAGGAGAAGATATGTAAGTGGTGGCTCTGTTTGGTGGGAACTCTTAGGAAAACTGCTTGTTTCTAGTTCTAGGACATACTTGCGCACCTTGGCCTGCCATGCCTAACTGGGGTCATAAGCCATGTGACACTGGTGTCCACCTCACATAGTGCCGCCCCCCCCACTGCCACCCCACCTAGGACTAGATGCCAAATGCTGACATCAGCTGCTGCCGTGACGTTATTGATAGTTTGTTGTTGTTGTTGTTGTTTGGTTTGTTTTTGTTTGTTTTTGAGACAGGGTCTCACTCTGTCACCCAGGCTGGAGTGCAGTGGCACCATCTCAGCCTACTGCAACCTCTACCTCCTGGGCTCAAGCAATCCTTTTGCCTTAGCACCCCAAGTAGCTGAGACTACAGGCACATGCCACTATGCCCAGCTAATTTTTTTTTTTTTTTGTAGAGATGGGGTTTCACCATTGGTACCCAGGCTGGTCTCTAACTCTTGAGCTCAAGTGATCCACCTGCCTCAGCCTCCCAAAGTGCTGGGATTACAGGTGTGAGCCACCACACCTAGCCTATGTTGTCTATAGTTTTATCAAGGACAGACTAAGGTATATTGGAATTAAAAAAAAAGTAGATTTTAACCATGAAGGTTTATTTCTTGCTCATCTCCATCATGGGCTGACTGGGGGCTCTGCTCCATGCTCCTCATTTGGGGATGTATACAGAAGGAGCAGCTACCACCTGAGCTGCTCTGCATTAATTAGTCTCTAATGCAGAACTAAAGATAGCTAAGGAGGCCTCATTTGGCCATTAAAGTTTCTAGCCTGATGGTGACATGTGCCACTTCTGCTCACTACTCATTGACTGCAACAAGTCTCACAGCCCCACCCAGCCACTAAGAGCCAGGAGGTACAATCCTATCATGTGCCAGGAAGGTGGGAATTCAGAAATGCTGGGTGAACAGCATTAGTGATGATCACAGTGGCCCATGCAGTGTGCATCTCCTCTTTCTTTTTCCTAGGAGATTGCTGACTTTGGTTAGTTTTCTATCTCTCCTCCATGCTGACCATTAATTTAGGCAAAGCTAATCCCATTTTCTGACACCAGGAGTGGACTTTGATGCACTTAAGCCAAACAAAATAATACAAACTAACTGTGATTGTTTCAGGAAAGAAGACGAGATACAATTCAGGCTAATGAGATGCCATGCAAGGTTTGCAGAAGCTTTTGGGAAACTTTCTTTTCATTTTTTTAGGATATGTTCTGGGAGTAACTCCCCTGCTTTCCCTGGATGTGTGCGAGAAAGCATAGGCATCCACTTTCTGACCAACAGGAGACCCAGTCTCAGGATGGAGCAGACACCATGCATGGTAGAGCAGAGAGACAGATACAACCTAGGTCCTTGATGAAATGATTGGCCACTGGATCAGCCACAGTTAAAGACTGCCTACCTTTGGACTTCTGGTTATCTTAGGCCAAAAATGTCCTTTTTGTTTAAGGCACTTTGAGCCGGGTTTTCTAAGACCTAGCAGTCTCAACCATCCAAACTAATAAGCTGAATTAACTAGATTTCCTGTCATGTCCTTCCTGCCTGATTGGTAGCCCTTGACTCCAATTTGGCCTCATTTTCCGTACCTTACTGGCTGCCTTTTCCTCTACTCATAGGTCACTTGGAAATAAAATATAGATTTACTTCAAACTCCCACTATCACATGCATTTCTTTTCTTACTGACTTCACGGCCTTCAAATACGGCCTCATAATCATTTACTCTCTGTTAGGTTCCTCCAATGACTTGGATCACTCCTAGCCTGTCTTGATTGGCCACCTCCACACTAATGCCAAAAAGGATGCCAGTTCTCGATATCTCTGCTTCTTAAAAAACATGTCCTTTGTCTTGCTAAATTGTGTCTTCCCTACACAATGGTTGAAAACAAACCAGCCCCCCGGTCACACACTCTAAAATACAAAAGGTCAGTGAAGCAGTCCTCCACTGTGTCAGTGCACATGCTGTCACCAGGAGCGTTGTGACTTCAGGACCTGCTTCCTCGAGCCCTAACTTGGGGCTGCACTATTGAGGCCTCAGCAAGCTGATTTAAAGCTGCTATTGAAAAATCCCATCACATCCCATACGTGAGCTGAAGAGTGACAGTGGAGACAATTTCTACAGCACTTGTTACAGCAAAAGGCAGAAGCCCCGGCACTGGGGTGGGCAGGGGTGGGCTTTTAGATCCATATTTCAATGGGTATATTTTAGGTGAATTCTAATAGGAACGAAGTTAACACACTTTGTATGTCTCCCATCCTGGCTCATTTGCTGCCTAAATGTAAGAAGCTATGCCAAAGTAACTTACTCAAGTAGTTTGGGGGAAGTCAGGGACAAGGCAAAGCTATGAGTAATCTAGGAAAAGGAAATATTCTAGGGGCTGTTTGGAGCTAGAGGGAGTGGTGTTATTGATGTGACTGGACATGTGGAGTTTAAATTGGCCTTTTCTGAATTATTAAGAGTTTCTGATTTATACCACAGAAGACCTGAACTTTTTAGATTTACTGTCCTTGTATCCAACAGGGATGATTCCAGAGAGATTTCTGGCAGGTTCTACAAAAATATTCTGAGACTGACAGTTGCTTTGGGGAATAAAAAGACAACGTGTGTCTGCTTCTTTCAGCCCCTCTTCCTTCTCTCTGGCTCATTTTTTCAAGTCATGCAAAGCTTTCCCTAATACAATTGAGGCATACAAACTGTTAGAAGAATCGCTGTCTTAATGAACATCATTTAAGGAAGAGGGGAAGAAAGAAAGAGGCGAGGGACGGGGAGAGAGAACAGAAGCCTGTTATCTTGCTGGTTTGGCTTCCTCTCATCCAGAAGGCTGACTTTCCGGCAATGGGAAGGAGGATGGGTCAAATTATGGTAATTAGGATCTTGTGTGGCAGCTCGTGATGTGCATTTCCTTCATTTCATTGTTTCTCTTCATGTTTGCTGGAAGACCAAATAATACACTTCTATGTTTGTGCCAAAGGATTATTCTTGGGATTCAGAAGACGAATGGCCATCAGAGAGCATGTCTGGCCCATCTTTCCGGAAAGGTTTTCAGTGGGATGAGGCAGGTGGCTTAGTAGAATCAGGTGACTTGTTTCTAGGGGACTTTAGACGCTTTAGAAGAAAATAAAAAGGTTTTAAGAACTTCTCTGTGGATCTGTTATCCAGGTGCTAACCACCTAGTTGGATTATTATTATTTTTCCTTCTTCCTGCTACACATATTTTGTCTTCCAAGAGGCTCAAGTTGTAGGAAAAGCACATAGGGAGATAAGTATAGCTCATTTTCTTATCCAAAGGAGGTTGCAGTAATTTCTCCTATTAGAACAGCAAATTCCCTCCAACCCAGACCTTGGTCTTTTCCCATCCATTGTGTGACGTGATTGGCAACTTCTAAGTGACGACACAGAGGCTGATTCTTTCTAACTGCCAATCAGTCACGGTGCAGGTCACCTTTAAATTCACTTTATATTAAACAAGAAAAGAAAGGAACTGCTTGAAACACTGAACTGCTTGATTAGATGGAAATTCTTGTAGCCTATTTTAATGGAACCATAATTTCCAGCAGCTATTTTTGAGAAGAAACTATTAAAGAAACATTGGCTCTTGAATTTAATGTGATCGCACACATCACTAGCTGTGTGATGAACATCTGCTTTTAAAGTAGGGCTCACACTGACAGCCACCGTAATTCTACTTCTTTGCTATCAACATCAGCCCTGTGGTTCCAGTTATTCAACACCATTCCCCATGTGGCAAATTTATATAGCTTTCAGTTCATGCCTTTTCTGGGAAGGCCTGTGGCAACTTTGCCCATGTTTTGATTGTTCTTTGAGTCACAAATAGCAGGAATACCAACGCTATGCATTCATCATGTGCCAATGATGACAGCACCAAGAAGTTTCAGGTCTGGGGTCCTCTGGTCCACTATCTCATTTTGTGAAAGAAACTAGGGTTCAAGTGACCTCCTCAAAATTTGTTGGCTATTTAGAGCAGATTTGTTAAGAGAATGCAGAGGCTTTTTACTGTGTTTTATTGAAGTGTAATGTGTAGTATTATACTTCTATAGTATATAAGAAAAAGTGTGCCGATCATACGTGTATGTTCAGTGAATTCACAAAGTGGGAACATCTGTCTTGCCAGCACCCAGCTCAAGAAACAGCTCCAGTTCCTTTATGCTCCCTTCCCATCCACACCGAGCCTCTCTAAGAGTGATTCCATCTTGACTTCTAACACCTTAGACTAATGTTGCTTGTGTTTAAACGTTATATTAATGGGTCTAAAAATCCCTAAACCAGTTCGCTTTCCACTACCACAGTTTCTTTGGGCACCACCTTCTCCTATGGGAGATACCACAAGAGTTCGAGTTTCAAAAATGAGACTGGGAAGGAAAACCACATTCAATTTTGACATCAGATTTTCATCATAATCAAGTTGGCAGCTCTATAATCTTCCATAGTTAGAGACAAGGCTACTAGAGTTAAGTTGCTAAAAAACCAAACCAAAACAAACCCAGCTCTTGTCTGGTCAGCTGTCAGTGCAGGTCCAGCTGGTTGCTGCTCGGTCACTCTAATGACTGTGAGTGTTAGTTCAAACCATTCTTTAGAAAAATGTGTTACCTTTTTGTGGCTGCTATTGATTTTTACCCTGACATATTATTATTCTTGACAATATTGCTTTTTTACCACTGACATCTTAGTAAACCCAGAGTCAGAAATATCACTGGACTGCTTTTAAAATTTCTTCACAATGAAAAACCAGCTTTCTACATCTTATTTCCTGTAACGCAAAGCTAGCCTTTCTGTTTGCCTGCTTTCATGTTGATTTAAACACTTGGTTTTCTGTTACAAATATTTCCCACCTCTCCTCTGTTTTTCCCCTCTTTTGTCCAGGAGGTGATGTAAATGTACATGCTTTATTAACCACCCAGTTGCGCAAGGATGTTCTGACTGCATCTTAGAAATGCTAGCAGGGCCAGGCGCGGTGGCTCACGCCTGTAATCCCATCACTTTGGGAGGCCGAGGTGGGCAGATCACCTGAGGTCAGGAGTTTGAGAACAGCCTAGCCAACAAGGTGGAACCCCGTCTCTACCAAAAATACAAAAATTAGCTGGGTGTGGTGGCAGGTGCCTGTAATCCCAGCTACTCAAGAGGCTCAGGCAGGAGAATCACTTGAAACTGGGAGGTAGAGGTTGCAGTGAGCCAAGATCATGCCATTGCACTCCAGCCTGGGCGACAAGAGCTAGACTCCATCTCAAAAAACAAAAAAAATGCTAGCAAATAGCAGGATCCGATGCAGACTGATGGTCAGCTCACAGGAAACATCAGATTTCCATCTTTTGGTCACACATCCTTCTTTGCACAGTCAGATACTTCCCAAAGCAGTTTTTTTATGTACTGAAAGAAAGATAAGTAGATGCAGAATTGAGTTTACCAGCTATCCAAACTCAGCATATTTGTGGATCATCTCATTTTTCTGCTCTATAAGTTACCGAATATGAGAAAACCAGAATATATCCTCCCTGTCTGGTAAGTGAAGGGGGTAAAGTTATAGTAGCAAAAACAAGGTACAGGAACAAAGTGCTTGTGGGAGCTCTCCAGGAAACATTATATACAGCCTCGTACTCTCTTACCCAGAGGCAGCAGTCTCGAGGAACTGTAAGAGCCAATAGTGAAAAAGCTATTTAGTCATGGATGGTACCATGTCAAGGTGAACTAAAATAAGTAGCCATGACGGAGATAATTAATTCATCTGTAATAGAGTCTGGACTCACGGAGAATTCTAGCAGTTTTTGGATTAAATTGGGTGAGACACTTGCTATGGCTTCCAGGCCAGAAGCTGGCCAGAAAGGAGTTTGCTTGGAATTTTTGTTTTTATTTTTATTGGCTGTCAACATTCTAGCTAACGAGGAGGCTACAGGCACACACTTCTATTCATTTTCCCTCCCAAGACGGCTTCCTGAGTGTCTCTATCCATTGGATGCTTGTAGGGAGCAAGCCTTTGCCTTTGTGGGGTGAGGGAAAGGAGAGAAAGTGGGAAAGAAAGCAGGGATGACACTGCTAGGAAATCTCTGTACCTTTGATTTCGAATGAGAATGTGATGCTTTTCTTTCATCACCAGTATTGAAACCTTGCTGTTTTGAACTTCTTAAAGATCCAATATCTCTCCATAACCTTATGGAGAGACTGGGAGTAGGGAAGCTCCTTCAGGCAAACTCTCAGATCCCTGAGAGCATGCTATCCCAAGAACAAAAAGCCTGAAATCATCCTGCAGCCACAAGTAAAGACCTCTTAAATGCTGACTGTCAGCGGCAGTTGTCCTAGTTTGACAGGCCAGGTGAACCAAGACATAGTCATCTTGGAATCTAAGAATACAAAGACCCTGCACCCCTGGGGGAACAATATTTTCAATCAGGAAATGTATCCCTTAGTTTCCCTGAAAATCCGAATCTCTCCTGTTCTTTGATCTGTGGAAATGGAAATAGCTCAAAGAAGTTGAGATTCCCAAGTATGGCCAGGCAACCGGCAGTTCCAGCTGGTTCTGGGAGATCTTCCACAAATTTTAGTCGTTAACATTGTTTTTCTAGATACAGAAAAGCACTATTTTTCTAGATCCATTGCTTCCAAAGATCCAGAAAAACAGATGGGTGGGAAGACCCCTGAACTACAGTGATCATGTGATGTGGTTAGAGGCTAAAAATATCAAGAAGTCTGTGATGCAAAAGGAGAATGGGCATCTAAGTAGGGGACCAATAATCTCAGCCCAAGAATGTAAGGCTGCCAGGAATCCTTTCTCTATGCTTAACTCCATGATTAATTAAACTCTTTTAAATTATGCCAGAATTAACCCTGTCAATAGAAATGTTGCCCACAGGCTTTGTTCTCAGCCTTTTGAATTTCCCTTTGTCCTTTTGTGTTTGTTTTATGAGCAATCAGAAAGTACTCCTGAAGCCAAGGAAGTCTGAGCCAGTGACAACCCCTCCTCCCCACAGTCCAGAACACACAATGGTGATAACTTGGT
This sequence comes from Homo sapiens, assembly GCF_000001405.40. Classification (NCBI taxonomy): domain Eukaryota; kingdom Metazoa; phylum Chordata; class Mammalia; order Primates; family Hominidae; genus Homo; species Homo sapiens. The sequence continues at coordinate 104,791,147 of NC_000007.14, read as the reverse complement.
TACTGGAGAGGAATCAGCTCAGAAAAACAGTTCCAATTATACCAACAAGAAGCTCAAAGGAAAAGAGGGCAGGTTATAGAAATAATACTAGAATATTAACCATAGAAAAACAATGTTAAAGACTAAAGTTTGTGGAAGATCTCCCAGAAAGTTCAAGATGCTCTATCTGTGCTTTTCATTTAGGTCAACCATGTGGAGAAAGACCAAATGACTTAATAATACAACCGTACATTTGAATAGTATTTCATAGACACAGATGACTTTTGCTTGTCCTGTCTTATTTGATGTCCTTACTTGAACCTGGGAAGCAGGTATATAAGGTATTCATTTGTATGCAAGGAAAATGGGGCTTGAAAATGTTATGTGACTTGCCCAAGGTAAAAAATGACGAGGATTCTGGTCTTCTGACAACTGGTTGGATATGAATTTCACTGCACTAGAATGTCCATCTTTCCTGCTTAACATATTTCAGGAGGGTGAATTCTAGACGATGGGCTTGGCATCCTGACATAAATCAGATAGCAATTAAGATGACTAATGGTCTGCTTTAGGAACCATGAGTTTCAAAAGGAAAACAGGATACAATGTTGTACCTAGGTGGTTTATACTCTGGTTGGGGAAAGTGGTCCTAAAATAAAGAATAAACAAGACACTGCCAAACTGGATGGTACCAAAAAAAAGTGCAAGCAAATTCCAGAAAGGAGACATACGTATGGCCAGGCAAAGGTTTTCAGACAGGAGATAGGACCTAGGTGAACTGCACATTGTAGACAAGCAGGCTCTGTCTATGGGAGAGCAGCAGGGTGCATGAATCCTCCCTGGGGAGTGAAAAAGGCAACTCTAGAAACCTCTTGATTTTAGCAGGTATAAGGAGATTTTGGAATTTTTGGGGAAAATTGCCTTGGGTGGTAAACAGAAGGTCAGGCTATGAGGACCCCCATCCCTTAAAGCTTTAATATCAATTTCAACGCTTGGAATTGCATTTGGAAGCAACCAGGTAGCTAGGCTAGAGTGCAGAGCCCTGGTGAATAAACACAGTCCATCTGGTTTACACTATTCAGCAAGGTGACTTCATTGGCTTTTTTCTTATCATGCAAGACAGTTTTGAATACAGAAACCTAGCAGGATAAATCAGGAAATTCGGAAACCCAGAGACAGATTTGCTTGGCTGGCATATTCTACAATACATAATGTTAATTTAGTGCCCTCATTGTATAGTAGATGGAAAAAACCGCTAGAAAAAATTAGGGCTCATAATCAGTCTCAATATTGACAAGAGTCTTGTTAAAGGGATCACTCTTCATTAAGATGTGTGTGGGAGGAATTCTCTTGAAGGGCATCTAAGTCAACCACAGCTTCCTGAACTCAGGGCTGATAATATTAATGATCAGTGCTGGAGACTTAACAATGGAGGGAAAAACATAGTTTATGAATGGATGGCTACATTATGTAATTTTTCTCTGCTTTTCTACCTCTTTAAGCTGTGCAAATCCACATTAAGATACATACAAATGTAGTGTAAAATTGGGGGGAGGGGGTGTGGGAGTCACTGACACTCGAAAATAGGAGCCAAAATTTCTTACTCCTAGTAGGCTGGGTAAAGGGACAGAAAGCTGGAGTCTATGCTGTTAATCTTAATTTTGTTTTCTGCATAGTGGCTTTCCATGAAGATAGCTGAAGACTGATTGGAACATGGAAAAGCCCAGAAATCCAATCCAGTTAAAAATGACCCCTTAACATTTCTCTGAACCCCAAGAGTCTCTTGGAGTTAAGAGTCGTTCTAACTCACTTATTTCCTGAACTCTGTCCCCAAGACTGAGTTAGGTTCTCTTCTTATACTCACCAAGAACACCATGTACTTATCAAGCTATAGTTAGAGTGTATGTGTCTGTGTGCGAAAGAGGGAGAGAAAGAGAACATTTAAACAGTTCAGGCTGGCTATTGGTCTTCCTTCCCATTTATGGAAGATGAGCTATTGGTAAGCATGTGAGGAGCTGTGAATTCCACACTTCTCTCAATCCTCAGTTCCCCTGTGTTTTCCATAGCATGAGCATCTTGCTGTATTGTGTGTTTTGGAGTTTAAAGAAACACATTTTTTAAAAAAGCATAGTCCACAAATACAAGAATGATGCTCTACCAAGAAGCAGCAATTGCTTCCATCATCAGTGGAAAGATAGGCTTGCTGTGTTGGACTTAGGGAAATGGTGGTGCCTTCTTAAAGAGATTTTCAAGGGTAACTTCTGCTATATATTTTGCCTTGCCTACTGACTTTAGACCACAACTCTTGTTTAAATGCAGTCTTGTTGAGGAGTGAGAGAGGGAACGAGTGAAGGAGAAAAGAAAGACTGAAGAAGTGACCAGTTTGATTTAGATAACTCTCCTTAACGCTCAGGAAAATATATCCTTGCTCGCAAACGGTTACATGCTCCAATTGTTGATGTAGCATTTTTTAGACTCCAGCAATTCTCACAGCTTTCACATGAGGAAGTCAGGGAGAAGACAGCTTTGTTCTCATTAAAAAAACAAGAAAGTCATGGTACCAACTGGCTTTAGTCAGTGAGAAAGCATTACACCTGGAATTCCAGACTCAGTCTATCTTCTCACATGTATAATTTAAGCATGAAATAGGCCACTACATACTTTTCCAACAGTGTGAGGGCAAAAGTAACAGAAAAGTTTCTTATAGTCTTTTTGGAAGAAGCTCTACAATAGATTGAATAGATAAAGTGTGAAATGGTGTGTGAAGACTGTGCTAAGTTAACAGAGGAGTCAGTCTGAGAGGCTGTCGCTGGCAGGACTCAGGAGGGAGCATCTCTGATGCCTTCTGGAAAACACCATCTTGAAGAGCCATTTCAGATCCCTGGATACACGTGTGCTGAGCTTCCTACTAGTTAGGCTGCAGGTGATTCTGTTCTGTTTATTAGACTATAAATTAGTTGACCTACATCATGTGTCAGAGATTATAAGAACAGAACCAGGAAATCAGCTGAGAGTACTCCTCATAAAGAAATTATGTTTTCCCCCACGCGTGAGCAGAAATAAATGGTTTCTATTCTTCCTACGGCACCACATAGTTTATAAAAGAACCACTAGGGATAGGTTGTGATGCACAGGGTTTAAAAATTCAACGAGAAAGAACTCGACAAAGATAACTGCTATACACTGAATGTTTGTGTCTCTCCAAGCCCCTTTAATTCATTTGTTGAAAACCTAACCCCCAACATGACGGTATTAGGGGGTGGGCCTTGGGAGGTGATTAAGTCATAAGGGTGGAGCCCCCATGAATGGGATTAGTGTTCTTATAAAGGAGACACCAAGCACTGGCTCTCACCTGTAATCCCAGCACTCTGGGAGGCTAAGGCAGGAGGAACCCAGGAGTTTGATACCAGCCTGGCAACACAGGAAGACCCTATCACATACACACACAAAAATAGCCAGGTATGGTGGCGTGCACCTGTACTCCCAGCTACTCAGGAGACTGAGGTGGGAAGATTGCTTGAGCCCAAGAGCTCAAGGCTGCAGTGAACTGTGATTGTGCCACTGCACTCCAGCTTGGGTTACAAAGCAAGACCTTGTCACAAAAAAGAGATTTTCGTTATCTCTCTGGTCCTTATGCTATGTGAGGATGCAAGGAGAAGAATGCCATCTATGGAAGCAGGCCTTCCTCAGACACCATATCTGTTGGTGCCTTAATCTTGGACTTCCCAGCTTGCAGAACTGTGAGAAATAAGTTTCTGTTGTTTATAAGCCACTCAGTGTATGGTGTTCTGTTACAGGCGCCTGAAGAAAGACAATAACCACCCCAAACCTATTGTTTTCATGCTTTCTATTGTTTGAGGCCACATTACTGTACTGGGAATGAGCTAACATTAATTTTCGGCCTCACAGCTTCTATATTTCCACAAATCATCTAAATGATACTGAAAGCAATTGCAAGACTTTCCTATACTTGAAGGACAGAGTGCATAAGCTGAATAACATGGGGCTTCAGTAATGATGCTGAATTTTTCTGAGAGGTTCTCAATGCAACTATGAGAACAGTCCCTTTTAGAAATGGAAGGATATTTACCCCAATGCCCAGTACTGAAAATATCTAAAAACAAGAAAACAGAACAAAACATAAAAGTAAGTGGCTTGCAATAGCAAAGATGTACTATAATAATTTCAGATTGCAACTAGGCCTACTTATACAGAGGGCACAATAGAAGGATTTTCTAGAATTGTCGGTTCTTAACAATGCTGGGCTTTTATTAAGTATATCACTATGTTATTTTAAAAGTTAATTTTTTAGTAATGAAATTGCATTCATGTGATTTTGGTAATTAAACTTGTGTAATTAGAACAAATGAGCAGAATTAGATTGCACTAGCCATATGTAACAACATTATTGGGTATATAAATCTTTTTTTCAAGTTTTATATAGCACGTACACACACACACACACACACACACACACACCCCACACACACACAGTAGTAGTCTTATTTGACAGGACCAGGAACTTTCATCTTAGTGTGTTTAGAATGGCACCTATTATTTCAATCCATCTTACTCCTCTGCCTACAGGGAATTATACCGGTGGCACTAGAGATGTAAATGAGATCTGTTAGTGAGCAGTGAGAATGCATGGGTAAGTAGCAGATTGAGAAAGTTGATTCTATGGTAACAATACCTTCAATTTATTAAACATTACATTATAATAGATATAGGGTTAATCACTTTATATATCACCTCATCCAAAGTTTGACAGTGCTATGAGGTAGGTGGTATTCTTATTCTCCTTTGACAGATGAGGAAGCTGAGCAAGTAGCTCCTGACCATTATGCTAGTTTGATAAAATTAAAGATTATAATTCTAAATATTGCCACAGACTCCACTCTCTGCTTTTTCATCTTTCCAAGCGGGTCGCTGAATTTTATATAGACATTTCAGTCTTTAACCAGTGGCTAAGCTGGTTGGACCACTGTGCTGATGAGGGAATTTTTTAAAGATGAAATGGTTTGCATCATAGCTGTGTGGCTCCTTGGTAAGTGTTTATTCCTTGTTCATGAGGCACCAGTTGCTTCTAGGAAGGGAAGGTTGGGAATAGTGGACGGTCTTTCCACACAGAGGGTCTGACATGGACACAGTGTACATGGAGGTACAGAAGGGCATTGTGCAGAGGGCAAGTGTGTTTGCAATTTGGCAAATTTGGGGGTTCAGGGAAGAAGGACTGGTGGAACCAATGGGGGCCAGAATAGAGGAGATTTGTAGGCCCTATCAATGCTTGTGGAATTAACCCTGTAGGAGATAGGGGCCTATGATGGTACCAGTGTGGTCAAGGTTTGAGCAGTAAAGCTGCATAATGAAATTTTCCCTTCAGAAAGAAAAATCTGACACTAGTGTGGAGAATGAACTTCTTGGACGAGCAAACAGAGGTGAGGAGAAAGCAGTTGAGAAATCATGAGGACTTGGGAGGGAGGGAAGTGGCCAGAGCCTCAAGACATTTCTAGGTTAAGATCCACAGGGTTTGGACAGCCAGTGAAAGCAGGTTGGGAGAATACTTAGGGCAATATTAACCAAGATCAAGAGGAGAAGCCTTTTTATTCCCATTGGAGAACTTAAGTAAATTAAATTTTGGACATGTTGAATTTGAGGGACCTATGGGACAGTCAGCTGGAGGTGTTCAGAAAGTAGTTGGAAATATGGCTCTTGAAGCTTCGAGTTGGGTTGGGGCTAGAGTTCTAGATATTCACTTACTTAGCAGAGGTTTATTGAGTGCCTACTAAGCTCTAGGCTCTATTCTGGAGACCGGAAGTAGAGCAGTGAACGACAGTCAACTGCACCTATGGAGATGGCTGGCAAAGCTGGAGAAGTGGCTGAAGTCCTTGGGAGTGTGAAGAGGGGATGGCCAAGGATGGAGCCCTGAGGAATCTCAACAACCAAAGGGTAGGTGAGAGAAGAGGGGGAGGGAATGAAGGGGACTAAGACAGAGTGGCAAGGGAGACAGGAACACACACTATTAGAAGAAAGAAAGGGAGGGAAGCAGGTCCACTTTTTTAAAAAAATTAAGAAATATTTTTGAATGATGATAAAAATCACATAGCCTAAAATTTACCATCTTAATCATTTTTAAGTATATACTTCCACAGCATTAATTATATTCACATTGCTGTGCAATGGATTTCCAGAACTTTTTCATCTTGTAAAACTGAAACTCTAGACCTGTTAAGCAATGGCTCCCCACTTCCCCTTCCCTGCCCTTGACAATCATCATTCTACTTTCTACTTCCATGAGTTTGACAACTTTAGATCCCTCACATAAGTGGGATCTTATGGGGCTTGTCTTTTTGTGACTGGCTTATTTCACATAGCACAATATTCTCAAGATTCTTCCATGTGGCAGCCTATGACATGAAAGTCATATGACATTTTGTTTATTCATTCATCTGTCAATGGACATTTAGGTTGCTTCTACCTCCTGGCTATTGTGAATATAATGCTGCAGTGAACATGGATGTACAAATATCTCTTTGAGATCTAGCTTTGAATTCTTTTGGATATGTATCCACAAGTGGGATTGCTGGATTACATGGTATTTCTGTTTTTAATTTTTTGAGGAATTGCTGTGCTGTTTTTCATAGTCTACTTGGTTTTTGACATCATTTTCTAATTCTGTCTGGAAAGAATAGAAATAATAACTATTTGGCATATTAGCTGTGTGCTGAGCAGAGTATGTGCATTATTTTATTTAATCCTCAAAACAACATTCTGAAGAGGTATTATTACCACATTTTGCAGGCGAGGTCCAGAAATGTTAAGTAGGCCACACTGCTGGTTGGGATCTGGGACTTGAATTCAGTTCTTTCCTGGTTTTCAGATGTAGCTGTTTTGATGTTTTGTTTCTGTTGAGAAGAGCTCATTTCCCCAAGTTCCCAAGTAATTTATGAAATGTTTTTCATAATTTGGAGAGTATTTTGTAAATCAACAAGGTTACATTTAAAGATTGAGAGTCAGTGATTATACTACCACTCTTTGGCAATTCCAGCCCCAAATTCTTAAATAGTCATAGCTCTCTATGCAGAAAATAGAAGCAGTTCATTCTTACACATCACCAGCAGCACTCTGGGTTGGCACTACATTGAGCCTCTCATCCTCAGCTTGGTGTCTGCATTGTATCCAGTTGCTGTTATTGTGCAGAATTAATGAATAGTTTGCAAACTAGCGTCACTTCTGTGAAAGTTGATGGACATGTTAATTACACCTTATTTAGATTTCACAGTTGCATGACCCAGATTCTTCTTTTCTACAAAATTTCCAAAGGTTTAGTGGCATTTTAGAAACTCCAGTAAACATAGCATACTAAAATACAAGCAATGGAGGAACTGGTTGGGCAGAAATGGGAAGATGATGAGCTTGGTTTATCTGACTTCAGGGCTAGAGTCAGGTAGTTTATTTTCAGGGATTTAGGTAGATTCAACAGTGTATATCTTTGGGGTTTTATTACAGTCTTTTGTAGTTAGGTATCCTGTACCTCCTCAGAATCTCCTTTCTATTATGCAAGCATGAAAGCATTTATTTGAAGCCTGATCCAACTGCTGATTACAAATATCGTCGGTGCATTACATTTCTTGTTTTTGGCGTTTGCAGTCTACCTCTCTAGAAGATTGTGATGTACACGTGGATTTGAATCTTGGCTTCAAAATTTCTTATTGAACTACTAACATGACAGGCATTATGTAGATGCTGGGGATTCAGCAGTCAACACGATACAGTCCCTGACTGTGGGAACTAAGAGAGAGCCCACTGGGGTTAAATAAGTATGTAGGCATTTGTACTATACTGTGAGAAGGGTTATGGTCAGGATAAGGATGGGGAACTGTGGAAACACACAGGAGCAGTCCCTATTCCTTGTTGGGTAAAGAGTTAAGTTAAAGAAAGCTTCCTGGAGGAAATGCTGTTTAAGCCAGTGATTCTGACTTCAATGTGCACCAGAAGCACCTTGTGGGGTTGTTAAAATATTGATTTCTGGTTCCCACATCTAGCATTTCTGATTCCCTAGTCTGAAGTTGGGCCTGAGGATTTGCATTTCGAGTTAAGTTCCCAGTTGATGCTGATGCCTGTTCTGGGATTGCACAAGTGATTTGAGAACCATTTCTTTAAGCCAAGATCTTAAGGAGGGATAAAAGAAGGCAATGTATGTGTGCATGTGTGTGTGTGCGCGCGTGCGCACTTGTGTTCATCCACAGGAAGTGGGAAATGGGGGTTGCTGCATAGAAGCTTACTGCAAAGGGAACGGAATGTACAAAGGCTTGGAGATAAGTGAAAGCATGGCATGCTTGTGGACATCAATATTGTAGAGTGTAGCGTATAAGAAAGATGTGGTGAGAGGTGAAGGTGGAGGTATCAGCAAGGGACAAATCACAAAGGACCTAGTTGGCTATGCTAAGGAGTTTTGGCTTCCCCCTAAAGGCAATGGGAAGCTGTTAAAGTGGTTCAGTCAGAAGAGTGATGTGCTATGATGTGATATGCATTACAGAAAGGTTGTTCTGGCTTCACTGTGGATAATGGAATGCACACACATGGGAGCAGGAGACCAGTTAGGAAGGCATTGCAGTAAGCCAGGAGAAAGATGGTGACCATGACGAAAGTGTCTTTTTGTTGAAGAGAAGAAGGTTGTTGAAGAGAAGAAGGTTGTTGCAGAGGATAAATTCTTGGTCCCTTCCTCCCACTCAGAGTTGGGGTCTATATTTACTACCCTTGAATCCGGATGAGCTTATGAATAGTTGATCAATGGAATAAGGCGGAAGTAATGATGTGTCAGATTGCAGGTTCAGCCTCTAAGAGACTGCTAGCTTCTTTTCCTTTCTCTTGGAGCACTTGTTCTTCAATTGCTAAACTGCATTGTGAGAAGATTGACAACTTTGCTGAAGAGACCATGTGGAGAAGTCCTGAGGCTGCATGGAAAGGAACGGAATCCCAATTTTCTGGTTACCACTACCAAGGTGCTAGGCATGTGAGTGAAGCCATCTTAGAACCTCCAGCCCAGCCCAGTCATTAGCTGAATACCATGCATGATGCCATGTGGAGCTGAAGAATTGCCCTGCGGAGCCCTGCCTGAATTCCTGGTCCATGATATTATAAGCGTGATAGAACGGTTGCTGTTTTAGGTAATTAAGTTTTGGGGTAGTTTGCTGTATGATAATAGATAACTGGAACAATTTTCAGTAATAAAGTCACAAAGAACATGAATATTTAAGTGGCAGACAGAGGAAGCAAGGCCTTCAAAGCAAAATAAGTAGTAAGGAGGAAAACAAGGAGAGTGTGGTGTCATGGAAGCCAAAAGAAAGGAGTACTTCAAGTAGGAAGGAGTGGTTATCAATGTCAAATTCTGCTGAAAAGTAGAAAAGTATAGGGACTGAACAGTATCCTTTCGATTTAATGCCACAGATGTCACTGGTGACATTGAAGAAAGTCTGATAAGTTCAGAAGATGGTTTGCAATGAGAAGGTAGAGGCGGAAGGAGAAAGTAACTATGTCAAGGAGCTTCATGATGAAGAAAGAGGGTAGATGCAGGTTGAGAAAAGGTTTTTATTTTACAGTTAGTAGATGCGCAAATTTCAGTGATGTTGGGAAAAATACAAAATGCAGGAGAGGGTGAAGAGAGGCACTGGGCAAATAGATACAGTAAGTATTCTGCAGAAAGCAGAGGGGATGTCCCAGTGTGCAAGCAGAGGAATTTGGCTGACACAGAAGGAGGGACCCCTCTTCCACTGTGACAGGAGAGATGGGAAAAATGATGAGATAGAGGAAGATAAATATGTAAATGTGTAGCAGCCATAAGGTGATGGGCTACTTTATCTGATGGTGCTTATTTCTCCTGTGAAGTAGGAAACAAGGTTGTGCACTGACTGGTTGGGGAGTTGTTGAGATAGGACATTTAGGAGAAGAAAAAAGACCTGAAATAGCCACTGGGTGGGACAGTAGGGGACCAAGCAGAGAAACAAAGAAAATTTGTATCCTTGGGAATGGTACCTATTTCTGTGGTTACGTGAATTTTTTTTTCCCTCTGATATTCCTTAACAGTCCAGGTGTAGACTCAAAGAGGACAGAGAGTTGGATTAACCTGGGGTTGGCATCCTGATGGACTTCAACAAGGCACATGGCAAAGGAGTTGAGGATGTTGGCAAAGAACGGGTTGAAGTGAGGGCACACTGGTCAGAAATCGAGTGATGACAAGGGAAGAAAGTCAAGTCTGAGGGATCAAGGTCTTGATCAGGTTGAAGGACAGAGAATGGATATCCAGTTTTGGTTTTTCAGAGGTGGTAAGTAACTGCAGAGTCTGGGGTCTGCAGGATGTGGCTTGCGTGGAGAAGAAGGCATTGAAATTGAGAAAATCAAAGAACTGAGAGGTTTCATTCATGTGGATGGTCACTGATGTGGACAAAAGAGGTGTCTGAAAAGGTGGCAGGGCTTGAGAGTAGAGGCAGACTGTGGACCAGCTGTCAAAGTGTTTAGAAAGTGAGCAAGGGTGGGCGGTTGTAAGTGACAGTGGTGAGGAGAGGCTGTGAGAGAGGTAGCCTGGTGACACGAATCTCAAAGAATCTTTTCCCCCCTTGTCTGTTTTTGAGGTGCCAGGGTGCCAGGATATGCTCTGGAAGCAGCACTAGAGACCAAGAAGTATACTGTCACCGGTGCCTTACAAAGCTGTGGGAGAAGGAGCTGCGTCCTCTGGGCAGGGCTAGAGAAGTGGGGTCTTCAGGGCAGGTTTGGATTTTAGTTAAGGGAAAGAGGCAGAGAGAAAGTTTAGGGAGGAGGTGAGGACTTACGGGGATATGCTTACCAAAGAATGGAGGTGTCAGGGACTTGCTGGCAGCGGGAGTGGGAATCCTGTCGGGGTCTCTGCTCTGGCTCCCTTTCTTTCAAGGCTTCTTCGTTCCTGGGAAGCTTCTGCACTAGACCTCACTCACAAGTGGGAAGTGGCCACTGGTATGTGGGGTGGGGCCCTATCCTTGTGGATGAGGGAGCTCTGCCTGTAGACAAAACCACATCTGTACAGATCTGCACAAGAGGAGGGGCCACTGGGGGCCAAGGGCTGGTGTTAACAAGCTTGTGGATGAAGGGAGTTCCTCCTGGTTGCCTTTTGTAAATGATTGTCTCTCTGGTCACATACTTGTAAAATTCAAACTTCCTTCCCTCACTTACAGGCACATTACAAGCCATCACATAGATTAAAGTTTAGCTAAAAAAAAAACCCCACTAATTTATATTGTTTAGAAGAGTTCCAGCTAGGGGCTTTAGCCATGAAACTGCTCCGGCGACGGAGTCTTGCAGATCAACCACAGCTCTGATAAGAAGACTATGGATTATGGTCGAGTCAGACCTGCATCTCCATCAAGTTCTATCATGTTCTATCAAGTTTGGCAGTGGCCAGCGCATATCAGTGCTGAATCAGTGTTCATGGACAAAGGAAGAAAGCAAGGAAACAAACACTAGAGATCAGAAGTCCAGGAGCTTGATCTCCCACAACCTTGTGCAGAGGTCACTCATCCAGAATCTGTTGACTATCAGAACGGCTGAGTCGCATGGAGTTCAGATCCTGTGCCTGGTGCAGGGAGAGGGGAAACACACCAGCCACAGACTTGACCACTCCAGAGATCTAACCAAGAGGCATCCTGGGCGTCACAGACTCCCATGGAAGGAATAATTGTCTTGATTCCCAAGTGGAATTAAAACCCTTCACTCTGTGTTTCTCCAGTTATCCAAACTATATTTTGGTTATGAAACATACAAAAATAAATAAGTCATTTCCCTGCCCTCAGGAGCTTGAAGTCTAGTGAAAGAGACAGACAAATGAATACTCAATGATGAGAGTGATTATGTTATGGGATGCTTCCTGTGCATCACACACTGCTGACATGCTTTACACCTATGACCTGCCTAATCCTCATAACCACCCTATGAGGTGAGTACTATTATTAATCCCGTTCAATAGATAAAGAAACTAAGGCATAGAGATCATACAGCTATTAAGTGTGGCAGGGGCAAGTCTTGCAGGTAGTCAGTCAGGCTGCAGGGGTGTGCTCTGCATCATGAAGCCACCTGTGATTATAATACATGTGATAATGGCTATTGAAAGCTTATGTCCAGGGAGAAAAGAGGCAACGATGAGATCCTAAAGAGTATGTATGGCATTTGAATTCAGTTTTGAAGAATAATAATGGCTCCCATTTATTTAGCCAGGCATTATGGCAAGTACGCCACATAAAATAATTCTGTTTAACTGAACCCTTCTGACATCTCTCTGACATTAGCTCTGTTATCATTATCTCCATTTTAGAGAAGAGGATGCCGAAACACAGAATGGTTGCTGACTATGACAGTGTGTAAGTGTTGCAGCCTGGATTTTAACTGAGGCAGCCTGGTCCAGAGCTGGGGCACCCACCTGCTGCACTGCAAGGGCCTCTGCCCAACAGTTCCACGGGCGGAGAAGTGGTAGATGATAGTGCGAGGGGAAAGTGAGCCCTAAGTAGGAGGCTGGCCTAAGTAGGAGGAGTTGTGTTTGGGAGATACAGTGGATGTTAGTGGGCTCAGGAAGTTCCTGCAGGTACACATGGTTGCTGGAAAACTGGAGAAACACAGAGTGAAGGGTTTTAATTCCACTTGGGAACCAAGATAATCATTCCTTCCATGGGAATCTGGGGAGCTCAGGACGCCTCTTGGGTAAGTCTCTGGAGTGGTCAAATCTGTGGCTGGTGTGTTCCTGCACTAGGCACAGGATCTGAACTCCATGTGACTCAGCCATTCTGATAGTCAACTGATTCTGGATGAGTGAGACCAAGGTGGGTAGGGTCACCGCCTCTGCACAAGGTTGTGGGAGATCAAGCTCCCGCACAGCAGGAATGGGTATTAATCGACTCAAGGAGGTTAGGGACCATTGAGAGCCCACAGCAATGACAAATCTAAATCGCACTCAATCTTCTGGTTTCTAAAAGCATATGAAAGATATGATGAGAAGGATTTGGGACTTAGGATCTCCCTGGTCATAGCACCTATAGGTCCACCCTTTTAGGACCTGGGTCTACTTCTTCTTCTTCCAAAGCAGGGCTCTTGTTCCAGGATGCTGAGCCCAGATTGTCATGGAAGGAGCTTAGGTGAGCACTGTTTGGGGAAGGAGAACAAGTTCAATACATCCCAGATGTCTCTCTTAGACATAAAATCTTGCACAGGCCAATAAGAAACTGGTGAAGTAAGGCTGCCTAAATGACTTACTTAAGTTACAAGAGATCCCCACACTCCTTTTTCATGTCACTTGGAGGAATTTCTCAAAAGGACATGGTTCCTGCTGTGTTTCCATTCAAACTCTTATCTTCAGGTGAGTCACTCAGAAAGGGAACGAAGGGAAAAAAAAAAAAGAAGTTCATCAATGGCAACTGAACCGAGCATTGTACAGCCAGAGAGGACAGTGAAATGGTCTCCACAGTTTTCTTCAGAGTAATTAAGACAAATGATATTCTCTGTAGTGCTGGCAATCAGGCACTGGGGATTTCTGGGAAGGTTGCCTTTGGGGATTTGCATCAGGCCAAGGGAATTCTAACTGCAAAGGGAAATAAGAAACTGCAGACATAGCAACCAAAAGGCATCCTTAGGAATAGCCCTGTGGCTCCTTAGTCCAATCAGACTCTGGGCTGACAGCATTGCCTGAGAGCTGGGTACCCTAGCAGCATCAGGGTCAGAGCTGGTGGGGCCACAGCGGGGCATCTCCCAGATGACTTCAGGGCTTATTAATATTCCCTGGTAACTTCTTGAACCCTGTTTTCTAGGAGCCCTGGGAAGTAAAACAACAAGCACTTAAGCACAATGGCTCAAACCTATCACAGAATGTGCAGGGACCCATCAAAAACCATACTGGAAACACTGCCCTTTGAGAAGTTGTTGGAAGAATAGGATCATAATATTTCCAAATTTCAAGGCAGAAAATGAAGACAAGAGAGATGACTTCTTTCTCCCAAGGCCACATATTAATCTCCAAGGCCACATAATAATCTATGGGCTATACTTTTGCTCCCTGCATCTCTTTCCTGTGTTCCAGGCATCTTGAGGCTCCCAGAGGTCATGACACTTACTTAGAGCCAGATAGGACTGTGCCCTCCAGATGACACTGGACCATCTTGCTCCTTTTGAGTGAGCTGGTCTCAGGAGAGAGTTTACTAAATTGAGCCCCATTTTAGTTCTCAAGTGAGGCTTTTTGCAGTTGAATCAAGGGTGAAGGGTTTTCAGCCACAAGTAGGTATGTTTGCTCCTCTGTTGTAAAAGCCCATGATTGTTTTTTACAATGTAGAGTTTGTTACCCAACAAGTACAGTAGCCCAGCCCTGCAATCTGAATCCTCACATCCTGCGTGTTGTAAAATAGGAAACCAAATACAGGGGAACTGTTGCAGTGAAAACCAAACATCTATATGCCAGTATGAATACTTTGGGCATTAGAATGGCACCTTCTTGTTTGTTTAAAATCAGAGGTTCTCAAAGTATGTTCTTGGGACCAGCAGATTCACATCCGCTGGGAATGTGTTAGAAAAGCACATTCTTGGGCCTCACCTCCAGACCTGCAGAATCAGAAACTTTGGGAGGAGGGCCCAGTGGAGGTGGAGGCTTCCAAGACTTCAGGTGATTCTGATGTGAGAACCACTGGTAAAAGAAGGAGAAGCTGGCTGTGGGGGGTGCAATTCTGGTGCCTTGACTACAATTTTGGGGTGTTTCAGATAGTTGTGTCTTCCTTAGAGCTTGAGAGGAAAGCCTGAGGAATAAGGCTGTATGCAGGTGGGGATGGGGAGTCCCATGGGTGCCTCGGTAGCATCTGGATTGTGGGTGTGGTTTCTAGAAATTGCTGTATTTGGCAATAGGCCAAAGTGTTGTATTTCCAAATACATTTTTCTTATCAGTGTGGGCATATAATTTCAGTCGGAGCCTGGATGACTTTGGGCTCACAGAGTGACTTGCTTCCTAGCCCTTTGTATCTGTGATGTTCACCACAATGAAGCTTCAGTGTTCTTAGGATACATTTAGATTAAAACCCACTGGCGTTATACCATTCTTTGGCTTTAGTCTGGTACCAACCAGTTTACATGTTAAACCCAAACTAGAAAGTACAAAGATAGGATATGTTTGGAATTAGCTTCTTTCCTTTTAAACAATGCATTCCAAGATTCTGATACAAATCAGATGCATTTTAGAGAGTACACATGGAAAATCAAGACTTAAGAAAAATGTGAGCATGCATTTTTTATGTTCTGATAAGCTGAGAAAAAAAAAAAAGACAGAAAAGAACTCCCAGGGAACCTAGAAGAAGAAACCTTAAAGAATAAGCCTTTCAGACAGGAAGAAAGATTGTTAGTTGTTGGGTGTATTCAGAAGATTTGCATTTTTAAAGTTAGTGACTAATGTAATAAAAGGTTCCAGTTAAATTATTGCAGTGGCTGCTTGCTTCAGGGCAAGCAAAGAATCTTTGAGGTTTTAAATCATTTTCTTCAGTCTGGCATGAGAGGGTATTTTTAAGCTCCTACAAATGATTTCCATATTCTCTATAGTGTTTCTCCATCTGGCCCCTAATTTTCACACACCTGGCAGGAAAATGAAAAAAAAAATTTGTACAAACAATGTTGGTATTTGGGCATAAATGATTAATATTAAGAGAAAGCCAAGGCTTCTTTGGAAATATAGTTTGATTAATAGACTTTAAAAATTAGTAGCTGTATTGATTGATTGATTGATGGAAACAGGGTCTCACTCTGTTGCCCAGGCTAGAGTGCAGTGGTGTGATCTTGGCTCACTGCAACCTTTGCCTCCTGGGTTTAAGTGATTCTCCTTCCTCAGCCTCCTGAGTAGTTGGAATTACAGGCGCCTGCCACAATGCCTGGCTAATTTTTGTTTGCATTTTTAGTAGAGACGGGGTTTCACCATGTTGGCCAGGCTGGTCTTGAACTCCTGACCTCAAGTGATCTGCCTGCCTTGGCCTCCCAAAGTGCTAGAATTACAGGCATGAGCCACCGTGCCCAGTCAGCTATATTTAATTGTCAAACATATACTGTATTATGGTTATCCTATTTTTGAAACTTGGTGTGATTCAAACTCTGGCACGTATTGACAATGGTGCAGGATCTTTGAATTCAAACCTGCTCCACAAAAGCCAGCGATTTGCTGTAACTGTAACACCAGTGTTGATGGCTCAGCTTGCTTTGCATCAAGGAGGCAGGAGAAGTGGAAATTTTACAGTCTATGGTTCTGCTCTAATGTATAAAGATGCTAAAACTCATATGTTTTGCCTCCTGAATGAGGCCTTTAATCCAGCATGCTCCTTATACTACAAACAGAGATTCTCAGAGCAAAACTCTGTAAAAGGAACATGATCAGAAAGAACTGAATATATAAAAATACAGTACTTGAATAAAATGGACCATATCTTGATGCCCAGCATATAAGTCATCAAAGTACTCTTTTTCTAAAAAAGTCCAAGTTCTAGAAAAACACTGGAACACAGTGATAAGTTTTTGCTTAGAGGCTTTACTGAGATTTAACCACTAGAAAAGCTAAAGGCTGTGTTTGACCTTATGTTGCAAAGATCCTTTCTCTCTGTATTACTGGAATGAAGGTGTATAGCCAAATGGTGAGAATTGGGTTCTGGAGACTGGCTGCCTGGGGCCAAATTCTGAACCCATTGTTTATTAGCTGAGTGATAATGAAGGAGTTATCTAAAAATTTCTTGCCGTAGTTTCTTCATCTGTACTGTGAGGTGAGGATACTAGCAGTATCTAAGTCATTGCTAGGGTTATATAATGTATGTAGAAGACTTAGAACCATGCCTGGAACAGAGCGAGTGTTAGACAAATTTAGCTATCATTATGAATATCATTTTAATTTCATTAATGAGGGCTCTGTAAGAGAAGGAAGAGAAAAGAGAAAGAGCCACTTTCTTCCTGTCCCTTCTCCTTTCCTTCTGCCACCTTTCTCTCTTCCCATCCCTATTTCTTTGCCAGATTCCAAATGGGATTTGAAGCTGAGGAATGAACATTGAGCATGATTAGAACTATTCAGTGGGCAGAGCACTGTTTTAAAAGGCCAGGAGGCCTGAATTCTCTTCCTGGCTTTACATTAACTAGATGTGTGACTACACGGAAGTTGTCCTACCCTTTGTGTTCGTCTCTAGGGCTGTTGTAACAAAGTACCACAACCCGGGTGGCTTAAACAATAGGCATGTATTGTCTCACAGTTCTGGATGCTAGAAGTCAAGGATCACGGTGTCCGCAGGGTTGGTTCCTCCTTAGGGCTGCAAGGGAACATCTGTCCCAGGCCTCTCCCCTACCTTCTGGTGGTTTGCTGGCAAACTTTGGCATTCCTTAGCTTGTGGATGTGTCGCCCGATCTCCACCTTCATCTTCACATGGCATTCTCCCTGTGTGGGAGTCTCTGTCCAGGTTTCTTCTCTTTGTAAGGACTGGGCCAGGGGCCTGCCCTACTGCAGTGTGACTGCATCTTAACTAATTTCATATGCAACAACCCTATTTCCAGGTAAGGGACAGATTCTGAGATACTGGAGTTAAAACTTCAACATATGAATTTTAGGGGGATGCAATTCAACCCATAGCACGAGGGATAGTTCTCAGAATCTCTATGCTTCTCCAAGAGGGGAATAAAGGATGCATGGCATTTCTGAAATTTATCCAACTAGAGAGCACATTTGCTCAACTGTGGAGGATCATCAGGGCCTCACGCTAACACTCCTGCCTTTTTGGGAACATCTGCTTCCCAAATGAGGTCATTACTTCCCCATTACAGAGCTGACTGTAACCAGGCACAGGAAGTCCTTCCTCCATCTCTGAGCAGAACTCACTGGGCCCACCCCCAGAGGCACACTGCCTGTCCTTGGTTAGCTTGCCAGGATGGGGGGTGAAGTCCAGCCAGTGGCCCCTCACTGCCCTGTCAGGTTCTGGGTGGGTAAGAAGACCCCCACCAGGGGACTTCTCTGGCTCAGAGGCAGCTAATGTGGATGACAACGAGGCTGGGCCACTGCATTTACATTCAAGCAGCTGTGATCCCATAAATACTACAGGGGAAAGCCCACCAGGGAGAAAACAACTTACTCATAAAATTTTAATAAATAGGTTAAAAGAAAAACCTGCCTCAGCTTCTCTTTGTGTTGCTGTCAGCAAGCACATCTCTTGCAGCAAGCTGACATTCTTGTTGACAGCGCTGTTAACAGCACTCCGAATAAGGTAATTACCCAATAAAGTTAATGTTAGCCAAATTGCACAGAACTTGAATTAAAAATTTATCTGATTGAAGGATTGAAGCCTGAGTCATGTGTCTTCCCCATTGAGCATGCAGTTTGCCTGCCTCGAGAGTAGGATACGTCACAGGATGGAGGCTGGCATTTACATTCTGGAGGTGAACCCACTCTCAGAGGCAGGAGCTGAGAATGCTTTCTTCTCTACCTCGAGGCAGCAGGGGAATGAGATTTCTGTGTTCTTCTTTATCTCTGTGTGATGTTTCCATTCACTTTGCAGAGCAGCAGTGCAGTCTAGCGCAGCCTGCCCTTTCCTGGTGAGGACTGAGCTGGGGTGGCATCAGAATAAGAAAGGGCACTGCTGTGACTGCTGTGACTGCTGTGTAGGATCCGGTGTCCTTGTAGGGCTGGTGGAGGAGGCAGTCGGAGCCCATTGTCTGAGCACACCGTAGGGGCTGCATGGCTATAAGACAGCTCACACCAAGGCTATTAGGCTTGAGCAGAAAGAGAGCAGGACTTGAGATCAAAAGAATTGGGTTCTAATAATCACTGAGCCATTAACTAATTAAAAGGTTTTTGGCAAGTCACTTCCTTTCTTTGTGCCTCATTTTTCTCATTTGTCAAATGGAGGTAACGAAATTTGTTCTATCCCTCTGGGTTGGGAGAATAAGAATAATAAAAGATGTGGAAATACCATGAATATAAGCAGTTATTAATAGGCTCAAATGAAGGTATGATTGGCCAGCAGAGATATTAAAAATGAGGCAAAAGGGCCGGGCGTTGTGGCTCATTCCTATAATCCCAGCACTTTGGGAGGCCGAGGCAGGCAATCACGAGGTCAAGAGATCGAGACCATTCCTGGCCAACATGGTGAAACCTCTTTTCTACTAAAAATACAAATTTAGCTGGGCGTGGTGGCACACACCTATAGTCCAGCTACTTGGGAGGCTGAGGCAGGAGGATCGCTTGAACCCGGGAGGCAGAGGTTGCAGTGAGCCGAGATCACACCACTGCACTCCAGCCTGGCGACAGAGCGAAACCGTCTCAAAAAAAAAAAAAAAAAAAAAAAAAAGAGAGGCAAAAGAAAAATTAATAAGTATTGAAAATAAAACTAAGGGTAACTTCTGGGCTTAAGGAGAAAGAGCCTACAGTCTCTTATTTTCACTGGAGAGGGTAGTAAACAAATCACACAGGAGTGAGGATTATGAGTGGCGTGAGCAGTATTTATTAGCGACTACAAAATAGAGCCAAAATATCAATATTCATTGGGCTGTAAAATCAAATTTTCTTTAAAAAATACCCTGTGAAATACTCAAAATGTAATTTATAACCACAATAATATAATTAGTATATATTTCCAAAAACCTGTAGAACTGGAGAATATGGCTATATTCTCAACTGAAGCAAATAATGTATCAAATGGCAGCATTTTCCAGTAAAAAGAGCCCTGAGCCCTGAGCAGACAGATGCTGCTTCTGACATGAACAAATCATGAGAAAATCACCTCTGTCCCCTTGTTCCCTTGCCTACAAAATGGAGGTAATTCCTGCCCTATTCAACTCATGGGGCTGAATGAAACGAAATGAAATGAAACACATATCTGAACAAGTGAAAGTGCCATACACCTGTGAGGTAAGATTATTTCAATTATTTAGTCAGGTGTCTGTTCTTATTCTAATTTAATTCAACAAACACTGATTTGTTGAGGGGGTCTACTGGCAGAGCGTGGTAAGTTTGGCAAGAAGCTGCCCATACTGTGTGGCTTTGTGAAGAGGAGAAAGAACTGGAAGGGCTGGGAAGGGCTCATTACAGAGGTGTTGAGAGAGCTGCCCCCAAAAAGTGTGAACAAAGTTTCTTTCATCCATAAATATATGTTGAGCTCCAACCATGTGCTGAGCACTGGACTAGGGGCTTGCGGGGATTCATCAATGAGCAGAATGAATATCCCCACACTTAAAAAACTGACATGCTACAGGGGATGACGGGCATGCGGTGGGGCACAATATGCAAGTTGCAAGGGTGAGGAGGGATCATCAAGGATGAGATAACTGAGTTAACAAAAACACAGAAGGAGAACTTACAGGGGTTATGAGGCTGTGGAAAATAGGCTTCATATCTGGTTTTGCTTCAGATGACTTGGTAGTGGCTGCCTGGAATCTGTGTTGAGGAGGATTCTGAGATTTCCTTTTGGCTCTGGTGGAAGAGTGCCAGGATTGATTACTGATGTCCACAATGGGTGTGGGAGGGGATAATTGGATGAGTGTTAGATATTCACCATTCCCAGAGAGGTTCTGTGTGACATTCCAATCTCTGCTCTTCCAGTCTTCTGAGAATGGTACGAAGCTTAATAAGCGAGTATTTAAGTCCAGCATTTGTGTGTACATGAAAAATTATTTGGATATTCTCAGAGAAAGCTCTGCTATGTAAATGCCAGTGTTAATGGTATACTTCTCCAATCTTTTACCTTCTCTTTATTGAGACCATGAGCAGGCAAGTAACTCAGCTATGTTTTATAGAACCTGTTTCTGTTTGTGATTCCACTTCTTTGGCTCCCTGCACTCCAAACTCAAAATGAGTGTCAGCCTCTTAGAGCCTCAGAATTTTTAGTTGCTCATATGCTACACTTGTCTTCTGTTTGGGGTCATATAATACATCCCTCCATGGCATTCAGAGGAAGTGATCTACCTTTTTCCTTTAAGTCTCCTGAAGTAACTATGCAACCTTCCTTGATAACTCTGTAAGAGATACAGTGTATTGTAGTTCCAGAATATCTCGTACCAGGCTGACTCTGGCTTTCTGGCTGAGCCTTAAAGGTAAATGGGGGTTTGGGAGAAACCCTTTTTCTTAGCCCTTGATATGTTAAATAAAGAAATTCAGAAAATCCTATATTGCTTATAAGCAATTGTCTTGGTGCAAAATTTTGTATGTCAAAAATAAAATGTTAATTTTTTCCTGTTAGATTGAACCATATGAAATTGCTATTTTTTCCACCTTCAACCATGTCCCCGCAAATGACGTAAACTCATCCTTTTTTTATGGCTGCATAGTATTCCACGGCATATATGTGCCACATTTTCTTTATCCAGTCTATTATTGATGGACATTTGGGTTGGTTCCAAGTCTTTGCTATTGTGGAAACCATCATTCTCAACAAACTATCACAAGAACAGAAAACCAAACACCGCATGTTCTCACTCATAAGTGGGAGTTGAACAATGAGAACACATGGACACAGGGAGGGGAACATCACACACCGGGGCCTGTCGGGGGTTGGGGGGGCTAAAAGAGGGACAGCATTAGCAGAAATACCTAATGTAGATGACGGGTTGATGGGTGCAGCAAACCACCATGGCACGTGTATACCTATGTAACAAACCTGCATGTTCTGCACATGTACCCCAGAACTTAAAGTATAATAATAATAAAAAAAGAAATTGCTATTTTTATAGGTCAAAAAGTTTTAGTGTTGGCAATTTTCTCTGGTTCAACTTAATAGATGTATACTTTCTTTAACAATCCTACACTTGAGAATTTGGGCTTTAGGCTGTTTAAGGAGAATGCCTTGTACTTTGAAAGGCAAAAAAGAAATGGACATTAATGTTTTGCTGAAATATGTCTTTTTGTCTTCAAAACTTGCTCTTCCTGGTCCCTTCTTAATGACAGTAAGAACAGCTGCTCATAGGCCTCTCTGCTCAAACTTGAAGAGTGCAATTGAACACAGCTCAACTGTGCTTCTATAGATAACATGAAGCCAGAAGGCTGCTGGTTCTCTGTTGTATTCACTGGTTAGATGGAAAAAGTAAGTATTTAATGAGAAACTCCTGAGATGTTTGAAATGATAGCTACATCTCTATTTCTTTCCCCAATGACAGAGGGAAATCTGGTTTCTGGATTAACTACTGAATAGCAACTGCAGTCAACAGCTGATGGAATCTTGCAGGAAGACTAAGCTGGTGTTCAGAGAAGTTTTGTTCAGGCATCCCATTTTATTTCACTCATACTATCCAATGGCTGTGTTTGCATGTGGATATGAAAGTATCTGAATATTCTGATTAACATTTGTATGAAGGATTTCTGTCTACTAAAGAGTGCAACAGAATAGACCATCTGGAGAGAGGGCTGTTTCATTCCGATGGAAGGTGGCAACAAAGTTGTCATCTAAAAGGAGGATGCTGGGAGTGGTATTCTGTTCCTGGAAATAAAAGTCAACCTAATCCTTTGTGCCGAGGGCTTTGCTTGCTGGATCGATTTCTCATTGTCTGAAAACTGCCAGTCACAGAAATAATACAACCAGCTGGCTATCTAGCAGGGATTCTGCTGCTAGGAAGAGGAGCATCTGTAGATGACAAAGGGACACTAAGGGTCCTTAGAAATTCCCTGCATTGTCATCTGATACCACTTAGTCACACAGCACCCCTAGGTGTGTGGGTGACAGGGCAGGCTCAAGCCCAACTCTGCTGATTCCATTAATAAAAATGGCCATGCCAAGGGTGATTGCACTCCCTGGAGATGGGAGTGTGATGTCGGTTCACAAAAGGCCAATGATACGTTGCCCTCTGGTGTCAACTTTTTCTTACTGAGGCAAGAAAAAGTGTTCCCAGCAACTTCTCAGACTCCCTCAGCCCACTGACCAGGTCACTGTACTTGCAAACGACATAGAACATGAAGATAAAAACTATAAATCTGAGATATTTCCAGTAAGTCAAAGGAAAGCAGAGGCAATGTTCTTGCTTTTTTTTTTTTTTTTTCACGAGAATAATCACAAGGGTGTTTGGGTATCTGCTTCAGTCTTTCATGAGTATTTTCCATGAAGGCTGATGGGGAAGAAGTCAGTAGCTTCTTTTTCTTTGCTGAAAGAGTCATTATCTCAGAGACTTAGGGATTAGCAAATGGGATACCATGTGATGAGGATGAGAGGATAGAAAACAGTCTGGAAATATTTGCTTTTAGGCAAAGATGAAATCACAAGGTTCATTTATTTCCTTTGTTCTACAATTTCCTTAAAGGCCAAGTCACATGAAGATAATGTAAATAAAAATTACCTTAGGAATGGGAAAAAGAAAAAGAAACCAAGTCTGATGGGTGACTGTTGAGAAAGGGAGTTGGAAGCCACTGAACTCTGGGCTTTTGTTCTCAAGCCAACCCGTGGATTTGGTACTATACTTTGATTAATCTATCTAACTTCCACGTCTTTTTCAATAAAATTTCTCCCTACCTCTTGAGGAAGTTGCAAGATTGGGTTTAATTATTGTTTGTACTTTGAGAGGCTCAAGGAAAGTACTTCGAGATACAAAGCAGTATAAGAAAGGAAGCTAAGAATACTTTTATAAAAGAAGAAAAGTGTACACAGGGTACCTAAATTTCATTTTGGAGGAATGAAAAATGTAAACTTTACCCAGAAACTATATAAATACCAGTCAGAGAGATGCAGATTGCCTTCTGTGGATCACATGATATCGGAGGTGGGGTGATTCCTCTGGCTGTTCCCTGAATTTTCAGATATTCTCTCTAGGTCCTCTCCAAGACAGAAGCAATCTGCCAGAGGCACCTCTGGGTTTGCAGATCCTCTAGCATTCACAGTGTCTTTCGGAGCTCATTCCCTGATTGCAGGGCCAAATGGCCTCTCTCAGCTCCATCTTACCCGGAGCTGCTCTGATCGTGACAGTTTCTATATGACCACTGCTAGTCTTCTCACCAAGGGCACTAACCTAGCAGACTACAGAGTCTGTAAATAATGGTTACTTTGAGAAATGTCACTCTTCAGGAAGTCCTACCTTATCGCATTTAATCAGAACTTTAACTTTTATTATGTTTGTGATAACTTTACTCAAAATTTGAAGCTATTCAGTGATTCTTTCAGCTTTTTAAAAAGAAAATCGAAGTTCCTTATGATAAAGACAAGCAAATTACAATGTTTCTCATGATTATAAACTCTGCTAAATGCAAATAATAATGGAAATAAAATGCATGAATTTGGTGTGCAAACCAAGGCTAAGCTGTTTTGGGTTTGGTGTCCATCAAATTTGAACTTTGCCACAGTTTGGCAAAATAATAGAGCAGAAAAACTTAAGAGAATAGGAAATTACGAGAAAAATAATGGGAGTGGGAAGTGGTGGAGAGAATGCAAGCAGAAAGGAATGTTTGCTCTCTTTCTCATCCTTTGATGTCAACCTTCTGCCACTCATCTGAGGGTCCCAGAATCAGAAGTTTCTTGCACAAGATTAGAAGTATGGTTTTCAAACTGTGTGCCAAGGAACCCAAGAGGTTCTTTTTCAGGGGCTTCCTCATGGTTGGGGAGGAAGACGAAAATCTCCATTCCCTTTTCCCCAGTAATTTCATGGGCTTGGCAGTAAAATGGAATCCTAATGAGAGGGCCAATTATAGTTTTCCAGGTGAAATTTAGCCCATTAAGTATTTTAGTTTTAAAGTTAAGATCATTAGAAAATGTACAAGGTGGAGAAAATCAGCATAGATGAGAAACAATCCAAGTGAAAGATCCTCTTTGCTATTGGTTCATGTCCCTAGTGGCTGGACTTTCTAAGAGGATGTAAGAGCCTTGTCAAAGATAGTGCTCCTTATATTGGCCTCTACCAAAGCCTTGCTCCCATGGCATTCAGACTCTCAAGTCAATACGATTTAGTTTTTGATCATTCCACTCATTGCTCTCTAGATAATCTCCCATATCAACAAAGTTTCTTTTGTTCTCTAGAAAGCCAAGATACCAACAAAGCTCGACATTACCATCCACAGAAACTACTTTAGCATTAGGATCATTCCGTATCATCATATGGATTTCTGTGCCAACTCAGGAACAAATGATGGTATAGCAGAAAAGATATTGAAACAAGCCATACAGCAGGGTTTAGCAAATTATGAGAGCTGACTACAAAACAGGGAAGAACATGGTGAAGTTTCAAAACTATTCCATAGTAGTGGTCAGGAGTGTGGAGGTTGGATGCATTTGATGTTGACCATGAAGGATTGCCAGAACTTGTCCTGAACACTTCTGCACAAGTGTGTGGAGCCTGGACTTCCATCACTGTGCTACAGTAATCAGACATCTGCATTGCATATAAACTGTGGGGAGCGGAAATGCCCACTGAAAGACCTGTTGGGAGAGAATTACAATAATTTAGCCTCTATCATGGGGCTCTGCTCTGCTGCTACAAGGTCATCATGGGAGAAACAACGGAGTATCTTGCAGAAAGTTAGAATTTGGTCCTTTGCCCTTTCAGTATTGCACTTTGTACATGTATAAGCTCAATAACTATTAGTTAAAGATGGTGCAGAAAATGCCTTTGTAATTTCTCTTGGGAAATGGCTTTCTTTGCAAAAGGTAGGTTGAAAGGAAAGCACAATGACTTCTAAAAGTGATGACAAGAAGCAAGGATGAATCCCTTATGCTAATACTGTCCCTCCCCAATAGAAATAATTTCCAATGAATGTTAAAACTGGAAGGTTATTTAGGTATCTCTTTATAGATTAGCAAGACAGTATTGCAAGGTCTTTGGCCAAATACTGAGCCCAGATGTATTCTGCAGTCCACACTGATCTTTAAACTTGAAGAAAGTTATCTATTCTTACTTCAGATGTGTTTTATCAGCTCCTTAGGAGCCTGCTAGAGTCATAACTTTTTCTTTTGTGCTGAAAAGGGAGTAGAGGAGCATTTTCCTTGTAGCTAGACAGGAGTCTTTCTTCCCTCAAATTGCCATTTTTATTTAGGTTTATCAGAATGTAAGAGTCCAACAAAATTTTTCCCAATTACTTCATCAAACAACAAAGTGTCATCTTTTGTTTGCTTCTTTTAGAACACAAGATAAGAAATGGCTTTGATGTATCAGATCTGATGTCCTAAGAGATTTAGCTCCATTTACATTTTGGCTTCCCCAACCCTCACTCCAACATAAAATCCTCTTAGAATTAGAAGATGGAAATTGAAACTTTGGCATGAGCGCTAATGAAATGTAAGACCTTGAACAAGTCATCTAATGTCTGTGAACATCAATTTTCTTGCCAATAAAGTGGGACAGAAATAATCGTAGGACTACTGCAAGGGTCAAATGAGATAGAAGATATAAAAACATATTGTAAATTGTAAAGCACTTCAATATATAGTTATAAATACTAACAACACAGTCATGGCCTAGCGAAATGAGCATTGAATTTGAGGTCAGTAGATAGGCATGTAAATATTGCATTGTCTGCTTAACAGTTGTCTGATTTGGGGTAAGTCATGTAAACTGTATAAGGCGCAGTTTCCATAAGTGTAGATATGGATTATTAAGTTACTAAAAAAATCATAGGGTTTTTGTAACTGAAATAATAGCTGATTGAACCACAATAGACACCTAGCTCAAGCTATGCCAATCAGACTCTCTCCCATGGGAATCTGGGCTTGGGATTAAAGGACTGTCCATTGGCTGGGTGCGGTGGCTCATGCCTATAATCCTAGCACTTTGGGAGGCCAAGGCGGGTGGATCACCTGAGATCAAGAGTTTGAGACCAGCCTGACCAACATAGCAAAACCCCATCTCTCCTACAAATACAGAAAAATTCACTGGGCATGGTGGCGGGAGCCTGTAATCCCAGCTACTCAGGAGGCTGAGGTAGGAGAATTGCTAGAAACTTGGGGGCGGAGGTTGCAGTGAACCGAGATCACACCACTGCACTCCGGCCTGGGCAACAGAGTGAGACTCTGTCTCAATAAAACAAAACAAAACAAACAAAAAAAGGACTGTCCATCATTTCTGGGCAAGTGTGTGCCAGAGAGAGGAAAATTAAAAATGCATTGTATAAAAGGCTGATTGGTAGAGAAAGTGGGTACTGCTTCTGAGAAGAAAGAATGAAGTAGGTTGAAGAGAGCTAGAGACACACATATACACACAGATTAAGAGCCAAACAGCATTCCCAGATGTCTTTACTCTTCCATTTCTAGGTGATATTTCCATGTATCCTTATTGGAAATTTCCTTCTGGATTAGTTAACAGAATCTACTTTAGCTAGTTTAAGCAGAAAGGGATGTAATGCAGGAATTAGGTACTCATAAAATTGTTGGAAGGGAGAAGAGCAGGCTCTAGGCCAAGCTTTCAGGGTAACTTCCCAAACAACCAAACAACCCTACAGAAGTGGTCCAATGAGGAAGTTACTGCCCTTTCCAGGAAGCTGGGGAAGCAAGAACCTGCTCCCACAGAATCACACTGCTTTTGTCAAGATCCACACCAGGAAGATTCTTGATACCTGTGAAGCTGAGAAGTAGCCACTGAGCTATTTGCTGCTGTCCTCCTTCCACCCTCCCATACTCTCACCAACTGTGGGGCATGGCCTCTGCCTCTTGTGGAGGCTAAGTGGTGTGCAGAGGCTGCACTGCAGGGAGTCTGAGTAACGCGGTCTCTACTTGCAGCAGACGGCATGCAGTAAGCCATGTATAGGAAAACAATATAGTTCAGTGAGTTAATCTGCATATCTACCTTGCCTTCTTTCTTCTGAAATCAAGTCCTGTTCATTGTAACAGTGCAGTACTTAACACATTAATGTGAATGACAGGCTCTTGAATAAGCTGCAAGGGAGCCACTAGTTTTCTTGGAACGAGATATCTGGGGATTCCCACCTCAGAGACCAACACAAAGAAATAAAGACAAGGTCTGGCGAAGGTTGGGACATTGTGACCTTTACAGTGTCTCTCCTGCCCTCTTTCCACGATTTTTGTGCCAATTACTTGTTGACAAGCCCCAGAGCTTAAGACATGGGTACTTCGCTGTGAAATGAGATGATTATAGAATAGTTATCAAAGAGGTTAGACTATTTTTGGCATCATCACAGTTCTGAATTGTAGCCTCAGTAAACAACAAGTCATTACTCTGTCACACAATGTCTGGTGCCCTGTCCTTTTTGTCCTTGCATCTTTAATTCAGACTTTTGCCACCACGAAGGGTCACATCCTTCCTTGGTTCTGGGGCAGACTGCAGAGCCTTGGGTTAGCATGCAGACTCCTCTGTCCATGTGCTTGCTGCCAGGCTTGCGTGGGGTCTTGGAAAGAGCATAGAATTTGAGTCATTTGCTTAGCCAATTATTAGCGAGGGCCTTTATGCAAGATGTGAAATCTTCTTAAACCTTAGATTCTTCATCTTTAAAATGGAATCAAAATGCCTGCCATACAAATTTGTGGGGATTAAGTGAAATAATGACTACAAAGGCCTTTGTAACTAACAGTGCCTGGCACACAGATCAGGCATATTGAATATTAGCTTCTTTAGGGCTGAGTCTTCACAGCTCTGGGCTCAATCACATTCTGAAGCTTCACTTTTGGTGAATGAATCCTTGCCTTGTGGCCCTTGGTTTCAACTGTGTCTCAGTTCCCCACCATCTTGTCCTTGCCAGGATCCACGTTGCCTTACCCCTCCTGCCCTTGGTCTCCTCTTCCGTATTTAGTTCTATGGCCAGATATTTGCTACTTAGTAGAGATTTCTCATCTGCCTGCCTGCACAGCTATCTAATTTTTGAGATTCTCCATTGCACACACCACCCTTTCATTGGTCATGACATTCTAGATTGCTATTGCTTGCCTGAACTATCACCTGTTATTTGTCACATTATTGTCCAGATGCTGAGTTCAACTTTCCTTTTTCTCGTCACTTGTAGTTGAGTCCTTCTTTTACTTCCTTCCTACCTACATCTGCCATCTTCCCCTCCCACTCCAGCAAATATCTTTGTCTCGGGTCCTGGATGTTAACCCTCTCATGCCAGGTAGTGTTTTTAGACACGAAACAGAGTCCTCTATGTCCCTGCTGCTCAGGTGACACACTGGCATCGCTGGGAGCTTATTAGATATGCAGAATCTACTGAATCAGAAACTGCATTTTAACAAGATCCTGAGGTGATTCATAGGCACATGAAATTTTGAGAATCACTGTGCTATAAGTAAGGAAATGTGACTAGGTTAGAAAATACTTTGGTGGTATCTGGCAAAAATCTGTTCACCTTCCTCCTGGTGATGTTCTAGAGACACATGGCTGCCTCCCAATATGGCTTGCTGGCACTTCTATTAAAAGGATGGCAATATGGTATTCTGTGTCTTTTCATCCCAAGGATGGGTTTTGTGTTGTAAGGATGAAGTTCAGGCTTGTGACAAGCTGCAGTGAAATGAAAATTCCGGCAGGCTATGTATTTGAAGAAATTCACTCTACGACTGTTCTACTTGCTTCTGAGTCAAATCAAATGAAGGGATCCTGCGTTTATGAACTGTACGGTAAAGAGAGAGAACTCTAGGAATCTACTTTTTATTTTTGTTTTTTCCCTTTTTCTACCCTAGCCTTCCCAAACCTTCTTCCATCAGTTCCTCTGAAACCAGCACCAGAGTACAGAGCAGAACATGGTGACTGAGGGCAAACGACAGGGGGAAGCTTTGAGAAATGGCAGGTATTTTTGGTGACTTACTGAACTGGTGGCTTTTCCTCCTATTGTTTTTGCTCAAAACATGTCTTTGTAATATTGGATTATTATGATTTTTTTCATTTATTCAAATACACCCACACCCTACCTTTTCCCTACTTAGAAACTCCATCCTTGTGCTACAAGGATGAATTTGTAAAAATGTAAAAAAACCCACCAAATCAATCGATCCATATATGGATAAAGAAACAGGCTTCAGGCATCTATTATGAAAAGTATAGGCTGTGAGTGATGTCAAGAGACCTAGACGGCTTCTGCAGCCTAACTTCACTTTCACTTATCTTGTCATTATATGGCCATGGGAAAAACGCAGCCTGCCTCTCTTTGCAGTTTTGAACACATAAATGCTCCCATATTTCTGATGGAGCTTCTAATGAAGATGACTTTTCCATTTTTCATGCTGATATCAGTTTGACCTGCTCCTGTCCAGTTAGCACACCTGGGTCTGCTGTCCTTTTGTGAATATTATGGGCTCCATGATATGCACAAAGTAATGTTTTTTTTTTTTTCTGATGTGATAGGGTTTGGGAGTTGGGGCAGAAGACAGAGTTTAAAAGCTGTAAAAATAAATAAGAGGAATGGAAAGGCCCCTACCTTGCAAGAATGGAAAGGGCTAGAGATCAATGGGTAGGAAGATTGAAAGTGCCCTCAGGCCACTTAATAAATCAAGACGTGATGGAACTTGCAGATAGGTAGAAAGGCAAATAATTGCTCACTTCTTGAGCATAGCATCGGTGGTTAAAATACAATCAGTTAAATTTTAGACTCAGGATCTTTCTAAATTGTGGTGAATGCACAATAACTATCACTTGGCTTAAAAAAATGACACTAGGAAAATATTTGATGATGTAGCCACTTCTTTAAAAAGATGCCATATGAATTTTTCAAAAGTAAATAGTGATGACTTCAAAGTGTGTGTACTTTGGAAAAGGCTACTGTATGTTTACATGATACGAGACATCCACATGTATCATTTCTGCTTCCTTGCAAGAACTGAGGGAAGAGGTGAATGCTTCCCTATTACAATAAAATGCTATACTTATGTTTAATAATTAATTAAGAAGGAATAAAAAGGTTCATAACAAGTGGACCTATCCCAGTCCATACTACTTGGTAGCCATCTTTAGCTGACTAAAGAAATAACAATAGACAGGTTTATAAATCAAAGTTTGGTTTCTGGCAGCCAAGGGAAGCATCATCATTAGCTTAAGACAGACTCCTACTAATGGCATCAAATTCAGTCTATACAGCAGGGGTTCTTAAAGTGTGGTCCCTGGACCAATAGCATCAGCATCTCCTGGGAACTTGGTAGAAGGGCAGATTCTCAGGCCTCACTCTGAATCGCTGAATCGGAACCTCTGGGGGTCAGGCCCAGTGACAAGTACTTTAATAGTAAGCTCTCCCAGTGATTCGGACACTCACTGATTTGGGAACCACTGCTACCCAGTGGTATCTGAGGAGCGACGATAATACAATAGAAAGTGCCAGGGCTCTGAGGCCAAGCCTGAGTTCCTTCCCAGCCTTGCTATCACTCACTGCGTGACCTTGGCAAGTCTTTGGCATGCCTGAACCTTGATTTTCTCCTCTGCAAAATCAGAATCATCTCCTTTCCTCACAGGTCTGTTGTGGGGAAAGTCAGATGATGTGAGTCCTTGTTCACACAGTAAGTGCCCAGAAAACCTTGGTGCTTTTCCTCTTCCCTTCCCTGAAGCTGAACTTCTGCGGAAAAATCCAAGAGGTAAGAGCCATCAATATTTGTGGAAAATTAAGAGGGTTTTCATAAACTCATGGACATTACTCGGTGAAAGTTGGTGTCTTGTACTGAGTGAACTGTCTGCTGTCCAGGCCTGTGCTGTCCAACACAGGAGCCAAATGTGACCATTGAGCACTGGAAATGTGGCTTGTGTGAATGAGATAAACTGCAAGTGTAAAAGACACATTGGAATTTTAAGACTTAACATGAAAAAAATTTAATTTATAATTTTTTATATTGATTACATGCTGAAATAAAAGTTTGGGTATATTGGGTTAAATATATTATTAAAATTAATTTCACCTTTTTTTAAAAAAAAATTTAAACTGTGGCTACAGGGACATGTATAAGCACATATGTGGCTCACAGAGTTAACTCTGAGTAACTCGGGCTTATTAATAATGTCCACTCCTAAGTAAAGTTCTATGAGGGATAAGTCCCCATTCCATCTTCCAGCACTCCCACACTGCTTTCATACAGGCAGAATCAAGAGACTTGCTTAGCCCCTCAGACATTCAAAAAAGTCAGCGTTCAGGAAATGGGAGTTCTTTAAGCATCAGCCCACTCTTATCTTCTCTTGCTTAACAACAGACAATAAAAGGCAGTTCTCTCAGATGTCTATTTGTCCTCGGCGTGACTTAAAAATCAGCTCAGGAAGTCATCTGTCAGTCAAGTATATTACAGAGAGAAACATTTGTGAAATTACCTGAGTTGAGATGTCTCAAATGACAATTTCTTATTTGCACAACTTAAATTATTCAAGACAACACAGACCTGCTCTAATCTTTAAAAAGACTTTAGGGTTACGAGGATTTGGTTCTCTGTGTTTTAAATATTTCGTCTTCTTTTAAGAACCCAACCCTATGGGAGACTCAGAGAGCATTCTAATGACAGAAAGAAGCCCCTCCTTGTGTGTACCTAGGACTGATTACATGCATCTATCTCGTAGCTTGTTTGAGTGACGCTTCCCTGAGAAAAACAACTAGTCACATGAGGAATGGGCCAGATGGTAGACAGATGACTCTATGCCTGAAAAATTGCATGAGTAATATCATTCTTTCACTTCAGTTTTATTTATTTATATATTTTTGGTGGGGTGCAGAAAGCTCCCAGTTAATTACATTCAAATAAATATAGGACACCTGCTTGATGCCAGGCACTATGCTAGCCACAGTGGGTAGAACTGAAAGAGACACGGTCCTATTCCAGCTTGAACTAAAATTGCTATAAATGACAAGCCCCTCTATACAGCCATGATTATGTTTTATTGATTTTCATGTATAGGGCTCATTGCTAGCTTTATTTTTATTTTATTTTAATAATTGCAACTTTTATTTTAGATTCGGGGGTACATGTGCAGGTTTGTTACATGGGTATATTATGTGATACTGAGGTTTGGGGAACAAATGATCCCTACTAGCGGATTACCCAGGTAGTGAGTATAGTACCCAATAAGTAGTTTTTCAACCCTTTGCCTGCCACTTCTTTCCCTCCTCCAGGAGTCCCCAGTGTCCATTGTTCCCATGTTTATGTCTATATATACCTCTCATTTGCAAGTGAGGACATGTGGTATTTGGTTTTTTGTTCCTCTGTTAATTCGCTTAGGATGATGGCCTCCAGCTGGATCCATGTTGCTGCAAAGAACATGATTTCATTCTTCTATTATGGCTGTGTAGTATTCCATGGTGTATATGTACCACATTTTCTTTATCCAATTCACTGCTGACAGGCACCTAGGTTGATTTCATGTCTTTGCTATTGTGAATAGTGCTGCAATGAACATACAAGTGCACATGTCTTTTTTGTAGAACAATTTATTTTCCTCTGGGTATCTAACCAGTAATGGAATTGTTGGGTCATATGGTAGTTCTATTTTTAGTTCTTTGAGAAATCTCCAAACTGCTTTCCACAGTGGCTGAACTAATTTACTTTCCCACCAAAAGTGTATAAGTGTTCCTTTTTCTCCACAGCCTTGCCAGCTTCTGTTGTTTTTTGTCTTTTTATTAATGGCCATTTGGACTGGTGTGAGATGATATCTCATTATGGTTTAGATTTGCATTTTTCTGATGATTAGTGATGGTAAGTATTTTTTTCCTATGTTTTTTGTCTACTTGTATGTCTTCTTTTGAGAAGTGTCTGTTCATGTCTTTTTTTAAATGAAGTTATTTGTTTTTTGTTTGTTGAGTTGTTTAAGTGCCTTATGGATTCTGGATATTAAACCTTTGTTGGATGCATAGTTTGCAAGTATTTTCTCCCATTCTGTAGGTTGTCTGTTTATTCTGTTGATAGTTTCTTTTGCTGTGCAAAAGTTCTTTAGTTTAATTAGGTCTCACTTGTCAGTTTTTGTTTTTTGTTGCAATTGCTTTTGAGGACTTAGTTATAAATTATGTCCCAAGGCTGATGTCCAGATGGTATTTCCTAGGTTTCCTTTTAAGATTTTATAGTTTGAGGCCTTACAATTAAATCTTTAATCCACCTTGCATTAATTTTTGTATATGGTGGAAGATAAGGGTCCAGTTTGATTCTTCCGCATATTGCTAGCCAGCTATCCCAGCACTATTTATTAAATAGGGAGTCATTTCTTCATTGCTTATTTTTGTCTACTTTGTTGAAGATCAGATGGTTGTAGGTGTGCAGCTTTATTTTGGGGTACCCTATCACTTTCTTTTTTCTCACTTGTAGGGCACCATTCTAGGTACTAGGCCTATGGTACAACAATGTTACATTTAAAAAATATTAAAGGCACATTTAAATTTAATTTTAGCATCAGTGAAAGAGATATTTTACGCACACAGTAGTGAAAAAAGTTGTCAGAATCTCTGCTTAATATTCAAAGCAAATAATGCTTTTCTGAATGAATAAATGCTTCTTTAAAAGGTAACACTGTGGGCTGGGCATAGTGGCTGATGCCTGTAATCCCAGCATTTTGGGAGGCCGAAGTGGGTGGATCAATTGAGGTCAGGAGTTTGAGACCAGCCTAGTCAACATGGTGAAACCCCATCTCTACTAAAAATATAAAAATTAGCCAGGTGTGGTGGAGCATGCCTGTAATCCCATCTTCTTGGGAGGCTGAGGTACGAGAATCACTTGAACCTGGGAGGTGGAGGTTGCAGTGAGCTGAGAGGGCACCACTGCACTTCAGCCTGAGTGACAGAGTGAGACTGTCTAAAAATAAATAAATAAATAAAAATAAAATTGTCGTGCTTAAAATGTAATATAGATACACATTTCAGATTGTTTAAGTATATCCTCCCCCATCCTAGGAGAAAAGATTTGTCTAAAAAGAGACTGGATATTAATTTCATTTCATTGTAACTGACAATTTTGTATTTATATTTTATAGATGCCAGACTCTTGCTGTTGATATTAGTATGAACATCAACATTAGGCTATAATAATAAGCTATCAAAGGTTCAGTGCAAGGTGTGTCTAGTTAAAAATTAGGAACAAGCTTAATAAAAACTTGTAAACTAATCTCAGTCCTTACTTCTCATTTGCTTTGGATTGAAGAAAGTGTGTGGAGTGTGAGTGTGTGCACGCATGTGTTTTTCAATGTCCCCAAACAGCACTATTTATCCAGCTGTCTACTTCCTTAAGGACAGATCTCCATCCCCACTCCCCATCCCAACCCCTGGCCCCATAGCAAGACTTATTTATCCTTAGTTACCAACTAGCTTATTAAAACTAATACTAGGCTGGGTGTGGTGGCTCACACCTGTAATCCCAGCACTTTGGGAGGCCAAGGCAGGTGGATCACCTGAGGTCAGGAATTCAAGACCAGCCTGACCAACATGGAGAAACCCTGTCTCTACTAAAAATACAAAATTAACCGGGCGTGGTGGCGCATGCCTATAATCCCAGCTACTCAGGAGGTTGAGGCAGGATAATCGCTTGAACCCAGGAGGCAGAGGTTGTGGTGAGCCAAGATTGTGCCATTGCACTCCAGCCTGGGCAACAAGAGTGAAACTCCATCTCAAAACAAACAAACAAACAAACAAAGAAACAAACAACAAACAAACACCAAAAAACTAATACTACACTAGTCACTGGGGCTTCTTCCATTAATATATGTGGGTGTTTCTCTCTGTGTGTGTGTGTGTGTGTGGTGGTGTTGGGGGTTGGGGGAGAGAAAGAGAGACAGAGAGAGAGACAGACAGACAGACAGAGAGACAGAGAGAACTTGCTTAGACCTGCTTTTTGCATCATCCAGCATTTAGTTTCCCTGCTTCCTCAGCTAGGCTATGTTCACTTTTTCTAGTCAATCATGAGAAGTATGTGACTCCTTGTGTGAATTGCATGAGTGGCCCCAATTCTACACCCTTCCCAGTACCCATGTCCTTTGTTGTGTCATTTTGTGGTGCTTTTCCCCTGTGTATGGGGTATATGGTCCAGCCATGACTTACTTTGGCTGATGGGATGTTAGCAAATGTGACATAGCAGAGACTCCAGAAGTCCTTGTGCTGCTGGGCTTGACTATTCTGTGCCGTGTCATCACCTGGAAGACATTCTAGTCTGCTAGTTCCAGGAAGAAAATGAGAGACATGTGGGGCAAAGCCACCCCCAGACAAATCTAGCCTAGATGTTCTAATCCCTAGACTTGTGAGGAATAATAAATAATTATCTCTTTAAGCCACTGAATATTGGGGTGGTTTGTATACAGAAATAGTCAATGGACCCACTTCCTTCTTCCTCCTCATGCAGACCCCGGATCCTCCCCTTCTCTACTCCTTAGATGAACCGCACTCTGCCCCCTAGCACCTGGTGACAAAAAGTGAGAACTTCTGTAGCACTAGGAAAATAGAAGAGAAAACAAGGGGAAAAAATGAGAGTAAAGGAGAGAAGACTATGCTGATGCCATCTGAGAGATTCCTATGGGAAAGATGGAAAAATTAACCATCACCATGCTCCTCCTGTTCCTTAATCAGTTCTCTCATATCCTTTCTTTTTCCCAACCCTTATTTCCTACTCTCAATGCTTTCTGTTCCCACTATTGATCTGCATCATGAGGCCAGGGTTCTTTCGCAATTATTGCTAACATTTATTGAATACTAATTATATATTAAGCACTGAGCTAAGTGCCGTACTTGGATTATGTGTTTTAAACCTCACTATGGCACTGTAAGATGGACAACATGGTCTATATTTTACACACGAAGAAGCTTAAGAGTCATCAAATGATTTGCTCAGGATCCACAGCTAGTAAGCAGTGAAGCTAAGGCTCTAATCCAGGCAGGCTGACAACAAAGCCTGTGCTCTTCCCCCTATACCACACTGTCCTTTCTTGTTGAATCCTCTTCATCCTCTCTTCCACTGCCATTCTTCTCCCCTTCCATAGGCAACCATTAACGTATATATTTTTATGTGAATATTTTTTGCACAGTGAAGATGGTTGTTTGGTACACATTGTTTCTAATTTATCTAAGTGATAATTATTTCTTATTTTATTCTGTTTCTTTTTTTTATTAAGCATTCTGTTTTTAAGATCCATACACTTCGCTATGTGTTCATTTAATTTGTTGCCTCTTACCTGCTACCTAGTACTCCATGGTTTCTACTCATCCCAAATTCTTTATCCACCCCTCCATAGTGAACAACCAGATTTCCTCCAACTCCCCACCACAAGTAATGCTCTAGTGAATATCCTCATACATGGTCCCTTAAGGCCCAAGTGAGAAATTTCCTGGGTGTAAATCCAGGAGCAGAATTGGCATGTCACAGGGAATGTTTATCTGTTGGACTAAATTGCTCCTCATAATGGTCTGCACTCCCACTGGCAGCACGTGAAGGCAAATCTATGCCTATGATCCTGTCTAAATTCTGCCAGCCTGAAAGGTGCAAACCGATAACTCACTGTTTTAACTTGCATTTACCTAATTACCAATTATTTGGGCATTTCTTTACATGCTGGCTCTGTTTTTGAGTTTCCTTTTCTAAAAATTACCTATTCATAATCTGCTCATTTTGTAATTGAGCTTTTTTTTTTCTTATTGATTCAGAGGAATCCTTTGCTTATTCTAGATACATTGGCTAGAAACATTCCAAATAGCTTCTCCCAATCTATCATCTGGTCTTTGTGTTTGCTGTCTCTCATGAACAGAAGTCCTATTTTGATGTTTTCAATTAATATATATTTTTGCCTTATTGTTTGTGCCTTTTAAGTTTTGTTTAAAAGAGGCCCCTGACCTCTATTCTCAAATATTGAATATTGAAAAAAAATTCTCAAATATTTTCAAAACATTTTTGTCCATTATCTTTATGGGTTTACATTTCTATTATTTCCCCTTTAAATATGACTGTTAAAATAACCTTATAATATTATGAGTGAAATAAGCTTTAAAGAGTAGGTCCAAGAACTTGATCACTGTATACATCAATTGTTTCTGTGAAAAGCCTGTGATCTGAGTTCCAAGACATCAATTTAGAAGTGGACTTTTGGAATAGAGCCTGTTTATGCATTCAAGGTTGCCAGGATATTTATGAAAGGAACTCTAAAGTTCTATTATAGTGGTCTGGCCATTGTTGTTGGCCTCAGTATCGTTACATTATAATCATAGTGTTAATGTGATTATAAATCACCAGGGGCAGTGTTGCTTAAAGTGTGGTCCTCAAATTAATTGCATTGCATTTACTTAAATGTGCTTGTTAAAAATAAAGATTTCATTTGTCAAAACCCATAGAATGTACAACACAAAGAGTGACCCCTAATATTTGGTTGATAATAATGTGTCAATATCAGTTCATCAGTTGTAATAACTGGACCACACTGATGTAAGATATTGATGGTAGAGAGGCTGTGAGCTGGTGGAGAAGGGAGTATGTGGGAACTCTCTTTACTTTGCTCAGTTTTGCTGTACACCTAAACTGCTCTGGTGCCCAACGTGGAGGCTTTTCTCTAGGGTGAAGGTACACTCGAGCGTGGTCATTGAGGACAAGTCGACGAGAGATCCCGAGTACGTCTACAGTCAGCCTTACGGTAAGCTTGTGCGCTCGGAAGAAGCTAGGGTGATAATGGGGCAAACTAAAAGTAAAATTAAAAGTAAATATGCCTCTTATCTCAGCTTTATTAAAATTCTTTTAAAAAGAGGGGGAGTTAAAGTATCTACAAAAAATCTAATCAAGCTATTTCAAATAATAGAACAATTTTGCCCATGGTTTCCAGAACAAGGAACTTTAGATCTAAAAGATTGGAAAAGAATTGGTAAGGAACTAAAACAAGCAGGTAGGAAGGGTAATATCATTCCACTTACAGTATGGAATGATTGGGCCATTATTAAAGCAGCTTTAGAACCATTTCAAACAGAAGAAGATAGCGTTTCAGTTTCTGATGCCCCTGGAAGCTGTTTAATAGATTGTAATGAAAAGACAAGGAAAAAATCCCAGAAAGAAACAGAAGGTTTACATTGCGAATATGTAGCAGAGCCGGTAATGGCTCAGTCAACGCAAAATGTTGACTATAATCAATTACAGGAGGTGATATATCCTGAAACGTTAAAATTAGAAGGAAAAGGTCCCGAATTAGTGGGGCCATCAGAGTCTAAACCACGAGGCACAAGTCCTCTTCCAGCAGGTCAGGTGCCTGTAACATTACAACCTCAAACGCAGGTTAAAGAAAATAAGACCCAACCGCCAGTAGCCTATCAATACTGGCCGCCGGCTGAACTTCAGTATCGGCCACCCCCAGAAAGTTAGTATGGATATCCAGGAATGCCCCCAGCACCACAGGGCAGGGCGCCATACCCTCAGCCGCCCACTAGGAGACTTAATCCTACGGCACCACCTAGTAGACAGGGTAGTGAATTACATGAAATTATTGATAAATCAAGAAAGGAAGGAGATACTGAGGCATGGCAATTCCCAGTAACGTTAGAACCGATGCCACCTGGAGAAGGAGCCCAAGAGGGAGAGCCTCTCACAGTTGAGGCCAGATACAAGTCTTTTTCGATAAAAATGCTAAAAGATATGAAAGAGAGAGTAAAACAGTATGGACCCAACTCCCCTTATATGAGGACATTATTAGATTCCATTGCTCATGGACATAGACTCATTCCTTATGATTGGGAGATTCTGGCAAAATCGTCTCTCTCACCCTCTCAATTTTTACAATTTAAGACTTGGTGGATTGATGGGGTTCAAGAACAGGTCCGAAGAAATAGGGCTGCCAATCCTCCAGTTAACATAGATGCAGATCAACTATTAGGAATAGGTCAAAATTGGAGTACTATTAGTCAACAAGCATTAATGCAAAATGAGGCCATTGAGCAAGTTAGAGCTATCTGCCTTAGAGCCTGGGAAAAAATCCAAGACCCAGGAAGTGCCTGCCCCTCATTTAATACAGTAAGACAAGGTTCAAAAGAGCCCTACCCTGATTTTGTGGCAAGGCTCCAAGATGTTGCTCAAAAGTCAATTGCCGATGAAAAAGCCTGTAAGGTCACAGTGGAGTTGATGGCATATGAAAACGCCAATCCTGAGTGTCAATCAGCCATTAAGCCATTAAAAGGAAAGGTTCCTGCAGGATCAGATGTAATCTCAGAATATGTAAAAGCCTGGATTGAATCGGAGGAGCTATGCATAAAGCTATGCTTATGGCTCAAGCAATAACAGAAGTTGTTTTAGGAGGACAAGTTAGAACATTTGGAGGAAAATGTTATAATTGTGGTCAAATTGGTCACTTAAAAAAGAATTGCCCAGTCTTAAATAAACAGAATATAACTATTCAAGCTACTACCACAACAGGTAGAGAGCCACCTGACTTATGTCCAAGATGTAAAAAAGGAAAACATTGGGCTAGTCAATGTCGTTCTAAATTTGATAAAAATGGGCAACCATTGTCGGGAAATGAGCAAAGGGGCCAGCCTCAGGCCCCACAACAAACTGGGGCATTCCCAATTCAGCCATTTGTTCCTCAGGGTTTTCAGGGACAACAACCCCCCCTGTCCCAAGTGTTTCAGGGAATAAGCCAGTTACCACAATACAACAATTGTCTCCCGCCACAAGCAGCAGTGCAGCAGTAGATTTATGTACTATACAAGCAGTCTCTCTGCTTCCAGGGGAGCCCCCACAAAAAATCCCCACAGGGGTATATGGCCCACTGCCTGAGGGGACTGTAGGACTAATCTTGGGAAGATCAAGTCTAAATCTAAAAGGAGTTCAAATTCATATTGGTGTGGTTGATTCAGACTATAAAGGCGAAATTCAATTGGTTATTAGCTCTTCAATTCCTTGGAGTGCCAGTCTAGGAGACAAGATTGCTCAATTATTACTCCTGCCATACATTAAGGGTGGAAATAGTGAAATAAAAAGAATAGGAGGGTTTGGAAGCACTGATCCGACAGGAAAGGCTGCATATTGGGCAAGTCAGGTCTCAGAGAACAGACCTGTGTGTAAGGCCATTATTTGAGGAAAACAGTTTGAAGGGTTGGTAGACACTGGAGCAGATGTCTCTATCATTGCTTTAAATCAGTGGCCAAAAAATTGGCCTAAACAAAAGGCTGTTACAGGACTTGTCGGCATAGGCACAGCCTCAGAAGTGTATCAAAGTACTGAGATTTTACATTGCTTAGGGCCAGATAATCAAGAAAGTACTGTTCAGCTAATGATTACTTCAATTCCTCTTAATCTGTGGGGTCGAGATTTATTACAACAATGGGGTGCGGAAATCACCATGCCCGCTCCATTATATAGCCCCATGAGTCAAAAAATCATGACCAAGATGGGATATATACCAGGAAAGGGACTAGGGAAAAATGAAGATGGCATTAAAATTCCAGTTGAGGCTAAAATAAATCAAGAAAGAGAAGGAATAGGGTATCCTTTTTAGGGGCGGCCACTGTAGAGCCTCCTAAACCCATACCATTAACTTGGAAAACAGAAAAACTGGTGTGGGTAAATCAGTGGCCACTACCAAAACAAAAACTGGAGGCTTTACATTTATTAGCAAATGAACAGTTAGAAAAGGGTCATATTGAGCCTTCATTCTCGCCTTGGAATTCTCCTGTGTTTGTAATTCAGAAGAAATCAGGCAAATGGCATATGTTAACTGACTTAAGGGCCGTAAACGCCGTAATTCAACCCATGGGGCCTCTCCAACCCGGGTTGCCCTCTCCGGCCATGATCCCAAAAGATTGGCCTTTAATTATAATTGATCTAAAGGATTGCTTTTTTACCATCCCTCTGGCGGAGCAGGATTGCGAAAAATTTGCCTTTACTATACCAGCCATAAATAATAAAGAACCAGCCACCAGGTTTCAGTGGAAAGTGTTACCTCAGGGAATGCTTAATAGTCCAACTATTTGTCAGACTTTTGTAGGTCGAGCTCTTCAACCAGTTAGAGACAAGTTTTCAGACTGTTATATTATTCATTATATTGATGATATTTTATGTGCTACAGAAACGAGAGATAAATTAATTGACTGTTATACATTTCTGCAAGCAGAGGTTGCCAATGCAGGACTGGCAATAGCATCTGATAAGATCCAAACCTCTACTCCTTTTCATTATTTAGGGATGCAGATAGAAAATAGAAAAATTAAGCCACAAAAAATAGAAATAAGAAAAGACACATTAAAAACACTAAATGATTTTCAAAAATTGCTGGGAGATATTAATTGGATTCGGCCAACTCTAGGCATTCCTACTTATGCCATGTCAAATTTGTTCTCTATCTTAAGAGGAAACTCAGACTTAAATAGTAAAAGAATGTTAACCCCAGAGGCAACAAAAGAAATTAAATTAGTGGAAGAAAAAATTCAGTCAGCGCAAATAAATAGAATAGATCCCTTAGCCCCACGTTGGGCGCCAGATGTAGGGGTGGGTTGCCCCTCCACACCTGTGGGTGTTTCTCGTAAGGTAGAACGAGAGACTTAGGAAAGAAAAAGACACAGAGACAAAGTATAGAGAAAGAAATAAGGGGACCCGGGGAACCAGCGTTCAGCATATGGAGGATCCCACCAGCCTCTGAGTTCCCTTAGTATTTATTGATCATTTGTGGGTGTTTCTCCAAGAGGGGGATGTGTCAGGGTCACAAGACAATTGTGGGGAGAGGGTCAGCAGACAAACACGTGAACAAAGGTCTTTGCATCATAGACAATGTAAAGGATTAAGTGCTGTGCTTTTAGATATGCATACACATAAACATCTCAATGCTTTACAAAGCAGTATTGCTGCCCGCAGGTCCCACCTCCAGCCCTAAGGCGGTTTTCCCCTATCTCAGTAGATGGAGCATACAATCGGGTTTTATACCGAGACATTCCATTGCCCAGGGACAGGCAGGAGACAGATGCCTTCCTCTTGTCTCAACTGCAAGAGGCATTCCTTCCTCTTTTACTAATCCTCCTCAGCACAGACCCTTTACGGGTGTCGGGCTGGGGGACGGTCAGGTCTTTCCCTTCCCACGAGGCTATATTTCAGACTATCACATGGGGAGAAACCTTGGACAATACTGGCTTTCCTAGGCAGAGGTCCCTGCGGCCTTCCGCAGTTTTTGTGTCCCTGGGTACTTGAGATTAGGGAGTGGTGATGACTCTTAAGGAGCATGCTGCCTTCAAGCATCTGTTTAACAAAGCACATCTTGCACCGCCCTTAATCCATTCAACTCTGAGTTGACACAGCACATGTTTCAGAGAGCACGGGGTTGGGGGTAAGGTCATAGATTAACAGAATCTCAAGGCAGAAGAATTTTTCTTAGTACAGAACAAAATGGAGTCTCCTATGTCTACTTCTTTCTACACAGACACAGTAACAATCTGATCTCTCTTGCTTTTCCCCACACTCTAAAAATACAATTTATTAATTGAAGAAAAAAAGATTACAGAGCTGTTCCTTACAACTACTGAAGTCAGAATTTGCATTTAAGATAAGTATCCCAAGTAAATATTATGCTCTTAGAAGCTCCATAGCT
Organism: Homo sapiens; assembly: GCF_000001405.40. NCBI lineage: Eukaryota > Metazoa > Chordata > Mammalia > Primates > Hominidae > Homo > Homo sapiens. The sequence continues at coordinate 104,747,791 of NC_000007.14, read as the reverse complement.
ACTACCTGAAAATTATTATTTGCATAATAATAATGATAAGGCTTGCTGTGGGTGTCACTTAGTGGGTGTGCATTAGCTGGTGAAGGAAGGGATTAATTCAGAATGCATCCCAAGAGACAGCCAAAGAGAAATGAGTTTCTGAGTAATGGGGGAATAGTCTCCCAAGATTTATTTTAACTTCTATAATAATAAAAATTGTATTACTTATATTTGCTTGACACTTGGCTTTTACTTGCTGTGTTTATGGTGAGGAAAGTAAAGATATGTTCTGGACAAAACACAGGGACCTACAAACCTACTAGCACTAAATTTTCATCACCCTGTGTATGAACTAAAGTGATCGTATTTTCTACACGGGGGATTCTTGTCTTTATTGTTTCTTCTGCCTGGGCAGAATCTCTTCCCTCCGTTACTTCTGAAGGACACCTCATCCCAAATTCACATAGACATTTTTAAGGCTTGGCTTTGTTCCTCATCTGTCTATCAATACAACGAGGGAATTCTCAGCCAGGTTGAAAATGTGTAACATTCTAAGAAGTCACATTTCCATCAGGGGAATAAGGGCTTTCTTTGGGGACTGTCATCGAACTTGCAGAAATAGCTACACAGTTTGAGTTCCATGGATGGCAAATGTGATAAAAGAATAAATGTTGTAAAGGAATAACCTTTTAGTCTCTTACCTCATAAATACAGGTGTATGTGGGGAGATTATAAGAAACAAAACAAAAACCGAAACCAACTGACCAACTATGATCACCCTTATATTTAAAAATATTTGTAAAGCAACCAGATGAAAAAATTAAATTTAAGCATGTGGAGGAAGCAATCTCCAGATCTTCATGAGGCCTCCTTGATGATTCAGTGATATTAGGAACAAAGGGAGACAGCAGGGCAAGGTAGTGAGGGGCATGGGCTATGCACCCCGTTAATCAAACACTATATAAATGTTGGTTAAATTAAATCAAAGCACTAAAAATGACAATAGTTAACATGTGTTAGATATTGTGAAAGACAGTTTTACATGCATTATCTCTTTTTATTTTTATAAAATCTCTATCAGGCAGGTTCTATTAATGCCCTTATAGATGAAGACACTTAAGTTTGCCCAAACTCACAGAGCTAGCAGGTAGCACAAATCAGTTTCCCAAGGCTGGCAGAGAGCTCTGTTTCCAAGAAAAGGCAACAATAAAATTTTATCAGAAATGTGATTTTTTTAGCCTGTGATTGAGTAAAACTTTCTATGTCATGGGTTACTTACTGATTTCTAATTATAATAAAACAAACTGGTGAGATTTCATTTCCTCTCTCTGCGCCTTGGCTTTTTCATCAGTAAAACAAGGGAGTTAAGTGACTTCATTGGTCCTCAATACTGGCTGTGCATTGGAACCTCCTGGGGAGTTTTTCATTCCTAGATCTACTTCATACCAACTGAATGAGACTCTCTGGAGTGGGACCCAATCCCTGGAATACTTTTTTTTTTGAGATGGAGTCTCGCTCTATTTCCTAGGCTGGAGTGCAGTGGCATGATCTTGGTTCACTGCAACCTCCACCTTATGGGTTTAAGCGATTCTCCTGCCTCAGCCTCCCAAGTATCTGGGACTACAGGCATCCGCCACCATACCTGGATAATTTTTTGTATTTTTAGTAGAGATGGGGTTTTGCCATATTGGCCAAGGTGGTCTCAAACTCCTGACCTCAAGTGACCCATCTGCCTTGGCCTCCTTAAGTGCTGGGATTACAGGCATAAGCCACCATGTCCGGCCTGGAATCCTTTTAAATCTCCCCCAGGTGATTGTGAAGAACCAGGGCCTCTCTGCCTCTGTCACTGCATTTCAATATTTCTTTACCTTGATCCCCAATATAGATGAGAGGGGACATTTGTTTTATCACCCCTAAGTTACTACACCCCCTTAGTAGCTGAAGCATATGAATTGTTGACCTAAGTTTTTCAAGAAGACAAAATTTCTCTGTCTGGACCAATTCTTGAAAGCCTCCCCCTTTTTTCAGACAAGCTTATGGCATGCAGCACCCCAAATAAAATAATCTGAACTAATACAGGACTACACATTTTCAACCCAGGGCAGCTCTGGATTGGGTACCTGAATTTGGCTTGGGCTAGTGATTTCTGACTGAGAAAAGTATTCATCCAGCCTCTGAGGAAATATAATGAATGAAGATGGGATTGGGAATTTGTGTTCTACAGGCATCTAGGAAGAGTCTTGAATAATTTGTCAGTTTTTCCTCCTGTTATTGCATTGGTTCTTGGTACATACTTACAGGGTTATACCACAACAAATATTCATTTTTGAAACATACTATATTAATTAGGAATGCTTTCAGTTGCAAGTAGCAGCACATTCAACCATAGTGGCTTAAATAAGAAGAGTTTTGTTTTTCTCATGTAAAATTCCTGGAATTTGTTTTAAAAACTTCACAGTGTGCAAATCTCTGTGATTCCCTTCTCCATTTCCTCACAGTCATTGGATGGTGGCTGCAGTTCCTGCTATCTCTTTTATGTTCCTTTAGGAAGAAGGAGAAAGAGGAAGGGGCAGCTTCTGTATCAGGAAAGCAAAAGTTTCCCAGGAACCCTGCAGCCGACTCCTGCGGACAATTTGTTGGCCAGAGAGGAAAGGGAGTTGGGAAGTGTCAGCCAACCACCAGGGTCTGCTTTGGCTTGGATATTTTGTGGGGAGTATCAGAAGCTCAGTTTTGGAAATACTAAGTTTGAGAAGCTAATTAGATATTCAAAAAAGGGTATCGGGTAAGCTGTTGGGTATAGAGACCAAAGTTCATTGAAGGGATGGGAGGAGGCTTACTTAAACTTGGGAGAAATCAGAATATAGATGTTATTTAAAGTTGTGACACCTGATGAGATTACCTAAGGAAGTGTGTGTAGCTAGAAAGGATACACCAGTTAAAGAGTGGAGCCATGTGAGAGGAATTGGCAAAGGAGACCACATCAGAAGAGCCCAGAAAGAAAATTAGGCAAGGTCAGTGACCGGAAGCCAACTGAAGAGAGGGTTTCAAGATGGGGTCAGTAGTTAACTGTGAAAAGGCTACTGACAGGTCAATATAAGGATTGAAAGTTGCGCATGAGATTTAGCAATTGGGAGGTTGGAGTGACCTTGGTAAGACAGTGCCTGTGAAATTCTGAGGTGAAAACCTGAATGGAATGAGTTCATGAAAAGAGTGGGAGGAGAGGAATTAGAAGCAGCATGAATATAAGACAATTCTATAAGGGCATCTAAGGTCAGCTCCAACTCTCAGATTAACTTGAGCCCTTCTGAAAATGTGACAGGATATATGCAGTTTCTTTAGAGGCACATTCTGAGATGCTTTGATGACCACAAGGACTTTGTTAAACACAAATCCCATCAGGAAACAGGCAGTTCACTATGACCTTATGAAAGTTTTAATTCAAAGCACTTGAAGATACTTTTTTTTCTGGGCTTCCTGATCTTACTTCAGTAAGGTTTTTATAAAGTTAATATCCAAGTAAGAGTATAGCTTTCAAAGGCTATTCCTCATTCTTAAATGCATTAAACTGTTGATTAATAACATTATCTAAAAGCTGTCAAATAAAAATAAGACCAAACTCTTTACTTGTACAGAGTGGACTGATCAAGTTGAAAGCAACAGAACAAGCATCTATAAGAATTGATTATATGTCCCAGCACTTTGGAAGGCTGAGGCAAGTGGATCCCTTGGGCCTAGGACTTCGCGAGACCAGTTGGGCAACATGGTAAGGCACTGTTTCTAAAAAAAAAAAAAAAAGTACCAAAAAAAATTTGCAGGGTGTGGTGGTGTGTGCCTGTGGTCCCAGCTACTTTAGGAGGCTGTGGGAGGAATACCTGACCCCAGGAGGTCGAGGCTGCAGTGAGCCGTGATCATGCCACTGTATTCCAGCCTGGGTGACAGCGTGAGCGTGAGACCCTGTCTCAAAAAAAAGGAAAAAAGAATTGATTACATGATACTGTGTAAAACAAAGAACTTGAAATTTTGAGTAAAATGATTTGTGTTTGAGTCTTGCATCCAATCCTTCCTAGCTGTGAAAATTTAGATAAAATATTAAGCTTTTCTGTAGCTTGGTTTTTGATGTGTAAAATGGGGATAATGATAAACATCTCACAGGGTTATTGCAGAGATCAATGAAAAGGTTATATGGGAAAATGCTTAGTAATGAGAATAAATAAAGCCTATGTAGATATTATTGATTATAAATTGCTTTCACACACATGCTTTTGTTGGACTCTCTCAAATCTATGTAGGAGGCAGGGATGGGTATTGTTAAATATTTTTAAATATTTTAAAGAAATACTTTAAAGAAGGTAAAGCCCAGGCTCTAAGATGTTAAGGGGCTAGGCCAAAGTCACATGACTAATACCTGCCAGAGTTGAGACCAGAAATAGTTTTCTGTCTATGATCTGGGGCTCTGTCCACTATTAAGGTGTTCACATGGACACCACATGGTATCAGAATCCAGTGAGGCAAGGAGGCTCCTCTGCCATGGACCAGAGTTTCTAAATTGCACTCATTCTACTCTTGGTGGTATGAGTGTATGGGCCTCTGACAGCATGGGTCCGTGGGTGGGTACACATCTGAAGCAGGAAACATTCAGGGCATCCTAGAGCCCCTTCCCCTTTGACTTTTTTGTTTGTTTGTTTGTTTTTTGAGATGGAGTCTCTCTCTGTCGCCCAGGCTGGAGTGCAGTGGCGTGATCTCTGCTCACTGCAACCTCTGCCTCCCAGGTTCAAGAGATTCTCCTGCCTCAGCGTCCTGAGTAGCTGGAACTACAGGTGCCCACCACCATGCCCAGCTAATTTTTTTTTGTATTTTTAATAGAGATGGGGTTTCACCATATTGGCCAGGCTGGTCTCAAACTCCTGTCCCAGTGATCATCCTGACTCGGCCTCCCATCCCCTTTGACTTTTACCTATCCCCTCCCCTAGTCAACACTGCATACTAACAAGTTCCTAAAAGAGTATTTAATGTGCTCACTGATATGAAGGCAGGAGCATTTACTGCCCTCATGTCCTCTTTTTAAAGAACACCTCTGAAGATATCCATAGAATTGAAATATATTATAGCTAGAAAGACCCTCAGATGACATTTGGTCATGCCCTGCATTTCACAGGCCAGGAAGCTTAATTTTGGAACTATTAAGATATTGGCCCAAGGCTCCTCAGCTGGTGTCAGAGACAGGACTAGCACTGGGCAGCTTGATCCAAGTGGACAATCTTTCCACTACACCACACCGCCACTCCCAGTGTGGCCATAGCATGGTGTGATACCTAAAACAAAAATTTTGAAAGATTTCTCAATTAGTTGCTTAAATAAAGTGAATTTATTCTACCTCCTCCACTATAGCATTGAAAAGAGCTTAAACCCTTAATATATAAATGGTGGCTGGAGTCACCTCTTGATGGTTAATCATGTATTCTCATTTGTAGTTTAAGTGCTAGAAGACAAAGTAACTTTAAAATTGTTCAGGAGAGGACCCAATTATCTGATAAGAAATTCCAAAGACCATATACACAAATGCAGAAACAGACCTCTTTATGAATGGTGTCTGACAAGGAAAGAGATATTTGTGGCATAGGAGCTCTGGAAAATGTAATTATTTATCCTTTCATAATTAATGAAAGAAATTGAAAATGAAGCTTTCATTTCAAATCCTTTTTATCTGGATGAAACTTTAATTTTACATAATTAAATTGACTTCACAGTTCAGTGTGTTAAAATATGCAATTAAGCAGCATATCAAGGTTAAATGCCTACTGTTATTGGCTCATTTAGAAATCATGCTGCTGAACTCCCAAACAATACCTGCCTGTCCATGATCAGCCCCAGAGCCAGGGATAGCACACATCCTGTAGAGCTGCTCCCCAAATTCAGAGCAGGCAGTTGAGTTTTCTTGCATGTGCCAGCTCCTATATAAAGTTAGTTGGCACTGGACATTGCAGCTCACACTTGTAATCCTGCTGCTTTGGGAGGCCGAGGCAGGAGGATCCCTTGAAACCGGGAGTTTGAGGCCAGCCTGGGTACCCTGTCTCTACAAAAAACAACCCCCGCCGCCAATACACAAAAATGTAGCAGGATGTGATGGCACACACTTGTAGTCCTAGCTACTCCAGAGGCTAAGGCAGGAGGATCGCTTGCACCCAGGGGTTCAAGGCTATAGTGAGCTATGATCGTGTCACTGCTCTCTGGCCTGGGCAACAGAGTGAGACTCTGTCTCTAAGAAAAAAAAAAAAAATTAAGTTAGTTAGATATTTAAAGAGGTTTCACTTTTCTTTGTTTTTCAGTGGGGCTTTTTTTTTTTTTTTTTTTGGCATAAAGAAATATTCTGGCACTTCACTGGAGCTCCATGGATGATTCAGTTTATCTCTTATAAAGGTTTTCTTTAAGACAACAGTTGTGTCTTCAAACTTGTTGCCTTCTGTTTCATGAAAGTACATTTTTAATGTACTTTTTAAGTATGTTAAAATTCCTTCATTTTAATTTTCCCACTTTACAATTTATGATAAATCTTAGCTGTGACTTCTTTCAAATGATCTCGTGGAAAGGAGAAACTTAGGCATGTGGGAGGCATTGAAGGGGGACACTGAAAAGAGGATTGGGGCTAGTTGACTGAAGTGTGTCAAGGAAAAAGCAGTCTGTAGAAGTGGAGACTTTTAGCTGTGTACACCCCTCCCTTGTTTTCCTTTTGAATATCACCTTTGTGACGATTAATTTATGGTTCAGCAGCATCTTGTATTCCCTTTCATCTAAAGACTCTGTGAGTAGAGCATAGTTCAACAATTAGAATTGAGCTTTTTCCCTTCCCTTACATATTTTAGAATTCATGTAACAGTGATTTTTTGTGTATCCATTAGGTGGAATGTTGGGAAGCATTCATGGATCTAAGCAATATCCTTGCTGCAATGACACTTAGAAAGCCTGAATCTATATGGTGGCTGATATGGTTTGCCTGTGTCCCCACCCAAATCCCACCTTGAATTGTAATAATTCCCACATGTCAAGGCCAGGACCAGGTGGAGATTAATTGAATCATGGGGGCGGTTTCCCCTATACTGTTCTCGTGATAATGAGTAAGTCTCACAAGATGTGATGGTTTTATAAATGGGAGTTCCCCTGCATAAGCTCTTGCCTGCTGCCCTGTAGATGTGACTTTGCTCTTCCTTTGCCTTCCACCATGATTGTGAGACCTCCCCAGCCATGTGGAACTGTGAATCAATTAAACTTCTTTCCTTTATAAATTACCCAGTCTCAGGTATGTCTTTATTAGCAGCGTGAGAACAGACTAATACAGTGGCCTTTCCAGATAAATGGGGAAGTGTGTTGCTGCATTAATTACAATAGCCACAAAAAGAAGACATCATCATGACATGAAAGTGACACTCAGGAAGAACTTCACATTAGGGGCATATTCTACAATTTCAGGCTATTCTCACTATAATGCTCTTGTTGTTCATTATGGGATGTAAGTGATATAATTGGTAGACCATTGCATTTGTTCATTTTCATGCTGCTATGAAGAACTTCTTGAGACTGTGTAATTTATAAAGGAAAGAGGTTTAATTGACTCACAGTTCCACATTGCTGGGGAGGCCTCAGGAAACTTACAATCATGGTGGAAGGGGAAGCAAATACATCCTTCTTCACATGGCAGCAGGAGAGAGAAGTGCCAGCGGGGGAAATGCCAGACACTTATAAAACCATCGGATCTCATGAAAATTACTCGCTATCATGAGAACAGCATGGGGGAGCCACCTCCATGATCTAATCACTTCCCATGAGGTCCCTTTCCCAACACGTGGAAATTATAATTTGGATTACAATTTAAGATGAGATTTCAATGGGGAAAGAGAGCCAGACCATATCAACCATAAAACTGGAAGATTATAAAAGACATTACAGTGTGTATCCCTTTCAGATGTGTAATCTCTATCAGAATGTATGAATACTTTGCTCTGTTGAGCCAAGTCTTGAGATATGACATTGCCTTCTTCCATGACACTGAAAGTCATCATGTGCTGAATAAATTCTTCTAAAATTCCAAGCTGGAACTAGATTTGCTTGTCTCACTGCATTGCCCTGAAACCAAAAGGAAGCCTTGACTACCATTGTACATCTCAGTAGTTTTATCAGAAAAAAACTTAATAGTGAAATCCAAAACAAGAACAGCAGCAAAAAAAAATAGTGAAAAAAGTCTTAATAGGTGAAAAGTTATATCAATGCATCCATGCAATTTGTAAAAGCACCCATTTATATATAATTAATTACACAATTTCAAATTATTCTTATATTTTTAGTTAAAACCAACCTCTCTTCCTTTAGAATCTATAGAAGATAGCATTGATGACATTTAATTTTGATAATTACATGCACCTGAACACTACTAAACTACTGTTTAATGAAACTATATTCACACATACAACATACACAACTACTGATTGGTCTTTCCGCAAACAATCTGACTTTGGAAGCTTCAATGTTTAGCAAGTGTTTAAATAATACCAAACAATAAAGACTACTTTGTATAGCAAGTGTAAATCTTGTACCATTTCCCAGGAACATGCAGGTTTGACTAAATTTTATACAAGGCTTAGAAATCCTGGTCTGATTTTGTATAGATCCCATTGCATGAGGGTCTGATATTCCCTACAATAGAGCTGTTTACATCTTCTCAGAGTCTGAGATTAAGGAATTTCAATTGAGAAATAAAAATGTGGTGCAACTGAAATGTTTCATCAATGTGGCCTGATGATCCCACTGCTTTATTGGATCTATCTGGTTTGATACAGATGAACTCCTACTAATTTTCGTCCTTCAGAACAAGATGGAAGAAACTACGGTCACATATGCAAATGGAGAAGATGATGAACACAGAAAAATTATGCAAAGATAATCCCTAAACCTTCTTTCTCATCAAAAGTTATAGCAAGGTGGTTTAATATATCACTGACGGAACACGATGCTTTGTTTAATGAAGACTCAGACGGAAAGGATCAGACATCAACCTATAAATGCATCAACCAGAAGGAAAGACCAATTTTGAAAACTGTTGAGCATTATTCTATACCTCTAAGCTGTTCTTTTCTGAACCATGAATCGGGAGAATTATTGTCACTCATACATGAGTATGAGTTGTAATTCTCAATTCCCAAGTAAAAATCTTCCTGCTTTTGTTATATTTTTCTTCTTGTGAATTTTTTTCTCTTTGTTTGTGGTCAAAAGATGTCTGGAAAGTGAAAGGTTCTCAATATGACTTTGAACTGTACAGGAAACAATAGCATTCTGGTCCATTTAGGTGGGGGCAAAAATCATAATCTGCAGAACAAGCTAGGCTTTTATTTAATTCATTCTTTTGAAAAAGATAGCTTGTTCTAATATTGAATTCTCCTTACCATTACATTTGAAGTAAAGTTAACTGGACAGAGACCTGTCTACATCCAACAAGCTACAAAGACAACAAAGGTACCACACTAATGAATGCCTGTGAAAGCACAAAATCTATAATGTAAATAAAAGTGTAATTATCTTCATATCATCCTTTTTATCTAGAAAGGGCAGCTCTGAGAAGGTGGTACTTTTGTTTTTAGGAAGTTTCAGCACCACTCCCCTGTGTAAGGGTTATTTTTGTGTTTAGAATATTTTTGATAGAACTAAGAAAACTAATATGTGTTCTGTCTATAAATCAGGGAGAAAAGGGGTTTGTGGGTGACTGCTGCTCTGCTGGGCTGCTCCATTTTAGTCCATAGACTATTTCTATGTCATAGTTTACCCGCATAAACAGTTTACCCGCATAAACAGTGATGGTCTAGATATAAAGCCTGCTATATCATTACATGTGACAGTTATGTAGAAACTAGTATATACTTATATTTGAGTCCCGTTGAAGCAGTGAAGGGTTTTTGAAATTAGCACCTACTTGAAATAATAAGCTAAATCTCATACTTCAAGGATGGATTTAGCTCCCAATTAGAAATAAGAGCTAGAAGAAGGAGCCACTCAGCTAAAGGTGATAATGTAAGTGCACAGTTTTAAAGTTAAAGATAACATAAAGATAAAACTGTTAAATGAATCTAAGTCTACTAAAAAAACAGAGACACCAAAATTCTATCCCAAAAAATTGGTTTAGAAATCTGAAAAGAAAATTAAAAGATTCATCTTCAATAACAACTTGCTACCTCTTATTTGCCCACTATGATATATTTACGTATCATTCAATAGTCAATGTTCTATTTTCCATCCTGGTTTTCTTTGTGTTTCAGAAGGCAATTTCTTTTGGAAAAGAAATCTGAGGACTTTTGATACGCAGACAACACATTTAAAATTCAGCTAATTAGGTAACTACTGAAATCTCTAACTAACTATTTGGGGCCAGTGTTACTACCTCTCTCTGAGAAGTTGGGTCTGAATTCAATTATCACAAATAGTTTAATAAAGATATATATAGATGATGTTAGAGATTCTCCAGGCATTTATTTCAACCTGAAACATAGCTGAATACATGGAGAGAAAGTACTTTCCATTCAACCAAATAGACACCACCCACAGTTACATCTTAGCCATTAAGTTCTGATGGCAAACCTGAAATCAGAGGAAGAGGGAAGAAGAAACCGGAAAAAAAAAAGCATCAAAATAATAATAATGGACTAAGGGAGTTTCAGAAAGATAAGTAAGTATAATATTATATTTTTATTGTGTAAGCTTCTTGAGTTGAGTCTGGGGTAAAGTCTGCAAGCTACACGGTATTAAAAGAGGCAGCAAATTAGAACCTCAGGGGAAGCACTAGTATTTGAGGGGAAAGAATGGAGAGCACCATTTTTTTGTGCTTGAGGCATCCAGGTAAGAGTTCCTTAAAGCAATCTTACCTTTGTTTTCTGCCTTCAGTTCCTCTGCCATCAAGCTGTCTTGTCGATTACCAAGCACAAATGCTAGAAATGAGAGGATCAGGGCATCCAAAATTCCAATAATAGCCAGGATGTATGCCCAGCGGACTGAGCAAGCCCCAAGAGTGTACTTGTCTGTCTTTTCTCCACACATCCGTTTTACTTCATCTGAGTCCCAGCCATCAGGGAAAATCATACAGCCAAGCACAAGGCAGGCAGCTTGGAGAGAAAGAGAGAAAAACAAAAGAAACAAAAAAGATAAGTCAATAAATTTTAACTTAGCAAATGTTTCCACTGTCTGTCGAATCATTGTTTCAAATTATTCTTGATTTAAAAAACAGCAAATCTCACCACTGTCACTCTGAATGTGTGTGTGTGTGTGTGTGGGCATGCAAACGTGCACGTGTGTGTGTTGCTGGTTAAGGTAAAAGCAGCCCAGCACTCTACATTGAAAGAAACTCTGGGAATGCACTTTACAGTGAACGCAAGCATCCCGAAAGAGGTTAAGAAAATATTAAGAAATGGAATTTTGGGGTGCATTTGTGGGAAGGGTTCCATTACAGATAGGTCATAAGGAATCATAACACTGCAAAATAACAATTCAAGGCTGGATTTGAGGAGCTATGACAGCAGCCACAAAAGGATAACATGGCAAACACTAGAGTGTGTACTGACTTTGAATCACTATGAAAAATATTTTTATATTGGGATCACCCCTCTTCCCCTGCCACAGAAAAGTTTTGTTTTTTTTCTCCTTCCTTTTCTTTGTTTTTCTGGTATGGATACAGAGAAAGGATACACTGTTGGTGGAAATGTAAACTGGTATAGCCATATGGAAAACAACATGGAGGATCCTCAAAAAATTAAAAATAGAACCACAATATGATTCAGCAATCCCACTATTGAGTATATGTCCAAAGGAAATAAAATTAGTATGTCAAAGAGATATCTGAACTCCCATGTTATTACAGCACTCTTCACAATAGCCAAGTTATGCAATCAACCTAATGTCTATCAATGGATGAACTGATAAAGAAAGTGTTATGGCGGTTCCAAAATGGCTGAATAGGAACAGCTCCAGTCTATAGCTCCCAGCATGAGTGACACAGAAGACAGGTGATTTCTGCATTTCCAACTGAGGTACTGGGTTCATCTCACTGGGGCTTGTCAGACAGTGGGTGCAGTGCACCGAGCGTAAGCTGAAGCAGGGCGATGCATTGCCTCACCTGGGAAGTGCAAGGGGTCAGGGAATTCCCTTTCCTAGCCAAGCAAAGCTGTAACAGATGGCACCTGGAAAATCGGGTCACTCTCATCCTAATACTGCGCTTTTCCAGTGGTCATAGCAAACAGCACACCAGCAGATCAGATCCCGCAACTGGCTCGGAGGGTCCTATGCCCACGGAGCCTTGCTCATTGCTAGCACAGCAGTCTGAGATCAAACTGCAAGGTGGCAGCTAGGCTGGGAGAGGGGCGCCCGCCATTGCCAAGGCTTGAGTAGGTAAACAAAGCGGCTGGGAAGCTCGAACTGGGTGGAGCCCACCGCAGCTCAAGGAGGCCTGCCTGCCTCTGTAGACTTCACCTCTGGGGGCAGGGCATAGCCAAACAAAAGGCAGCAGAAAGCTCTGCAGACTTAAATGTCCCTGTCTGACAGCTTTGAAGAGAGTAGTGGTTCTCCCAGCACGGAGTTTGAGATCTGAGAACCAACAGACTGCCTCCTCAAGTGGGTCCCTCACTCCTGAGTAGCCTATCTGGGAGGCACCCCTAGTAGGGGCAGACTGACACCTCACATGGCGGGGTACCCCTCTGAGACGAAACTTCCAGAGGAACGATCAGACAGCAACATTTGCTTTTCACCAATATCCGCTGTTCTGCAGCCTCTGCTGGTGATACCCAGGCAAACAGGGTCTGGAGTGGACTTCCAGCAAACTCCAACAGACCTGCAGCTGAGGGTCCTGACTGTTAAAAGGAAAACTAACAAACAGAAAGGCCATCCACACCAAAACCCCATCTGTACGTCACCATCATCAAAGACCAAAGGTGGATAAAACCACAAAGATGGGGAAAAAACAGAACAGAAAAACTGAAAATTCTAAAAATCAGAGCACCTCTCCTCCTCCAAAGGAACGCAGCTCCTCACCAGCAACGGAACAAAGCTGGATGGAGAATGACTTTGACGAGTTGAGAGAAGAAGGCTTCAGATGATCAAATTTCTCCGAGCTAAAGAGGAAGTTTGAACCCATGGCAAAGAAGTTAAAAACCTTGAAAAAAGATTAGACGAATGGCTAACTAGAATAACCAATGCAGAGAAGTCCTTAAAGGACCTGATGGAGCTGAAAACCAAGGCACAAGAACTATGTGACGAATGCACAAGCTTCAGTAGCTGATTCAATCAACTGGAAGAAAGGGTATCAGTGATTGAAGATCAAATGAATGAAATGAAGTGAGAAGAGAGGTTTAGAGAAAAAAGAATAAAAAGAAACGAACAAGGTCTCCAAGAAATATGGGACTATGTGAAAAGACCAAATCTATGTCTGATTGGTGTAGCTTAAAGTGACGGGGAGAATGGAACCAAGTTGGAAAACACTCTGCAGGATATTATCCAGGAGAACTTCCCCAACCTAGCAAGGCAGGCCAACATTCAAATTCAGGAGATACAGAGAATGCCACAAAGATACTCCCTGAGAGGAGCAACTCCAAGATACATAATTGTCAGAGTCACCAAAGTTGAAATGAAAAAAATGTTAAGGGCAGCCAGAGAGAAAGGTCGGGTTACCCACAAAGGGAAGCCCATCAGACTAACAGCTGATCTCTCAGCAGAAACTCTACAAGCCAGAAGAGAGTGGGGGCCAATATTCAACATTCTTAAAGAAAAGAATTTTCAACCCAGAATTTCATATCCAGCCAAACTAAGCTTCATAAGTGAAGGAGAAATAAAATCCTTTACAGACGAGCAAATGCTGAGAGATTTTGTCACCACCAGGCCTGCCCTACAAGAGCTCCTGAAGGAAGCACTAAATATGGAAAGGAATAACCGGTCCCAGCCACTGCAAAGACATGCCAAACTGTAAAGCCCATCGATGCTAGGAAGAAACTGCATCAACTAATGAGCAAAATAACCAGCTAACATCATAATGACAGGATCAAATTCACACATAACAATATTAGTCTTAGATGTAAATGGGCTAAATCCTCCAATTAAAAGACACAGACTGGCAAATTGGATAAAAAGTCAAGACCCATCAGGTGCTGTATTCAGGAAACCCATCTCATGTGCAGAGACACACATAGGCTCAAAATAAAGGGATGGAGGAAGATCTACCAAGCAAATGGAAAACAAAGAAAGGGAGGGGTTGCAATCCTAGTCTCTGATAAAACAGACTTTAAAACAACAAAGATCAAAAGAGACAAAGAAGGCCATTACATAATGGTAAAGGGATGAATTCAACAAGAAGAGCTAACTATCCTAAATATATATGCACCCAATACAGGAGAACCCAGATTCATAAAGTAAGTCCTTAGTGACCTACAAAGAGACTTAGACTCCCACACAATAATAAGGGGAGATTTTAACACCCCACTCTCTACATTAGACAGAAACGAGACAGAAAGTTAACAAGGATATCCAGGAATTGAATTCAGCTCTGTACCAAGCAGACCTAATAGACATCTACAGAACTCTCCACCCCAAATCAACAGCATATACATTTTTCTCAGCACCACACCACACCTATTCCAAAATTGACCACATAGTTGGAAGTAAAGCACTCCTCAGCAAATGTAAAAGAACAGAAATTATAACAAACTGTCTCTTAGAACACAGTGCAATCAAACTAGAACTCAGGATTAAGAAACTCACTCAAAACCTCTCAACTACATGGAAACTGAACAACCTGCTCCTGAATGACTATGGGGTACATAACAAAATGAAGGCAGAAATAAAGATGTTTTTGAAACCAATGAGAACAAAGACACAACATACCAGAATCTCTGGGACACATTTAAAGCGGTGTGTAGAGGGAAACTTACAGCACTAAATGCCCACAAGAGAAAGCAGGAAAGATCTAAAATTGACATCCTAACATGACAATTAAAAGAACTAGAGAAGCAAGAGCAAACACATTCAAAAGCTAGCAGAAAGCAAGAAATAACTAAGATGAGAGCAGAACTGAAGGAGATAGAGACATAAAAAACCCTTCAAAAAATCAATGAATCCAGGAGCTGGTTTTTTGAAAAGATCAACAAAATTGATAGACCACTAACAAGACTAATAAAGAAGAAAAGAGAGAAGAATCAAATAGATGCAATAGAAAATGATAAAGGGGATATCACCACCAATCCCACAGAAAGACAAAATACCATCAGAGAATACTATAAACACCTCTACAAAAACAAACTAGAAAATCTAGAAGAAATGGATAAATTCCTGGACATATACATCCTCCCAAGACTAAACCAGGAAGAAGTTGAATCTCTGAATAGACCAATAACAGGCTCTGTCATTGAGGCAATAATTAATAGCTTACCAACCAAAAAAAGTCCAGGATCAGATGGATTCACAGCCGAATTCTACCAGAGGTACAAGGAGCAGCTGGTACCAAGCCTTCCGAAACTATTCCAATCAATAGAAAAAGAGGGAATCCTCCCTAACTCATTTTATGAGGCCAGCACCATCCTGATACCAAAGCCTGGCAGGGACACAACCAAAAAAGAGAATTTTAGATCAATATCCCTGATGAACATTGATGCAAAAATCCTCAATAAAATACTGGCAAACTGAATCCAGCAGCACATCAAAAAGCTTATCCACCATGATCAAGTGGACTTCATCCCTGGGATGCAAGGCTGGTTCAATATATGCAAATCAATAAACGTAATCCATCATATAAACAGAACCAAAGACAAAAAACACATGATTATCTCAATAGATGCAGAAAAGGCCTTTGACAAAATTCAACAGCCCTTCATGCTAAAAACTCTCAATAAATTAGGTATTAATGAGACGTATCTCAAAATAATAAGAGCTATTTATGACAAACCCACAGCCAATATCATACTGAATGGGCAAAAACTGGAAGCATTCCCTTTGAAAACTGGCACAAGACAGGGATGCCCTCTCTCACCACTCCTATTCAACATAGTGTTGGAAGTTCTGGCCAGGGCAATCAGGCAGGAGAAAGAAATAAAGGGTATTCAATTAGGAAAAAAGGAAGTCAAATTGTCCCTGTTTGCAGATGACATGATTGTATATCTAGAAAACCCCATCATCTCAGCCCAAAGTCTCCTTAAGCTGATAAGCAACTTCAGCAAAGTCTCAGGATACAAAATCAATGTGCAAAAATCACAAGCATTCTTATACACCAATAACAGACAAACATAGAGCCGAATCATGAGTGAACTCCCATTCACAATTGCTTCAAAGAGAATAAAATACCTAGGAATCCAACTTACAAGGGATGTGAAGGACCTCTTCAAGGAGAACTACAAACCACTGCTCAGTGAAATTAAAGAGGACACAAACAAATGGAAGAACATTCCATCCTCATGGATAGGAAGAATCAATATCATGAAAATGCCATACTGCCCAAGGTAATTCGTAGATTCAATGCCATCCCCATCAAGCTACCAATGACTTTCTTCACAGAATTGGAAAAAACTACTTTAAGAGCCCACATCGCCAAGTCAATCCTAAGCCAAAAGAACAAAGCTGGAGGCATCACGCTACCTGACTTCAAACTATACTACAAGGGTACAGTAACCAAAACAGCATGGTACTGGTACCAAACAGATATAGAGACCAATAGAACAGAACAGAGCCCTCAGAAATAATACCACACATCTACAACTATCTGATCTTTGACAAACCTGACAAAAACAAGAAATGGGGAAAGGATTCCTTATTTAATAAACGGTGCTGGGAAAACTGGCTAGCCATATGTAGAAAGCTGAAACTGTATCCCTTCCTTACACCTTATACAAAAATTAATTCAAGATGGATTAAAGACTTACATGTTAGACCTAAAACCATAAAAACCCTAGAAGAAAACCTAGGCGATACAATTCAGGACATAGGCATGGGCAAAGACTTCATGTCTAAAACACCAAAAGTAATGGCAACAAAAGCCAAAATTGACAAATGGGATCTAATTAAAGTGAAGAGCTTCTGCACAGCAAAAGAAACTACCATCAGAGTGAACAGGCAACCTTCAGAATGGGAGATAATTTTTGCAATCTACTCATCTGACAAAGGGCTAATATCCAGAATCTACAAAGAACTCAAACAAATTTACAAGAAAAAAACAAACAACCCCATCAAAAAGTGGGCGAAGGATATGAACAGACACTTCTCAAAAGAAGACATTTATGCAGCCACCAGACACATGAAAAAATGCTCACCATCACTGGCCATCAGAGAAATGCAAATCAAAACCACAATGAGGTATCATCTGACACCAGTTAGAATGGCGATCTTTAAAAAGTCAGGAAACAACAGGTGCTGGAGAGGCTGTGGGGAAATAGGAACACTTTTACACTGTTGGTGGGACTGTAAACTAGTTCATCCATTGTGGAAGACAGTGTGGCAATTCCTCAGGGATCTAGAACTAGAAATACCATTTGACCCAGCCATCCCATTACTGGGTATATACCCAAAGGAATATAAATCATGCTGCTATAAAGACACATGTACACGTATGTTTACTGTGGCACTACTCAGAACAGCAAAGATTTGGAACCAACCCAAATGTGCAACAATGATAGACTAGATTAAGAAAATGTGGCACACATACACCATGGAATACTCTGCAGCCATAAAAAATGATGAGTTCATGTCCTTTGTAGGGACATGGATGAGCTGGGAACCATCATTCTCAGCAGACTATCACAAGGACAAAAAACCAAACACTGCATGTTCTCACTCATAGGTGGGAACTGAACAATGAGAACACTTGGACACAGGAAGGGGAACATCACACACTGGGGCCTGTTGTGGGGTGGGGGGAGTGGGGAGGGATAGCATTAGGAGATATACCTAATGTAAATGACTAGTTAATGGGTGCAGCACACCAACATGTCACATGTATACATATGTAACAAATCTGCATGTTGTGCACATGTACCCTAGAACTTAAAGTATAATAAAAAATATATATAAAAGAAAATGTTATATAAGTATATATTCAACCATCAAAAAATGAAATCCTTTCATTTGCAGCAACATGAATGAACCTGGAGAACATGATGTTAAGTGAAATAAGCCAGGCACAGAAAGACAAATATCACATGACCTCACTTATACGTAGACTTTAAAGGAGTTGATCTCATAGAAGTGGAGTAAAATACTGGTTATCAGAGGCTTGGGAGGGACTGCGGAAGAAGGATAAGTAGAGACTGGTCAACAGGTACAAAGTTACAGTTAGATAGGAGGAATTATTTCTGGTGTTCTGTTGCACAGTAGGGTGACTATTAGTTAACAACATTATATTATACATTTCAAAATAGCTAGAAGAGAGAAGAGAGGATTTTGAATGTTCTTGCCACAAAGAAATGATAAATGTATGAGGTGATGGATATACTATTCTGTTTTAATTTTTACACTATATATATATTAAAACATCCCATTATATGTTTGCCATAAATACGTGAGATTATTATGAGTCAATAAAAAAAGTTTCTTGAAATTATGCTTACCACATGCAATGCATGCTGATATTTTCTATTCTATTCTCCATTTGATTTCATTTTTAGTAAGGCTGAAAAACACTGCAAAATAGTGTGGCACCACAGAACTTTTATGGAAATTAAGAAATCCTGGAGAATACTGATATTCAATTTCCCAAATATCACTGTGTTAATTCTATAAATACATTTTATAGGAAGAGGTTACTTTGAAAATTAAAAAAGAAAAGTAGCCATGTTGTCTCTTTTTATATTTCATTGAATTATACAGGATACTATTTTTTGGTTATACAAAGCTTTCTGAACAAGTGGGCTCATCCATTCATTCACTAATTCATTCAACAGTTGCTTCAACAGTTGCTTATTGAGTATCTCCTATGAAGTACCAAGCACTGTTCTTGGTGCTAGGGATACAGTGACCAGGAAAGGGACATGGTTTATGTTATTATGGAGCTAATGTTTTGTCAGGAGAAGAGGCGAAAAATGAGTAAGCATACAAATAAAATAGTTGTATGTTGTAGTAAGTACTAACTAGGAAAGAAACTAAAGGCTCAGATAGAAAATAAAGAGTTGGCACTTCTTTAGAAAAGGTGGTCAGGTAAGGCCTCTTGAGGGGGCAACATTTAAGCTAAGGCCAAAAATAGACTGAAAACTAGACAAGTGATATTGGCATGAAAGATGTTCCAGGGAACAGCATGTGGAAAGATTCTGGCATTGGAAAGAGGCTTGCTGTGTTTGAGGAACTATAAGGAGATCAGTTACTGGGATGGAGAAAGTGATCACACTGAGGGTGCAAAGCAGGCAAGGGTTATGTATCATGGCAGGTTACTGTTTCCAGGGTATGTAGCTTAGCCACACTGAGTTAGAGTTCTGTGACTATCAGGGCCATATAATTCCTGAAGCTAGCAAGAGGGTTGCTATATAACTCTTGCCTTACCGCAACTTACTGAACAACACAGGAATGGGCACCTACTTTCTTCCTTTTTAGCAGGTACATGGCTCTACAGGGCAGGTCTGGAGGAGACAGAGACCAAGAGGGGTGACAAGTAGAAAGACTGCCTGGGAGAACTCTGCTTTAGTTATTTGTTATTTTACAGAATAATAGTTCAAAACTGTGGGTCATATTTGATTCTTCTCTTTTCTTTGACCCACATCCCAAGCATTGCCATGCTTCTCTTATCTACCTGTGTGCTCTTTCTGCATAGGTAGGTATTATTGACACGCCCCTACTTTAGGCCTTCATTACCTCTCAAAAACAGGCCTAACTTTTCTCTGCCTTCAGTTTGCCCTTACTCTAATCCAGGTTACACAAGATTGCCTAGATCATCAAGCCAAAATCTTTTTGCTGGCTCCCTACTGGACATTAAAGAACAGAAAGGTACCTTAGTCAGGTATTCAAAAACTCTGTAATCCAGCCCCCACTTACTTTTACACTTGGGTTGAACCTCACATGACTCCAAGTTTTTTTTTCTTTTTTCTCTTCTCTTTGGAGTATTTGCCATGATTTTCCCTAAATGTTCCATTGTTAAATATCTTTTAGTGCTCAAGCCAAATGCAATATCCTCCACAGAGCAAGCCATCTGAAATTCTTCCGATTTGCAATATTGCCTGTCTCTGCACTTTCATAGCTGTTGACAATTCCTAGCTTAGGGTCCGGGTTACTTTTTACATTGTTACAGTTATTTATTTACAAGTATTATCTCAATTAAGAGATTATACGCTTTCTGAAGAAAGAGTCTTTGGTCCACCTTAAATGTAAAACTCAAAGCTATAAAAGCCCTAAAAGAAAATCTAGGCAATACCATTCAGGACATAGGCATGGGCAAAGATTTCATGAGGAAAACGTCAAAAACAACTGCAGCAAAAGCAAAAATTGACAAATGGAATTTAATTAAACTAAAGAGCTTCCATACAGAAGAAACTGTCATCAAAGTGAACAGACAACCTACAGAATGGGAGAAAAGTTTTGCAATCTATCTATCTGACAAAGGCCTAATATTTAGAATCTACGAGGGACTTTAACAAATTTACAAGAAAAAAACACAACCCAATTAAAAAGTGGGCAAAGGATATGAACAGACACTTCTCAAAAGAAGATATTTATGCAGCTAACAAACATGAAAAAAGCTCAACATCACTGATCATTAGAGAAATGCATATCAAAACGACAATGAGATGCTTCTCATGCCAGTCAGAATGGTGATTATCAAAAACCCAAGAAGCAACAGATGCTGGCGAGGCTGTGGAGAAATAGGAACACTTTTACACTGTTGGTGAGAATGTAAATTAGTTCAACCATTGTAGAAGACAGTGTGGCAATTCCTCAAGGATCTAGAACCAGAAATAGCATTTGACCCAGCAATCCCATTACTGGATATATACCCAAAGGAATATAAATCATTGTATTATAAAGACACATGCATGCATATGTTTATTGCAGCACTGTTCACAATAGCGAAGACATGGAATCAACCCAAATGCCCATTAATGATAGACTGGATAAAGAAAATGTGGTACATATACACCATGGAATACCATGCATCCATAAAAAGGACTGAAATCATGTCTTTTGCAGGGACATGGATGGAGCTGGAAGTCATTATCCTCAGCAAACTAATGCAGGAACAGAAAACCAGACACTGCATGGTCTCACTTACAAGCAGGAGTTGAACAATGTGAACACATAGACACAGGGGTGAACAACACACACTGGGGCCTGCTGGGTTAGGCAGGGTGAAGAAGCCCGTCAGGAAAAATAGCTCATGCATGCTAGGCTTAATACCTAGGTGACGGCTTGATAGGTGCAGCAAATCACCATGGTACAGGTTCACTTAGGTAAGAAACCTGCACATCCTGCACATGTACCTTGGAATAAAAAAAAAAAATAGTCTTTGGTCCATCATCGTATACATAGCATCTAAAATAGTGCAACTACATAGTAGGCACTAAAATACGTTTGAAAATGGGAAAATGAATGAACAGTTAAAGGAGCTGTAACATCTAGACAATACACTCTAAAATAAGGTTCATGGAGGTCAATATCACAGTCTCAAATCTAGTTAAAGATGGGTTCATATTTAGTTGACATTTAACAGAAGCAACTTTGTTATGATTAGACAACAGATTACAAGTACTTGGGAGAATTTTTTTTTTTTTTTTTTTTTGCCTGAGATGGAGTCTCACTCTGTCACCCAGGCTGGAGTGCAGTGGTGTGATCTTGGCTCACTGCAACCTCTACCTCCCGGGTTAAAGCAGTTCTCCTGCCTCAGCCTCCCAAGTAGCTGGGATTACAGGCACATGCCACCATGCCTGGCTAATTTTTTGTATTTTTAGTAGAGATGGGGGTTTCACCATGTTGGCCAGGCTGGTATTGAACTCCTGACCTCGTGATCCGCCATTTTTGGCCTCCCAAAGTGCTGGGATTACAGGCGTAAGCCACCGCGCCCTGCCGAGAATAATTCTTAAAAGGTAAAGTTGGTGATTTGAAAATTTTTTCAAATTACTGTTCCCTCTGTATCTCCCAGCAGTCACTAGTCAGTACTCAACTTGCTGTCTAAGGCATTGTCTAGTGATAACAAGATTGTTAAAACACATTGTTTCCATGAAAAGAATTCCTTTTATTTTGGAGGATGCAGAAGATCTTTGAATTCAAACTATAGTTCAAAAAAACACCTCTCAGGATTACTTGGAATATTTTAAAATATTTGAAATGTTTTTTACATACTAAATAATTTTATTTGTGAGAAAATTAATTTCTTATAAAGAAAAAAAGAAAACTGAATATTTTTATTTTACAAATGGGAATCACCTGAAGAATAACTTACATTACAGTTGCAGCTAAAGTTAATAGAAATCACCAACTGACATAAGCTCAGGCAGGTTAGTGAACATTATAGGACAACTTCACTGGAACAGGATGTGTGTGGAATGGTTATGTCAACAAAGACGTCTTTTCTCAAAGTCCTTCTGTCTTGAAGGTAGGCTATCTTAGAACTTTCATTTCTGGAAACTCTAAGTTACAAATTGGGATAAAAAAAAACAGAGGTAGAATTAACTCTGAATTAAAACCACAGGAGAATAAGAATGGCAAGCCATTGTTCCCTGTTTTCAAAATATGACTTTCTAAATGAAATTTTAAGTGAAGAATATGAGAAGATAGATGAAATAATATACAACAGTACTTTATGCAATGGATATTTTGCTGAAAGTTACAAAAAGAGAATTTCTGAAATGCAATTCTTATTTTCAATAATGCAAGAGAGTTGACTGGTTGGAGAATGCTTAAAACCTGTCTAACAAGGTCAGGGTTTTGGGCTCCTGGAGAAAAATGTTTAGGCCTACCTAGTAAGGATATTTCGGGTCTCCTTCAGGCTACAGGGCACTGTAGTGTGTACGGGTTCTCCATCCACTTCTTGTCAGCCTTTTCTTTTCTTTTGGATATATTCTTTTCTTTTGACTTTTATTTTAAGTTCAGGGGTACATGTGGAGGTTTGTTGCATAGGTAAACTTATGTCATGGGGTTTGTTGTACAGATTATTTCATAACCCAGGTATTAAGCCTAGTACCCATTAGTTATTTTTCCTGGTCTTCTCCCTCCTCCCACCCTCCACCCTCTGAAAGGTCCCAGTGTGTGTCGTTCCACTGTATGTGTCCATGTGTTCTCATCATTTAGTTTTCTTAAAGTGAAAGACTTTATCCCTTTCTAATTTCTCTGTTTTGAAAATCTAAATAGTTGTATGGTAGGATTTAAAAAACACACAATTGCACTTAAAAGCTTTTAAAACTTTAGATGGCCATTGCATAACAGAAGTTTTATTTTCTGACAATGTATTATCAAAATGTACATTTTCTTCTCCTCCTATCCGAACTCCTCCTACTTGGCTGTTTTATTCTGTTTCTGAAAGGTTAACGCCCCAAAAGCTTAGTATATTTAATTTAAGCCATTAAAATAGTTTAGGCTTTGTTGGTTTCTTTGGAAAGGCATGACTATTATATTCCACATTAATGCTTGAGTGCTGTAATAAATTTCTGTTTTCTGGCATTCCGTTAACCAGAACCTTATTAACCTGCACGATTTGTATAGCCACTGGAAACTAACAGCTGCTCCTAATCCTAAGAAGTACCTGCAAGATCCTAGGCTAATGCCTCAGTCAACGAAAGTTTAAATAATACTCCTCTTGGCTTTATAATTAGTTATTTCTGATTCTTCACAAATTGATAATCCTTTAAGATGTAGCACCATCACAATAGTAAACATTACAGTATACAAGGCACCAGGACATTAGATTAATTTGGACATGCTATTTCCTGACCAGGAGGGATAGTAAAGAATTAGTTTCAACTGGACTATTATCCAAAAATGGGTTTCTTATTAAAATGTCACCTAGGAAATTACTAACCTCCTTGCAGCTATGTATTTCTTCATTTTGGCAGCAAGCAGGTTTTTTGGAAGTATATCAGAGATCATCTTTTTTTTTTTTTTTTTTTTTTTTTTTTTGGAGACATAGTCTTGCTCTGTCGCCCAGGCTGGAGTGCAATGGTGCAATCTTGGCTCACTGCAACCTCTACCTCGCGGGTTCAAGCGATTCTCCTGTCTCAGCCTCTTAAGTAGCTGGGATTATAGGTGCCCACCGCCACACCCAACTAATTTTTGTATTTTTCGTAGAGACAGGGTTTCACCATGTTGGTCAGGCTGGTCTCAAACTCCTGACTTCAAGTGATCCACCCACCTCTGCCTCCCAAAGTGCTGGGATTACAGGCGTGAGCCACTGCACTGGGCTGAGAGAACATTCTTGAATGCTAAAGAGAAACGAGAGCTCACAAGCTGGAGGTGAGCAGAGAAGTGATGAAAAGAAACCATGCCATGATATCTTCTGACACAGAGTAAACAACAAAAGCTTCTTTGTGAGGATATCACCGATGATTTCAATTTTAGGTATCTTCCAAATGTTTAAGAAACATTTACATTCTGAAAGGAATCTCTGTGTAGAGGCTACTGATGCCCACAAAGGGCTCTTCTGAAATAGTACACAAATGGCTAGTGGTTCCCCAGAGCCACTAATTGCTCTGGCATTTTTCTTGCTAAAGAGCTGAATGTAACCTCTATGGAGGAAACATCCTTAGAAAAATCCACAAACCTTTGTAATTGGGTCTTTCTTCAAAGGAAAATGAAGCAAAATGAAAAAAGCAATAGGGGGCCTATGACTTGGGTTACGTGGGCCTGCTGATACTGCTGGTCTGACTATCCCATTTGGGGCTTTTAACGTTGTGAACCTGAGAACTACTTATTTTTTTAACAGAAGGAGAAAGTCTAAATTCATTCTTTAAAAAGTCTATGCACTGTTGCACAAAAAAACTGATAAATTGCCTCATGTTGCTGAAGCACTCAAGGGGAACTTGGTGAAAAAAAGGAACCTGCATCCGCTTAGCTCTGTCAATTATTCAGGCATACAGTAGTTGAAGAAATTGATGCCAGCAGACACTGCCAGGCTATGGAGGGGGAACTTTCACACAAGGATTGTCACTCTTAACACCTGGTAAAAGAGATAGAAGGCTCATTCCTATCACTTCTTTATTGGCACGTGGCTGACAAACTTGAGCTATAATATTTATACCTCTAGAAAAAGTATAATATTTACACCTTGGTCTCTTCTGAAAACAGAGTCACTGGACAATCTAGGACATGAAATACTGTGGTTTAGAGTGTGGTGAAGAAAACACATTGTGTCCTGGTAAATTTTGGCTTTAAACACAGTGTAATTTTATGGGCATTTAACTTGGGGTCGTAACACAAAATATGTAACATCCCTTAGGGAGATAGAGGAGAAAAGAAAATATAAACACAGGGCTCTTAAAAGAGAAGAGTTAGAATGTTGTGTCTGATGATGAGAAAAGCCTCTCTGCTGTGCCAAAATACGTAGCTCCAGTTTGTTCAACTAAAAGGATCTGTATATACATCCACACATTGTGCGGTATCAGCTGTGAAACCTTGGACCTCGGCTGTAAGCAGATGATCTGGAGTCCGTCCACACCTGCATGTATGAACTATCTAGTTGATGGAGAAACACCTTTTATAGAATATGTTGCCAGACAAAAGGCAACATATTGAAATATGTTTCAGAAAAATAAATAACATCACTTGCTAATTTACCCAAATTTTAAGGGTTAATACCCAAATAAAATGAAAATCAGAATTTAGAACTTGAAAAATTAAAAGCAGTTCTGATCTCTAGAGCACCACTAGATGGCTTCTGATACATACCAAGGGTCCAGTCACATTCATTGAAATCCTGCTAATGGTATAGTTAATAATAATAATACACATCATAATAATAGCTAATATTTATTGAACATTTACCATGTATGGGGCACACTTTACAGGCATCATCTCATTTGATTCTCCAATAAAGCTAAGAGAAACATGAGAACACTTCTTCCTGACACCTTCAGTTTCTGCAAAGAGGAATTTTTCCTTAAATACTCTTGGCCCCTTATTCCACTTCTCATTCCTTTCCATGGCAGTGGAATGAGTTACCTGATGAGTGTCTGGGGAAGAGGAACTGGGAATACCTTTCCAACACTTTCCTTTCCCTACCTTAGGAGTAGTTTGTCCACGCAAAGCATGTGTTCTACTCCTCCATGCTATACATCCTACATCAGGCTGGCCTGATTTTTTTTTTTAATTATACTTTAAGTTCTAGGGTACATGTGCACAACGTGCAGGTTTGATACACAGGTATACATGTGCCATGTTGGTTTGGTGCACCCATCAACTCATCATTTACATCAGGTATTTCTCCTAATGCTATCCCTCCCCTAGCTCCCCCACTCCCCGACAGGCCCCAGTGTGTGATATTCCCTGCCCTGTGTCCAAGTGATCTCATTGTTCAGTTCCCACCTATGAGGGAGAGCATGCGGTGTTTGGTTTTCTGTCCTTGTGATAGTTTGCTGAGAATGATGGTTTTCAGCTTCATCCATGTCCCTGCAAGAGACATGAACTCATCCTTTTTTATGGCTGCATAGTATTCTATGCTGTATATGTGCCACATTTTCTTAATCCAGTCTATCACTGATGGACATTTGGGTTGGTTCCAAGTCTTTCCTATTGTGAATAGTGCCACAATAAATATACATGTGCATGTGTCTTTATAGTAGCATGATTTATAATCCTTTGGGTATATAACCAGTAATGGGATTGCTAGGTCAAATGGTAATTCTAGTTCTAGATCTTTGAGGAATCGTCACACTGTCTTCCTCAATGGTTGAACTAATTTACACTCCCACCAACAGTGTAAAAGCATTCCTATTTCTCCACATCCTCTCCAGCATCTGTTGTTTCCTGACTTTTTAATGATCGCCATTCTAACTGGCGTAAGATGGTATCTCATTGTGGTTTTGATTTGCATTTCTCTGATGACCAGTGATGATGAGCATTTTTTCATGTGTCTGTTGGCTGCATAGATGTCTTCTTTTGAGAAGTGTCTGCTCATATCCTTCGCCCACTTTTTGATGGGGTGTTTTTTTTCTTGTAAATTTTTTGGAGTTCATTGTAGATTCTGTATATTAGCCCTTTGTCAGATGAGTAGATTGCAAAATTTTTCTCCCATTCTGTAGGTTGACTGTTCACTCTGATGGTAGTTTCTTTTGCTGTGCAGAAGCTCTTTAGTTTAATTAGATCCCATTTGTCAATTTCGGTTTTTGTTGCCATTGCTTTTGGTGTTTTAGTCATGAAGTCCTTGCCCATGCCTACGTCCTGAATTGTATTGCCTAGGTTTTCTTCTAGGGTTTTTATGGTTTTAGGTCTAACATGTAAGTCTTTAATCCATCTTGAATTAATTTTTGTATAAGGTATAAGGAAGGGATTCAGTTTCAGCTTTCTACATATGGCTAGCCAGTTTTCCCAGCACCATTTATTAAATAGGGAATCCTTTCCCCATTTCTCATTTCTGTCAGGTTTGTCAAAGATCAGATGGTTGTAGATGTGTGGTGTTATTTCTGAAGCCTCTGTTCTGTTCCATTGGTCTATATATCTGTTTTGGTACCAGTACCATGCTGTTTTGGTTACTGTAGAAGGCAGGCCTGCTGAGATTAGGAAGATTCAGTATGTCTCATTCTAAGAGTGCAGACTAGTAAGTCCTTTTGGCTAATAGAGCCAGAGCCATGTTCTTCTGCCTAGGCTTTTTTGTAATAAAGGGGCTATTTTGGTTCCCATCTTCCTCCATCGCTCTCAGTTGGTTTGGAGGTCAGGTTCGGAAATAGGAGGCTGCCATTTGTTATTTCTCGACCAACCTTGACATTATTATTATTTTTTTACATGTGAGGGAACAGAGGCATACAAATGTCAAATACTTGCTCGAGGTCATACACGGTCCACAAATGGCAGAATCAGGATTTGAACCTAGGCAGTCTATGCTTTTGGAATCTATGCTTTTATTATCCTCTACATATGAACAGTAACAACGCATGTGAAATCACTTTCGAATATTGGTTTTAGCACTAAGAACACTTATAGAATCTTGGCATTGCTTAACATGTTACTTATAACTAGACATTTTTTGAGTACAAGAACTACTAATAAAATGACGCTTAAAAACTGTTGGTTTTTATATGTATAAATATTTCTTTTATTTACACTAGAATTTCACCTAATTAGAATTTCATTTTACACGTAGTGCCAAGAACTTTAGAATAATTATAAATGCTAAATGTGTGGAATGGGAATTAATGAGCTTTTATTGCATAAATTCATGTATAAACATTTGTATAGTTGGTTTCATATACACATACAGTTTGTTCCATACACACTTGTACAAGAATACTCATCCCCCTTTTTTGGCTTGATTTTTTTGCCTCGATATTTTAAGTTGGCTTTATGTTAGCTAAACATTTTTATATGTTCTTAAAAGGTATATATTCCTTTCAAAGATTATATATATACATGTGTATGTGTACATGTGTACTTTATTAATTTATATATATGGCTACTTGTATGTATAATAATTTCTCCTTCTTATAAATAAAGATATGAATCAATTAGGTTCTATTTAAGTTTTTGTAAAGCTTTATTTTTTGAAAGTAACTTCTTTGGATTTCAGTAAACACATTGTTTTAATAAAAATTTTAATAAATACCAACTGAACATGCTGGCAGGTCACAAACACATCTGTAATTTGCAGGAGAGGACTTGACTTAGGCAACATTTTCACAAGCTAAAATCTAAACAGCATTTTTGCCGCAGGATCTTAAGAGAAGAAAAGAGCATAATTCTCCATATGAACAGGATCACCATTCTCCCAGCAAAACCTGCTTCAGCCAGGGTGACACCCAAAGCAAGGTAACACAGACCAGTGGTTATCCTGCTAGCAGTTCTGTGTGCCTCTAGACTACCACTTTGTGCCATAGTTACTTTATTTGTAAAACAGGGAGCCTGGGTCCAGATTATTGAGTGGTTACCTACTATTTAGCTTATTCATTTTGATAATAAATTTGTATGCACTTGGTGTTCCATATACATATTATGAGAAATAATTTTGCTTGTGCCATTACTTTTCATGGCAAAAATTGCGATTACTTTTGCACCAACCTAGTAATTCACAAGCTGACTAAATGTCTTCCTGCACAGCAGGTGGAGAGAGGGAGGCATTCTCACTCTCCACCCTGGCTTACCACGATGCTGAGGGAAAGTCACTATAGGCTGAAATTAGACAAGGCCAGGAATTCTGTGCCAGTCTGACTACCAGCATTACAATTTCCAAATACAAGGGCTGGCCTTAGGAGTAATTTAATTCTTTCTCAGCGAGGACCAGCATTTCTAAGCCCAAAAGACCCGTTTGGAAATAGAGTATCCATTTCTAGCCACTTTCCTAAAACAGAATATGGCACGAATGCAGCTTTTTTCCCCCTTAATTTTATTTCATTGTGGGTAAGGACATTATATTCACCCTCTTAATAAAATTTCAAGCACACAATATAGTATTATTAACTATAAGCACAATGTTCTACGAATCTCTAGAACTTATTCATCTTGCATAACCCAAACTTTATGCCAGTTGATTGGCAACTCCCTATTTTTCCCTACCTCCAGCCCCTAGCAGCCACTATTCCACTCACTGATTCTATGAGTTTAACTATTTTAGATAGATACCTGAAGTGTTTGTCCTTCTGTGACTGGCTTATTTCACTTAGCATAATGTCCTCAAGATTTATCTATGGTATTGCATATTGCAGACTTTCCTTCTTTTTAAAGGCAGAATCATATTTCATTGTATGTATATACTATATTTTGTAATCCATCTATCTGTCCATGGACACTTAGAGAGGTAGGTTTCTCTACCTTGGTTATTGTGAATAGTGCTGCACTGAACATAGGAATACTAATATCTCCTTGAGACCCTGATTTCAATTCTTTTGGAATAATACTCAGAAGTAGGATTGCTGAATCATATGGTAGTTCTATTTTTAATTTTTTGAGGAACTGCCATATAGTTTTTCATAGTGGCTGTACCATTTTGAATCCCACCAACAATATACAAGAGTTCCAATTTCTCCATATCCTCACCAACAATTCTTATTGCCTTTTTTTTATAGTAGTCATCCTAATGAGTATGAGGTGGTATCTTACTGTAGTTTTAAAATGCATTTCCCTGATTATTAGTGACATTGGGCATATTTTTATATACCCATTGGCCACTTGTATGTCTTCTTTTGAGAAACATATGTTCAAGTCTTTAGCCCATTTTAAAATCAGGTTATTAGTTTTTCTCTATTGTGTAGTAGGGTATCCTTACATATTTTGGAAATTAACCGTGTATCAGATATAGAGTTTGCAAATATTTTCTCCCATGCCATAGGTTGCCTTATCACTTTGCTTATTATTTCCTTTGTTCTGCAGAAGCTTTTTAGTTTGATGTAGTCCCATTTTTCTATTTTTGCTTTTGTTACCTGTGCTTTTGGTGTCATATTCATAAAATCATTGCCAAGACTAATGTTATAAGTTTTTCCCTCTGTGTTTTCTTCTCAGAGTTTTACAGTTTAGGCCTTATTTTTAAGTCCTTAATCCATTTTGACTTGATTTTTGTGTGTGGTGTAAGATAAGATTCCAATTTCCTACTTCTGCAGGTATATATCTGGTTTACCCAACATCATTTTTTTCCACTGTGTATTTTTGGTACACCTGTAGAAGATTAGTTGACCATACATGTATGGAATTATTTCTGGGATCTCTATTCTATTCCACTGGACTACATGTCTGTCTTTATGTCAGTATGGTACTGTTTTAATTATTGTAGCTTTGTAATATATTTTGAAATCAGGAAGTATGATGTCTCCAGTTTTGTTCTTTCTTAATATTGATTTGGCTATTCAGGGTCCTTCATGGTTCCATGTGAATTGTATAAGTGGTTTTTCTATTTTTGTAAAAAAATGCCACTGGGATTTTGATAGAGCTTGCATTGACTATGTAGTCTGCTTTAGGTAGTATGGACATTTTTACAGTATTAAATCTTCCAATCCATAAACATGAGATGTCTTTCCATTTGTTTTTGTCTTCCTTAATTTCTTTCATCAACGTATTGTGGTTTTCAGCATATAAGTGTTTCACCTCCTTAGTTAAGTTTATTTCTAAGTATTTTCTTTTTTTGGCACTATTATAAATAAGATTGTCTTCCTAATTTCCTTTTCAGATAGTTCATTGTTACTGTATAGAAACTCAACAGAATTTTGTATGTTGATTTTGTATACTGCAGCTTTACTGATTTGTCTATTAGTTTCAACAGCTTTTTGGTGGAGTCTTTAAGGTTTTCCCTATATAACATCATGTCAACTGCAAACAAGGAAAATTTTACTTCTTCCTTTCTGATTTGGATGGCTTTTTTTTTTTGGAGATGGAGTCTCGCTCTGTCACCCAGGCTGCAGTGGTGCAATCTTGGCTCACTGCAACCTTTGCCTCTTGGGTTCAAGCTATTCTCCTGCCTCAGCCTCCCAAATAGCTGGGACTACAGGCACAAGCCATCACACCTGGCTAATTTTTGTATTTTTAGTAGAGACAGGGTTTCACCATGTTAGTCAGGCTGGTCTCGAACTCCTGACCTTGTGATCCACCCTCCTCGGCCTCCCAAAGTGCTGGGATTACAGGCATGAGCCAGCGTGCCTGGCCCTGATTTGGATGGCTGTTTATTTCTTCTCCTGCCTAATTGCTCCAGTGAGGACTTACAGTTCAGTGGTGAATTCTACCATACATTTAAATAATTAATGCCTAATCCTTCTCAAACTTATCCAAAAAATCAAAGAAGAGGGAACACTTCCAGGCTTATTTTATGAGGCGAATATTACTCTGACGCCAAAGCCAGGCAAAGACACCACAAGGAAAGAAAACTGTAGGCTGACATCCCTGATAAGTACGGATGCAAAAATCCTCAACAAAATACCAACAAACTGAATTCAACAGCACATTAAAAATGATCATACACATTGCCAAGTGGGATTTATCCCTTGGATACAAAGAAGGCTCAACATACAAAAATCAGTCAATGTGATATGCCACAATAACAGAATAATGGATAAAAATCACATGATCATCTCCATATATGTAGGAAAAGCACTTGAGAAAATTCAGCACCCTTTCATGATAAAAACTCTCAACAAATTAAGAATAGAGGGAAGTTACCTCAAAATAATGAACACCATGTATAAAAAGCCCACAGCAAACATCATACTCAATGCTGAAAAACTGAAATCTTCTCAGGAATAAGGCAAGGATGACCACTCTTGTTATTTCTATTTAACATAGTACTTGACAGTAATATTTTAATGCTTTTAAAACTTCAAATGGTAAAAAAAATTGTTCAAAGTAAATGTGAAAAAATAAATATTGCATACTAAAAACATTGGAAGTAGAACAAAGTTTAAGAAAGATGAATGCTTCTCTGAACTCCTTTCCCTTACTCAAGGGGGTATCAGACTCACACATTCACATATATACATACATACACATACACATATATAGTTTTTGAGACAGGGTCTTGCTCTGTCGTTCAGGTTAGAGTGCAGTGGCAGCACCATTCCTAGCTTATTTTTTTATTTTTGTAGAGATGAGGTCTCCCTATGCTGCTCAGGCTGGTCTTGAACTTCTGGGCTCAAGCTATCTTCCCTCCTTGGCCTCCCAAAGTGCACATATTGTTAATAGGCACCCAAGTCACACTTTTTCACAGTTTAGCTAATCTCTCTCTCTCTCTCTCTGTGTATATACACAGGTATATAAGTATGTACCTATAAATATAGATATGTATATATGTGTATATATATATAGAGTGAGCATGTACACATGTGTGCATGCGCACACACACACAAACGCATCCCTCTGCACCCAGTCCTGTTCTTTATACATTTTAAGAACAGTTGCATAAGCTAGAGGGTGGTTGGCAATCTTTTTGTAGAGAGGGCTTATAATATAATTCTGGACAGACTTGATCTAACCAAAGCACTGAATTATCTTTTTCACCATATTGAAAAGGGCAGACCAGCATGGTGGGGTTCCAGATAACAAAATCTTCAAACTGATTATTCCTTATGTCTATCTGGCTCTTCTTAAGTATCATTTTCCTCCCTCCAATCCCCTCACCCTTCGGATGTTTAAGATTAAGGTTATATGAACTCCGAGGCACTGACTTACTAAATCTAAAATGAAGAACTGCTAAAAAAAAAAAACCCAGACTTGTGGCAAATTGTTTGAGTTCTTTTTTTTCTTTATTTCTTGCTCCCTTTCCTCATCAGACTTTCCTTAAAGTTTTTTTTTAGGCTTTCACATTTTTTGCTACTCTTTGAAGCAATTTATCCAGATGGTGAAAAATAGATAATTTACAATATGTTTGGCTATGACCAATCTATGGTAAGATCTTCCAATAACTTTTATTTTTATTGAGAATGCTGGGCTTTAGATCAAGAAAGTGTCTCTAGAGAAATTGAATTGAAAAAGGCAGTAGGTATCAAAAACAAAACAACAACAACAAACGAAAGGGTAGGACAGAAACCAGGTCAAGGGAGGGTGAAAGAAGTCAGTGTACTAAGTGTTCTGTCAAAACATTTTTTACACATCTTTCAACTTCAAGTTCTAACAGCAGTAGCTAAAAGTTTATAAATAAAACCTTGAGCAGTAAGACATCTAAAGAAGAACAATGCGTGATCAGAACGACTTCCCTAGACTAAAATGAGACTTAACCCAGTCTTAGCCTGCCAGCAAAATGCCTGTAAGATAATTTTGCTTTGAACATGGAGGCTAGAGTGGCCCCAGGCAGAGCTGAGGGGGGTTTTGGAAACTGAGCAGGGAGCCTGAGATTTGCTTTCTGCCTTGGTATTGTTACTCCCCTTGGGACTCTCTATTTTCACCCTTTACCCAAAGGCTCCAGTTTCCTTCCTGGCATTTAAAAATCTATTGTAATTCATTTGGCTTTCTTATAATCGAGGCTGGGAATGCTGATAGAATTATAGAATTTTGATAATATAAAGCATTTTAAATTCTGGGATGCTGCTCATGTAAATTACTGGTAAAGTCTGCTAGTTAGTGATATGGTTTGGCTGTGTCCTCCCCACGCAAATCTCATTGAATTGTAATCCTCAGTGTTGCGGGAGGGGTCTGGTGGGAGGTGATTGGATTATGGTGGCTGATTTCTCCCTTGCTACTCTTGTGATAGTGAGTGAGTTCTCATGAGATCTGGTTGTTTGGAAGTGTGTAGCACCTCCCCCTTCTCTCTTCCTTCTGCTCTGGCCATGTAAGACATGCCTTTTTCCGCTTTGCCTTCTGCCACGATTGTAAGTTTCCATGCTACCTGCACAGCCTGTGGAACTGTGAGTCAATTAAACCTCTTTTCTTTATAAATTACCCAGCCTCAGGTAGTTCTTTATAGCAATGTGAGAATGCACTAATACAGTTAGAAACATTTAATAAAGTGCTAGAGTGGTATACATTCCAACATGTTACACTAATGAATTTCTTTGTCTTTCTTTCATTTCTTTACCACTCTCTGAATCCAGAATATTAGTACCTATTTGCTCAGAGTAGGGGATATTAATTCATGTTGTAGATCAACATATGGCCATCAGCAGAGCTTAAAGTTTCTAAATGGAAATTGAGAACAATCTAGAGTAGCCATGATCTAGGCCTTGGTACTGATCCCTATTTTTCTTGACCCCAGCTTGAGGGAATAAAAAGAAGAGGAACATACATTTCCCATGCCCAATACTGCCCACTCTGCCTCTTCAAGCTATGGTTTGTATTCTTTACAGGGATTTGATTTTTATATATGAAATGATTTTTATTTGGGACAAATTGTGGTTTTGTGATTTCATTGATTTTAAAGAGTCAAACAATCTAGATTAAGCATTTTGTCAACTGTAATGTGTATTAATTTTCTGTTGCTGCTATAAGAAATCACTAAAAACTTGGTGGCTTAAAACAACATATACTTACTATCTTTTAGTTCTCTAGATCAGAATTCTCATATGGGTCTCATTGAGCTAAAATCAAGGTGTTGGTAAGATTGCATTCTGTTCTGAAAACTCTAGGGGACAATTTGTTTCCTTGCCTGTTTCAGCTTCTAGAGGCTGCCTGCATTCTTTGGCTCATGGTCTCCTTCTATCTTTAAAGCCAGTAATGGTGGGTGCTATGGATGGTATGTTAGTGTTCTCCCCCAAATATATGTTGAAATAGAATTTGCAATGTGATGGTATTTGGAGGTGGCATTTTGTGAGGTAATTAGGTCATAAGGATAGAGCCCTCATGAATGTGATTAGTGCCCTTGTAAGAAGAAGCCACAGAGCTAGTATCTGTTTTCTGCCATGTGAGGATACAACAAAAAGACAGCTGTTGGCAAACCAAGAAGTGGACCCTCACCAGATGCCAGAGCTGCTGGTACCTTGATCTTGGACTTCCCAGCCACTAGGACTGTGAGAAATAAATTTCCATCATCTAAGCCACCCAGTCCATGGCACTTTGTTGTAATAGCCCAAACTGACTTAAGACATTTGGTTGAGTCCTTTTCACATATCATCTCTCTGACTTTCTCTTCTGCCTCTTCTTCTACTTTTAAGGACTTATATGATTAAATTGGGTCTATCCAAATAATCTAAAATAATCTCCTCATCATAAGGTCAGTTGATTAGCCACTTTAATTGCAACAGCAACCTTAATTCCCCCTTTCCATGTATCCTAATGTATTTACACATTCCAGAGATTAGGGTGTGGACATCTCTGCAGGGAGGAGGATTATTCTGTATACCACATAATGTTACACATAGTAGTACGTTGTTATGCTCTTGATACTTATGGGTTCTTCACTTCTAATTTGTAGTTACTGTGGCCCAAATTGACGGGCATGAGATCAATTGTAGCTTTATTATATGGAATAAATTCTGAGCACCTGTGTCTTCCAAGTCTGGCCTTTCATAAATCTCTTCTGGGTTTTCTCAGCTTGTGACATGGTTCTGTCTCGTTTCTTGATTAGTTTTATGGTTTCCTGTTGGGACCAAAATTTGATCTTATTTCTAACCTGCTTGTTGGCAGTCCTGATATTTTGCCTGGTTCTAGCTGTGTACATTGTTTTTTTTAAATTCTTAAAGGCAAGCTTGATTTATGTTCCAAGAGAATGGGTCACCTTGACCAAGGCTAATGATGTTCAGAAAGGCCATGACTTGGGGCTATCTTACTGCAGGACGCAATCCACTGCTTGGCCACCACCCTGCCTTGGACATCATCTCCATCTTGAATCAAGCCTAACTTTGGAATCATTTGGGCTACTGACCATTCCCATTAGTGATTCTGTATCACTAATTACTTGACTAATCCCAGTCTTGCTAGTCTCAACTTTCTGCCTTTCAGCACTGGCTCCCTGTTGGGGTTACAGTGTGCTATTTGGCTGAACTCATCTGAATTGCAGCAAGCATCTAAATTGCAGCTGGCATCTCAATAGCTCCAGTTCTATAGAGGTTGTCACCACAGACTCTCTGTCTCGTTTCTATCTTAAAACATGGATGATCAACTTGAATACCTCTGATAACTGCAGAGTGATATTGCTAAATAAAATTTCCCTGAAACTTTTGCCATTTGACACATATGAAAGTTTGAAAAAGAGTATGTATGGATTCTGTTCCTTTATCTCTAGGTATTGATACACTCAACCTGTGTGTTCAAACTTCATAGCTCTAAACCTATCATGACCTAAATTCTTGCCCCTTATTCTCATGGTATCAGTGTTCATCCTTGGACACTAATGGTATTATCATTTTTATATAAAGCCAGTCATCATTTAGGTATTGGAGAGTCCAGACTCCCCAGTGAGATTAATAGTTTGAACAAATGTTGAAGAAAAGAAAAAATATTGTCAGGGAAACTGGAAGAAAAACCAGCAGTATCTTCATTTTCCTAAGATATTTTGACAATGCAAAAATAATAGCCAACATTTATTGAGCATTTATTATGTGCCAAGTGCTCTTCTAATTGTCTTACATGAATCAACTCATGTAAACCTCATTACAACCTGATGAAGTAGATACTATTATTACCCCCATTTTATAGAAAATGAAGCAAAAATAGAGAACTTAAATAACTTGCCAAATGTCACGGGTGGTAACTGAGGTGTCAGGATTGATGCCTCGGGTAGTCTGGCGGCTGTTTTACCTCTTAACCATTATACAATTACAGAGTTTAATTTTTTACAGTTTCAGGGAAATACAGAGCTTTCCTCTGACAGTAAAATTAGAATATCCAACCGGGAGTGGATTCACCTAAGAATTGGTGAGACTGATATACATGATCTGAAACAAAAGTCTGAAACAAAATTAATTAACTAACTAATGAAAGTCAATAACTAAGGTCAAAGCAGGTCAGAAAAAATGCAAAAATCAGACTCACCAACAAATATTCATGTTGCAGTACATGGCTTGAAGCCTGTTACTGAGAAATGGTCTTGTGGTGCAACAATACTAAAGTTCCCATGAACTTTAAGAAGTTGACCAACTTATTTCAAAGTATTGGCATGCTGAGTTGTCAAAATGACATCCCTGATTTTTTTGGTGGAGATGGGGTTTCGCCGTGTTGGCCGGGCTGGTCTCCAGCTCCTGACCTCGAGTGATCTGCCTGCCTCGGCCTCCCGAGGTGCCGGGATTGCAGACGGAGTCTCGCTCACTCAGTGCTCAATGTTGCCCAGGCTGGAGTGCAGTGGCATGATCCCGGCTTGCTACAACCTCCACCTCCCAGCCGCCTGCCTTGGCCTCCCAAAGTGCCCAGATTGCAGCCTCTGCCTGGCCGCCACCCCGTCTGGGAAGTGAGGAGCGTCTCTGCCTGGCCACCCATCGTCTGGGATGTGAGGAGCCCCTCTGCCCGGCCGCCCAGTCTGGGAAGTGAGGAACGCCTCTTCGCAGCCGCCATCCCGTCTAGGAAGTGAGGAGCCCCTCTGCCCGGCCGCCACCCCGTCTGGGAGGTGTACCCAACAGCTCATTGAGAACGGGCCATGATGATGATGGCGGTTTTGTCGAATAGAAAAGGGGGAAATGTGGGGAAAAGAAAGAGAGATCAGATTGTTACTGTGTCTGTGTAGAAAGAAGTAGACATGGGAGACTCCATTTTGTTCTGTACTAAGAAAAATTCTTCTGCCTTGGGATGCTGTTAATCTATAACCTTACCCCCAACCCCGTGCTCTCTGAAACATGTGCTGTGTCCACTCAGGGTTAAATGGATTAAGGGTGGTGCAAGATGTGCTTTGTTAAACAGATGCTTGAAGGCAGCATGCTCGTTAAGAGTCATCACCACTCCCTAATCTCAAGTACCCAGGGACGCAAACACTGTGGAAGGCCTCAGGGTCCTCTGTCTAGGAAAACCAGAGACCTTTGTTCACGTGTTTATCTGCTGACCTTCCCTCCACTATTGTCCTATGACCCTGCCAAATCCCCCTCTCCGAGAAACACCCAAGAATGATCAATAAATACTAAAGATAAAAAATAAAAAAAAATAAAAAAATAAAAATGAAATTGTGGATAATAAAATTATGATAGTAATAAAAAAAAATGACATCCCTAAAAATAACTGGCAGCAAAATCCCTAAACTAAAATGCAGGGACTCCACTGATTTTCCTTGTTGTTGTTGTTGAACTTTAGAGCAATATATTCTCAGTTAAGGGAGTTCTTGTCAGTAGCTGATGAGAGTCTTAAGAGGTGCAATTTTTTTTGCATGGCCAGACCTAAAGTGGTTTTACATATCCTTGGCAAATGGCCTCTTCAGTCAGGTAACTGTTATTTATGTCCCAGGTCCAGAGATAGTGGTGATGAAGACAAATCTAATTTTTTCTCTCAAGGGACTTGAGAGAAAAGGTCTACAAAGGTATCCAGTGTAACTGCTGTAATGAGAAACAACATGAGGAAAAAAGGGAGACAGAGGCTATCAAGTGTAACAACATATAATTTAACATTTTTAGTCCCAGATCATTATTCTTTCAACCAGATCTAAGAGTCAGAAGGGGACTGGGGCTCAGAGGACTGACAGTCAGAGAAGTAAAGAGTCTATGTGTATGAGTGTGTGTGTGTAGTGGGGAGGACATGGCTATTTAATTATAGTATATAAATATTAAAATGTAGATGTAAATATAACTTAAGAATAGGAAGGTAACCAGTACCAACATAGAAATATGCAATAGAACTTACAATTGCCAGGGAGGACAAAAGGGATTTTTTTAAGTTAATAATTATAGGAAAAACAATGTGAGCTTGATTTATAGTCTCAAGCTGAGGCAGTCTGGGAATATCTCTGCTGTACTACAATAAGATTCAAACTCAAGCTCCCTATAGCATCAATAGTGTTTATTCATCTCTTCTAATGGAAGTACAGTAAATGTCAGAACTGGATATTTCTAGTCAGAGTGAAAGATATGTTTCCTCTATAGAGTCCTCCAAATAACAGAAAAAAATGATTTACCATTTTCATATTTTGGATGAGGATACTTCATACATTTTTTCAGTGTCATATCTTAGAATGCTGCCTAGAAACCCAAAGTGATCTATGGACCGCGAAAGTTGGCAAAGACCTTGCTCTCTTGGGCCTTTCTATATGGCGATGGGTATTTGGTTGTTTCCACCAGCCCTACAAGCTGGCCTTTGAAAGCAAGGGGAAAATAGTTCAAGGGGAAAAGAGTTCTAGGTACTCAGCCTCCTGGTCTCCCCTCACCTGTTCTTGACTGCTGATGTATTCTAGGTCTTTGGCCTCTCTGATGTACCTCTTTCTTTCTCAGCATTTATGTAGTTGAGCATCATTTAATGGTTTTAGACTACTTTTGTTTTCTCAGCTTTGGTCAGACTTGAATTGGCTTGTAGTATCGTGGCTGGACACTTACTCCAGTTTCCAAACACGTATCTCTTCTCCTCTAATGCATCCTCCTTCCTGCACTGGATAGGGAATCGTAATGGTTCTTTACATTCTGCAGGAAATGTTTTCAGTCATTCAAATACAATCAGTGGGATATGATGAAAGCATGGCCTCTATAACCCAGAATGGAGCTAGTATAAAGAAAAATACACAAAAAAACACTACTAGGAAAATGGAAGATGCCCAGCTCTATTTAAAACTCCTCACGTGTCAGAGGGAGAGAATAAACATCCTCCTTGTGGTCCCAGCAGAGCCTCTCTCAGGGATGGTTGAACTCCTTAAGGTAACAAGTTCCTTGAGGTTCCAGTTGAAGTGTGACTAGTGTATTGTCTTCCAGGATATAAACTGCTTCAGTATTACTGATTATTTTCATCTGATTAGTGGTCAGTACACCCTGGTAATTCCTAGAAGGTCCCAATTTTGCAGGTCAAACTTGACCAGTAAGTATCCAAGCCTGGTTGGGGGTAATGATGGTGTTTGTTTTATTCATCTCAGGCTGACACAGTCCTAGACTGACAACATATACTTTTCAGTGAACTGGATGGTTAGAAAACCTCAGCTCCTGGCTTGTACCTGACTGAACACTATGTACCCTGGGAATTGGTGAGCTCTGGAGTGAATTAAGCCTAATGGAGCATGAATCTAGGTCTCCATCCATCTGCTGTCAGACACATTCGTATATTGGGTTTGACTTGAGGTGGTGCTTTAGATGTGGTTGAGTGATGATGCAGTTGCCCCTCTGGCACTCCCAGGATGTTGAATGTTTGGTGTCAAATTTAGAATGAAGATCTAAGGCTTCTTTTTGTTTTCTCATTGTCATACACTGAGGGACCAGGATATTGGCCAGACATACACTAGGCTAGCTGGGCATCAGGTCTTGTAGTCATTATCCTCCTCCCTCTCTCCCCTGGAGTGTCACAATTGCAGATAAGAATGTGCAAAGAATGGAATTGTGGCTGAGCCACTTAATCTGGGATAATATTAACATCAATGCTGACCATTAAAATGCCATCATGGAGACAAATATCACCCATACAATTGACCAAAGAAAACCTTTTCCCATATAAGGGCTAATAAAAGAGGAGGCTGTTATAAGGCATTTTGTGAAACATTCCCCACCAACCAGAAGACTGACTTCCAGTGAATAGTTAATACCTGAAAATTTTACCAACCAACTGCAGTAAGTTCTGATACTTAGGGGAGAGGGTGTTGGGCATGTATCTTCCAACAGTGTGATTTTGAGATGCAATCTTTACTGAACTTAAATTTTGGCTCTGCCTCAGCCTAGAGTAAAATCTACATTATGGATGACAACTGTCTTGCATGTAGGACTTTGATGGCCAGGAAATTGAGAATATTGCTCATTTGGCTGGACTTGTCCAGCTTCAACAATATAGAGAGGTGCTGGTGGTCCTCTTACCCAGTGATATGAGGGATGCTGAGTCATCGGCCAGAGCTAGACACCATATAGTCAGTGTCCTTGTCAGAGGCTTGTGAGTAATATCCTTTTCTGGTTCACCTCTCGGTGGTGACACTGGCTGGCAGCAGGTGATGCCCTGGAATTTTTGTGCTGACAGTAAGTATCATGCCTACATTTGGTGTGGTCAGATGATGATGAGTGGCTATTATAACCATAAAATAGGGTCAGACTGTGGGCTCATAAAATAGTCAATTGATATGCCACCAAAAATTGTATTAGAAGATGGAGGCCTGAGAATGTGTCCCTGGCTCATTTCTTCACATTCCTCCTCTGGTAACACAATGAACAAAATGATGCTGCTGGCAGAGCCTGGAGGGCATGTGCCAACCTCAGAGTCAAGGTCTTTTCTCCTTATGGTGTTGGGGAAGAGGGACGAGAACTAGGGGTAAAGACTCAATATATCTTGTTCCTGGAGGGGGTCTGACAAGTAGAGTCCTGTTTGCATGAGCTGCCTATGCTTCTGTGAGGAGCTGCCAGACCCCACTCATCTGAAGGAGAGATACTTTGCTAGGCTGATCTACTCCCAGTTCCGGTAGTGGGGAATGACTGCCACCTGTTCCCCAAGAGGCCTCTGTCTGCCTCAGTGTGGGGACTGACAGCTCAATTCCTTATCAGTTGACACAAGCAGAAATTTTCATGCTCAACCTCATGGCCTGGGGAACCCTAGAGTCCTGACTGAACAGGTGCTAAAGGTAACTAAACTATGAAGATGCAAAAAAAATTACAATTCCTTTAAGAGGAATCAGAGATCCAAGAGAAGGTAACGCTGAACAGCTGAACTGGACCTGGGGACTCCTACTCATAGAACTGAAAAAAGAAGGGGGAGAGAACTCTAACAAATACTAAGGCTCCTGAAGGAGATGCAGTTAGAATACACCAGCCTTCCTAGAGCTAAACACAATCTTCAGTTTACAAAACCTCAAACTGAAGATGATGGCTGCTGTTGAGAAATGACATAGTGGTTTGGAAGACCTGGTAGAACAAATAACGAACAAAATCCCAAGGAAATGAGGAAAAAGACAAGATATTTGGAGGCTAGAGACTTAAAATGTAAATATTAAGAGCTCCAGGAAGAGAAAAGGAATACTTTTAAAAAAAGAAAATTTCTCTGAAGATAGACTTAAGTTTTTATATTAAACAATTGTTACCAAAATGCAGGTGATATTAAAGAAAAAAATTACCTACCTGCCATAGCTTGGTAAAATTTATAAACTTCTTATATTTAAGAAATAAATCTTTTAAGTTCCCACATAGAAAATGACAATGACAACAACAAAATAGATTAAAGGAAAAGAAATGTGATTAACCACAGCCCATTTATTTGTGATACTGGAAAGGAGAAGAAGTAGGACATTATCTATAGTCTCCTGAGAGAAGATTTTTAAGAATTCTGGCTAGTGAGCTCAGTGCAATGGCTCATGCCTATAATCCCAGCACTCTGGGAGGTCAAGGTGGGAGAAATGCTTGAGCCTAGGAATTCGAGATCAGCCTGGGCAACAAAGTGAGACCCTGTTGCTACAAAAAGTTAAAAAATTAGCTGAGCATGGTGGTGCATGCTTGTGGTCCCAGCTACATGGGAGGCTGAGGCAGGAGGATTGCTTGAGCCCAGGAGGCCGAGGCTGTAGTAAGCCGTGATCACGCCATTGCACTTTAGCCTGGGTGATAGAGTGAGACCCTGTCAAAAAAAAAAAAAAAAGAAATAAAGAATTCTGATTAAGATATCACCTGCCTGCTAGGGCAAGAAAGGTACTTTTGGATATGCAGGAATCACTCTTGTATCATTTGTGAGGGAAGTACTAAAAAAAAAAAAAGTACTCTATCCTCATGGAAATGGAAAGAAAAGATATTTTAAAATATAGAAGACCAAAAGTATAATTAATCACTCATAAACAATAAATCCTGTAAAATGTATGGTTAAAACTGAATGAATACTCATATGACTAGGACTGGTTAATATGTTATCAAGTTTTGAGACAAAACACATACTAAAAGGGAAAATAATATCCCGGAACTAAAATTTTGAAGCAGTCTAGAAAAACTCACAAATTTTAATGGAAGTAGAAAGGCAGTGCTGTGTTATTAAATGATTAACAACTGGTGCTATGAAAAAACAATATACAAAGCCCTGCTTTGTAGTGTTTTTCAATTTTCATAGTATAATCATTTCCACCATGGCCAGCTTCAAATTACAAGATGATATTAATATCATTGAACACAGTTTGGGAGAGATAAGGATTAGTCTAAATCAGCTCTAGCACACCACTGTAAGAGGGGATAATGTAGGATAGGAGAACTTATAGCAGCTTAAAAATTTCATGAAAGTGAAATGGTAGATGAGTAGACAAATAAAATATCTTGGTAGGAAGACACTGTTTATTGTGATATATTAAAAGAGAAATACAAGTGTGATGACAACTGTGGGGGAGCTAAGGTAAGCCCAGGAAGAATTGAAAGCAATTGATCAGCACTTCCGAATTAACAGGGCAAAAATGCAAAGAAGAGAGAGCTGACCAAGCCAGAAAATTAAGGAGAAGAAAGAAGAAAAAAATGAAGTATGTTAAACAGTAAACCTAAAATAAAATAAATGAAAGAAATAATTCAAAAATATTAGTTATCACAACAAGTATGAAAAGGTTGAATTTCCCTATCAAAATACATTGTCATATTCAGTTAGACAAAATGCAACTTATAC
This sequence comes from Homo sapiens, assembly GCF_000001405.40. Classification (NCBI taxonomy): domain Eukaryota; kingdom Metazoa; phylum Chordata; class Mammalia; order Primates; family Hominidae; genus Homo; species Homo sapiens. The sequence goes on along the minus strand of NC_000007.14, from coordinate 104,703,643 downwards.
ATTGGTGAGAATCATAACTAAAATAAAGAGACAAAGTAAGACTGAAAATAAGGGTAGAGATGAAGATAAACCTAGGTAATGCAAACGAGGGAAGCAAGAGTGGCAGAATTCAAAGTCAAAAGCATTTAAGCAGCTTAGCTACTGACAAAAGATGATATCCATGAGAATAATAAACCACAAAACTTTGTGCTCTTAGGTTTTACACAAACATAGCAGACTGAGGCAAAATTGGCTAAAAATGTGAGGAGAAGATGCTAAAAACACAGTGGAAGATTTTAATAAACTTTTTTTGAAATTTGTTAGATAAAGTACTCTAAAAATAAACATGCTAAAGGACTTGAATAATATAATCTTCAAGGTCAAGTTAATTGACATTTGTATAATTTGTATCCTACAAACAGAATGGATGATCTGAGTCCACAGAACAGTTAAAAACATCAGTTCGGTGATAAAAAGCCTAAATAAATTCATGAAAGTTGTGCTTTTAAAAGCTACATCTTGATTTGAAAAGACCAGAAATAAACAATAAAAAGATAACAACCACCACAAAAGATTTGGAAATTAAATAGATACTTGAAGTTAAAAAATCATCTAGAAGAAATAGAAATCTTTATTTCATTGTTCTTTGGATATTCAAATTAAGTTGACAATATCAGAAAAGAGATATAATCCCACAACAAACAGGACAGTAGATGGGAGGGGAGGATTGTTATTGACAGCTGGGACCTTCCAGGATTTTCCTGAAGCATGGGAACAGTTAGACAAGCAGTAAATGATGAAACAATGTGGAAGAGGCCACAGCTCAGAATATGCAATAAGGCGCCAGGGAGAAAGAGGGATCCTACCTCAGAACACCAAAGAAGCCAGGTAAAATTCAAGATGTGATATGAGTAGAAAGTAGGGGTTAATTGAAGGTGTCTATGTGGAGCCATTGCCCCATTCTCCTCCAAGTGCCTAATGCCAATTAGTTAAGAGTGCATGTTGCAGGCAAAATTATTAGAGCTTTCTTCAAAGAAATGGAACAAATTGTTTGGGAAGAATTAAGGCAATCAGTATAGGCACTGGCCTTTAATTTAAGAGAAAAGCTTCTCCTTTTTTGGCATTTTTGTTTCTTATTCTGAAGGTCAGCTTAGTCTGTTCATCCACTTAATAAGCCCTATTCACATATGCAGGGTTCACCATGAGCTTATTTTTGCCTTATTCTGAATCGTGAGTGGAAAATTAAGGATTAGTAGATATTTGAGGAAAGCTGTGACAAGAGCAAGAACCAGAAAGATAAATAGAAAAAACAACACTGAAGGAATCCAAAATAATGCAGAGAAGAGAATTATAAAACAAAACACACTCGTATGTGTTTTTCCTGGCACACAGATGAACTTCTGATTAATATCCTCCGAAGAGTCAAGAACAGGATGCCATAAAAAGAATCAGAACAATGAGTTCATGTCCCTTACAGGGACATGGATGAAGCTGGAAATCATCATTCTCAGCAAACTAACACAAGAACAGAAAACCAAACTCTGCATGTTCTCACCATAAGTGGGAGTTGAACAATGAGAATACATGGACACAGGGAGGGGAACATCACACACTGGGGCCTGTCACGGGGTGGGGGTCTAGGGGAGGGATAGCATTAGGAGAAATGCCAATAGCATTAGCATTAATGTAGATGACAGGTTGATGGATGCAGCAAACCACCATGGCACATGTATACCTATGTAACCTGAATGTTCTGCACATGTATCCCAGAACTTAAAGTATAATAAATTTTTTTAAAAAAGAATCAGAACAAAAAAGGGTTCCTAGAAATATGGAATTTCCCAAAGCTAAAAGATGCAAATTTTTCGACTGAAATAATTCATTAGATGCTGAGTAGGATGAGTAAAAATAGACAATACCTATGTATGTCATTATAAAATTATAGAACCTCAAAGATAAGAAAGTACAGTTGGCCATTGGACTACACAGGTTTGAACTCTGCAGGTCCGCTTATACATGAACTTTCTTACGCCTCTGCAACTCCCAAGACAGCAAGACCAACCCCTCCTTTTCCTTGTCCTCTTCAGCCTACTCGGTGTGAAGACAACAAACATAAAGACCTTTAGAATGATCTGCTTCCACTTAATGAATAGTAAATATATTTTCTCTTCCTTATAATTTTTTAAATAATATTTTCTTTCTCTAGTTTACTTTATTATAAGAATATAGTATGTAATACATATAGCATACAAAATATGTGTTAAGGCTTCTGGCCAACAATAGGCTATTAGTAGTAACTTTTGGGGGAGTTGTAAGTTGTATGTGGATTTTTGACTGCGTGGGGAGAGCGGTTGGTGCCCTTAATCCCTGCATTGTTCAAGGGTCAACTATAATGTTAACAGCTTCTAGAGAGAAAAAAATTCACCCACAAAAGACAAGAATCAGACTGATATCAGGCTTATCAGCAACACTAGATGCTTGATGACAATACAGCAATTCCTTAAAAATTCTAAGGAAAAAATGATTTTCATTCCCGAATTTTATACCTGGACAAATTATCCATCAAGCGAGAGGGCATAGTAAAGACACAGGCATACAGACTCAAAGTTTACCACCCATATGTCTATTCTTAGGATATTTTTCAGCAAAATGAAAGTGTAAACAAAGAAAGATGAAGGTGTCAGATCCTGAAACAATAGATCCTAACCAGTAGAGCAGTAAAAGGAGGTCCCTGGTTACTGAATATGCAGCAGGCCTGGAGATAAATTGGTACAGTTAGGGAGAAGAGGATGAAGGGCTCTATGGAAAGAAAGCAATTGGACAGAATAGATACTGCGATCAATGCTTGAGGACATAATAAATAATGCAAGACAAAAAGGTAATTAAAACTAGAAAAATCAAAATTGCAACCTAAAATATGGCATGAATTTAAACAACTGATGGATGGAAATATAAGAAAAGTGAATCCATTAACTACAATGCTAAAAATACTCTTCTCTGAGTCACCCATAGAAAGGGAAATATAAGCAAATATATTATGCAGCCCAACACAAAAGCCTATTTGCAAGTCATATTAATGAAAAGGCAGTTCAGACATTTCCAACTTTTAGACTCAACAAATAAACAGAATACAGATGACTTGATTGTGCTTGCAAGATATGTCATATAGGAAGTCACATGCACTCCTTACCCACTAGGGAAGAAGAGAGCCCTTCATGCTGGTGGGATCAGGAGAGGGAGAGATCCATGGGCAATGAGTGAAGAAGAGTGACGACCTTGACTGGATTTCTCAAGAACACAGTGGCTCCACTAATCTGGCTCTTGACCTTGGGGCGTGGGTGAGTGGAGACGTTAAGGAAACTTCAGGTAGGCTAAGAGAGAGGCCAAAAATAAAGGGGACCAGTACTCTGCTTGCTGGTCATCTTTGAGCCAATATTGGGAAGAAACAAGAGAAAATAAAATGGCGGTATGGCCAAGAGAGGGCTCAAGGCAGCTCCTCTTGTTTCCATACAGCCTGTAGATTCTGCATGGTTCTCACATATGAAGGATGTGAAAGATGCCTAGAGTTGTTGGATGGTGGGCTTCCCAGGGGTGGTCACTGAAACAAAGGGTAAAGTGACCTTACAGTCAAGGAATTAAGGGTAGACTTCTAAATTGGTGAATGAATAGAGGTTGCAGCTGACCTCAGGGGACATGTAAGGCCTGATGGCTGAGGTGGGGGCCTATTCATCAGAGGAAGAGGGCAAGCTCTCTGGGAGCAATCCCTGACAGAACGGATTACAGATATTACAATGCTGGAGGCAGTATGGACGGAGCTTCCTGAGGTCAAAGTACCCCAGCTGATGTCAGCGTGTAAACCAAGGGCCTTGCACCAAAGCTATGAGGATAACTAAATTCTGTCCTGCGAGGGGATGCTGGGGAAAACTGCTTTGATAGGGTCATTTTTGCAGTAAAACATATATAACATAAAATGTACCATTTTAATCATTAAGTATACAGTTCTGTGGCATTAAGTACATTCACAGTGTTGTGCAGCCATCACCACCATCCACCTCCAGAACTTTTTCATCTTCCCCAACTGAAGCTCTATGTCCATTAAACACTAATTCCCCATTCTCCTTTCTCCCCAACCCTTGGCAACCATCATTTTCCTTTCTGTCTCTATGAATTTGACTACTCATGGAACCGCACGTAATAGGAATCATACGATATTTGTCCTTTTGTAGCTGGCTTCCTTAGCATGTCTTCAAGGTTATGGTTCATCCATGTTGTAGCATGTGTAAAAGTGTCCTGGCATGTGTAAAAGTGTCCTTCTTTTTAAAGGCTAATATTCTATTGTATGTGCATACCATATATTGCTTATACATTCATCTATTGATGGATGCTTCAGTTAATTCCACCTTTTAGCTATTGTGGATAATGTGGCTATAAACATGGATGCTCAAGTCCCTACTTTCACTTCTTTTGGATACATACCCAGAAGTGTATTGCTGGATCATCTGGTAATTCAGTGTTTAATTTCTTGAGGAATCACCGTATCATTTTCCACAGTAGTTGCCCCATTTTACAGTTATACCAGCAATGCACAAGTGTTCCAATTTCTACACATCCTTGCCAACACTTGTTATTTTTCCATTTTAAAAAATAATACCAATTATACTGTATGTGAAGTGGTACCTTATTATGGTTTTGATTTGCATCTTCCTATTGACTAGTGTTGTTGAAAATCTTTTCACCTGCTTATTGGCCAATTTTATGTCTTTGGAGAAATATCTATTAAAGCTATTTGCCCATTTAAAATATCGGTCTTTTTTGATTAAGTTGTAGGAGTTCTTTATACATTCTGGCTATTAATCCCTTATCAGATACAGTAATAAGTATTTACATTCCCTCCATGTCTTTTCATGGCCTGATAGTTCATTCCTTTTTAGTGCTGAATAATATTCCTTCATCTGGATGTACCATAATGTATTTTACCCATTCACCTATTAAAAGATACCTTGGTTTCTTCCAAGTTTTGCCAATTATGAATACAACTGCTGTAAACATCCATGTACAGGTTTTTGTGTGGACATACATTTTCAACTCCTTTATCATACACATGATTTGGAAATATTTCTCCCATTCTGTGGGTAGACATTTTACTTTGTTGACAGTGCCGTTTGATGCACAAGAGTTTTTAATTTTGATGAAGTCCAACTTACCTATTTTGTCTTTTATTGTCTGTGCTTTTGTTCCTTATAGGATTTTAAACTTTGACTGAAACCCAAAAAAATCTAAGTCTACTTCTCCAAAACTTGATGAAAAGAAAGAGAAATGGTTAACTTTAATTGGTAAGTTTATGACTTTTTCTTGCTACTATGTGGGAAAGGGAGATCTAATGTAAGATATTATCAGGTATAGATAATAAAAGCTATTGTTTTGTTGTTCTTATATGTCTGAATTTAAATGTATACATTTTTGACTCTTATGCAATAGGATGGCAGAAAATTCGGATGCAAAATGTAACAAAAGCTACAGGAAAACTTTCATGGGAAGCTGCTCCACACTAAGGCCCTGACTGAAATGAGGCCTGACTGCTGAGCACGTTCCTCTAGCATTTCAGAGAGTTATACACAAAGGCCGTGATATTGGAATAAGGATTTGGGACTTATTTAGGTTTTTCCTTCCAGTGAACATGAAAACCTGGGAATAAGAAATCCGTAATACAACCATGGTAAAGATAATAATTTAAATTGAAAGTCATAGAAGACAAAACAGAATTTCAGAAGGAATCAATGTGCATAACTTACCATCCCCCCAGATCCCTTGGATGCTAATCCATTACCTGAGTGTTCTCTCTGTTGCTGTTGCTCCATGAGCACAAATGGAAGCATGAACAAGCTGTTTTTTCCCCCTTATACTTAAGATAATAAATATTACATCAGCACTAGGGTAAAACTCAATTATAAAGACAAGTTAGATGAAAAGCTCAAGTTAAAAACTTTGCTCTTCTTATATCAAATATGGAACAACTGTTTGGATCTCCAAAATACACCACTTGTTATTTTTTGAAAAGTCAAATGAATTATTATACTTATATTCTTTGACCTAATACACAGCAAATCTGACTTCTGTTCTACTGGCGCTTCTAAAAAGGCTATAAACTTCTTTCTGGCATGAAACAATCATTCTATATTTATTTTACAATCATGTGGTATTAATACACTCATACAGCATATTGCTCAGTCCTTGTTTATGGGTGCTGGTGACATATACATTATGTGATACTCCTTATATTCTTGCCAATTTAAAATAGATTGCAGGTTCTCATATATATTCTTAAAGCACTTGCATTGTTTAATAAATCTTTGCTCAGAAGTTACCTCTTATTAGTTGCTAATGTTTCTTTTTGGAGAGGGTGTTTGCTATAGACTGAATCTTTGTGCTCTCCCCGCAAATTCATATATTGGAATCTTAACCCCCAATGTGATAGTATTAAGAGATGTGGTCTTCGGTAGGTCTCTAGGTCATGAGGGCAGAGCCCTCATGAATGGAACTAGTCCTTATTTATAATGAAATGGAGTGCCCAGAATGCCTTATAGGGACTCTGGAGAGCTCTCTCACCCCTTCCACCATGTAAGGACACAAGAAGGCAGTTGTCTGTGAATTAAAAACCATGCCCTCACCAGACACTAAATCTGCCTGTATCTTGATCTTGAACTTCCCAAGCTCCAGAATTGTGAGAAATAAATTTCAGTTGTGTATAAGCCACCTAGTCTGTGGGACTTTGTGGCTTATAAACAGAAGCCCCAAATGGACTAAGCAGCCCAAATGGACTAACACATACCACAACGTTTTGCATTTATTTTTTATACAGCAACTCAAAATCCAACTCCGCAAAAAAATTTCCAGTCTAGAACTCTGCAGAAGACACCCCTTTTGCCAGGTACTAAGAAATCCTCAGAGCCATCAATTTCTTTTATCTTTTCTGGCAAGACCTTCTACAATTTTTATTATTATTTTTTAGTTATTGCTGGGATTGGTTCTCTTCTTTAGTAATGGTCAGGCAGGCACTTACACTTGCTTACATCTTCCCTTATAGCTAAGAATTTTCCTTCTCACCCCCTTAGCTAAGTTAACCCATATTCTCACTATCCTTTATAAGGTGGGCTTTGATAAATTTTACAAAGTAAACACACATATATGTAAGCACACACACACACACACACACACACACCTAGTAACACTTTTTATTTTTCTGTTTCATCCTTTTAAACTTTCACCCCTCTGCTTATTTAAACTCCCATTTGCCAAGTGCATACATTAGACACTGGTACTTTGCAGTGCGTATATTCTTATTTAATCCTCAAAACAATCTTGCAAGTAGGAATTAATCCTAGTTTACAAATGAAAGATTTAAAACTCAGAATTCAGGCTGGGCGCAATGGCTCACGCCTGTAGACCCAGCACTCCGGGAGGCTGAGGTAGGTGGATCACGAGGTCAGGAGTTTCAGACCAGCCTGGCCAATATGGTGAAACCCTGTCTCTACTAAAAAACACAAAAATTAGCCGGGCGTGGTGGTGGGTGCCTGTAGTCCCAGCTACTCAGGAGGCTGAGGCAGGAGAATCGCTGGAACCCAGGAGGCGGAGGTTGCAGTGAGCCAAGATCGTGCCACTGCACTCCAGTCTGGGCAACAGAGTGAGACTCCTTCTCAAAAAAACAACAACAAAAAACAAAACAAAAAAACAACAACTCAGAATTCAAATAATCTGACAAAGGGTATGCACATTTAGAAAATGAGGGAGCAAGGATCTGAGCCCAAGTCTGTTTTCTCTTTCTGCTACAGCTATTGCTTTGGTATCTGACATTTTGTTACAATTTCCAGGCCTTCTGCTTATTGTTGGTTGCCCTTGTTTATCTAAGCTAGGTACATGCTGTATTTAGCAAATGTATTGCTATTGCTTCTAGGTCCCTTGGGTAGGTGGTAATTTTCCTCTGGGCACTTTCCCTTCCTCTTGTCACCCTATTTCATCTGCATGGACCTCACCCAGAAAAAACAATGTATAAATCTTCCAGGTCTAAAACACACAGATGCAAAGCCTTTGAGTTTTTTAGTCTCAGCAGCTTCATGGGCCTTGTTTACAAATTAGGATATTTGTTCCTGTTCATCAGCATTTCTCACCAGCTACTTGTTTTTATCAGAATACTGAGGATCCAAAAAACTGGGAGACCCAACAAAAAAGGTTATATACCCTCTTGATAAGAGTCTCATCTGTGTTCTTGCTTCTTTATTGATTTGCATTTCTTATTGTAATCACTCATATTTCTAATTGAATAGGAGTGGCTCATCTGTGGCAATTATATTGAATTAATGTAGTTAACTCATTTACTCATTTGAGTAAAAACTGGACAAATTGGCCTGGTGCATGTCTCATGCCTGTAATTGCAGCCCTTTGGGAGGCTGAAGTGAGGCCAGGAGTTTGAGGCTACAGTGAACTATGATTGCACCACTGCACCCTAGCCTGGGCAACAGAGCAAGACCTGTCTTAAAAAAAAAATTAATTGAAAGAAATCTTGTGGAGTCCTAATTAGGAAAAGGAATCAGGCTGGCAGGACCAAGGGAAAGCAAAAAGAGACAGCAGATAAGCTGTTAAGTCTGCCTTTCTTCATGGTCCATGACAAATAGCCCTTCTGCACAGATAACATACATAAATTCACAATCTTCCTGCGCCTAGCTATCACCAGACACCTTCAAGTTAGCTCACTGCAACCTTGACATCATCAGTGCTGCATGTAGCACTCTTCAGCATAAGTATCATTCTATAAAATCCCCAGCAAGCCATTGTTTCTTTGCAGACAGACCCTTCTTGCTGTGCTGCCAATTGCAGTCTTGCAGCGTATTTTCATTCCTTCTCTAATATATCTGCCTTTCTTTACCTCCAACTTTCTTGGTAAATTCTTTTACTGCCTGTATGATACTGGCCTTAGATAGTTGCCACTCACCTGTGACAAACTTGACAAACTATTTTCTTTTCTGGGAGTGGTGGTAGTGGTAGACATCCATAAAACTCTGTATTTTTCATTCTGTTTTGACATTGTGTCCACAAACCTTTGTTTATATTTCTGTCATTACCATTTCCATTCCCAGAGAAAGAATAAAAAAAAGGTTTTTCAGGTTTTTAATTGATGAAGTGAGTTAACTATGCTAATTCGATGTAATTGCCATAGTGCTTTCAGTAATTGGTCTTTTTTGGGTATCTGCAGACTAAGACTATTAAATCTGGTTTTAAAGCTTCCTCATCACAATAGACCAGTGTTTCTCCACCTTTGTTTTTTCATTATTCTCCTGTAAAAGCATTTTTAGATATTTTTCCTAATTGTCCCCCTAGGAAATTTTAGTACTGTAACATACTGTGTATCTGGTAATATACTGTAGCTCTTTGGTGAGTGGTCAGAAACCACTGTAAATTGATATTTTCTGCATTGTGAATGCATGCATAGATAACCCAGGTAAATTCTATGCCACTTTGGTTAGATGGTGATAAATTCTAGAACACCTTTTCTGGCCCTTGCTCTTTCTGAACAGGGAAGGAGAGGAAAACACCCCTTATTTCTCCTTTCATTTAAAGACCCTGTCAGCAGACCTAGCTTAGCAAACCCAGTTTATGCAGAACATAAATGTATTACTCTGTTCTCATGCTGCTATGAAGAAATACCCGAGACTGAGTAACTTATAAACAAAAGAGGTTTAGGCCAGGTGCAGTGGCTCGCGCCTGTAATCCCAACACTTTGGGAGGCCCAGGCAGGCGGATCATGAGGTCAGGAGATCGAGACCATCCTGGCTAACATGGTGAAACCCCATCTCTACTAAAAATACAAAAAAAAAACCCCACAATTAGCAGGGCGTGGTGGCGGGCGCCTGTAGTCCCAGCTACTTGGGAGGAGGGTGACCAAGTGAGACTCTGTCTTTAAAAAAAAAAAAAAAGAAAAGAAAAGAGGTTTAATTGACTCACAGTTCCTCATGTTTGGGGAGGCCTTAGGAAACTTACAATCATGGTGGGAGGCACCTCTTCACAGGGCAGCAGAGAAGAGAATGAATGCTGAAAGAAGGTGGAAGCCCTTCATAAAACCATCGGATGTTGTGAGGACTCACGCACTATCATGAGAACAGCATGGGGGAAACTGCCCCCATGATTCAATTACCTCTCACTGGGTCCCTCCCATGACACATAGGGATTATGGGATTAGAATTCAAGATGAGATTTGGGTGGGAACACAAAGCCAAACCATATCATTCTGCCCTGGCCCCTCCCAAATCTGCCATCCTTACACAATCATGCCTTCCCAACAGTCCCCTAAAGTCTTAACTTATTCCAGCATTAACCCAAAAGTCCAAGTCCATAGTCTCATCTGGGACCAGGCAAGTCCCTTCTGCCTGTGAAATCAAAAACAAGGTAGTTACTTCATAGATACAATGGGGGTACAGGCATTGGATAAATATACCTATTGCAAATGAGAGAAATTGGCCAAAACAAAGGGGCTACAGTCCCCATGCAAATCAAAAATCCAGTGGGACAGCCAAATCTTAAAGCTCCGAATGATCTCCTTTGACTTCATGTCTCACATCCAGGTGATGCAACAGGTGGGCTCTCACGGCCTTGGGCAGCTCCAACCTCGTGGCTTTGCAGGGTACAGCCCTCATCCTGGCTACTTTCATGGGCTTGCATTGAGTATCTGTGGCTTTTCTAGTTGCATGGTGCTAGTTGTCAGTGGATCTACCATTTTGGGGTCTGGAGGATCACAGCCCTCTTCTCACAGCTCCACTAGGCAGTGCCCTAGTGGGGACTCTGTGCTGGGGCTCCAACCCCACATTTTCCTTCTGCAATTTCCTTCTCCATGAGGGATCCACCCCTGCAGCAAACTTCTGCCTGGACATCCAGGAATTTTCATACATCCTCTGAAATCTAGGTAGAGGTCCCCAAACCTCAATTCTTGACTTCTGTGTACCCGCAGGCCCAACACCGTGTGTAAGCTGCCAAGGCTTGGGGCTTGCACCCTCTGAAGCAATGACCTGAGCTGTACGTTGGCCCTTTTTAGCCACAGCTGGGACAAAGGGCACCGCCCTCTGAAGCAATGGCCTGGAGTGTATGTTCACCCCTTTTAGCCATGGCTGGGATGCAAGGCACCAAGTCCTGAGACTGCACAAAGCAGCAAGACCCTGGGCCCAGCCCATGAAACAATTATTTCCTCTTAGGCCTTTGGGCCTGTGATGGGAGGGGCTACAGTGAAGATCTCTGACATGCGCTGGAGACAATTTCCCCATTGTCTTGGTGATTAACATTTGGCTCTTTGTTACTTCAGCAAATTTCTGCAGCAATCTTAAATTTCTTCTCAAAAAATGGGTTTTTTCTTTTCTATCACATCATCAGCCTGCAAATTTTCTGAACTTTTATGCTCTGCTTCCCTTTTAAACATAAGTTCCAATTCCAAACCATATCTTTGTGAATACATAAAACTGAATTCTTTTAAGAGCACCCAAATCACATCTTCAATGCGTTGCTGCTTAGAAATTTCTTCTGCCAGATACCCTAAATCATCTCTCTCAACTTTAAAGTTCCACAGATCTCTAGGGCAGGGGAAAAATGCCACCAGTCTCTTTGCTAAAGTATAGTAAGAGTCACCTTTGCTCCAGTTCCCAACAAGTTCCTCCTCTCATTCTGAGATCACATCAGCCTGACTTCATTGTCTGTATCACTATCAGCATTTTGCTCAAAGCCATTCAACAAGTCTCTAGGAAGTTCCAAACTTTCCCACATTTCTCTATCTTCTGAGCCCTCCAAGTCTCTAAGAAGTTCCAAACTTTCCCATATTTTCCTGTCTTCTGAGCCCTCCAAACTCTTCCAACCACTGCTGAGGTCACCCTTTGGTGAGGCACTCACATGGGATAGAAATATCTTCAGTTTTTGACCACTCAGAGAGGTCCATCTACATTACCTCTTCCATAAATTTCTTTGTCAACAATTTTCCAATTGTGCTTCTTCAAGTCCCTGACCATCCAGACAAACCACTGGCTACAGCCCATGAATCAGTACATAATCACACATCTGGCCATTTCTCCTTCCAAGCAAAATGCACAGCAGGTGCACTGCTTAAAGTTCTGCCCACTGGGAAGATTTCCCTTTGCCACTGTCCTTCAGGGATGTCCTAGACAGGGGTTGTAGTGCTTCACCTGTCCACTTTCTGGTTGTGCCTGCATATCATGCAGAGCCATCTACAAACCAAACCCTAGTCTTCTCTCCCTCTGTCAACTGATCATAGGGAACTCCCTATGAGGCCATTGGCACAGGCTAGGGGAGAGAAGGCAATGTAACAGAAGTAGGGACAATGGGCATTTGAGCCACTTCCTCATGTAACTTACTTGTGCCTTCTGGACCTGCTTAAGCCCAATTACGTTTGTGCCACTTCCATTAGATGATGGAATGCTGCTGTGTACAACCCACTTTATGGCTAGATGGGTGAGAAAGCACCTGGTTCATGATAGGCAGTTCAGGATGCATGGTGATTTGATGATCCACAGTCAAACATTCAGTTTCTATCAAAGCCAAGTAACAGGGCAAATGCTGTCTCTCAAAAGAAGAGTAGTTATCTGCAGAAGATGGTAGAACCTTGCTCCAAAATCCTAGAGGCCTCCGCTGTGATTCATCTATGGGGGCCTTCCAAAGGCTTTACACAGCATCCCCATCTGCCACTGACACCTCAAGCACCATTGGATCTGCTGGGTCATATGGCCCAAGTGGCAGAGCAGCTTGCACAGCAGCCTGGACCTATTGCAGAGCTTTCTCCTATTCTGGACCCTACCCAAAACTGGCAGCCTTTTGGGTCACTCAATAAATGGGCTGGAGTAACACACCCAGATGAGGAATGTGTTGCCTCCAGAATCCAAATAGGCCCTTAGGCATTATGCCTCTTTCTTGGTTGTAGGAGGGACCAAATGTAGCAACTTATCCTTCACCTTAGAAGGAATACCTTGACAGGCCCCATGCCATGGGACCCCTAGAAATTTCAATGAGGTAGAAGATCCCTGAATTTTAGTCAGATTTATTTCCTATCCCCTGGCACGCAAATATGTCATCAGTAAGTCCAGAGTGTTTGCTACTTCTTGCTCCCTGGATCCAATCAGGATAATGTCATCAATGTAATGGACCAGTGTGATATCTTATGGAAGGGAAAAGTGATCAAGATCTTTGCGAACAAGATTATGACACAAAGTCGGAGAGTTGATATACCCCTGAGGTAGGATAGTGAAGGTATATTGCTGGCCTTGCCAGCTGAAGGCAAATTGCTTCTGGTGGGCCTTATAAATAGGAATGGAGAAAAAGACATTTGCCAAATCAGTGGCTGCACACCAGGTACCAGGAGATGTGTTAATTTGTTTAAGCAATGAAACCACATCTGGTACAGCAGCTGCAACTGGGGCCACCACTTGGGTAAGCTTACAATAACCCACTGTCGTTCTCCAAGATCCATCTGTCTTTGGCACAGGCCAAATAGGAGAGTTGAATGGGGATGTGTTGGGAATCACCACCCCTGCATCTTTTAAGTCCTTGATGGTGGCACTAATCTCTGCAATCCCTTCAGAAATGCAATATTGTTTTTGATTTACTATTTTTTTTTAGGTAGAGGCAGCTCTAATGGCATCCATTTGGCCTTTCCCATCACAATAGCCCTCACCCTACCTGTCAGGCAGCCAATGTGGGGATTCTGCCAGCTGCTAAGTATGCCTGTGCCAATTATGCATTCTGGCCCTGGGGAAATCATCACAGAATGAGTCCGGGGACCAAATGGACCCACTGTAAGTTGGACCTGAGCTAAAACTTCATTAATTACCTGACCTCCATAAGCCTCTACTGTAACTGGAGGACCACAATGATACTTTGGGTCCCCTGGAATCAACATCAGCTCAGAGCCAGTGTCCAGTAGTCCCCAAAAAGTCTGATGATTCCCCTTTTCCCAATGCACAGTTACTCTGCTAAAAGGCTGGAGGTCTTGTTGGGGAAGGATGGGAGAAAGATTAACAGTATAAATTGTCAGTAGTGTAGTGGGGTCCCTCCTTAAGGGGACCCAGTGTCCCCTCCATTCAAGGGGTTCTGGGTCTGTAAACTGGTTCAAGTCTGGAAATTGACTGAGGGGCTGTGGTTCTCTATTTTTATAATTCAAATTAGTCTTTTGTCCACTCAACCTGGAAGTTTCCTGGTTATACAAATTAAGTAAGAATGCAGTAGGCTTCCTATCAATTTCACTTCTAGGAACACCATGATTAATTAACCAATGCCTGAGCTCTACAGGAGTCAGACTATTCTGATTGCTGCTTTGCCTCTGCTGTCCACTGTGGTAACTACACCCACCTTGCCTTTGACAGTTGAGTGCCACTACTTGGACACTGCCACCTTGGGATCCAATTATTCCCATGGCATTTAAATTTTCTAATTGAGTGAGTGCAGTTCCCACTCTAAACTCTGGAATACAGAGAAGAGCAATCACAGAACTCTTCAAGGATGCAGGTTCTCCCCCTCACAAATCTATTTCACAAAGTATTAATCAAGGGTATATCTTCTGGACCCTCCCAGCTGGGATGAGTAGGTCTAAAGTGACTAATCCACTCAGCCAACCAAGCAAATAAACTACTAGAACTTTTTTTAACTCCCTGAGTTGCAACATTAAATGCAGGATCCCTGCTTAGTGGGCCCATATCAATAAATTCAGTCTGATCCATTTTTATGCTCCTTCCACCATTATCCCACACTGTTAATATCCATTTCCCTGCCTGTTCTCCAGATTTTTGCTTATATAAATTAGAAAACTCAAGCAGTTCTTTTGGAGTGTAGCACAACTTCCTGTGGGCCACAATCTGAACCACATCTCTAGGGGCCTGCCAGGACTTGAGTCTAGGGGTGTTGGGGTGGGTCCTGAGGAGAATCAGCTTGTCTTGCCTGGCAACTGCCTCAGGGGAGGCCATCACTGTTGTCTCAGGCAGTGCATGGGTAATCTCCTCAGACAAAGGTGGAAAGGCTGATGGCAGCATGGGTGGGGAAGGGATATTGCCACCACAGGGGGGTGGGGAGGCTGTTTCCTCTGGCAAAAAAGTCTCTTTAGACTTTACAAGCTCAGTGTCCTCAGCTTCATCAAGGTCCTCCCACACATCCTATTCCAAGTTGCAGGGTCCCATTCTTTTCCAATCAACGCCCTCACTTTAACAGTAGACACCTGGCAAGACTGAGCATTTCCCTTTCATTGCAGGTCAGCCACTCTCATGATAAGAGCTTGTGTCTGATTTTCCGCAATTTCAGCCCTTTGTCTACAGGAGTTAAGACTTTCACTCAGGGCAATCTTAGAAGACTGGAGGCTGGGTATGTGCTTCCAGAGCCAGGAGTTAGAATCTCTGAGCTCATCCTTTTCTTTTGTCACTTTGTCCTGTGGACTTAGGAGCAAACAACCACCTTCATTATATTTCTTGGTTCTCCACAGATGGTCAAAGGTATTATATATAGAACCACTAAACTCCTTGCCTCTCATGAATGGTGAATCAAATCAGGAGTATCAAACGCATTTATTTTGCATAAATCTCTGAACAGTTCACACCAAGGACTATGAGTGTTCTCCATACTATTAGAAGTAGAGTCCTTAGTATTTTCTAATTCCTAATTACATGCATGGTCATTAGGAACTTAGTTCACAATTCAAGTGTGCAAGAGACCCAATTTTCTGTATTTTTCTATAATGCGACTAAATTTCTATTTCTACCACCCATTCTGCTAGAGGGTAGAAATTTAATATCAGGAAATATAAGATTCTCATTCCCCTTTTCTCTGGAGGTTTACCTAAACTCTAGATAGGCTTACAGAGCTTCAGGTTCTCTGAGTTTCCTATCAATACTGGTGCCTGTTGAGATGCTCTGGCTTCCAGATGCTGGTCCAGATAGGGAACTGTTATATTTTCTTTGTGTCCAAACTGTGATATTGTGAAATATATATTTGGCCTTCATCCCTCTTTTTTGGCTTAGGCTCCTAAAACCCATGTAATCTCCTGAGTGACGTGTCTTTTCTATGCTAATGAGATGACTGGTGGCTAGGGCCCCTAAATAACTTCACGGTAGGGGAGGGTCACTGGGAAGACCAAAGCATGATTAGAGAGTTGGAACTTTTGGCTCCAGCCCCCTACCTCCAGAGGGGAGAGAGGCTGAAAATTGAGCTTTTTATCAATGGCTAATGATTTAATCAATTCATGCCTATGTAATGAGGCCTCTATAAAAACCCAAAAAGACTGAGTTCTGAAAGCTTCCAGATAGCTGAACACATGAAGTCTCCTGGAGGGTGGTCCTCCCAGAGAGGACATGGAAGTTCTGCGTCCCTTCTCCCATACCTTGCCCTATGCATCTCTTCCATCTTGCTATTCATCTGCATCTTTTATAATATCCTTTATAATAAGTAGGTAAATGTAAGTAAAGTGTTTCCCTGAGTTCTGTGAGCTGCCCAGCAAAGAAGTCAAACCTGAGGAGGGGTTTTGGGAACCCCTGATTTATAGCTATATATGGTCTGGCTCTGTGTCCCCACCCAAATCTCATCTTGAATTGTAATCCAAATTGCAATCCCCATGTGTTGGGGGAGGGACCTTGTAGGAGGTGATTAGATTATGGGGGCAGTTGCCCCATGCTGTTCTCATGATACTGAGTGAGTTCTCATGAGAGCTGATGGTTTTATAACAGGCTTTTCCCTGCTTCACTCTGTACTTCTCTCTCCTGGTGACATGTGAAAAAGGACCTGTTTGCTTCCCCTTCTGCCATGATTGTAAGTTTCCTGAGGCCTCCCCAGCCATGCGGAACTGTGAGTCAATTAAATCTCTTTCCTTTATAAATTACCCAGTCTCAGGTATTTCTTCATAGCAGCGTGAAAATAAACTAATACATAGCTGGTCAGTTGAAGTACTGCTCTCAACTTGGGACTTGTGATTGGCAGCTGAAATGGGGGGCAGTCTTGTGAGACTGAGCCCTCAACCTATGGGATCTGATGCTACCTCTAGGTAGACAGCGTCAGAATTGGGTGAAATTAGAGGACACCCAGCAGGTGTCCACCAGAGAATTACTTGGTGTGTGGGGACAACTCCACACACTTCTGGTTTCAGAAGGTTTGTGCTGAGTGGTGAGTGAGAGTACAAAAAACACTGGTTTTGTCCTATATATCAGACAACCACAAAGCCCTTCACATCTGCCAGCTGTCTGTCCTTTCTTGATGTGTGGAAATCATGCAGCTGCTCCCACACCTGCATTGCAGTGAATTCCACTTCTCTACTCCTGTTAAGTATGATTTCACCTGTACTCCCCATGGTGGTGTAGGTGCCTTGGAGGCAGGCTGGGGTCAGTCTTGCTAGATACTCAGCTGTTTCTTTAGCTGGTGATGGGGCTGGACTCTTCCATCTCTGTGTACTTTGAGGGTTTTATAATAGCACGCTTCTGAGGTAGGTAACAGGACCTCTTTTCAGACCACTTGTGCCTAAGTTCCCCTTACTACCTTCAACCATCCTCACTCCCTGATAGTGCTTTGCTCAGATTATTTATAGTTCTTTCAAATATTTTGCTTTATGCCAGAGCTGAGGCTTTTGAAACTTGAAAGCTGAAGTCTCCATTTTTCTCTGCAACATCATTGCTACTTCAATGGTATTTCTACCTAATACACTAGAATGGAGTTATCTGAATGGTAGGCTCCTTCAGTCTTGCTTGGACTTGCCTTTGACCATCCATTACTTTGATTCTTCCTCATCTAAGGAAGTCACTTTAACAACTAGCCTGAAGGAACAACTGCTCTTGAAGTGGGAGAACACCTACAACTTCACTAGGCAGGTCTGAGAACACTATGTGTGTACCATGGTATCTGTGGTCTCAACACAAGGTAAACATCCCTTGTTGAATGAACGGAATCTTAGAGGGAGAGATTCCTGCAGCTCTGATGCTCAGCTGACTTCTTGTGGCTACTGGTGCTTGGTTGTACCTTCTGGAGGCTTCCTGTGATGAGCACCTGTAGGAAAATCTCCTACATGCTCTTATACTCTGACTCTCAAAAATCTGGCTCATTGAGTAAGACAAGAAAAATGCATTATGGAGGAGACCACGTGGAAGAGGGTGAAGAATTCCTGGGCTTGGGTCATGTTATTGCCTCTGAATGTGTGTGTGTGTCTGTGTGTGTGTGTGTTTACACACACTGGGCTAGGCTTCATCTGAAAATGGTTGGGGCTGAACTGGTGCTATATAGATTTCTAAAATTCTATATTTATTTATTTTTCTCTTGAGCAGAATCTTACTCTGTTGCCAGGCTGAAGTGCAGTGGCGGGATCTTGGTTCACTGCAACCTCTGCCTCCCGGGCTCAAACAATTCTCCTGCTTCAGCCTCCTGAGTAGCTGGGACTACAGGCATGTGCCACCATGCCCAGCTAATTTTTGTATTTTTAGTAGAGATGGGGTTTCATCATGTTGGCCAGGATGATCTCCATCTCTTGACCTCGTGATTCACCCGCCTCGGCCTCCCAATATATTTAATCTTTTACTTAGTGGTAACAATAGTAAATACATGAATCTCTCTTTGAGAAGGAAAGACAACTTATTTCTCTTCTCAAAGTAACCACCAAGGCAGGATAATCTGAGATAATCAATTCGTATTTTGTTTTTACTGCCATGAAAGAAATAGAATGAGAATGATTTTCTTTTTCCCTCAAAAGAGGGCAAGTGGTGCCCTGGGCGGTGGAGATCAGGAGTATACTTACCCACTGGGCAGAGTTTTCAAAATAGAATAAAGATTGTCTAAGCAGTGGGAAGCTAGCAAAGTCTCACCTGGGCATGCTTCTGCCCTGGGCTGGTCCTGGCAGGGAATGGCAGGGTAGAGTGTCTAGGGCTGCTTAGCCGTGGGGGCCTGGGCTCCAGCCTCTGCAACTGACTTTTTCCAGGGTGCCAGGTGGGTTTTACCAGAGCACATCAGTGGCATCCAGTGGGACAGAAGACCAGAGCAGAAGTCAGCCAACCCTATGGCCCACTGCCTGTTTGATACAGCCTGGGATTTTACAATTATAAATGGTTGACAAGAAATTGGAAGAAGAATAATAGTAACACATGAAAATTATATGAAATTCAAATTTCAGTGTTCACAAATGAAGTTTTATTGGAACACAGCTAGGCTCATTTTTTGTGTATGCATTATCTATGGCTGGTTTCTACAATGTCAGAATTGAGCAGTTGCAACAGTCATCTACCAGTAGTGCCTGTAAAGCCTAAAATATTTACTATCTGGCCCTTTACGGAGAAAGTTTACTGACTCCTTGGAGAAGGCTCAGATGACAAAACAGATAATAAGAAGCTGAATTAAGATTGTTGATTAGGACATTGGAGGTGGTGGTTGGGCCAGGGGTTGGGGCACCCATAATCCTCCCTCCTCATCCTCACCTGAGAAGCTTCCTTAGGAGATGAGGCTTTAGGGACCAGACTTTGAAAATCCCTGAACTAATCTAACAATAAGAGAAATGAAAAGAAATTGATGGAAAGCAAAACTTAAACCCAGAGTTATAAATTAACAAGCTTAGCACTAATGTATGTTCCAGAAACTAATTTTTAAAAGTAATCCTGATATTTTCTTATAATAACATGAAGAAAGGAGAATTCAATTTTACCCCTAAATACAGATATGCCTTTTCACAAATATCGTGAGAGAACTGGTTCTCAATTGATAATGGCAACATATACCCAAACCAACTCCCCAAAATTGAGGAAGGGTTTAATTTGAATAAATGGAAAGAAATGTCAAATTCTTAGCAAATAAGATTAAATATTGTACAAATGTCAATTCTGACCAAATCAAATTATAGGAATGTCGAATTTTGATTGTTGTTTTTATTTTTGTAAATTGGTGATACTATTGATGTTCACTAAAAATGAAAGAATGCAAATTAAATAAGGAGCCATCATTATACTGCCTATCAGTTAGTAGAAACTTAGAAAACACACACTCCTCCTGGAACCCACTTCCTGGAAGCTGACTTTATGTATCAGAGAAGAGTATTAAATATCCTTTGACCTAGTGATTTATTTTGGGGGGAATCAATACTAAGAAATCACCAACCATGGCAAAAGACTTACAAGGAAGAATGTTCATCACTACATGATTTGAATAGTCAACAACATTAGAAACTGTATGTCTTTTCAGTTAGGGGTGGTTAAATTATGATAGAGTCACAAAATAGGAGTAATAGAGATCCATCAAATTATCTTCACATTACACAATGTGGGCAAGTGTTCAGACAAGTAAAAACAAAAACAAACAAACAAAAAAACCAACAGGTTACAAGATTCACCAGTGGCCGGGTGCGGTGGCTCACGCCTGTATTCCCAGCACTTTGTGAGGCTGAGACGAGTGGATCACCTGAGGTCAGGAATTTGAGACCAGTCTGGCCAACATGGTGAAACCTCGTCTCTACTAAAAATACAAAAATCAGCTGAGTGTGGTGGCACATGCCTGTAATCCCAGCTACTCCGGAGGCTGAGGCAGGTGAATTGCTTGAACCCGGGAGGTGGAGGTTGCAGTGAGCCGAGATCACGGCACTGAACTCCAGCCTGGGCAACAGAACAAGACTTCATCTCAAGGAAAAAAAATAGTAATTAAAAAACAATTCACCAGTGTAATTCTACTTTTGCTTGAAATACAACTGAAAAGAAATACCTAAAAGCTAGCAGTGGCAGTTTGTGTTTTCTAACTTGTCTACAGCAAGCATGTATTGCTTTTATAGTCATATATAAATAAACACCATAAAAAGAAAATGATTCCCCCTGAATTAAATATGGGCTTGAATTCAAATGGTTGCATATTAAAATTAATGTGAACACACATGACACGATCAAATCCTAACAGTGTCTCAGCAGTTGAGAGGATAAAAATAAACTTGCAAATACACATTAGAGCAGGGGAAGGGGCCCCATTTATCCAAAAAACTTGTTTTTCCAGCTGGCACAGTCCCATTCCAGGACCCTCTGAAGCCAGCCTCACACCTTGGCCTTTCAGCACCAGTCGCCAGAGGTTTCAAGTTTACCATTATTGTAGGAGTTGGGGAAAGGAGTAAGGAACAGCATTTCATTGAGTGCTGTCAGGCACTATGTTGGGCACTTAGGTTCTCACATTTTCCCATTTGAGGTTAAGTGAGGCTAATAACTATGCTTTTCAAAATTTAACGTGTCTATGAGTCACCTGGGGATCTTAAAATGCAGATTCCGGTTCAGTGGGTCTGGGGTGGGGCCTGAGATTCTGCGTTTCTCACAAGCTCCCATGTGAAACCTGGGATGACACCTTGAGGAACAAGGGCTTACAGAGGGACGGTCTTTTGTCCAAAGGCTCACAGCTTGTACAAAATGGGTGTGGACATGGGAGTCACTTTCTACTTTTTTTTGACTATTGAAAATGAAGCAAAATGAGTTTGAAAAAGGGATATGTAAAACATTAGCCCTCCCAGGATGCTTACATGAAGTATTTTCCATAACTAGTTACGCTGGTAATAACAATGCTTGGTAATTATGTAGTTCATAATATTTTCAAGGCTTTTTTTGTAAGTATTAATTTGTTAATCTACAAATCTCTCTTGAAGAGATGTAATTATTATCATCTATGCGCTATGGTTCGGTTATTTGTACACAGTATCTCCAAATCTTTTGCAATATGCTGATGGCAGAATCTGGCTTGAGATATTTGAGTATTATGCACAAGTCACATGGACATATATGAGAATGTAAACCAGTACTGCCTGTCTAGGATCTGGCCTATGTGTACCCTAGTGTTGTCCCTTTAAGGTTCGGAGGATGATATTTGTTGAAAGAATACTTGTGGGAACAAAGTCCTTTGCTACCTATGTGATTTAGGCAAGTTAAACTCTCTAAGTCTCAATACCCTTCTTTGTAAAACAGGGGTAATAAGGCCCTGGGGGATTAAATTTGATAATGTACCCTTCCTTTCTTCCTCCCTCCCTTCCTTTTTTTTTTGAGCCTTAGTCTCGCTCTGTCACCCAGGCTGGGCTGCAGTGGCACAATCTCGGCTCACTGCAACCTCTGCCTCCCAGGTTCAAGTGATTCTCCTGCCTCAGCCTCCTGAGTAGCTGGGATTACAGGCACCCACCACCACACCCGGCTAATTTTGTATTTTTAGTAGAGACGGGGTTTCATCATGTTGGCCAGGATGGTCTTGATCTTCTGACCTTGTGATCTACCTGCCTTGGCCTCCCAAAGTGCTGGGATTACAGGCGTGAGCCACCATGCCTAGCCCCTTCCCTTCAATAAATAATTTTTGAACACATGACTAGTGCCAAGGATTATTCTAGAGGTTGCCTAAGGATACAGCAGTAAATAAGTCAGATAAAATCCCTGTCCTCATGTGCCTTACATTTTACAAGGGGAGATAGAGAGTAAACAGGGCAGATCCCATCCTTCCCTAACAAAAAAAAAAAAAAAAAGAAGAAAAGAAAGACAAAAAACCAAAAGGTATGTTAAGCACGTAGCACAATCCCTTATACTTAATAAGTGCTTAATAAGTAAAATAGTAACACACAAGGAAAAAGGCTATATCTCATTTAACACAATCTGTTCAAATATATATTTACTTCTCTATATGAAATAGGAATATTTTATAAATTTAAGCTGTTTTAGGTTTGATGGATACTGTAGTTCTGTAATCAGTAGCTCGGTTGTTTAATAAACATTTCACACCAGGCTAAATTTTCCTCCTTTAGATGTTTCCTTTCCAGTGTTTTTATCCTTAAGTAGGATTCCCCTGTCTAGGCAACCCCATGCCTCCCTTCTTTTCTTCTTCTTTTACCCCCATCATGTTTGTTTGTTTGTTTTGTCCTGGTTCTTTCAAGCAATGATCTCTTAGAGATGGCAGCATCTCATATTAAATTGACCCTGCCAATGTGTAACTTTGTAATCTAAATACTCTTTCCTGTATAACCATGACACAAAACCTCCAAAAGGCTTTCAGGATCTGCTTCCCTGGGAAGAACTGAGAAGTGTTAGGTCCTACAAGGGGAGGTGTTTCTATGGCCCTTGAGGGATAATGGGTATGATGAGAACGAGGAAATGGTAGGGCTTGATAGGGAGATATTTTGGGCGGTAAAAGTTACCCCCAAATCACACCATCAGAGCACTTGCTCATGTCACTCATACAATCCTGGGCATAAATAATGAATCCCCTGTGCTGGCACTTTTCCTGCAGCCTAGAGGGCTGACAAAGCCCGTTACAGGGAGCACCGTGACATCCAAGTAGAGAAAATGTGTTTTCAGTTTGGAGGCCAATCAGGAAATTACTCTTGCTGCCAAAGGAGTGGGATACAATTTCTCCCATCTTTTCAGCATAGGGAGGTTCCCTGCTGAGGAGGGGAGGCAGGCTGATTGAGTGGCCACATCACCACATGGACAGAAACACAGCCATCTTCGGGTGAGCAGCTGGCGCTAACTGTCCTTCACGTTCAGCTCATTGCGTTCCTTCCTCTCTGCGACTCTGAAGAAGAGTCTGCTTTGAACATGTTAGGTTTGAGAAGCTGATTAATCAGCTCAGTGCAGATGTTGAGCAGGTTGCTAGATATACAAGTCTGAATATCAGGGAGAGGCCTCAGTGAGAGATAAAAATTTGAACCTTGTTGAATTGCATGAGATCACTCAGGGAGAGAATGTAGTTAGGGAAAAGCAGAGGGGCAAGGAGTTATTTCAAATAGAATGAATGCAGAGCACCCACTATTATGCGTGTCGCTCTCTTCCCTTCAGAGTGAAGAGACCACCTGAGTTTTCTTTGATATCTTATTTTACAATGAGCCTTGTAGAAATCTTGGAAAACAGAGGGTAGCATGCATTTTTTGACTTTTGATCTCACAAAGGTATATTCTCAGTGGCAAAAAAGTGTCAGGTACAAAATTACAATTATGGTCTAACAAAACTCCAAGAGGGGAAAAAGTATGTCTAAAATCTGTCATTTGGCTTCAAATCTCAGAATGTAAGTTCTATTCAGGTTCTAACTGTGGCTTTGCCTTCTTTCATTTGGCTACAGTGTAATGAAATAAACATTGACCAATCAAGCCAGTTAACAACTGAAAGCGTTCCACACATGTTTTGGTACAAAGTATGTGCACACATTCCTTGATACAGCCTTTGAGAGGCAGAGCCTAACTCCCTACCTCTTGAATATGAGCTGGACTTGGTGACTGTCTTCTAATAAACAGAACAAGGTGGAAGTATGGGTGTTTTATGACAAGATTGAGTCATAAAAGACATTGCAGCTTCAGACTTTCTCTTTTGGATTATGAATACTGGGGGAACCCAACTGCTATGTAGGCAGCCAAGCAGCCATGTGGAGAGAGCCACAAGTTGAGGTCTCAGTTTCTGTCAACAACCAGTAAGGAGCTGAGGCTTCTTGCCGACAGCCATATTGGAAGTGGATTCTCCACTTACAGGCTCAGATGACTGCAGCCCTGGCCAGCAGCTTGACTGCAATCTCATGAGAGACCTTGAGCTAGAACTACCAGCTAAGTTGCTCCAGCATTCCTCACCTTTAGAAATTATGTGACTAATGTTTTAAGTTGCGAAGTTTTGGATTAATTTGTCACGTAACAATAAATAACTAATAAAATGCACAATTAAGAGGTATAATAATTTGAAAGATATTCTTTTTTACTTTCTGCTCACAAGTTTTAGAAAACTTATTTAGATTTTAATTTCATTTTCCAGGAACCTTCTTAGATGAATGTGAACAAAATGAAAAAGAATTTCATGTTGTTTTTAAAAAGCAAGAAACAAATAAAACCTATGGCCACACTAATGTTAGTGTTCAAATGCAGAGTTAATTGCAATGTAATGAAAGCTTAATTGAAATTTTTTATTATGGCTAATTTTTTATTATGGCTATACAATTATATCTAAATACTTCTGCCATTATTTCATTATTTTAAAAACATTATTCTGCCATCAGAGTATAACAGTTACATTACCTTAAGTGCTATAAAATTAATAATCCTGGTTAAAAAGAATTAAGAATTGTGTCTTTTCTTATAGTAAAGAAAAAGTAGTAGGTTCTTTTTGAAGCTTTTAAACACACCAAGTTTGGCCAGGAAAAAAAATAGCTTTTAAAACATCAGCCACAAAACGAGGTACCAGAAAAGAGGAGGATTTTTTCCCTCTTCCTTTTAAGTGGTCACCTTGGGGTTGTTTTTGAAATATGTAATGCTAATGTTCAACAAATGCAGACAGAAATAAAGTTACTTAAAAAGCAACGTTTGGTAAGGGGTGCTGTTTACTCTGGGCGTCAGAGTCTTGCCTGTAATACAGACTAGCATTAAACCTGCCCAGAATTCTCTCTTTACCAGGGCTCAGAAAAGTTCTTCAATTATACACTTTATAACAACAACCAAATATATAAATTGAGAAAAAAACCCTACACTATGAAATGAGAACTTGACACAGTTTATCTTACAGTTAATCTACTGTAATACACCTAAATTATATGCATGTATGAATTCTCGCGCTGAAGTTTGGAAATAAACTCCTAGGAAAATGCTGAGGATCCTAAATTCAGTGGGGCTGATTGTCTCAGATCTTGTGTAATCCAGAGTTCTTGCATCAAACAAGGTCTGGTGACTCTTCCTCTATGTTCCAGGCCTATCTGCCACAGACTGCACTGTCCAACACAGTAGCCATTTCTGCACGTGGTTCCGTAAATTTAACTCAATGAAAATTAAAACTCAGTTTCCCCATGTAGGAGGAACAGTGTTTATTAAATTTCTTTTATGAACAGTCATGGGGACACGTGCTAATCTGCAAAGATAAAGGAAATTTTTGTGCTTACTCATTAAAAATATCAGTTCCTCAGTTGTACTAACTATGTTGCAAGTGTTTGATAGCCACATGTGGCTACTGAACTGGACAGCATAGATACGGAACACTTCCATCATTGCAGAAAGTTCCAGCGGACAGGACTGCCCTAGAATGTTGCTTCTGTGTTACCTTTGTGGAAAATTCCTAGCTTCTTCTTCTGTAATTGCTCCACATGCCAATGTAATTAAAAAACATGTGGTAGAAAATTTGGAACAGGTAAATCCAATAGAATTAAAATAATTCATCTGTGACTACCCAGAGATGAACATAACATATTGGTTGATTTCCTTCCAGTCTATTTTCTAGGCATATGCAAACAGAAATAGCCCATATAGTTTCACTATATAGGGATCATTTTTCTTTTTCTTCCTTTTTTTTTTTTTAAGAAGACTGGGTCCTGCTGGAGTACAGTGGTATGATCATAGCCTGCTGTAGCCTTGAACTCCGAGGCTCAAATGATCCTCCTACCTCAGCCTCCAAATGTGTTGGGGCTGTAGGCACATGCCACCACACCCAGCTAATTTTAAAATATTTTGTAGAGATGTAGATCTCACTGTGTTGCCCAGGCTGGTCTTGAACTCCTGGCCTCAAAATATCCTCCTGTCTTGGCCTCCCAAAGTGCTGAGATTACAGGCATGAGCCAGTGTGTCTGGCTGAGGTTATTTTTCTGTTATTACTTATATGACATTGTTTTTAATTGCTGCATGTTATTCTATCATATGGACATGCTATAGTTTGTTTAGCCAATTCTGTATTGTTTATGTTGTTCCCAGCTTTTTACCACCTCATACGTGGATGTTTGTAAACATCTTTGTAGTTGAATCTGCCCTCACCAATGACTGTTTCCTTTGATTACACCTCTAGAATCAGAATTTCCAATCAAAGCAGAATTTGACTGCTGAGTCAGAGTGAGCCAGTTTTCAGGCTTTTGATACAAATAGGACACACTGTCCTCCAGAAAATGTGTACCACTTTACAAACTTACCAGCATTGTTTCAGAAAGACCATTTTTACATCTCCTAGTCAACTCTGGAATTTAAAAATCGCATTATTTGCCATTTTGATGTTATTTATTTATGACTGAGGCTAAACATTTCTAAGTATTTACCAGTGCTATTTCTAAGATGGTTTGCATCGTCCAATATGCTTGTCAGATGATTCTGAAAAAGACCAGGTATGCCTGATAAAATATTATCTACCAAAAAAGAATACATGCATCATAAACACATCACATGGGAAGTTTATGGATGAGACTTTTCATTATATCTTTGCTTTTACATCTGATTGTATGCTTAAGAAATTATGTGTTTTACTCCTTTGGAAGTCAAAGATGAATTTTTTTTAAAGTAAAAAGATGATAAACATAGAGCTTACAATTTCCTGACTTCATACTTGTTCATATGTATAGGCCTCTATTGATGTGTTAGTGTTACTGTTAAAGATTTTTAAGTTATTTCTATGCCAGGGATATTAGTCCTCTGTTTAAACCTGATCTTGGTTTTGCCTTTAGATTTAATATGCAGTGTCCTTAGAAATGGAGAATATTTTATAAGCATCAATAGCTAGGTGAGCATAAAAGCAATGGAGCAAATCATGAAGCAAAAATGTGACATATCTGACTACATAAATTACTCTTCTATACTTCTCAGTCTTCTTTGCTGCTCCTCCTCATTAATTGGACTCTAAAGGTTGGAGAGCCCCAGGCTCAGCCTCTGACAATTTTTCTCTACCAATTTAACACCTAGCCAAAGATCATCTCATCTGGTCCCAGGCTTTAAAAAACATCCCTATGCTGAGGGCTTCCTGATGTCTATCTGTAGATCTGCCCTTTGCCCTCATCTCTAAATGCTTGCATCCAGCAGTTTTGGAGGGACAACTCAAATGTAATATATCTAAAAGGGAAGTCCTGATTTTCCTCCCAAACCAGTTGTTCTCACAGTCTTCCATCCTGAAAATAATTGATCCGTCTTTCTAGCTTCTCAGGTCAAAAAACCCAGGTGTCATTTGAGAAAAACCCAGGTGTCTGTCTCGTGCCCCACATTTGATTCTTCAGCAATACCTGTTTACTCTGCCTTCAAAATCAACTCAAAATGTGATTATTTCTCTTTACCTCCTCTGTTATCACCCTAATGGAAGTTGCTATGATATCCCACCTGGATTGTTGCAACTGACTCCTAATTGCTTTATCTGCTTTTAGCCTTTGTTCCCTGCACCCCTTTTCCACATAGCAAGCAGAATGATGATCCTTTTACGTATTAAGCCACATTATTCCACTCTTCTCCTCAAGACTTTCAGGGGCTTGACTTCTTACTTGGAGCAAGTCCAAAGGAGTGGCAGGGAAGGAGTAGAGCGAAGGCCAAAGGAAGTCCTGCATGAGCTGCTCCCACCTGCTGCTTTTCTGACCTCACTGCCACTACTCTCCCCTCTGCCCACTCTGCTCCAGCCTCTCTGGTGGCTCCTATTTTGCAGACACTCAGTACTCTCTGCCTAAAGGCATTTGCACCTGCTGTTTCTTCTTTTAGAAAACACTTCTCTTAGATGTCTCCTTGGTGAGTACCACCTCTTCCCTCTGCTCAGATGTTACCTTCTTAGAAGTATACTGCCTCCCACCATGGAGATTCCTTCCCACTCTGCTTTATTTTTCTCCAAAGTATTTATCGCCACCTGACACATACATTTACTTACTTTAAGAATTTGCTTATTGTCTAGTTTTTCGCATCAAAACGTTTTCTCCATGAAGGTAAGAACTCAGTCTCTACCTCCATATTTCACTACCTAGAATAGTACCCTACAGCATAGTTGAATGAATACTTCTGTATTTCTTTTCTTGTGAATTTCTCAGATCTTCTATATCTTTTGCTCTTGAGTTTTTAGTGTTTCTCTTATTGATTTATGCATGATTTATATTTTGGATATGTTTACTCTTTGTTGGAAATATTTTCTTCTAATTTTGGTTTGCATTAAAATTGTATTATGATGTTCCCTGAAGTATAGAAATACTACAGTTTCATATAAAGTATGTCAATCTTTTTTCTCCCATAGTTTATTCCATAACTTTTATGCCTTAGAAAGTCCCTTTCCCGAGTGGGTGCAGTGGCTCACGCCTGTAATCCCAGCACTTTGGGAGGCCGAGGCAGGTGGATCACGAGGTCAGGAGATCGAGACCATCCTGGCCAACATGGTGAAACTCCATCTCTACTAAAAACACAAAAATAACCTGGGCTTGGTGGCAGGCACCTCTAATCCCAGCTACTTGGGAGGCTGAGGCAGGAGAATCGCTTGAACCCAGGAGGCGGAGGTTGCAGTGAGCCAAGATTGCGCCACTGCACTCCAGCCTGGCAACAGAGCGAAAATCCGTCAAAAAAAAAAAAAAAAAGAAAAAGAAAAAGAAAAACAGGAAGTCCCTTTCCCACTTCAAATTTAATCAAATGGTCAAATATATTGTAGAATGTTTTTAAGATTTTTTTTTTACTTTTAAATCCACTTGGGATCTCTTTTGCTATATGGTGTGATTGACAGTAAGACTGTGTGGTATGTGAGAACTGACCAGAGGAGGATGAAGAAATCAGTGTCTAGAGCACATGGCTTGTACTGAAATTATGAAGAACATGTATTCTGAGTTTTTCCTAATCATGCACAAAGCAAAAAAAAAAAAAAAATCATGCAGCAAATCTTTGCTACTGGGGCTTGCCTGCCTCTCAGCTGATCCTGGAAAAGTCTTGGAAAAAGAACTGAACATGTCCAGTTGGTCTCTTTTCACCAAGGGTCTGAACATTCTTTCCAGCACCCAGTTTCTTCCCTTCTTAAATGGGTCAAGCAGTATCATTTGATGAACTATGCAGATGAGCATTAAGAATCACATAGATACATTTCCAACAGAGTGGTTAAAGGTGCTTTTATCTTGTTCTAAGGTTTAACTAAGACTCTAACTTCAAAACAGAAATATCTGTCTTTATTGTTCTAATTCAGTTCTGAGCTCTTGCCACTAATTGAGGATGCTCTGACTTCAACCCATCAGATCCCATGGGCAATGTTTCTAAACTCACAGTCTCTAGCAGGCAAATTTGCCCTTCATCAAACTCTCTTCTGAACTGATGTCTCATTGTTCCATACTTGCATGCCTATTTGCCCAAAGAGAAACAAAGCTTCCCCATCCCCAGTCTAATGCACACTGCTTTTGGACAATATCAGAAAGCATCACATTTGGCTCCATTTGAGGTCAGATTTCATGTAGTCCATGCAAAAAGTGCAAAGACAGTAACTACCAGCCAGAAGTTTCCTTCGTGTTGCCTTTGAATACCAAGATCTCTGATCATGCACTAGCCATTATAATGATAAGATTAGATAAAATCAGTGATCTTCCAAAAAGTGTTAGACGAGAACATACAGTATAGATAAAAGCGAACTATTTAGTATTTAATAGTCTATTTTTGGAACTTTGTAAGGCAAACCAACAAAACGATTAGTGTTTCCCAAGAACTTCATACTCTATGTGGCTCAGTTACCCTGTACCTGTGTATAAACTCTTTTCGTACTTTGCATGAGTGTTTTAAAAAATCAAATTCTGATTTAGTTTGGATTTCAAGTCATTCCAAGCCATTAAAAACTATAAAGCCTACATGAAGGAGGAGGCTGTAACCCTGCAGGGGTCTGCTGGATGTCATAATGGGATTTGTACATAAATGTAAATTAACCAGTAAGTGAGCTATAGCTGCAAAGGATAAACATTAAAGGGTAAGTGAAAAGGGGGGGCATTATTTCATTCAGATTAGAAAGAAAAACCAGTATTGAGAGAGTCATCTGAGAAATGACCACATATTTTTCCTTTAGTGATTGAGTGGAGAAAAAAAAAAGCAGAAACCCCGAGCATTCATTTGCTTTCAAGAGCATGGCAGCAACATGAAGCCATTCCTGGGGATCGACCAAAATGGCGGGGGTGGAAGGTAGATGCAGGTGAAGGAAAACAGCAGGAACTCTACAAGGGTTCAGGATGAACTGGGAAGGTGAACTCCTGAGTCCACAAATGCCAAGGCTAGATTAAGTTGTGATTCAAAAATAAAGGTTCAGGGCTGAGATACCTCATTATACTCGGATAGAGAAGGAGAAGAAACACACATGTCAGTCCCCGCTAAGTGTTGGGCATATCCATGATCTTATGATGCTAATTCCCTCATCGACTGTATAAGACACAGGAAAGGAGTCAGGGCTGGCTTTGCCACTTTTTAGCCGCTGAGATTATTCATTTATCTCATGCTTGGTTTCATATAATTCACTCCTTACTCACTTACGCATTCATTCCAGCATTTATTCAATACATTCACTGTGCGAGGAACTGAGAACACCAAGATGAACTAGGATATAGACTCTGACCTCAAGAAGTTCCCAAAAGGGGAAACCTACCATCAGAAAGACTATAAAACCAGGTGGTAGTGTAATGAGGAGAAAGGGGGTGTGTG
This sequence comes from Homo sapiens, assembly GCF_000001405.40. NCBI lineage: Eukaryota > Metazoa > Chordata > Mammalia > Primates > Hominidae > Homo > Homo sapiens. The sequence goes on along the minus strand of NC_000007.14, from coordinate 104,672,292 downwards.
AACCCCTATAATTTATCCTGGGTTGATATTAAAAATATTTCACATCTCAGTAAGCACGGTACTGATGAGTCAAAAGGGATGCAGCCAGGAAAAACCAAGCCACTGACCCACTAGTTTGGCTCATCCTGTGTCTTACTGGTTGGCTGAATGTCAGCCCTGCATACACCCTACTACACAGAAAATTTACATAAGCAACCATTGCAAACACACACACACACACACACACACACACACTTGGAAGTTAAAGTTTTGAAGAAGGAAAAAAGAAAAGGTATTCAAAAGAATAAACCTTCTCCTACTTGCTTGCATCCACAGCTCTTTAGTACTCTCATCATAATCTATAGAAGTAATGGAAGGAAAGAATAATTCTTTCAAAAGAAATAGGGACATTGATATTAGCAGAGTAAGAGAAATTCAAACTCCAATTTTCCAACTAAATTATAAAATGGGTAGAGTAATACCTTGCTGGGTTGTTAGGAATATATCAAATAATGAATGGAAAGTAACTGTTTCAATACTCAGCGCCTAGAAGGTCCTGAATAAATAGGGATTATTATTTATTTTTTTACAGATGAGAAAATTGAGGCTGAAAGGGGTTAAATAATTTGTCCAAGTTCACACAAATAGTTAGTATTGGAGCCAGAATGTGATATCACTATATGATCTTATAGTGGAAAAGTCTGTATTTTTTCCTTGTATTTCTTTCTTTTTTTTTTTTTTTGAACTTTAAAGATCAGATTTATTTGGAGAAAACAAAAAACCCACAACCCAAAGGATGGGATTTTACATCAAGACATCTCCCAGGTAATAAGTCTACAGATTACAAATCATTTTCATAGAAGATATTTTTGTACAAATTTTACATGTATTCAGGAGCGGGACATTAATCAATCCCTGTTTCTATTTTAATGGGGGGGACAAGGTAGGGGACAGGGAAAAACAGTTTTGGATATAACTATTTGGAAGGAGAGTAGACATGAAGAGGGCAAACCCTAGCTTTTCATTATCTACAATCAATAGTTTTTTTTTCTTTTTTAAAAAAGAAAAAAAACACCTTTCAATCTTCAATACTCTTTAAAAGCCCACTTCTTAGCTACTGGCCAATCCACACCAATTATTTAAATTCACTTGGTACACACCTTTGTCCACTGGGTAAATTATATTCATTATGCCCACTGCTGCAGCACGCATAAACCAACACCCCTGCATGGCTGAACAGGGCCTAATCTAGGACTGATGGCAGAAGGGTTTGCAAACCAAGATCAAGGTGTTTCTCTGCTAATACTGTCTACCAAGCTGATCCCTACAAAAATGCATATAAAGGCAGGCAAGTTTAGCTACTGTGTTGCAAGAGAAACCAGGACCTTGTTAAATAGTTCTCTCCATTTCCGTTTATTCTCTCAAGGGAAGCTTAAAAAAAAAAAAACAAAACAAAACACATTGGTCTGGCCACCTCATGAATCCAACAAACATTAGTGTGGCATTTCAGTGGAGAAGGAAACTTGGGGGGAAAAAAACCCATCAAGGTTGTAAGAAAGGCTCCCAATTTAACTGTCCCTGTCCCTATTTATCCACCATCCAAGACCATCCATTATTCTAGAGCACTCTGATCAATAAAAGGGGTCAAAGCATCAGGAGCAGGCAAGGAGTGAGAACCAGAAGATATCAAGAAACCGATTTGCTTGAGAAAAGCAGCGATTCTTCCTTTCAGAGTTCTCCATGGCTGAGAGAGAAAATGCCCAAGACATCATGTATGTGACTTAGATACTGCTTTTTGGGAGGTTAAGAGTAGCATGAAGAACTTAAGATGACGATAAGAGTCTAAATTTTTAGTTTCAAGGTTTCAATAGAATGTGGATATATTCAAACTTTCAAAAAGGACAGTGTTTAGAAAGGGTAAAACTAGGACACAGAAAACATTGGGAATTACCACGACCCCCAAGTGCTTCCGGCTCCAGGAAATAACCATTCATGTGTTTGCTGGAGGTCACACAATTTTCCCCTATTACCTGGTGCAAAATGACTCATCAATTCCCAAAAGCTTCCTTTCAAACCACGATTTTCCCATTTATTTTGGTCCAATGAGTCCCATTCTTTATGGCCTATAGTCTCACTCCCAACTAACCCCCTTGGGGGTAAAAAAAAAAAAAAAAAGGAATTCCCTCTAGGCTGTCCCCCAAAACTCAGAATTAAATAAGAGGAGGGGCTGGCAGCCTCCTGGAGACTAAAACAACTTGAGGCTAAATCTACCTTTCCAAGAATGGAAAATTTATTCAGATAATGTTTGAGAATTCATATATGCCACAATAGGAAAAAAACTAAAAGGTAGAAATCTCACACTTTTCCTTCTACCTCCCTCCCCTACTGCCCAACCAGGTTCCAGGCGTTATATCACTGTCATTACCATTTCTGCTAAATGGAGACCCCTAGGCACTAATCACACTGGCAACTGCATGGTGACATAACGCACCACAACTTCTCTAAAAAGCTGTAGTCCCTTTCTCTCTGGCTGTATTGGCAATTCTCCAGTTACTTCAATACTTTAAAGGCTGCAGCAGCATGCAAAATAATTTCATTTTTTGTTTTAAAAAAAAGGTAAGAAAGGTCTTCAGGAGATGGTGAGTTTTATTTTGTCTTGTCTGGATAGAGGTTTTGATTTGCTCTCGAATGTTCCAGGGTGGAGAGAAACTAGGAGAAAAGCACAGGATGTAGAGGTCTATTTGGCATAATCTTCTCCCTCATTTTCATCTTCACCATCAACAGAGAGAGCAGCATACTTGCTTGCAGAACTGAACTTGGAAGCTGGATTTTCCTCAGGTTTCTTTGGCTCAGGTGCAGATCTGGAGTCTTGATCCTTTTTGCCATCTTTCCTATCTGACTCCTTCCAGTGGTCTCTGTTCCCTCAGTCTCCTGGACCACGGCTAGAGTTCCCAGTTTGGCCTTTTGGGACATTCATCCCATCTACTTTATTTTCATCTTTCCTTCCTGGTCCTTCCTCAGATGGTTGAGCTGGAGCTACTTTTCCCCCACCACTTGTAGGGGATTGCTGCTCTGTGTCTGAGCTCTGAGATCGAGCAGGAGGGTTAGAACTTCGCTTCACCCAAGCATTCTCCTTTGGTGGAGGGGCTGGCATTACCTTTAGGGGCTGATCAGGTTTGGGAGGTTTAGAAGTTGGAGAGTGGCAATCTTCCTCCTTATTGAGTGTTTCATTTTCTAGAGACTTCTCACTCTCTCTCCTTCATGCATTTCTGCCAGATGTGGTGGAGGTCCCAGTCTGTGATGACTCACTTCCTGTCCTCGACCGTTCCCGTTCCTGAGTTTCTTCACTTTGCCAGCTTGGGTGTCTCTCCCGAGGCCGTCGTTCTAGTTTTGGCCCATCCAGCTGACGCTGCAACTTCTCTTGTTCCTTCGTAGCCGTTCTTCTACTTCTCTTTCTCTAGCAGCTGTGTCAACAGGCTTTGCCCCTCCAAAGATAGAAGCAGCTCGAGTGGACTGGGAGTTACTAGCAGAGGAATCATCTTCCTTAGGAGTACTCCGAGGCTTTAGATTCAGTTTGGGTCTTTGGGGGGGGGGGGACCTCTATCATCACGCCTATAATCATCCCGAGAGTAATCATCTCTGGAGCTCCACGACCGATCATCCCGTCTGTCATATTGGTCTTCATAGCAGTCCCTGCCTTCTCTGTAGTCATCATCCCTGCGATACCCACTGCCAAATGCTCTTCTGCCACTGCCTATCCGGGAATCATAGCCTCTATCATAGTCTCTGCTGCCTCGGTCATCATAGCGATCCCGGCCACCATATCGATCCATATCCCGGCGTGGGCCATCCCGATACCCATCCCGATACCGGTCTGAATCATAACGATCTCGATACTTGTCTCCAAAGCTATCATCACCTCTTCTAGGTGGGTAGTCATCAAAGGTGTCTGTAGCAGGACGAGCCCTCCAGTCTGTATCTGTTTTGTCAGAATCCCGATTTCTATCACGGCCAAAAGGAGGATCATCCCTGTCTTTATCCAGTGCTTGATCAGCAACGTCCACTCGAATTCTCCTGTTACTTAGAGACTCTTCATTGAGACTCAGGGCACTGAGCAGGGAATCCAGGTCCTCAAATTCAGCATAACCAAAACCTTTCAGCCTCTCTGGATTGCTGGGTTCACGTGGTAAACGCACTGCACTGATATTTAATCCTCGAAAGAATTCCTTAATTGACTCTTCTGTAACATCATAGGGTAGGTTTCCTAGAAAAGCAGTGTAGGGTGGCGATTTGGGAAGACGGCTCCGGTCGATATTGGGTTCCCGAGCAGCCCGTGGAGCAGTGGGAAGGATGGAACGGTCAATTGGAGGCGCCCTGTACACATCGTCATCGTTACTGTGCCAAGTTGTAGAAACATCTCCTTCCAGGTCATCCGTTTCATCAGCCCAGCTGACTGGTTTGGAAACATAGGTGCTTCCTCCACCAGTACCCCCATCCTCAGCCAGAAAGTCTGTTAGGGAGATAGTCTTCCCCTTCTTATTCTTCTTTTTTGCTGAGGCCGCCATGTTGGCAGAGGGAAAGCTTTTCCTTGTATTTCTTTAAGTACTCCTCTAAGTTGTAAATTGCATGTATAATGGCATGTTAACTTTAGTTACTATTTACCCTTGGCTGTTTCAAGTTCAATGTTGTACACTAAATGGATAACAAATATTAGTTATGCTGATAGTGGATCCAGCTATGGAGGCTTTATAGGAAGATTGGCTAATCCAACCATAAGTTCATCACCCAGACAACATTGATTCTGCTGGGGCAGCTAATCTAAATTATAGGCATAAGCACCCAGGAGAGTAGAAGCGGCCGCTGGGATGTGAGCCTTGAAAAGTCAAATCTACGAAGTAACAGCAATGGCCCATGGCATGTGATGCTTAATACAGGCAGGGAGGGTGAAAGTGATTTGTGAATGCAAGAGTGGGCATAGCCACCATAAAACACGTTTATGTGCTCTTATTTAACAGGTTGCATGTAAGCCAATTAAAGATTCCCCCCCCCAAGAAAACAGATGATTGTAGGAGGGGATATATAATTGGGAACTTGCACCTTTAGAAAAGTTTCATCAAAAATCATTTAAAAGCTGGCTATTATTAAAAAGAAAAAAAAACCATGCTGGTGAGGATGCAGAGAAAAAAGAACTCTTATACACTACTGGTATGAATGTAAATTGGTACAGCTATTATGGAAAACCATATGGAGATTTCCCAAAAAGCTAAAAATAAAACTTCTATGTGACCTAGCAATTCCACTATGGAGTATTTATCCAAAGAAAAGAAAATCAGTATATCAAAGGGATACCTGCACCTCCGTGTTTATCATAGTACTGTTCACAACAGCAGATATGTGGAATCAACCTGTCTATCAACAGATGAATGAATAAAGAAAATGTGGTATATATACAAAATGTAATACTACTCAGCTATTAAAAAAAAGAATGAGGCTGGGCGCGGTGGTGGCTCACGCCTGTAATCCCAGCACTTTGGGAGGCCGAGGCGGGCGGATCACGAGGTCAGGAGATCGAGACCATCCCGGCTAAAAACGGTGAAACCCCGTCTGTACTAAAAATACAAAAAATTAGCCGGGCGTAGTGGCGGGCGCCTGTAGTCCCAGCTACTTGGGAGGCTGAGGCAGGAGAATGGCGTGAACCCGGGAGGCGGAGCTTGCAGTGAGCCGAGATCCCGCCACTGCACTCCAGCCTGGGCGACAGAGCGAGACTCCGTCTCAAAAAAAAAAAAAAAAAAAAAAAAAAAGAATGAAATCCTGTCATTTTCAGCAACGTCAATGGAACTGAAGGTCATTATGTTAAGTGAAGTAAGACAGGCACAAAAAGACAAATACTGCATGTTCTCACTCATATATGGGAGCTAAAAAAGTTGATCTCATAGAGATAGAGAGTGGAATAATAGTCACCAGAGGCTGGGAAAAGTGTATGTGTGAGGGCGGAGGGAGGGATGAAGAGAAGTTGATTAATGGGTATAAACATACAGTTAGATAGAAGGAATAAGTTATAATGTTTGATAGTATAGTTAACAACAATATATTGTATAATGTATTTTAAGATAGCCATGAGAAAGGAACTGAAATGTTCCCCAACACAGAAATGATAACTAGTCAAGGTGCTGAATACCTTAAATACTGTGACTAGATTATTATATATTCTATGCATGTAACAAAATGTCACATGTATCCCGTACAAATGTACAAATATTATGTATTAATAAATATTTAAAAAATCATTTAAAAGCTGTAATGGAATATTGTAAATAGGATTTGTAAAGGTAAAGCAGGGTATACCTGCAATGAGTTTGGAGTTTGTGGTTTTAAGCCCAGGGGGAGAACACTGCGTAGTAAGAGACAGAAGAGATGAGCAGCAGGAGAAATCACCAGCTCACACTGTCGAAGTCAGAGAGTCTTGTTTGCTAGTTAGGAGATTGTAAAGACACCTGTCAATCTAGGCACTGGGAAAAGTCAGACACAAAACAGGTCAATTTCCTCCTCATCTACAAGTCCATTAGAGATAGGTCATCTTTCATGCATCTGAAATAACTCACCTTTGAGCAGAGATAAAAAACGCATTTAAGCTTCACTGAAAAATCACACTTTCAGACAAGTTATGAACAAGGTATACATGTGAATTAGGGTGTCTATAACATCTATAATCATAGCTCTTGCTGCCTTGGATACAACTCAGGTCTTGATGTAATTGCTTTGTACATACACAAAGCCGGCGTTATGCACACAGAGGAGTCAAAGTTACTGTGGAAACTACAGCTTAGACATATCTGGAATTTTTTAATAGTTAAAAAAGCCTGAATATGGTTACATTTTTTTAATGGAATGGACTATTACAATTAGAACCTGGCTTTTAAATCTCTAAACCATATTATCCTCCTCTTCTGAAGAAAGTACCTCAATCATGGAAATAATTCAATATACTGTCTTCATGGACGGACCCAGTTGCTGAGTGTTCTGATGAAAACTATACAGGAAAGCCAAGAAGTAATTATAGATACACAAACTACCACTTTCTAGTAGATGCTACATTTGTAGATAACAAACATGTTTCCATAAAAACATGACCTATTGTTTCCAACACCGAGTGAATGACCTATTTTGAAAACCAGTTTTACATTAGCAGTCTTATGTATCTGGGTGAGAAATATTTAACTATAATCAAATTAGTGATTAAGTGCTAAAATTTATTCCCATGAACACAGTATTGCCTTTAAGAAATCTGAAATTCAATGTGTATTCATTTTATATGGCCAGCAAGATAGTTGTTACGTGTGTAATATACCTACAGCAGAGATGGCTAGAGGTCTTTCAAGGACACATGTTTCTTTTCCATGATGTAGAGTTGTGTCCAGCCAGGGACTACATTTCCCAGGTACCACTGCATCTAGTCCCATCTAAGCCATGGGACTAATTCTCACCAATGGAGGTGATAGATGGCACTTTCAGGACAAGGTGGTTCAGTAAAGAATGTGTGTTCTCTATCCTTTCTTCTCATGTCAGACAGAAGATTCTGAGATCCAAGGGCAGGGGTCAGCAAACTGTAGACTGTGGGTCAAATCTAGCTTGCCACTTGATTTGGTAAATAAAGTTTTATTGGAATGCAACTATGCTCAGTCATTATCTATGCTGTGCTACAACTACAGAGCTGAGAAGTTGCAAGGGACATGCAAAGCCTAAAATATTTACTATCTGGACCTTTAAAGGAAAAGTTTGCTGACCCCTGCCATAGGGGATAGTAGAGACAGGAAAGGAGCCAGTGTCCTGGAGTTATCATGCTGAGGAAAGGTACCTGACCAGGACTTTAATTTTGAACCTGAAAGAATGAGAAAGAAAGGAACTTCTGCTGTATTTGAGACATCTTAAAGTTTTTAATTAAAAAATTTGTATTATTTTAGCATGTATTCAAAAAGAATTGGAGGGTCATTTTTTTTATAGAAGCTGAAAGAAAGAATATTTGAGTAAAATGGCTAATTTGGTACAAGACTGCCTAATGTATAAGTACCATGGCAATAAAAATTTAACCTTTGGGTTATCTTTTTAATGGAGCAGAATGTGGGATGGAAATTATTTCTAGCTCTAGTGGACAAAATTCATTGTAATGTTGATGGAAATTATTTCTAGCTCTAGTGGACAAAATTCATTGCAATATTATCAGGCAAGAATCATTTCTATCATGATCAGTTTTCTAAAAGTCATCATCTATCTGCTTTGTAATAAATAGCAAGTCAAACAAAGGGACACACCCCTAAAAAATCAGATAATTTCCAGGTGGATCTGCTAGCTAGTACATCACCTTACACTGAAACCACATACAGCAATATCTTTTGTCCATTTCAAAGTTTTGATGGTCTTATGGTTAAGGTAAACAAACATGGTGTAAGTGACAAGGTATGAGTGAGTGATAGTTGAGCACCCAACTCCAAAGACCTCTCATTTACATGGATTCAATTCTAGAATCATAGGATTCTGTGATAGTCAACATAAATTTGTCTCTGTAATATATGACAAAGCCCCAGATCCCTGAGTTTTCTGGTTGGTCTCTTTCTGCATAAGATATGTAGTTTCCCAAACTTGCTCTCTTATATGGTAACCTGAAAAGTTTTGGCATATACCTTTGGCATAACTGTCTTTGGCTTCCCATGACAATAAGGCTGCTAGCAGGGCATATGAGTCTTTTTACAACTCTGCATGTTGTACATGAATTCTCCAACCAGATGGTGTAGCCATTTTCCTTTATAATCAGTAACCTGGATCAATGCTCAATGAGGGATGAGTGAACCATGGCTCCTCCTGAAGCTGGGGAATGCCAGCCAGAATCGCTGCATGATCTTTAGCTGAATCCCTCCCAATGAAAGTTCAATTCTTCCTGGGTTGGAATGCCCTGGCTGCACAAAGATGTTGAGGAAAAAGGAGAAATTCTCAAAGGTTCTTTTTAATATGTTGGCTGTTTGTTACTTCTGGTGTGTTGTGTTTTCTTTTTCAGGGTATGAGTTGGTCTTATAGCATGTGGTTAAAATAATTACTTTAAAAACCCATAAAGCATTTCAGATTCCAATTCAACATGTGCCCTAGACAACCTTGACTATAAACTCAAAAGGAGGAACTAGAAAACTTTCAAGTTCTTAAGTTTGTAGTCAAGGTTATAATGTTTTATTTTACATAGTGAAATTAACACTGACAGAATAGGCATACAAATAAACACTATTTTTTTAAATGCCCAGCACAGTTTAACTTGAGAGGAGAGGCTACATGAGGAACTGGGTCTGAAGTAAACCACAGTAAAGAGGAAAGTATTTTTAAACACAGATGGTCATGACATTTGAAATAACTGAGTATCAGTTTAAAATGTCTAAAGAGTGTTTCTGGAAAATCATATATTTTGACTTAAGACTTTAAAAATCAGTGAACTAATTGCAATCCTACAAAGTTTTTTGCTTTTATTAAATTATTTTGAGTCAACATTTGGGAAAATCCTGTTTCCAAATTCAGAAGATGTGAATTGAAAGAACTCCAGGAGCCAAGATAAGTTTCATCAACAGTAACTACCTCCAAACCCGCATTTACCCTCTTTGCAAGCCAGTTGAATATTCATTCATTATTTGTTTGTTCACTCATTTGTTTGTGTCATTCATCCAATAAACATTCTATTAAGTGCTTAGAAAGTTGTACCTACCATACCTCATGAGACACAGTTATAGAGAGATTTGACTGAAGCCAAGCTGCCTGAATTTGACCCTAGGCACCTTCATTTTTTAGCTGTGTAACTTTGGGTAAATTATTAAGGGTCATTGTTCTCAGTGTCTTCATCTGCAAAATGGAAATTAATAATAATAGCACTTGCATACTTGGGTCCTTGGGGGGATTAAATGAGATAATCTATGAAAAATGTCTGGAAGAGTGAAAGCATACTATGACTACTAGCATATTTCTGCCAGAATTATTATCTGAAGATGGTTTAATTCAGCCATACCACCAGAACTGAACCATAAAATTCAACCCCAAGCTGTTTTTGTCTCAGAGTTATTAATGTCCTTATACGGTAGTCTCCCCCTTATTTGTGGTTTCCCTTTCCATGGTTTTAGTTACCTGCAGTGAACCACAGTCTGAAAATATTAAATAAAACATTCAAGAAATAAACAATTAATAAGTTTTAAACTGTGTGTCATTCAGAGTAGAATGATAATGTTTTGGGCCATCCCACCTGGATTGGGAATCATCCCTTTGTCCAGCTGATCCATGCCGTAGATGCTACCTGCTCTAAGCCATTTTGTAGGTATCTCAGTTATTAGATCGACTGTCATGATAGCTCGGTGCTTGTGTTCAAGGAACCCTTATTTTACTTAATAATGGACCCAGAGTGTAAGAGTAGTCATGCTAACAATTTGGATATGCCAAAAAAGCCATAAAGTGCTTCCTTTAAGTGAAAAGGTGAAAGTTCTCGACATAATAAGGAAAAAAATATTTCATGCTGATGTTGCAAAAATCTACAGTGAGAACGAATCTTCCATCCATGAAATTGCGAAGAAGGAAGAAGAAATTTCTGCATGGTCTATCTAGTTTGGTACTATCCATGGCTTCAGGCAACCTTTGGGGGTCTTGCAAAGTATTTCCCTGGGGTAAGGAGGGACTACTGTATTATGAAGGAAACACATCAGATTTACCAATTACTTGTCCTTGTTCTCATCTCAAAATAACATAAAAATATCTTTTTCTTTTCTTTCAACCAAGTAAACTAGGACAAAAAAGTCAGGACAGAGGTGACTTCATTCACTTCCTGATTTAATTGCCTGTAGTTGGGAGAACAAGCATATGTGAGTAAGGGTAGTTTGGTGGTCTCCTCTTTCAAACGATGGTCCAAAATGAGTCAGTTCAGCTATTTAGTAATACTGCCCTGGATGTTTTAACTATTTGTGGGAATGACTCCAAGAAAGAGGGCACATGGGTAGAATAGGCAGGGCAGCACCTTCACACTCCTCAGCCAATGCAGTGACACTTCTGAAGATCAACGAGGTTTCTGTGTGTAGTTTACATCCATATATTCAGCTGCCATTGCCACCTCTTGAGAACCTGAGTTTCTTTGACATCATCTTGATGTTCACTGTGCTCTGGGTCCAGAGATGTCATGGACCATCACTGCACTGCATCCCTAAGCCTTCCTGATATCAGTGCTCACAGGATCTCAATACTGAGGCATCCCTCCCATTAAGAAGGTTAGTTGTACTAATAATAGAAATTTGACATCTCCATGACCACATCACCAGCAAGCAGCAGCACCAGTTTTAAGATTTAAACCCATCTGAGTTTACCATCTTAGGTATACTATGAGGATGTATGGCATCTACTTTTAGGGAAAGTGGTCTAGTGTCCTGAAAAGAGGACCAGAGACAATGGTGTATGATGGAGTATGTGACCTTGAGAAAACCACTTGACTTCTGTGTATTATGCAAAATGAATATTGATGCCTAAAGGGCTGTTGTGAGGCCAAATGTGGAAGTTTACAAAAGAAGAAAAAATCTATGCAGATGTGGCTATTAATATAACCTTCAAGGCAAAGACAGAAGTCAAGATAATCTAAATGACATTGCCCAGAGAGTGGCCTATTTCCTTATGCCTCTATACACAGTAGAAGGTAAATAGAAAGCTCACATCAAGCTGTTTATATAGCAACTTTCTAACTCTCTCTGACACCCAAATCATGTACCTTCTGCTAAAGGTAACTCCTGCATCCACTTGATAGAAATAGACAACGTGACATAGTACAAACAGGCAGCATGGCATGACTAATGCTTTCCCCCATGCAGACTGAGGAAAAAATCCATTATTTTTCCAAGCCAAGATTGATCAGAAAGAGATATCAGCCTGGAATTGGAGATGGGCAAAACCTGGATGGTTGTGCTGACAAACCAGATGGTGAACTGATCACAGTTTCAATTAAACAAAAAGAGTTGACTGGGCGTGGTGGCTCACGCCTGTAATCCCAGCACTTTGGGAGGCAAAGGCGGGTGGACCATGAGGTCAGGAGATCGAGACCATCCTGGCTAACATGGTGAAACCCCATCTCTACTAAAAATGCAAAAAATTAGCCAGGTGTGGTGGCACGCACCTGTAGTCCCAGCTACTTCGGAGGCTAAGGCAGGAGAATAGCTTGAACCTGGGAGGCGGAGGTTGCAGTGAGCCAAGATCACACCACTATACTCCAGCCTGGGCAACAGAGTGAGACTCCGTCTCAAAAAAAAAAAAAAACGAGTTGCTGTGGCAAACTGGAGGGCTAGGAAGGCATCAATTTGAAAGATCATAAAATGATCAGGAGGAAAGTGACATGAGGCCTTTCTCCAGGGGCCACTGGGCCAGCAGGCACACCAGGGGGCTACTTCTAACCCTATCCCTTGACTATTAGGACTAGTTGGCTCAGAAATAGGATTTGTGGTTAAGCCAGATTAAAGCAAGACAACCTTCTACAGTAGCAGCTAAGCTTGCTTCCTGATTTCACTGTTTGATCAGGAAGGTGAAATACCTTCCTGATTTTGAGAAGTCGCAAATGTGAAGGCCTTCTATCATTCAGTTCAGCTGCTTATTTAGAGCACTGCACTAGAATGGCTTTAATTTTTGTGTTGAAAAGTAGTTTCTTCAGTCTGTGTCAGGGACTCAAATCATTCCCCTAATCCTGCTAAGAATTCCCCCATCACTGTGTATTTAGGGCACCAGAAGCATTCAGGAAAAGCATGTGGCTATACCATATATTATGGAGTACTCCTGAAAGGTGTCTAAAAGTTCATGCCCTGCTGGGGCAGCCTTGGATTCTCTGGTGTGAGTGAAAGAGCACTGAATGACCGAACAACAATGGAAGTCTGGATCCCATCTTGGCTCTGCAACCTGGGTGCCATACTTAGGAGGAACCTCCTAAATTCCAGGTGCTGGCAGAGATGCTGGGTATGAGATGAATTCTGCCAAGGAGGAGCCAACAGTCTGTGGGGGCACAGACAGGTGCAGAACTAGCCATCTTCCACATGGCAGATGCCAAACCATCACAGCAAGCCAAGGGCAACTTGAGCAAGGACAGCATGATGCAGTCTGCTTACCTGGGGCTGGCCCTGAAGCCTGGGCAGGGTCTCATTTAGCAGGGAGGAGAAGAAGGGGGTTCCGTGGGAAGGTCACATGCAAAGGCACAGAACTGTGTAAGTGCATGGCACGTTCAGGGAATCTGATGGTGTAAGCAGTGGGACCTCACTGAACCTCGGTAAATTTCTACTTCACATGCCAATCTTGAGGATCTAATAAAGTAATGTTAGTTATGCTCACTCCTTCATCTCTTCCAGCTTTTCCCAAAGTAGGGTCTGGAAATCATCTGTGTCATAATTATCTGGGGTATGCGTCAAAAATTCAGATTCCTGGGATACCCACATTTGAATCTGGGAGGGTGCAGCCCAAGGAGATGACTTGTTTTTTAGTTTGTTTTTTGAGATGAAGTCTCGCTCTGTCGGCCAGGCTAGAGTGCAGTGGCGTGATCTCAGCTCACTGAAACCTCCTCCTCCTGGGTTCAAGCGATTCTCCTGCCTCAGCCTCCAGGGTAACTGGGATTATAGGCGCCCACCCAGCTAGTTGTATTTTTAGTAGAGACGGGGTTTCACCATGTTGGCTAGGCTGGTCTCAAACTTCTGCCCTCAAGTGATCCACCTGCCTCGGCCTCCCAAAGTGCTGGATTATAGGCTTGAGCAACCATGCCAGCCAGGTACTAGAGGTACGAGAGTACTCCAGGTACTAGAGATGGAGAACACTGATGCAATCTATAGGAATTCTGAGCAATTCCAAGGTGGACTAAACTGATTTCACAGATTTGCTGTGTAGCAAAAGGAGTAAATCAGCATGTTTTCAAAGTTGGACTGGAGAAAAAAAAGAGAGAGAAAGAAAGAAAAGAAAAATACAGAAAGAGGTATGTGTGCAATGTTGGGAACAGGTATTTCTTCTGAGTCCTTCTTTCTAATTTATCTAGAAATGCACCTAGATATTTAAAAGAAATCAGAACTGAGAACTTGCAAGAATATAGATACATTTATATTTAATGGTGCATAAAGTGCTATATGAATCTTATCTGACCAAGTCAGCATTAAATACCAAGCAATTCTAACTGCAAGGCAGCAGAAAATTTGAAAGCTCTCCATAATTTTACTTGAAATTATGTATTATTTTTTTCTAATGAGCACTTTATGATTTAATGTAATGGCCCTATCTTTTTTCTGTCAAAGGCTTAGCTTTGAAAATAATTGTGCTGGTATCTATGGAAAAATACTTGATTAAGGTGACCCACATATCACTGTAATTGCTCTCTACTGGCAAGTTAGTAGCCAAATAAAACGAGATATTATTCAGTTGTCAAAACAGAGGATTTACTATTGTTAGAGCAGCTCAAGTCAAATTCAATTGTGGAAGTTTTCAATAGAGTGGGAAAGAGAGTTTAAAGCTATGACTTCTGAGTTGGGAAGGGGAAGTCTGTTGAAGGAAGCTCCAGAGATGGAAGATGGAGGGATAGATGCATGGGGAGAATGAACATCACAGAGGGAGGGCAGCAACTGGACTGCAAAGGATGTGGGATTTGGAACCAGACCAGTATTTACATCCAGGCACCTTCACATATCTGGCAAAGTAATTAGCTACACAATCCTCAATTTCTCTAATAAAGTGGTAACATTGTCTACCTTGCAGGGCTGCTGTGAGGATTCAATCTCTACACATATTAGGCATTAAAGAAATGGCAGCTATTAAAACAAGACATTGGTATATCCAACAGAAACTTTAAAAATCTAGACTTTTTATTTTCAGAATGAATTTCAACCAGTGACCTTCTGCCTGAAGAATCAAACTTGGACTTGGCCTTTCCAATGCCATTAGCTACACATGGCTCAGAATAGCTGATACTACTGATAAGCAGGCTTAACCTGCCTTGGGAAGCAGGCTTCCTTTCAGCAGCATTTCATTTGGTCTGAATGCTTCAAAGACAGGTTGTACAAACTGCTACTTGTTTAAGAATATATAGAGTTGGATAACATATTGGTGATTGAATATTTTGATGCTTAAGAACCACTTGGAGAGGAATTCGTAATATCAATTAGTATGCTTATAAGACCGCTTAGCATGTATTATCTTCTGTTAGGTTATACATGATTGAAAATAAGTAAAAAGGGATAGGTGGAGAAATTGAGCCATCAAAGTCAGCCAGGCATTTAGAAATACCTTTCAAAAGAAAGTAAATGAGAGGCCATGACCTTCTTTCCAGCTAGGCATGCTTTTCTTCAGGTGTGGGCTTGTGAACAACCAAAAGTTCAGAAAACAGATGTAACATGGATTCCAAAGGAAAGTGCTATACACCACGATCTTTCTTTAAAAGGACAGTAGAATGTGAAGATGCCCATATGGATAATTAGACTGTCCACATAATGTGTTAAAAGGAAAATAAAACATGTTTGCAAATGGTCTTATAATCAGGAGATATTTGGCCAAGACAGGTCCATGACTCCTCAGGTCCTGGAGAATTCTGGAGAGGTGGAAGGGGAATGCTGTGAAGACAGTGATCTGAGTAATCTTGTGGTCATGAGCTGTGGATTTCCTCTGGGCAAGCTCTCCTCAGGTTGAGCAATTTTCAAAGGGCCACCCTTTTAGATCCTCTTCAGGAAGCATGAAAGGGAAAGATGCCCATGCACGATCTATCCCTTACTCAGGGTCATATATCAGCCTCTGCTGGGAGATCTGATCAGCTGGCTCCAGGTGCATCATGGGAAACTGGGAAGCAGGGGCTGTGAGCAGGAAGTCAGCAGTGTCACACCCCGGAAAGCAGCCCCTAGCCCCAAAGACATTTTTTTCCCCCTGAAAGAGCCACTCTAGCTTGTATTTCCCTCCTCTCTGGCCTACACCAGGCCTCCTCAGGCCTCACTAGGCTAATGGATCACTTGGGTTAAACTCACTTAAACTCACTTTTGCATAGGATGGTACTTAGCAATCATGAAAAAAAAAAAAAGTCCTCTGTGGCTTTTCATCTGTAATCCCTAATTACCATCTCATCTACTTTCTCTGGAATCATATAAAGCACATTTATCCCATTCAGGAATGTTGGAGTGAATAAAAATTTTTTAAAAAATTAGGAGCAGTAATATTGTTTATTTTATTTAGATGGAGAAGCTCCAATTATTTTTTGTACAACCAGATTGATGATAAAAGGTGTAAAACCAAATGTCAAAATTCTGAATTCTGTGATGAGAGAAATGAAACCTGCCTGGTAAAGAAAAGCCCTACGAGTCATTTTCTATTCTTATATTACCTAGTTCTTTCATTGAAAAAAACAAAATGTAATGCTTTTCTGGCAACAAAAACATAATAACTAGTTCTAACCTTTGTCAATGCAGCACAAAAACAGAGTTATTTTGTTTAACACCAGAAACTCACGAATTAAAAACTGAAAGTCATTGGTAACCAAGGAAACTAACAGTGAATGGTTGGGTGGAACTCATTCAAAGGAAGATAAGAGGTAGGAGACATATAATGCAGCATAAGTTAAAATCCCACTGCAAGAAAAGATGCACCTTGCCAAAGTAGCCTGTATCAGCTCTATTTACATTTTGCCAATTTCTTGTAACAAAATTCCCTACTACAAACAATCCGATACAAGAAATACATGTATTTGACCCTTGTCCACATAAGAGTCATGTTTGATAATAAAACCAATTAGATTTTTCATTTTGTCTGTGGCCCTTTAGCAATCCTCAATTCTGCACTCAAGGACTGTTACTCCAACGTCCATACCAAACATTTCCTGCCAAAATATTTATTTACTATTGGGATGACCAAGTTATCTCCTGGAATATAACATTGTCAATGCACCTATTCATAATGTAAACCCAGATACCTGCCTACTTAGTCATCTTTCTCCCTGTTTAATTACCAGTCAAAAGCATTAATAGGATGCCAGCTATGCTTGCACTGAGTGGAGAGTTAGAGGAGACAATATGTAGAACCCTTGGCCAAGGAACAGACAACCGAAGAGACAGAACAAGCATATGGAGTGAAAAATAAAAGACATTCAATGGGAAAAAACTGCAAGGGAAAACATAGGAACTGTACTTTGCCAAGTCTAGCTACATAGTACAGAGCTAATAGCAGATAGAGGGAGGGAGTGGAACGATTGTCATTGCTTAGGACAGGCTTCTTGGACTAGCTGAAGGAAGAAGGGAAAGAGGCAGGGATGGCAGGAGCTGTAGGAAGCTTCTGAGGCAGGGAATGTGTCAGGTGTGAATGATCAGAAGTAAAAGACAATAATTTGTACTTGGTATAAGGGAGTGCGAGTATGAACACATGTACCTCTGTGTATAAGAAAGTCGGCTTGGTTTGTACATGGTGTACAACCTACACTAGAGGAAGGGGCTGGTGGGGTGAAGAAGCATGTGATTAGGAATCTGGGGTTCATAGGATTATAATTGAAAAAGACAGAAAAAAATCATACTGCTCAGCTCTTCATTTTCAGGTAGGTAAATATCCAAAACATGGGGCACCTAGTTCTAAAACGAGACACCATGACCTTACAAGTATTATTACTACAACCATTTCTGGAGTGCTTTCTGGGTGCCAGATACCTCACTCAGAAGGTTGCAAGTAGTATGTCTAATTTTCATGATATTCCCACAAGGTAGGTACAATTATCCTCATCTTACAGATGAGAAGTCTGTGGTTTAGAGAAGGTCAGTAACTTGCCCAAGGTCATGCAGCTATTTGAGTCTGGGATGCAGATCCAACTCTGATTCCCAAATTGGAACTTCCCCACTATAACATGCTGCTTTTCTTAGATGCACACTTCAAAGAGTACTAGATGTAGGAAAGCATTAATTTCTGGCAGCTCATCTACATCCCTCTGGTCACGGAAATATGTCTGAATATTTAAAATAAACAGACAAAATTTTCAGACATTATCATCATCTGAAAGTAACAAATTCTGCTGGTCGGCCCTTGAATTTTCTGCCAGCTGATACAGGGCAAAAGTACCAGCATGACGTCATGGACAGATATCACATCTGCTTGGCTATTTCTGTTCTTAGATAAAGCAACTGACTAAGAAACCTATTAATTAAATCACATGTGGAGCTGCAATCCAATGGGACTTGGAACTGCCTACTTATGGTTTTGCTTTGGAAGCAAGTCAGGAATTTCTTGGCATGGAGTGAATGGGTAGACCTTAGGTGCCATCCTAAGATATTTTTAATGTGAGCATTGTCATGCAGGAAGTTGCTCCCAATTAAGCTTAAGTAGTGGGCAAAAAAGTGCTGTCTTTAGGGAAGCAACATCACCTGGTTCTGCGTGGAGGCTGCTGGCATGAAGCTTAACAGAATGAATTGGGCCTGTGGATTTGGGGGGATGCCAAGCAACAAATTAGTTCTGCACCTAGTAGATGAGGCTGTAATTTTTTTTCTTGGCTGGGAGGAGGGATGAATTTTTGCAGGTGAACATCATGAAAAAGTCCCTGCAGGCAGGTGGAATGTCAAAGCGTTCTATGAAAATTTGAATGATGAAAAGGGTGACCTGTACACATGGATGGGGTCAAACCAGGGTTTAGAGCAGGGGTGTTTGCAAGTGGTAGCTGCTCAATCCACCTGTAGCCTGTTTTTGGCTGGCCCATGAACCAAGAATGATTTTTCCATTTTTATGGGGTTAAAAGAACAAGAAGAAAAATAGACACAGACACCATATATGGCCTATAAAGCCTAAATTATTTACTATCTGGTCTCTTACAGAGAAAATTTGCTGGCCCCTGGTTTTGAGCATTGCCTCTATGGGGCCTTAGGGCCTCTCTCTGCCTCGCTGTTCCACTCTGGGTGGCCTAATCACTTGCACTTATTACTCCAACCTCAATTTTGGGTTCAATCTGTCTTCTCTCCCGGATGTTTCCACTCAGTTTTAAAATATCTTTATATTTCCATGACCCTGCCTCCTCTGATAAAGATTCTCTCTTTGACCAAACTTTGACCCCTCTTCTCCACTGGGCCTCAACCTTGGCCTCTAAGGACTGCAGACTCTCAGCACAAACGATTTCATGTACCCCAACTGCATTAAGGCCTAAGCCAACTGTAGCATGGTTTTTAATAGCTCAAGGCCATGTCCCTGGGACAACCCAGGCCTCCTTAAGCTCCTATCTGGGAAACCTTAAGGCTGCCAGAATTTACTGTTTGTTCCAGCCAACACCTGAAGGTAGGGCCCTGTCTCCCAGCCTCTGTGGAAAAGTAGGAGCCTAACTACATAAGCACCAGTTAACAAGCTGAGATGGCCAATCACAATGAATAGCCTCCCTCCCTGATTTTTGTAATTTTCCACTTCCCTGACTCTGCTGGAGCTGCCACTACCTACTTTTTCTTCTCTTTTTAAAATGCCCAGTCACCTCTGCACAGATTGAAATTGAGCTCAGTTTTCCCTAGACGCTCTTCCCTACTATAGTAGTTACCGAGTAAAATCTGTTTTTCCTGCCTTTAACTAGTGCCTGGCTTTGCTTCTCCTGCAGCTTTGCTCCCTTCTTAGAGTGGCCCTCGTTCACCACCTCCAAGCCTCCTCCTCAATCTCCAGCAATCAGGGTGCTATCGCTACAAAATCCCCACTGACTCCTAGTGGCCTCTTTGCAGTGCTTATGTTCCCAGGCCTTCTAGCACTGGATCCTATGCTAAGACCTTTTCTGAAATTCCTCAAACAGATACATGTTTGGGGTGATGGATATCTCAGTGACCTGGATTTGATCATTACACCTTCTATACAGATATCAAAATATCACATGCATCCCCAAAATATGTACAACTATTATATATCAATAAAACAAAATAAAATAAAAAAGAAATTCCCAAGTGTCCATGGTGCTGCCATCAGCTAGTTCTGCTCCTACTTCTCCAACTAATTTGCTTCACTTTTCCCCCACTGGCCCTTCAATGCTGGTGTCCCCTGGGGCTTTTCCTTGGCCCTTTCTCCATACTCTACACACCCTCATTCATGGCTTCAATTAACACTGCCCACTGCCCCAGGTTGTCAAGTCAGCTTTTTGAGTGTCTGTGGACATCCCATCTTCTCAGTCTCAGTCTGTGCCAAACCAAACACCATCTTGTCCCCAAGCCTCCTCCTCCTTTTGTACTTCCCTTCTCAGTTAAAAGCATCTCCATTCACCTAGTTGCCAAGCTTGCAAACTCAGATGCCTCTCTCCTCCTCCTGGTCTCCATCTTATCACAAAAGCCTGTGGATCATATGGGGGACGTAGATAAGGTTACTAACATTTATCGAGCATATATTATGGGTCAGAAAACCATGCTAGGCACCCCACATATGTGATGTCATTTAATCCTCACAATAGCCTGTGAGCCTGAAATTATCACCATTTTACAAGTCAGGAAACTGAGGCTCAGACAGATTACTAGTTTTCTCAAGGTCTCACTGCTAATGACAGGCAGAAGCTGACTCCAGGGCACACGCTCTGATGTGCTTCATGGGCAAGATCAAAGAAGTGGTATAAGCTGGAGGCATAGAAGTGCCACTAGAAATGTATCACTATAATGCAGGCTTGGAGACAGAAGTGAGAATACCTGGCTCAAGTCACTTCTACTTCTATTGTATGCTTTTATAAACAATTATGATGCTGGATCTCTTGTATCCAACTTAGTCCTGCCTGCATGAAAAACAGAGACAGGCACCCTGCCTCCCTTTCCTTCACAAACTGAAATGCTGAGGGCATGTGCCAGGGCAAGCATTTGATCCACTGCCAGGCACAGAGGCACCATGGAGCAGGTGCCAAGGCCCCAGGATCCAGGGCTGCGCACAAACATATTTCCTCAGGGATCGTTAATCCTTCGAGCACCTTGGGTTCACACAGCTTACGATGCATTCCGGCCAGCTATCCTAAGGTTTAAAATCTTTATTTTAGAATAGTAGCAATAAGCAGTCCAGACAATCAAGCCTTTGTTCAAATTTCTGCCAGTTTTAGAGCTTGAGGAGGTTTGGATGATTTTAGGTCATGGAAGAGAAACTGCATCACCAGGGAAAGTGCTTCTCAGTGTGGTTCATTAAACTGCAGCCTGTTTTCTACTTACTCAAAGATCTGATAAACTTCCCTCAGTGGTTTGGCTCAAATCCACCCTCGTTCCATACCCCATGCAGCATTATGCAGTCTGATTTATTCTTACGGTGGCTGCTCTCTTACCCCGCTGCTGTACTCCGAGGTGACCCTGCTGTCATAAGAAGATGGTTAGTTAGATTCTTAAAAGTCCTTTGAGATGCAGATAGACTCTAACTGAAGCAAGTCACTGTTGAGTCTGATTTTTTTTAACCAAACTCTCTTTGACAACATGAATCATTCATCTTACAAGTTTCTTAGTGATGCCCCATAGAAATTTTGAGTCACCATAAGCGGTTGTCCATTTTGCTTTAATGGCCTGTTTCCTTCTCCTGTCATTGACTTCTTTTGCATCTCCCCACAGTGCCTAGGACAGCATTCTTCATGTACTGTGTATTGTCTACCCATCCAACTGTGTTTTTTTTGACAAAAGCCAAGGGTATCCAGAAGCTTACAGTGTTAAAGTGTTTACTTCTTCAGGCCGAAAAAGCTTTCTAAATATTATCAACTCTAGAAGTACTCAGGTGTAATAAAAAACAATGCTGTCATCAAGGAATGCAGTAATCTGAATGGAATAATTTAATTTTGCTCATGCATTGTCCATGTTAGCTTAGTCTGAAATATTTCCCTAATATTCCTCATTCATTAAGTCTTAAAGCCATTTAACTAGCTAACTCTCACCTGAAGGGACTGCTCGCTAAGTAGGGGGAAGCAGTGAGGAACAATGATTTCTACCATCACCCTTTTTGTCTGGGAGTCGTCTGCTAAGTGCCTCTTCCTTGCTCTATGGTATAGGTTCTTCAGCATCTTCTGAGGCTGCCAGGGATGTGTGCACCACAGATGATTGCTCAGGAAGTCCCTGGAGAAGCCATATCCTCATTGTGGTGGCCTAACAGCAGTCTCTGCCTACATACTATTTCTTCTGTTCATTGCACCAGAACATGTGGCATCCAATCTTGGCATCTTAGGCTCCCTTTCTGCTTATTCAAGCAACTGCAGACTTGTGCTCTCAGTTGCCACTTTCCCTCAATGTAAAAGCCTTCCATTGGGCCTCACTTCTTGAATGGGAATAAAACAGGGCCCTTGATAAAGTCTGCTCTCTTGCCCCTGTACTGGGGAAGTGCTTCTTAATCTGCAATGGGCTGATGGAAGCTACTTGAGGATCTATCAAAAAGGCAGATTTCTAGTCAGTAGATCTTAGATGAGATGAGATTCTGCATTTCTAACAAGCCCCAGATGCTGTCAATGTAAACAACTGACCATGCTTCTTTTGAGTACAAGGTGCTAGATCCAATGATGCTGTGACAGCATCTTAAGTGGACCTCTCCAGAACAGCCCATGTTCCAATTTGGGACGTAAAGATACTTCCCTACTCCTGCTGCTCTCACTAACTCCCTGAGTTCACAACTCTGCCATAGTCCCACACAAATCCTTCCCTCTCCC
The DNA here is from genome assembly GCF_000001405.40 of Homo sapiens. NCBI lineage: Eukaryota > Metazoa > Chordata > Mammalia > Primates > Hominidae > Homo > Homo sapiens. The sequence goes on along the minus strand of NC_000007.14, from coordinate 104,649,686 downwards.
TGAATTTAGATGCCTTTAACAGTCTTGTGCCCTTCCAACAGGAGGCTTTGTTTAGTTTTTCAAAATCTGAAATCCATCAAATGTTATGGTTTGGCCCCGTCCACCTCTCTGGGCTGGTCTCCTGCTCCCCTCCTTTGTCCCAGTTATCTTCCTAGGAGCTAATATTAGCTGAGAGGTCACTATGGGACAGGTGCTGTCCTTTGATCTCTAAAAATTCCTTTTAAATTTTCAGGGCTCTTGTACATACCATACCTTTACCAGAAGACCCTCTCCCCCACTCTGTTATTGTGTGGTAAGAGGTTCATGCCACCTCCTCTGGGAAGTCCTCCAGGATCCTCTGGTGGGACCGCATGATTCCTGCTCTGTGCTCCCACAGCTTTCTGGACAGGTCTGTTTTATTTTGTTCATTTGCCTGCCTCTATTTCCCAAATGCACCCTCCAGACTGTGAGTTCCTCAGGTGTCTGTGAAGTGTTTTGTCATTCCTACCATCCATCTCAATGCCTTTCCCTGCTCTTCCAATTAATGCAATTAAGTGAATTCTGCTTGCTAACCTATTTGCTCTTCAGAACAGTCAAACCCTCTCTCAACTCCTGGATCATGATGTTAGCTGAGCAGCAGCTAAGTGATGCCAAGTGAAGTGGATTGATCCACTCTACTGGAAAACAAGGAGTGTAGGAAAATAGGAGGGGAAGAACATAAAGGACCTAGAGGCCAGGATGTGTCCATAGAGCTTCCTATGGTTTGTGTTGGATGGCGGACAGAACATGGCAAATGCAGCAGAATAATTACAGAATTAAATATTCTTATGTGTTACTCTGACAAACAGCACTGCATGGCGATGAAGAGAATTGTGCCATAGGCCAGATGACCTGGGCTTAATCTGCATGAACAACTTTACTTTTAGAGCCTTGTTTTCCAGATAGGACTAGCACTCCCCACACAGGCGGCCATTGTGAGGATTTATATGGGCTTAACCAGGACCAGCACTTATCTCAGTGCTGGGTGTAAAGTAAGCGCTGTACACATCATAGTTATTACATTATATATCACCACATTAATCTAAAAGAGAATGTAACAAAATGGTGCAGGGTTAGAATCAGAGAAGCTTGTTTCTAGCTGGGTGACACTGGGTAAGTTACCAAAACTTATCTTATCTTTACAAGTTTCGTGTCCTCAAATGGAAATAATACCACAGTTTCTTGATTCTGTGATTCTGTGATGCCACCAATGGAAAGACATTTCATTGATTTAATGACGGCTTTTTCTTTTTGTAGGGGTCTGGAGGAATAAAATATTAATGGTATACATCATCTGAGAGCTTTGTCTTAGAATGGAGGAAATATGGCTCATTGGAGAGCTCAGAGAGGCAGTATCTAGAAAGCGTCTGAGCACAGGGCTTGGCAGTGCATAAACAGTACCCATAGCTGTGATGATCACTATTATGAATACAGCAGCCCATGAATTGGAACAGCACATACTTCAGGACTTGTGTCTTGGCCACTGGCTTCCTACGTAAGAGAGGTCCTTCAGGAGTAAATATCTTCATGCTTTGATCTATAGATGGAAATGGCCCGGCCTAGTCAGTAAAGAAGCTGAGAACATACACTAAATATCTAATAGAAACTAATCTCCAGTTATCTCATTAGGGGCATTCCTCATAAGTCAGATATTACTGCAAATACGAGTTAATCCATTTTAGTTAGCAGGCATGTCAGCTCGTTTATCTGTTTATTTCAGTACCATCCACTGTGTCAATTAGAGAGGTGTCCAGTAGACCCTGGTGGTTGGCTGACACTTCCCAACTCCCTTTCCTCTCTGGCCAACGAATTGTCAGCAGGAGTCTACTGTAGGGTTCCTGGGAAACTTTTGCTTTCCTGATACAGAAGCTGCCCCTTCCTCTTTCTCCTTCTTCCTAAAGGAACATAAAAGAGATGGCAGGAACCGCAGCTGCCATCCAATGACTGTGAGGAAATGGAGAAGAAAATCATTGAGATTTGTGCACTGTGAAGTTTTTAAAACAAATTCCAAGAATTTAACACGAGAAAAACAAAACTCTTCTTATTTAAGCCACTATGGTTGAATGTGCTGCTACTTGCAACTGAAAGCATTCCTAATTAATACAGTATGTTTCAAAAATAAATATTTGTTGTGGAATAACCCTGTAAGTATGTACCAAGAACCAATGCAACAACAGGAAGAAAAACTGACAAATTATTCAAGACTCTTCCTAGATGCCTGTAGAACACAAATTCCCAATCCCATCTTCATTCATTATATTTCCTCAGAGGCTGGATGAATACTTTTCTCAGTCAGAAATCACTAGCTCAAGCCAAATTCGGGTACCCAGTGCAGAGCTGCCCTGAGTTGGAGATGTGTAGGCCTGTATTAGGTCAGATTAGTTTATTTGGGGTGGTGCATGCCATGAGCCTGTCTGAAAAAAGGGAGAGGCTTTCAAGAGTTGGTCCAGACAGAGAAATTTCCTCTTCTTGAAAAACTTAGGTCAACAACTCATATGCTTCAGCTACTATATTACAAATAGTAAAAACAGGAAGATTGGTGCTTTTGTTATGCTAAATGAAAAGAAGTAACTAATTCAGGCTGCCCTTGAGACTTCCAGACTGTCCTGGGGTATCCAAGGTATTACTGACATCTTTCACTGGGCATAGGATGGGATACATCATGCTGGGATAAACGTCTGTTTATAAGGCTGTTCTAGTACTCCACAGACTGAAGTGAGATACTCATGCTCATGGCTCTGTGAGTACTTGGGACATGGAAGGGGAGAGAGGCACTGTGCTTATTCATGTTTGTATTCCAGCACTTAAACCCAGAATCTGGTATTCAAAAGAAGTTTGCTAAATACTGAATAAATCAAATAGATTCTATTAGCAGTGAGTTGGTAACTCAAGTTTCATTTCTGTATTCTAAGTATATCATTCTTGTGGAAAATAAACTTAGTGACTAATGATTTAGGTTATATAAACATTCAATAGCTCAGTCCCCTATAATTATGTTTACGTTTGATTAGGGGAACTATAATTCGTGTCTTCCCATTTAATTTATTTTAGTACAATATGCATTATAAGTAAACTTGGAGAATCTTCCCAGTTAAAACAATTTTCTTATTGAGTTTAGAATTTATTTTCCCAATAGAAACCAGATAATGCAGCCAAAAATGTTTCAGATCCCTTTCCTCTCTGTTTGCCAATTCTTACATCCTATTTCACAGAAATAAAGCTCAGAATCATAATTCCTCATTGTGCATACTTGGAGTGCTATTTTTCTTCACTCACAATGATGTTGATGATAGCTTAAAGAATGTTAATAGCGATTAGGGCGTGCTATAGAAAATAAAACTTGGAGTCCTTGGTGAGCAACTAGTGACTCAAGTGGAAGTGAACAAATTCTTTAAAATGCATGTTTGTCAACGGAATAGCTGATTTACTAGCCCACTTACAATACAGCTCAAATTGGGTTGTTGGTGCACATAATGTACTTAGGCTTCACATCAGTGTTATTACCTCTTTTTTATGTAATCTGGGAAATGAGGCTCACAGAGGTTAAGTGCCTTGTTCTTGGTTATTTGGTAAGTAAGAGGTGGTGTCTAGAGTAAAACCTAGTCCTGCCTGAGGGTGAAGCCTCATGTCTCACTACACCTCATTGTCTGGAGAGCTATGGGGGAGCCTATCCAGGAGAATTAAAGTCCTATTCCAAAGCACATCAGCATAGGTGTATTGTACTTTAAGAAAACCCAATCCAGCACTTTGGGAGGCCGAGGCGGGCAGATCATGAGGTCAGAAGATCGAGACCATCCTGGCTAACACAGTGAAACCCCGTCTCTACTAAAAATACAAAAAATTAGCCAGGTGTGGTGGCGGGCGCCTGTAGTCCCAGCTACTCGGGAGGCTGAGGCAGGAGAATGGCGTGAACCCGGGAGGCGGAGCTTGCAGTGAGCCAAGATCACGCCACTGCACTCCAGCCTGGGCAACAGAGCAAGACTCCATCTAAAAAAAAAAAAAAAAAAAAAAAAAGAAAACCCAATAGAGCAAATATGTCAGGAGAGTTGCCTCACTTTCCATGAAGATTTAGACATGCACCTTTGGTACATTTTGCTGCATTTATACATGATTTCCTTCACAGAACTACTTCGCATTCTCTTTTTGTCAAGAACACAATTATTGTGAGATCATCTTAGGGAACATAGTACTCATCGAGGAATTTTTTAAAAAATTATTTTCACTGGGCAATTATATTTCATGGATTATATGCACACCATCCATCCTCGTCCAAGTTTTGTTTCTAATGCACTTTTGTCTCCCACTTTCCCTTTTTGAAAGCAAAAATAAATAGGCGGAATAGTAAGCTAAACCAAGAGGGTCATTGCTGGGCAAAATTAATCTTTGCAAACCAAAATAAAGCAGTTTTGAAAAAAACAGAGTTGGAGAAATGCATCATTAAACAGAGCTGTTTTTATGGCCAGCCTCATTAGCCATAACCCCGGCCCACCCAGTGAAGAATGCCTGGGTTTACTATGCATATGTGAAATAAGCAAAGCATAAGCTGTGTCTACACAGGCAAAGCGATATGAAGAATTCAGATAATCATGCATAAAATTCAATGGAAAAACCTGAATGGCTGCCTCTTGGTTATGTTGGGAACATTTTTATAGAAAGATCACAGTGGAGACAAGGTCTGGGAACTGCAGAGGGGCTGTGGGGTGGGGTGGTGTAATAGAGAAGAGACCTGGGTTAATGGTCCTCAACACTATTTTTCAAAACCACTTAGGAGCTTTAAAAACATGCCAATAGCTCAAGATTGATCTGGCATGAAGCTTGGGCCTCCTGTAGTTTAAAAGCTCCTCAAGGTGATACTTACGTTCAGCAGGGCCGGGAAACCACTGGGATAGATGACAGACACATGGGCAGCAGGGAGGGGGAGGAATGTCCCAAGCGGGAGCAACAGGCACTAACAAGGGAGAAGAGTCTGCTCCAAGGCCTCCCTCACAGCTCCACAGCTAAGTATAAAGCCATGACTCCTGCTGGATATCACATACTGCTGAATATCAACGAGTCCTTCTACCAAGAAAATTCAGTCTTAAACATCATAAAGTGCTCAGCTTGGCACTTTATGAAGAAAATGCTCCTAACTGAGTCTTAGGACAGATTCCAGGTGTTGCTTTCCTGGGAGCGGGCATGGATGCTGCCAATGCATCCTTGCTTTTTCCTGTGTCGGCTTTCATATAATCACCCAATAATATTTATGTGCCTGTGTTACAGGCAGTTTATGAAAAAGGAGTTTCTGTGAAACTGTTGGGTTAAGGAAAGTTAGTAAAGCACTCTCACAGCATTGGCAGGCAACATTTGGGTTAGTGTTTGCACAAGGGCTATGGGAAAGAGGATGTGGAGGGGGGCATGAGGTTTTGCACCTATAGCCATGGGATCGATCACTCTACAGATACAGTTCTGAGTTTTGCTAGAAAGATCCAGCAAACAAAACTGTAATTAATGACTGCATCAGTGAAATATTTGTCTGGTAATAAATGAGGTACTTGGTAATTAGCATTTTGACTAATCTGTGAAATCAATGACCAGCTATTTTGACAACTGTCAGTTCAGAAATGAGAAAAGTTTTTTTTATCAATGGCTATACTCTCCCCATAGAGTTAACACTTAGCAAAGAACTAGTAGTTGACATCCGTTAATGATGCTTGGATTTGAACTACATTAGCTTATCGAAGCTCACCAATAGATTTCTCAGGGTTTCTCATGGATAAGATCATGGTTCAATAGCCACCCAAGAAAATCCTGCAAGTTTCACCACGTAGGATGGGAGTTCCTTTGTAAATGAGCTATGCCCTGGCATTTTTGGAAGCTTTACACTGAAGATGGAGCCCCCTGCTGGATCTTGCGCAGGTGGCCTAAATCTAAATTTAAGCAAAACCAGTAGTTTTCAGCTTTGGTTGCCCACTAGAATCATCTGGGGAGCTTTTAAAAAGCCCAGGCTGCATCTCAGACCAAATAATTTATTTCCTTTGGGGTGGGGTCCAGGCTCTTTGGGTGATTCCAGTGCACAGCCAGGGTTAATCTCTACTGACCGCAAGCCCTCTGTGGGGCACTCAATTTCTTTACTGCTCTAGTTTTACCCTGGAGATTGCAAGACTTAAATTTCTAGGAACTCTTCAAGAAAATCCATACAAAAATATACAGTGTAGGTATCTAATGTGTAACAGTCCTTGTGCTAGTAGTAGTAGTAGTTAAGAGTAACAACAAGAATAATACTGAAATTATCTATTACCTCATTTAATCAAAAGAAAAAGTGTTTGAGGTAGGTACTATTATTACATCTATCTTAAAAATGAGAAAACTGAGTCTTATGAAGCTTTCATGAATCTCTGGGAAGGCTCAGAATTTTTATTTACCATGTCCCTTTTTTATTTCCTGCAGGAAAGCTTGGTAAAGAAGGGGTCAGAAGGAAATGAAACCAGAAGGCCTGCCCTCCTATAGAGAGAGCCAGATGAACAAATTAGGCTCTACCAAAAGGAGAGATTTGGTGGATCCAATTTTATCCGAAGTTTAGACTTCAGATTCATGCCCCCTCTGCAAAGTAGAAACAAAGCTGATTCTATTTGAAAAATATAGAAAACAAAAGACATAAATAAATAACCTTAAAAATTCTTGGCCAAATATCACTAAAGTTAGACTAAAAAGAAGGTAAGCTTTTAACTTTGTAAAACTGGAGAAAACTGAAAAATCACTGTGTATCACAAGATTAAAACAATAACAACAACACAATGACAGCTCAAGAAGCAGGTGCTGGGTTATAGTTGTATAATCTTTTTACATGTGGAATGCCTGCTGGTAAAGGGGGAACCTTCAGGGGCTTAGGCTTCCACCAGCTGCCTTCTGACGGATCTGGCAGCAGATGGAAGCCTGATGCTCTCCAGCCTTCTCCTGTCGCACCCTGCATGTGAGAGTGGGGGCCCAGGCTATGGGAAGGAACCAGAGAGGAGGGCAAGCAGTGGCTGTATTTCTGCATGGAGAGGTAAGAATCTCTACATTTATTAATAAGGAGGAGAAAGGAGAGAAAAAATTCCCAAGTGAGAAGCTTCATTTTGTAAAAACAACTTATACTGAGCTCTAGAAATTGAAGGGGGAAGTAAACAAAAATTTTCAGTTGGAAACATTCTTATTTATGTTTGTTCTCTACCATATTTATTCCAGAACAACCAGATTACTCTAGGGGAGGAATAGCAAATAAAGCAATTTGTGAATCTTGGAAGTTATGTTGGTCAGTAGAAAATCTCTGTGTGAAGTAATTTAAATACTGCTCCTGAAGAATCTTTAAGAGTCATAACCTAGGGCCAGGTACGGTGGCTCACGACTGTACCTGGGAGGCTGAGGTGGGCGGATCACTTGAGGCAAGGAGTTCGAGACCAGTCTGGCCAAGATGCTGAAACCCTGTCTCTACTAAAAACACAAAAATTAGTTGGGTGTGGTGGCACACACCTGTAATTCCAGATATTTGGGAGGCTGAGGCATGAGAATCGCTTGAACCTGGGAGGCAGAGGCTGCAGTGAGCTGAGATTGCACCACTGCACTCCAGTCTGGGTGACAGAGCAAGACTCTGTAAAAAAAAAAAAAAAAAAAAAAAAGTAATAACATAAAAATCTGTTATTTTTATTGTCCATTTTGTTATGTCTGGGCATAAAACTTGGGTTGCTTTTCATCACTTATGTATTACTTCAAAAACATCAGCTACTATTTTGAGGTATAGATAACAGATACCTATCACATCCATGAAAAGTCATTTTCTTCGGTAATCACCTACATTTCATACAGGGGAAAGTATTTTTTTCTATACCTATAAATAATAAAATGAAGTTCTGATAGAACCGAATCTTTCTGAGAATGTGAACAGGCAATCTTGTGAACATTTTAACTGGGGACTTTCTAATCTCTCCAATTTGTTTCTCCTATCATATAAAGCTTTCCCCCTCCCCTCAATTTAAGAAGGAATTTGTCATGGAAACCACAGGCCAGAGCGCATCAGCAGAGTGACTATCCACTAAAGAAATCCTCTCATTTTTCATGTAATGGAAACTTCCAAGAAAGGGAAGTGTATACTCAAATACTACTCTTTCTCCAAAAGAAATCTGTTCTGATTCTCTGGTATACCTCTAACGAAAATGGAACAAATGATGGCTACTTATTGAGAGATAATTACTCCACAAGCAATCGGTCAGATCCTTTCTCATAACAAAATTAGCTCATTTGTGTATCCTTTCTACATAATTTACTGAGCATGTTATGTTCTCCACAGTGCATTAAGCAAGGGAGCGAGCAGACTGGTCTCGTTTAAGTGAGAAGCTACTTGTGATTCTAATTTGACTCAGCGGTTGATTATTTAAAGTCTGATATTGCCAGCTTTCAAGTGCATTGCTGGTGATGCAAAAGTAATGCCTGATGTATCTGGACTCTAAAACTTTTATTACTTTTGGTTGTTTTCAAGTTACATGGCATCCCACTTGGAAAGAAGATATACTGTCTAGGAAATAATGCAGTACCAAAACACAGTTGACACACACTTACTCCCTGCTATACTTTCAACCTAGCCTGCCTGATTCTTGCTCCCTCACCACAGATATGTTCACTTGGGAAACGAAAACCTGTCTTTAATATGAGTCAACCTAAGAAAGCAGCATGTGAGGGATAAATAGTCTTCTAAAATCATGTAATACGTTTCAAAATCAAACGTAACTTTTTTGTTCAATATTTGATAATATCTGAGCAATTCCCTCCATTAATAGATTAATTGAGAGTTAACTGCCAAGTGTCCAAGATCATTGCTCACATTTTCCTTATTTAGGGAATAAGGAAAACTGCAACTCATGTAAACTCTTGTAAATGAGTTTTACTTACTTACTGCAACTCATGTAAACTCTTAAAAATGCACATTTCTTGCAAATCAAAACCACAATGAGATACCATCTCGCATCAGTTAGAACGGCGATCATTAAAAAGTCTGGAAACAACAGATGCTGGCAAGGATTGGGTATATACCCAGAGGACTATAAATCATTCTACTATAAAGACACATGCACACATGTGTTTACTGCAGCACTATTTATAATAGCAAAGACTTGGAACCAAACCAAATGCCCATCAATGATAGACCGGATAAAGCAAATGTGACACATATACACCATGGAATACTATGTAGCCATAAAAAGGAATGAGTTCATGTTCTTTGCAGGTACATGGATGAAGCTGGAAACTATCATCCTCAGCAAACTAGCACAGGAACAGAAAACCAAACACCACATGTTTTCACTCATAAGTGGGAGCTGAACAATGAAAACACGTGGACACAGGGAGGGGAATCACACACCAGGGCCTGTTGGAGGGTTGGGAGAAAGGGGAGGGAGAGCATTAGGACAAATACCTAATGCATGCAGAGCTTAAAACCTAGATGATGGGTTGATGGGCGCAGCAAACCACCTTGGCACATGTATAACTATGTAACAAACCTGCATATTCTGCACATGTATCCCAGAACTTAAAGTAAAATAAAATTTTAAAGAAGTACATTTCTTAAGAACTCTGGTTCTATAGGAAACCCAATGTCATTTATGAATGGCAGAGTTTTCAACTATGCTGGAGAGGAGAAAAGGGAGATGACATGACAGATGCTGGCACTGTATATGCTGAATGAGCCCCATTTTGCCATCATTCTGCTTATAATCTAAGACTTTATTTTCCCAACACCTTAAAACTGCAAAAAGATCATAGAATAATTAAGGAGTTCTGACATATGGGAAATTCAAGTATGTTTCCAAATATACAGTTTAGAGGAATTATTTGATGTCAATGACTTTATATATGTTAATTCAAATTATCAACCCACATGAATCTGGCATACAGATAAGTAAATATTAATCATGAATATATGTGGTTGTTGGTTTCCTTTCAAGAGCCAAACCATAGTCTGCATTGCATTGCTTTTAAAATATTCCTTCCCATTCCCAAAATACTTTTCTTTATATGAAATAAGGATTTTATCTACTTATTTTACATTAAAAGAAAATTAAATTGTACTTCAATCAAAATATTACACATAAAAATAGTTGAAAAAGTCAAATAGTGCTAACAGTCTTATAATTAAAAAATGGCATTTTTTAAAGATGTATACACCACTAGCTAAACTAATAAAGAAGAAAAGAGGGAAGATCTAAATAATAAACACAATTAGAAATGACAAAGGGGACATTACCACTGACTCCACAGAAATACAAATAACAATCAGAGACTGCTGTGAACACTTCTAGGCACACAAATTAGAAAATCTGGAAAAAAATGGATAAATCCCTGGACACATACACACTCCCAAGACTGAACCAGGAAGAAACTGAATTCCTGAACAGACCAATAATGAACTCTGAAATTGAATGAGTAATAAATAGGCTACCAATCCAAAAAAAGCCCAGGACCAGGTGGATTCACAGCCAAATTCTGAATTCTACCAGATGTACTAAGAAGAGTTGGTACCATTCATACTGAAATATTGATGTAAAAATTCTCAAAAAAATTCCTGCAAACCAAATCCAGCAGCATATCAAAAAGCTAATCTGGCTAGGCATGGTGGGCCTGTAATCCCAGCACTTTGGGAGGCTGAGTGGGGAGGATCACTTGAGCTCAGGAGTTTGAGACCACCCTGGGCAACATAATGAAACCCTGTTTCTACCAAAAAAAAAAAATGCTGGGTGTGGTGAGGCGTGTCAGTAGTAGTCCCAGCTACTTGTGAGGCTGAGAGGTGGGAGGATCGCTTGAGCCTTCGAGGTCAAGACTGCAGTCAGCTGAGATTGTGCCACTGCACTCCAGCCTGGGTGACAGAGTGAGACTCTGTCTCAAGAAAAAAAAAAAAAAGCTACCCCACCATGATCAAGTAGGCTTCATCCCAGGGATGCAAGGTTGGTTCAACATATGTAAATCAATAAATATTGATACATCGTATAAACCAAACTAAAGACAAAAATCACATAATTATCTCAATGGATGCAAAAAAGGCTTTTGATAAAATTCAACATTCCTTCATGTTAAAAATGCTCAATAAACTAGGTACTGAAGGAACATATATCAAAATAATAAGATCCATCTATGACAAACACACAGTCAATATCATACTGAATGGGGAAAAGCTGGAAGCATTTCTCTTGAAAACTGGCACAAGACAAGGATGCCCTGTCTCACCACTCCTATCCAACATAGTATTGGAAGTCCTGGCCAGAGCAATCAGGCAAGAGGAAGAAAAAAAAAAGGCATTCAAATAGGAAGAGGGGAAATCAAACTATCCCTGTTTGCACAAGGCATGATTCCATATCTAGAAAACCCTATAGTCTCTGCCCAAAAGCTCCTTCAGCTGATAAACAACTTCAGCAAAATTTCAGAATATAAAATCAATGTACAAAAATCAGTAGCATTCTTATACACCAACAGCCAAGCTGAGAGCCAAATCAAAGAACGTAATTTCATTCACAATTGCCACAAAAAATATAAAATTCCTAGGAATACAGCTAACCAGGGGGTGAAACATCTCTAAAGTGAGAATTACAAAACGCTACTCAAAGAAATCATAGATGACACAAACAGATGGAAAAACATACCATGCTCATGAATAGGAAGAATCAATATCATTAAAATGGCCATACTGCCCAGAATAATGTACGGATTCAATGCTATTCCTATCAAACTACCAATGACATTCTTCACGGGACTAGAACACTATTTTAAAATTCATATGGAATCCAAAGGAGCCAGAATAGCCAAGACCAAGAAAAAAAAAGCTAAAAAAAAAAAAAAAAAAGCTGGAGGCATCACATTACCTGACTTCAAACTATACTAAAGGGCTACAATAACCAAAACAGCATGATACTGGTACAAAAACAGACACATAGACCAATGAAACAGAATAGAGAGCCCCGACATAAGGCTGGACATCTACAACCATCCAATCTTCAACAAAGCTGACAAAAACAAGAAATGGGGAAAGGACTCCCTATTCAATAAGTGGTGCTGGGATAACTGGCTAGTCATATGCAGAGGATTGAAACTGAACTCTTTCCGTACTCCATAAGCAAAAATCAACACAAGATGGATTAAAGACTTAAATCCAAAATCTAAAACTATAAAAATCCTAGAAGATAACCTAGGAAGTATCATTCTGGACATAGGAACTGGCAAAGATTTCATGATGAAGACGCCAAAAGCAATTGCAACAAAAGCAAGAATTAACAAATAGGATCTAATTAAACTAAAGAGCTTCTGCATGGCAAAAGAAACTGTCAAAAGAGTAAAGAGACAACTGTTAGAATGGTAGAAAATCTTTGCAAACTATGCATCAGACAAAGGTGTAATATCCAGAATCTATGAGGAACTTAAACAAATTTACAAGCAAAAACCAAACAACCCCATTAAAAAGTGGGCAAAGGATATGAACACTTTTCAAAAGAAGACATATGTGCAGTCAACAAGCATATGAAAAAGATGCTAAATATCACTAATCATTAGAGAAATGCCAACTAAAACCAAAATGATACCATCTCACACCAGTCAGAATGGTTAATATTAAAAAGTCAAAAAAAGCAGATGCTAGCGAGGTTGTGAAGAAAAGGGAATCTTTATACACTGCTGGTGGGAATGTAAATTAGTTCAACTATTGTGGAAAGCAGTGTGGCAATTCTTCAAAGAGCTAAAAACAGAACTACCATTCAACCCAGCAATCCAATTACAGGGTATATACCCAAAGGAATGTAAATTGTTCTACCATAAAGACACACACATGTGTATGTTCATTGCAGCACTATTCCCAATAGCAAAGACATGGAATCAACCTAAACATCCATCAGTGGTAGACTAAAGAAAATGTTTTACATATACACCATGGAATACTATGCAGCCATAAAAAGAATGAGATCAGGAACATGTTTGCAGGAACATGGATGAAGAGGGAGCTGGAGGCCATTATACTTAGCAAACTAATGCAGGAACAGAAAACCAAACACCACATGTTCTTACCTGTAAGTGGAAGCTAAATAATGAGAACAAATGGGCACAAAGAGGGGAACAGCAGACACTGGGGCCTACTTGAGGGAGAAGGGTGGGAGGAAGGAGAGTATCAGGAAAAATAACTATTGGATACTATGCTTAGTACCTGGATGATGAAATGGTCTGTACACCAAACCCCTGTGAAACAAGTTTGTCTATAATAACAAACCTGCACATGTACCCCTTAACCTAAAATAAAAGTTAAAAAAATTAGTACTTTTTGGTATCGTGTTTCATTGTTCTCCCATTCCTTGGATGTTAGTAGCACCATTCAACTCTTTGAGCTGTTCCTTCTGGCATTAACTTCCATATTTCTATATAATATACGTATACTTCTACCTCTAAATGCATCTGCTTTAGACACTAACTATTGAAAAAAGCTCTTAATTTCCTTTATGGTAGGTGAATATTCTTCCTCTCCTCCCAATATAATTATGCTTCAACTTTTGGTTAAGTCCATACATATTCAGTGTTTTCATTATAAAGACTATGCAAAAATTGTTCACTAGAAAGTTGATATGATTCTGTTTCCTGTCTTGAATTACATTTTATTGTTTCTAGAGTTGTCTTTTTTATTTACTCAGAGGTTTTCTTTAAAGGGAGGGCACCTGATTAAGTCTTTCCTACAACCTCTAACAGCTCTATAAACAGCCTCTCAGTACAATTTCTACAAGGTCAAATCTGTCATTTAATTTATTGACCCATTTCCCTCCTGGATACATTCCTCTTAGAGTCTTCTAGCTTTCTATTGCATCTTTGATGGACTGAGCTCTGGCCTGGGCAGAGCTTTCCTGCTGGAACTTCCCTTCATTCTCATACTGGAAGATCTCTTTGCCTCTTTCCCATGTTTGGTCCTCACTTGCCTTCCTTTCTCTTGGTTTACTCCTTTTGGTTCTGTAGGACACATTCTTCAGTAACTTCTTGAGAAATGGCACAGAGAGATAAATTTTTTGACTGCATGCATGTCTGAAAATGTTTTTTTCTACTTTCATATTTGCATGATAATCTGGCTGGATATAGAATTCAGGGTTAAAGTTCATTTTCTCTCAGTACTGTGAAGGTATTGTTCTATTGTCTTCCAGATTTTAATGTTTCTGTTGACAAGTTTAATACTTTTAAAAAAATTTTTTCTTTACATTTTGCCCATCTGTTCTCTCCAGAAGCTTTTCCAGTCCTCTCATTTTCCCTGATGTTCTGCAATTTCATTATGATGTTTGAGTAGACCTTTCTTCATTCATTGTGTTGAGTACTTGGAAGCCTTTTCAAACTGGAAATTAATGTCATCCAGTAATAGAAAGTTATCTTTCATTTATTTAAACATTTCTTTCTGTCTTTTAAGTTCTTTTTTTCTATAATTCCTATTAGTTGGATGTTGGGAATTCTGGATTGACACTCTATTTTCTTACCTTTCCCCCCCATATTGTCTATAATCTTTTTGTTCTATATTCCAGGAGATCCTTCTATTGAAAAGAAATTTGGCTGCACAATTTTAAATGTCCAAGTTGTTTTTACATATTCTTTAATTGTTCTTTAAAAAATATACATAACATTTTATTCTTGTTTCATATTTCTTTTACTTTTCTGAGCATTTTAACTACAGTTTCTTTGACATTTGATTCTGTTCTGTGTCTAATTCTGTTTCCCCTGAGCTCTGTTTTCCTGTTTGGTTTTAGTTTCTACATTTCATGTTGGAGACTTTATTCAAATGTCATATGATCCCTTTCTGTCCATTTATATTTAAGAGTGAGACACCAATGATTGAAGTTCTCTGGGTACAGGCAAGGCTGGTATACTAAAGGGCTTCACAGCCACAGCAACAGGATAGCCAGCTGGCCTTCTGGGGAGATATCTAAATTTAAGGACCTGTAGTTCTTTGTTGTGGCTCAATTTCTTCAAAGAAGGATCCCACAGTCTTCAGCTTAGGAGATATGATTCTGGATGCCAGCATACTAGGGCTGGGGGATGGAAGAAGACTGGGAGAGTTTCACTATTCACTCGGCAGATACTGACTTAATCCCCCCATTTTAAGTCTAACACTCTTTCCTCTTTGGTGCCTGGTGTCTTTGAGCCCAAAATGTATATGTTGAAGCCTCAACCCCTAATGTGACTGTATTTGGAGATAGGGCCTGTGAGGAGGTGATAAAGGTTAAATGAGGTCATATGGGTGGGGTCCTAATACAAATAAGAAAAGGAAAAGACACTTGTACTCTATTTCCACCATGTGAGGACACAATGAGAAGGGGATGTCTACAAGCCAGGAAGGGAACCCTCACCAGGAACAAAACCAACCATGTTGGCACTCTGCTGTCAGACTTCCAGCCTCCAGAACTGAGAGAAAATAAATTTCTGTTGTTTAAGCCACCTGCCATATGGTATTTGCTATGGCAGCCTGAGCTAGTTAAATGACATAGGGACCTCATATTTTATGAATAAATGTTTGTTAGCTATTGGTATTTATATGTCTACTATAGAAAATGAAGAAGACATCAGTGAGAAATAAAGATATTTGTTAGATACCATAAAAGTTTAGAATAATAGTGGATAATAATCATACTTAACCACCGTTTTATTTAAATCACTGAAATACGTAGGTGACTAGATAGAGGTGGTTGACGCTACCAAAGAAGTCTTTGTATCCAACACCAGCTGCTGGCTGTCACAAGTGGGCTGGACCCACAAAATGGGTAGCAAGGAAATAGGGTGGAGGATGGGTAGGGGGAAAATGAATACCTCATATTGAAATATTATAACTTAGTGTTGGCAACGTTAGTAGTTACTTTAATAAAGATGAAAATGTACAGATGGCAAATTCTTCCAAAGTGAGAACTTTTACATCTAGGACAGATTAAAAAGATAAATTAAATAGCCCCCACTAATGTAATTACGTGACATAGCAACAAATGGTACATGTTGTTATGTACCATACAAAATGATCCTTCACTGCCATATTGTAATGAACAAGTGGACAGTACATCTGATATCATTTTAGGAAGGAAGCTGTACAAGAATGGCAAGCCGAGGTGATTTCTTTCCTCAAAGAAACAAAATTATTCCTGGCTCATTATGGCTGTAACATTCAGCTAAACTGATGGGGATGAGAAACTGCGGAATCCTTAGAGTCATCATCCTATGGGAAGGCCCCAGGTAGACTTGTTTAATCCTGAATTATGGTTTTGTGCAGTTTCCAGTGACTTTTTTCAGCCACTTGAGTAGAAATAGTCAGACAAAATGCCTGTTGTGGATAGGAATTAATATTCTTTCCCTAGAAATTTGTATTTGTTGAATATAATCTAAGAACTCAGAATGGAAGACAAATCACTAAATTAAGCTTTCAAATATTCAACTGGCACTCAGGACTGACTGATGTTTTCCAAAGGCTATCTGACATTGAGAAACTGAATAACTTGCAGATGACGAAAATAGAAGCCTTAGCCAGGGTTGGAAAGATTTCAGAAGCCTCTTATAGAACTAGAAGTTGTGTCTAGACTTCCTCATCATCAACTGTCATCATTCTCATCACCATCACCCTTTGTACTTAAATTTTTTTCTTAAAAAAACCACGTATTCTGAGATGCTCACATGATTATTGAGACTATCCAATTACTTGTATAGTATTCATAGTTTCCATATCTAACCCCCTATCATGACTCATGCCTGTAATCTAGCACTTTGGGAGACCAAGGTGGGCAGATTGCTTGAACCCAGGAGTTTGAGACCAGCCTGGGCAATATAGCAAAACCTCATCTCTACTGAAAATGCAAAAAATTACTGTATTTTTGGGTGTGGTGCTGCGCACCTGTAGTCCCAGCTACTCTGGAGGCTGAGGTGGGAGGATCACCTGAGCTTGGGAAGTTGAAGCTGCAAATCTTGCCACTGCACTCCAGCCTGAGTGACAGGAGCAAGAACCTGTCTCAAAGCAAATAAAGAAACTCTTGTCATTTAACATCTAACATGGTGCCCTGAACTATATGTAATTCTGACTCAATTTAAAAGGGTTAGCTATATGGAAAACTAGAAGAACTGAATCAAGTTTCTCAGGAAACATTTATAAAATAGTCACTGCTCACTTTTTAAAATGTAATCAGGTTATTTCATAATGGTTATCTATTAGAAATTTCTTCACATTATAGAATGTGTAATAGTCTTTAGGCTAAGAATTCACATAATAGTTTAAAATGAACCATCAAATTCTTTCCTTTTATTAAAATAACAACGTCTACATCCTGAAGGTCATATTAAAATAGTGTTATTAGTAATGGTCCTATGCAACTTAATTATGTGTTGGAATTTAATTATTTGGGTCTCTGGGAGGCAGGGATGACTGCAAGTCTTGTTGCTACGTAAATATACAAAGCGATTCTAGAGGTCTCTTAATTGTATTCTTCCTAAAAGAAGTATGACCTCACCCAACACAAATGATTTAAAGGATAGGCTAAATATGAAGGTTGAGCCTGGTCTCTTTGCAGTAATATTGGGATAAGCAGGGATACCTTAGCCTGCTCACAGAATCTCATAAAGAACTGGAGAAAGAAGGAAGCCCAAAGAAATCTGTCCCATCCCTATCCAAAGACAGGTCACTCACTGCCTCCTAAAGCAGTCCCTGATTTTTCCCAGCACTGTTAATGTGGAGAACCTCCTTCTTATTTAATCCTCAGTTTTCCTTCCCATAACTTATTCCTGAAGGTTTCTTCCCTGCCCTCAAGGATGCTAATAAGTTAAAATCATCTTCCACTACAAAACACTTACAAAGGTTGTAGCTAGGTCTTGTCTATGCCCCCTTTTTCTTAGGCTAATATCACCAGGTATTTTCACTATTCTTAGCCTCTTCATCATCCTGTTTCAGAAGTGCTGTAGTTCATGACTATCTTTTGTTAAAAGAAAGTGCCTAGAAGTGAATGCAATATTGAAGGAATAGCAAAAGCTCTGCATATAAAAACCAGGCCAACATATTCCTTGTTCTGAACCCCACCAGTGGAGACTATTTTATCTTTTAGAAATCACATGAAATTGTGGGCTCATAGTTTACTTATAGCAAACTAACAATCACCCTCCTCCTCCAACCCAGTCTTTTTCACAAAAACTGATAAACCCATTCTTCCTCTATCCTTTACTTGTAGGGATAATCACTAGTCTCACTGAATATAATCACATCAGTTTTGACCACTGATTCTCAGCCACGGGTCATGCTCCTTTCAAGGGCCAATCGGGATTTCTGGAGGGGGTAGAGTTGGGTTGGGGGGACATAGCTGAGTAGTTTAAAAAGCATAGTGAATATGGTTTTACACTGAAAATGAAAGAGGACATTGGTAAACTTTTAGGAAATGAGAGGGCAAGATATTCCAGTTATCAATTTATTACCTCAGCTGCAAACTTATACTTCATTGCCTGCTCTGCAGAAATTGAGCTGGGCATTTTAAATGCTTTGTTGTTGTTGTTGTTGTTGTTAGCTAGGATGATGTCAAGCTTTGTCAGTAAAACGTGTTGCAGAAACATGGCAGAAGATCAGACACCTTCTTGTGAACAGCTTTTCTTGTTACACAAGGGCAGAATTTCAGCAAGTTCTGAAAGGCAGATTTCTAGCAAGTTCTACCAGTATGGCACCACAATGACTTCTCTGCCACTCAGTGAATCATAGCTCTTTCCTTTCCAATCAGGTATGGATCTCAGTCCCGGGGAATGGTGGGTGGGTGTGGACAGCTCTTCCTTGGACACTCAAACTGAGCCCTAAGGGTAGTGGTTGTTTCTTATTTCTGATATTCTTATATTCTTTAGAACTCTTTTTTACTAGCTAATCTGTTGCTCCAGTGTCCTCTTATAAATAATAATTATTTATATCCAACCTTCCCTGGTCAAGCTACTGTGTGTTTTTCTGCTATAATTGGACCTTGACTGATATACAAGGGCCATGAGAGAGAACTGGTTCCAGCTTGTAAAGATCAGGTAAGTAAATATCTCAATACCTAAAAAATGCAAAACAAAACAATGGAGCTGTCTCCTGCCTTGGATCACATGGTGCTAAGTTATTAAATCCAACTCCTGTGCCTGGTATTTCAGGCCTCCTGTCAATGGTCTCTATGCAGCTTCACCATTTCAGAAATCCCACTTTTCATATTTTTTTTCTTGTCAGTACTTTTTATTCCAGCCAAATCTGCACGCTACCCTGCACAAGGTGACCTATATTCTCACATCCACCCATTCATTTTTTCCTATGCAATTACCTCTTAATTCCATGTTTATTTCCTTCTGTAAACCAGTCCTAACTCCTTATAAACCCAGCTCACCATTCAAGTTCTTTGAAAAATCTCTCTAGACCTTCTCACACACTATTTGTTCATTTGTCCTGTATGTGCCCCCAGCACTTCTATGATCTTAGTGCACACATGCAATATAAAATATACATTTTAAATACTTGAAATCTCTTCAATAAGACTGTTGAGACTCCTCCCTGCCATTAAGTCACAAACTCCTCAAAAGCAAGGACTTTCTCTTTTATTTCTCCTATATTTCTTTCTTGAGGGACCTGGTACTATGCTTATCAGAGGCTTCTTGCTTATTGGAGCTAACTGAATGACTAGGGACAGCTGGAACTTTTAGCTCTTTGTCAGTGATTTTTGACAAATGATGTGCTGACATCTGCTGCAGAAGAAAAGTGCACAAAGAAATTATCCATACCCTTGAGGCATATATAACATTAAAAAATGCACATGGTTGGTGCATTTCACACTTAAGGGTAGTATGGTGGTCAGAAGTGAATCCCATCCAATGTGGCTGCAACATTGTGTCAAGCTGAAGAGTCAGCTAAAGGTTACAGCCCAGGGCCATGTTTAAGGGCCAATATGACTGACACACACACTGGCCAGTTACTGTAAGTAGAATCTTAAATAGTTTTCTCAACACTTTGTATGCATCAGTTGGCAAGTCTGCATCATGAGCAGTGAGCTGGAACACAGACACTCTATCTGCACTGAAGCCAGGCTTGGTGTAGCATTAGCTCTGCAGGGTTGGAAACAAATGACAGATAACAGAAGGCCTGCTAACCAGCTTCCATTTCCGGGTGAAAAGGGCATCAAGAGAAATGTGGACTTCTTGAGGAAGATAGAAGGTGCTGCTACCTACTCTATAAATACTGCAAGGTGATCAACACTGGCTTG
The DNA here is from genome assembly GCF_000001405.40 of Homo sapiens. Lineage (NCBI taxonomy): Eukaryota > Metazoa > Chordata > Mammalia > Primates > Hominidae > Homo > Homo sapiens. The sequence continues at coordinate 104,629,434 of NC_000007.14, read as the reverse complement.
TAGCCCTCAGAAACAAAGTAAATAATTTTGAACTGTGGGACCACAAATTCTGGAGAGTAAAGTAACAGAATCATGAACAGTGGCCAATCTAGTAGCCAACTTTCCAGAAGGTATGCATAGATGCAATGAGCTGCTGATCCCCCGTCCATCTTTATCCCCATGCTAAAGAATATGAACACCCGTGATGTCAGCAGCATCCTTCTGTGAATACAAGGGACAGTGAGTGAGAGAGGTCTCATACATCAGAAGAAATGTGGGAGAACCCTGACACTATAAAGAACAACAGGACTTATTTAATCATCAGCTGGTAACACACATAAGATATTTTTGGTTTCTTAAATAGTCATATTGTAGTTATACAAAAGGAATAATATCCAAACAAAATTGATTTGAACAGAAAGCAACATGGTATTTTTTTAGCAATATTTTCAGACATTTAGGCAAATAATTTTTCCAAGGCATTTTAAGTTAATGTTTGATAGGACCAGTGCTGAGGCAAATCATTCATTTCTTGGGTTTGAGAAGCCTGTTTCATATCTAATATCAGAACACATTACCATTTACAATGTGGCCTCCAAAAATTATAGCCTAAATGTCCAAAGGCACTCAATGAGAGGAGAATCGGAGTCAGTTCTTAATTTCTTTGAAAAAGGAACCAAACGTTAGTTAAAATTATATAGAAAAGTTCTATGAAAATGGTACACTTATTTTTAACAGAAAAAGCTTAAATTTAGCTCTAGGGAATCCCAGTAATATGAATGCTACTGGTTGCAAATAATCCAGCCATTCTGCACATGCAAAATCTACTTGAAAATTTTACCTGATAGGACAACAAGGGAAGATTTGTCACCCAAATTTAGTATTCCAACAACATAGACTCAAACTAAATATTATCTATGTCATCACTGATATCTACACAAGAGATACTTTGTAAATATAGAAAGATTCTTAGTACATCATCAGATAAAAAAAATCACTGAGCATTTGACTTCTGTTGCTTGGCGAGTTCTACAACTTTATTTGCCAGTATCTGAGGATTATGTATGTCAGGGCAGTGCTGTATTTTGATTTCTGTTGTGCTATCTTAGCTGAATATGGCAGTGACGTAGGGAAAGCTTAGCCTAGGGTAGTAGCTGCAGCAATTAAATACCATTCTATTCAAGGCTTGCTTGGTAATGTTCCTAATACAAAATTACCTCTAATTAAATTCCATATCCATGCAGAATTATCAGCACTGATGTAGAGCAGGAATGGGCCATGTGTATCTGATTTTCAGTGGACATGAGAACAGCTGTCATTGCCACATACCTCAGACTTGTGCTCCTCTCTGCCTGCTTCCCAAGTCCTTCCATCCAAGGCATCCAAGACCCTATAAGCCCTGATGCTCCAACATGAAAAGAGCCATACATTTATCACATTTAATGATTATAGAGATCTGGTTCAGATAATTCATATTTACAGATATTTTCTGATTTGCTTTATTGCAAGAGCAACTGTCAACTGCAGGGTGAGAATGTTAGATTTTTCAATAGTTTTCTACCTACAATACCACATAATGAGGCAGATGTGCTTTATTTGGATTTTGCATTGGGGAAGGTCTAGCCTGGCAGTTTGATCAGAGGTCAAGTTTTAGAAGTTCAGAGTTTTAATCTCAAATTCTCAGCACACAGCAGCTACAGTGTGCAAGGAACTGTCCCCGGTGCTGAACCTCTACTAATTTGTTATACAGAGACTCATTCAGTACAAATAATGACAGGGATGGTATCTTCACGAGGGCTGAGCAAAGCTAAAAGGGTCCTTGTTTTGTAAGAACAGCTGAGTAGGAAATCTAATTTTAACTTCTGAGTAAGAATCCTTTGGGGCTGTTGGGATGACACAAAGATGCATTGAAACTAATAATCAATTAGAAATTGCATACCTTTCTTGGAGAAGACTCTCTCCTATAACTGTCAAAGCCTGTTAGAATTGAAGTAACAGAGAAAAAGGAAAGATCAGTTTGTTTCAAAGAACAACAGGTAATGTCAATAGCCAAGGTATAGAATCAACCTAAGCATCCATTAATGGATGAATGAAGAAAGAATATGTGGTATATAAACACAATGAAATGCTGTTCAGCCTTAAAAAAGAAGGAAATTCTGCCTTTTGCAACAACATGAATGAACCTGGAGGACACTGTATTAAGTGAAATAAGCCAGGCACAGAAAGTCAAATACCGCATGATTGTAATTATATGTGGAATCTAGAAAAGTCAAATTAATAGAAGCAGGGAATAGAATGGTGGTTACCAGGGCCCGGGGGTGGGAACTGGAGAGATGTTGCTCAAAGGAGATAAAATTTCGGTTAGATAGGAGGAATAAGGTCAAGAGATCTACTGTAAAACATGTGGGCTATAGTTAATAATAACGTATTATATACTTAAAAATTGCTAAGAAAAATTTAAAGTGTTCTCACCACAAAAAAATGGTAAGAGAAGTAATGGATATGTTAATTAGCTTTATTTAGCCACTCCACAAGGTCTATATATATCAAAACATTGTGTTGTATTATATCATTTTGTATTCATCAATTGAGAAAAATAATAACAAGTGATGTTGACTTCAAGATGCACAGCAGCAGCACATGGAAATATAGTAGACCCTTGTCTAAATTGATTCAAAGAAGAAAACTTCCACAAATATGTTGTGGATAAGCCTGCTCACCCTAAATCTGTCCAACATTACAACATCTTCTACTTCCTCCTGCAGAGGTTCTATCACCATAACAACCCACACCCTATAATTTGGTTACAAAAGCAGCAGAAAGGGTGCTCCATCATTAAGTAATTTGGTTTCTGGATGTTCCCAACTAAGTCATCCCAGTTCTTCATAATATCTAAAATCCCTTTGTGTCCTCACAATGTCCAGCATCCATATGTCAAATACCCCAAACTGCATGGATTTCTACACTGGATTGGAGACTCCAGGTTGCTATAAAGAGGGCCATAAAAATGAAGCATGGAGTGGAGGTAATTATGCTAAAGTGCTTAAATGCAAACCAGAGGAATTTGGTTTATTTGTAGATTCCTATTTGAAAAACTAAAAATACAGAAAGTTTTAAACTTTCTGCCTCTGATATTTACATTTGTAGCTGTGAACAGCTGGACTCTAGAGGCAGGAAATTTGATGCTCACAGCCCTGCCATGGAGTGTCTTTGGGGCTGATAATGAGTCACACATAGCACACTCTCTGGAAGGCAATCTTGTAAGGAAGCAGGCACTCATGTCTAAAATATTAGGCCCTGGAGCCAGTACATACTTTGATTAAAGTGAAAAAATTACATGGGCTCAGTGATGTTTTTCTCATAATATCATTGTCTTATTTATATGAAAGAAATGGCTACAGTACTTTGTGTTGTTTATTCTTACTGAATATATGCCAAGGGTGACAGTGGAACTTATTAGGGCCTGTCAGGCAAATTGGCTCTGGCAGAGCCATGGGAGGAAAGATGACAGCTGGCTAGCAGGGGTGTTGTTTTGGAAACTTTGAAGAAGTTTCATGATGTGAGTACTATGTGAACAATTTAAACACTACCATCTTTGTGTGGGTAATCCTTCATTGTATTTGGTTGATAGGGTCATATTCAGTGCATAAAAGACCCCAAGGAAGAGTTAAAAAATTCGTAAAAATTTCTCCTTGAAGTTCCAAGTTTAAGTGGCCATTGACCTCTTAGTGACTGCCAGTTGTTTGCAATTTGGAGGTGGAGGGCAGCCAATGAGAAAAAGAGGCTGGTGTTTGCTTCACAAATAGGCATCACAGATGATTGGTGATGTTAGTTTCAACAGAAAGACTAATGATAAAGAGGATAATATGGTCTTATCTTTCCTTTATGATTAAAAAAAAACAGAGGAACAAAATTAAAGGAGGCATGTGAGACACTCTGAAGATAGAAAATACCAAGTGTTACTTTTCTCCCTGCTGGTGTGCCATGCTTATTACTGCTGCTGGGCTTGTGCCCATGAGTGGGAGGATTTTGTCTCCAATATTGTGGAACTGAGGCGTGCAGCACTTTGCTCCTAGATCAAAAATGCAAAATTGTTTGTTGTTTAAGCTGGCTGTTTTCTGTGATAGGACCCAAAATGCCAAATGTAATTACAGTCATTGTTTTTGAATGAATGTCATAATTAATTCAGAATGAAAGGACACCTTCTTTTTTCATGTTTTGCTTGGTGAAGGAGGACAACATGTTCAATGTAATTAATGCTTTTGAAATAAATGCATGACTATCCAGGTGGGCACTGAATGCAAGGACAATGTTAGTGAAGAGTTTGTCCAACTGCATATGATTTGCAGAGATGTTTTGATAAATTAGAAGTGGGAAAGACCCTCTGCAGATAACCTACAGGCAGGTGTCACCTAAACTATTGTGCAAAGATGTATAAGTAATTTAATATTTCTTTATAGTCTTTAAGGAGGTGAAAAAACACAATGTTTATTATCCATAAACCATCTCAGTGATTAACAGCCACATGCCTCAAAAGTTCTTTTTAAACCTGGACTCAGATTTATTCTCCTTTTGCTCTTTAATAAATTCTCTGGAGATAAATATCTCTTAAACATAACAAACCAAAGACACATCCCATGTTTTCCACTAGAGAAAGAAGAAAAGCACATCTTTCATAGATCTCAACCTGCCATTCTCTATTTTATTTTTTTTGCATTGAAAGGATACCACTAAATAGTCCTGCACAGAAAATTACTCTTCCTCCTTCTCTTCATCCATCCACCTATCCATCTCTCTATTCCTTCAAAATAATAATAGTTCAAAATAATTACCCTCCTTACCCATGAGCTATATCTAAGAAGCAGAGCTGCTTTGGCTGAAGGTACGGTGATGAGGAGGCCCACTCACTGACCTTGTCCTTCTGTTCCACCCCCTTTTCCCCACTATGGTTATAGCTGAAGCACCTCCACATATCCTATGAGTCTCTGTAGAGCTTGGGAGGAAAATGAGTTCTAAGGAGATGAAATGGCTTGTGCCTGAGTGGCAAACTACTAGAAGAACTGAAATTCTAGAGGAACTTTCTGATTCTCAACATGTCCTCTTTTATTTACAAAGCACAGGAATGAATTAGAGGAAGCCTCTGATTCTCAATATTGACTACTTCGCCGAGAACTGGGTTTCTGGGCATGGCTACAGCTCTACAAACTACATCCTGAATGTTTTGGAGATAGACGCTCGTGTTTTGTATGTGTGTCAAAACTCACGATATTTGGTTTAAATTAGAAGTGATCCAGCAGTTGAGAGGTCACTACTTCCTGAATGCCTGAAAAACCCTCTAATATCCAAAATATTCAATGCTTACTATCTCAATAACAACACCAAGGAACATCGTCTTCTTCTTAATAAGTTTCTTCAGTAAGTGTAACCTTTTATTTCTGAACTAGACACTGTCGCTTGTCCAGTGTTTCAGTTACTTACCTTTGTGAAACTACCTCAAAACTTAGTGACTCACAACAAAACCACTTTATTTTCTCAGGATTCCAAGTCAGAAATTTGGGCAGGACTCATCTGTGTGGGGCTTGTGTGGCACATGGCATTGTTTGGGGTGCTGGAATATCTGGAAGGTCCAAAATGGCCTCACTCCTATGGCTGGCAGTTAATGCTGGCTTTGGCTGGAAGCTCAGCTGCAGCCGTGGGCCAGGAACCTTGCTTCTCCTTCATGTGGACCTCTGCATATGGCTGTTTGGACTTTCTCACAGCATGGTAGTTATGTTTGAAAAAGTTTGAAAATTTGAAGGTGGAATCTACAATTTGTTTGTTTTTTGAGACAGAGTCTCACACTCTGTTGCCCAGGCTGGCATGCAGAGGCGTGATCTCAGCTCACTGCAAACTCCTCCTCCCAGGCTCAAGCGATTCTCCTGCCTCAGCCTCCCAAGTAGCTGGGACTACAGGCATGCACCACCATGCCCGGCTAGTTTTTGTATTTTTAGTAGAGACAGGGTTTCGCCATGTTGGCCAGGCTGGTCTCGAACTCCTGACCTCAAGTAATCTACCTGCCTTGGCCTTCTAAGGTGCCAGGATTACAGACGTGAGCCACTGCACCCAGCCTTTGAAGATCTCTTATGATTCAGTATCAGAAGTTACTCAGAAAATATGGCTACCTTTTTTTTTTTCAAATGGTACATAGCCCAGATTGAAAGAGGAATATCAAGATTGCATTGCAAAAAAACAAAACAAAACAAAACAAAAACACATGAGTGGAGAAGATACTTGCAAATCGGATATCAAATTAGTATCTAGAACTCTTAAAAGTCAATAATAAAAATCAAATAACACAATTTAAAAATAGGCAAATGACTTGAATAGGCATTTCTCTAAAGAAGATATAGAAATAATGAATACATGAAAAGATGCTCAACATCATTAGCCATCAGGGAAATGCAAATCAAAAATTACAATGAGAGCATCCTCCAGGATAGCTATAATAAAAATGACAGATAAAAATAAAACCTGGAACCCTCATTCACTGCTGCTGGGAATGTAAAATGGTGCAGCTGCTGTGGAAAACAGTCTGGTAATTCCTCCAAAGTCTAAACACAGAGTTACCATTTAGCCCAGCAATCCCACTCCTAGGTATATACCCACAAGAAATTAAAACATACGTCTGCACAAAAATGTGTACATGAACGTTTGCATTATTTGTAACATTTATGACCCTTGAAAATATTATGCTAAGTGAAAGAAGCCAGTCACTAAAAACCAGTTATTGCATGATTCAAGTCTAGAATAGGCAAATCCATAGAGACAGACAGACTACTAGGGCTGTGTTGTGGAGGAGGCAAAGAAGAAAGGGGAAGTGATTGCTAATGGGTATGAGGATTTTTGGGGGGGATGGAGATTAAAATGTTCTAAAACCAATTGTAGTGGTGATTGTACAATCTATGAATATATTAAAGAGCATTGAATTGTACACTTCAAATATGTCAGTTTTATGGTATGTGAATTATATCTAGATAAAGTTGTTATTATTATTATTTTTTAAAGGCTGGGAGCAGTGGCTCACATCTGTAATCCCAACATTCTAGGAGGCTGAGGCAAGCGGATTGCTTGAGCCCAGGGATTCAAGACAAGCCTGGGCCACATGGCAAAACTCCATCTCTAGAAGAAATACAAAAAAAATGAGCTGAGTGTGGTGGCCCATGCCTGTGGTCCCAGATACACAGGAGGCTGAGCGGTGAGAGGACTGGCTGAGCCCAAGCCTGGGAGGTCAACACTGCAGTGAGTCATGATTAGGCCTCTGCACTCCAGCCTGGGTGACAAAGAGAGATGTCTAAAAAAAGAAAGAAAAGAAAAGGTGGGATGGGGGGATATTGTTGCAGCCAACTTTGGAAACACAATTTACTATATTCAAAGGGATTCTTTGTTTATGCATATTAAGTAGAAATCAGGGGTATTTAATTAATTATAAACACATGTGCTGTATCTTCTGGGGTGGGAAGAATGTTTTTTGGTAGGTGGAAGAGATAATTTTTGTGTCAGTATGAGTTACTAAAAGGCAGGAAGATGGGGCATGAGAGGCCTATTTTTATTTCTTTGGGGACCTAGATTTCGAAGTTGCTATAAAGTTAAGGTTTTACAAGCTCTATTTATCAGTGGAGGAGTCATCTCTTCCTGCCCTTCTTCCTGTTCAACAATCATATAATAAAATGAAAGGACTGAAGTTGGAGCATGCCTGCTGCCAACTCCTCTCCTGGCTACAGAAACAACTAAAAAGCCAGTTACAACCCCCTTGTGAGACAGATAACAACTCTCTAGTGTGACATTATCTCCACAGACGGCAATATGATTAAGCGATCTGTCAACTCCCTGGAGGGAAAGGTGTCCATGTCAGCACCTCTGTTTGGAAGCTCTGGTGAAAGTTCTGAGCTCCTGGGCGTCCTCTGACCCAGCACACTCTTCAGTGATCTTTGTCATTCATTCCAGTACCAGCTGCACCTTTCAGTATGAGTCTGGTGGAATGGAAAGTAATTCAGTGTGCAAATATGTTAACTCTGGGAGCTCATATATTAGCATTGTGCTTTTAGGAAAGGGCATGCTGAAAACAGCATGAGCATGCTTGTTTCTGGAGTGATTAACTGTTTCAGTGAAACCTCTCTCATAGAATGTTAGGATTTTCTATACTAATCCATAAAGGGAGAAAACCCCGATTCAAGTAAGCCTCAAGGGCCACAGAATTAACTTTCAGGACTGGATCTCATTTGACTTTTGGACTGGCATCAGTGGGCTTATGGCATTATGAGTGGGGCTGGAGACTAAAAAAGTGGGAGATCTGGGGATGGGTTCAGAGACTTGAAAGGTAAAGAAACTCTTGAAAATCTGAGTTCTCATTTTGCCCCAGGTATTGCTTGAATATGAGAAAATGTATTGGACAAATGCCTGAACAAAGCCAACTTCTGTGAGCAGAAGATGGTGATTTTCCTAGAGAGGGTAGAGATTTATGCTGTCAGGGGTTGAAAAAAAGACTGTCTTCAGGAGAAAGGAAACAAAACTGGTTCTCCAGCCTTACGGCCTTGAAGGCCAGCTTCAGTCATGACACCTTTGTCTGCAGAGCACTCTGGCTATCAGTCCAGCTGCCAGAAAGGTATCAGGGTACATCATTTAGCCTTCTCTTTGATCATAAACCCCCAAACTGTACTCCGACACACAGGAATGATTGCCATTTCAAGATCCTCAGTAATGAGTTAGAGAGTTCCGGGCCATTATGTACCCAGAAGTGGAAATCACTGGGGGGAAAAGTGCTACATTAAGATAAAAAGTGTTTCTATTTGGCTAGAGGTGCTGTGTATAACAAAGGACAAAGCTGGAGGCTAGATAAGGCAACGAAAAAGGCTGAAACTAGTAAGAAGTACCTGGGAAAATGAAATAGATGTTGATATATGAAAGCATTCAAAGAATCACAGACTTGAAGGAGAAAGCAGGGACTATTATGTGGAAGCAAAAGTTGTACTATTTGTCAATGAAGCAAGAGGTAAGGTATAGAAGCTAAAAATATTTAACAACCTATATAGCCAAAAGGGTTTAGTCATCATTGTTCTATCTAAAACTCTTAACAATCACCTTTATAAATCTATTGTGGAGTGAAGATTATTCCTAATGAAAAAATCCAAAGCACTGTTAGACCTCTCAGTGCCCTCTGAATTGTCCAGGATCAAATTCCACCTAGCACAATTTGCTTGATTCTCTGATGTATCAAGGCTGGGTCCCAGGCTTGTCTTAGGGTCCCTTGAGTGCTGTGTTCTTACCCTTATCACATGATCTTGATATATTACATCAGGGGTACCCAATCCCCAGGTCACAGACCCGTATCAGAACCAGGCAGCACAGCAGGAGGTGAGTGGCAGGCAAGTGAGCATTATGGCCTAAGCTCTGCCTCCTGTCAGATCAGTGGCAGTATTAGATTCTCATAGGAGCACAAGCCCTATTGTGAACTGCACATGCAAGGGATCTAGACTGTGAGCTCTTTATGAGAATCTAATGCCTAATGATCTGAGGTGGAACAGTTCATCCCGAAACCATTCCCGCCCCCTGCTGCCCCACCTGCCCCATCTGTGGAATAATTGTCTTAAATTGTCTTCCACGAAACCAGTCCCTGGTGCCAAAAAGATTGGGGACTACTGTATTACATGATCCTTGTCTAGTTCTCCAAGAAGACTATAAACTCCTTGAGGAATAAAAGTGTGACATTGTTATTCTCCCCCCATCGAGAACACTGCTTGAGCCAGCTAATAAACATGTACTGATTAAAGGAATAAACTATAAGCATTAAGTGGCAAGTATATTTAATTTATTTGAGAATTGATACTTCAGTATATTGATTTAATAAATAGGTAGGGTTCTACTAACTAGACTAAATATGGTATTATTCTATCAGGATGTCTCTCATTTCAATCATTCTGCATAATAAGAACTTTAATTGAATTATATGGAAGAAATATGAGTACTGGCAAAGAAATTCTGAAAAAAAAGAAAAAGGGATTATAATTGCAAGCTGATATGTAACAAAGTTCCACTGGCATTACATTAGAAGTTTTAAAATAGTCATGATAAGAGGAATAAGTGAAAAATAACAGAAAGACAGAGAAGGATAAAGAAAAGCAATGCAATAATGATAGGATATTTTGTATACTGTGGCCTCAAAATAGTATCAGAAGTCAACATTATTAGTGACAAACAAAGAAGACTGTTAGCTGCAACTGTAGAACAATAATATGTGAATATGATAAACTGGATATTATTCTTACTAAAGTCATTTATATCTAACAAAATCAACAGTTTTAAAAAGCATGTCCAGCTTCTCACTCTCCAAAGCACAGGAAGCACCGCTGACTCCTGTCTCATGAAACCCCAAGAGAAATGCTCCTGATACAATCATGATAAATGGTTTGGTTTGACCACTGAGTGAACAGTTAGTACGTAGGGGATAAATAAAGAAGCTACTAAGGGGCCTCTTCTTCTGCTGCCCCGCATTCCAGGATCCATTCCATTAGTGCAGAGGGCATTGCACATCATTAACTTGATTAAAATATATGGCAGGGTACATGGATCCTGGTCCCAGCACTACCATTAAGGGACTGTGGGACCTTGGCCAAGTCACATGACCTTTCTGGATCTTATTGTTTTTTCATTTGGACTAAATAATCTGAATCTTGTAAGTTTCACATTACCCTTCCTTTTCAGAATCCTAGTGTAGGGCTTCTCTCCTTGAAAACAAGAACTTTTTTTTTTTTAAAGAATCAACATTTTTTTTGGATTATCTAGGTCTATGACATAACCCAAATAAGATTTTCATTAAGAAATGCGAAGAAATGGAAAGCTAACATGATCAAACAATGTATAACGAATTGGAAGACGTAGAATCTTAAACATGAGGCAATTAGAGGCAGCAAAGCATGGTATTTAAGAATGTGGACTCCAGAGCCAGACTGCCTAGGCTTGAATCCTGGTTCTGGCACTTACCAGCCATGACGCTTTGGGCAAGATCTCTTTATGCCTCAATCTCCTCATCTGTTAAATAGTATTTTCCCCATAGAGTTGTCATGAAGATCATATGAGTCAATGTTGTAGAGCATATAGTAAGCAGTGTGTAAGGTGGCTGATTGTTAATCAAGCAACTGCTTATTAAAGCATTGATGAAATTATTTTCTTAATTATAGAATGTCATTATTCTTCATTTTTTTCCATGATCATAAAACACACTCTCTTCCAAAGTATAGTAATGGGTATTGCACATTGCAGTAAGGAGCCAGGATGAAAAACATCTCTTGGCTTCTTTTGTGTTGCATTGACACATAATTTCTGCAGCTGGGGCAGTTACTTTCTGGTCTGGAGGGCAACGCAGACACCAGGAAGACTGAAGAACCAAGACATTGGGCAGTGATGATATTGTGAGGCTGCACACTCAACTAGTCTGTAATTGACTTGCCGGTGAGTTCTTGTTCAGTGAGATGATTTGATTCTTTATTGTTTAAGCTTAAGGCCCAAGGTATTTTGAGTTGGTTTTCTATTACTTGGTAGCCACAAGCATTATACTTTATATAGCGTATATAGATTGCAGATTTTCTCTAGATACACAAACATTGGCTCAGCTTTTATCTTCAACAAACTATGGAATTACCATTTCCATGAATATATTAAAGAAAACACCAAAAATCTGAAGTCTCATATTCAAGCTACAGAGTAGTGAGCTTTGGGCTATATGAAGTTAGAACATTCAGATGGAAAGGGAAAGTATGCATCTAATTATTTGTTGACAACTATGTGTCTTTGTGACCCAGGCATCTGGAAATATCTGAACATTAGAAAGCGTCTAGGAAAAACACAGAAGGTTATTGATTAGATTTTCCTCTTTGTATCCAGATGTTTTCTCATTATGTAAATATAAGTCATCTAGCGAAAACAAAATAATGTAAGATGCCACTATCAAAATACTTCCAACTCTGAAACTTTGGAAGGGATGAATTAAATATACAAAAGAGTACACCAGCTTTTGTTGTCTTTACAGGGTAACCACAGGCTGGTACTGGCAGATATGAAAGACTTTATCTTGTGTTACAATTTAAGATGATTATTTCAAGTCATGCATGAAAATTCCTTCTTGGTGGCTAGAAAGTTTGAAAATTTCTGAATTTATTATTAATAAGGTCTATTTCACTGGGCTTCATATTCGATTCATAATCATTTATATTTTATTTAAAAGGCAGCTGAGTCTTTATAGTAGAATGATTTATAATCCTTTGGGTATATACTCAATAATGGGATTGCTGGGTCAAATGGTATTTCTGTTTCTAGATCCTTGAGGAATCGCCGCACTGTCTTCCACAATAGTTGAACTAATTTACACTTCCACCAACAGTGTAAAAGTGTTCCTATTTCTCCACATCCTCTCCAGCATCTGTTGTTTCTTGACTTTTTAATGATCGCCATTCTAACTGGCATGAGATGGTATCTCATTGTGGTTTTGATTTGCATTTCTCTAATGACCAGTGATGATGACCTTTTTTTTCATATGTTTGTTTGCCACATAAATGTCTTCTTTTGAGAAGTGTCTGTTCATATCCTTCACCCACTTTTTGATGGGATTGTTTTTTTTCCTGTAAATTTGTTTAAGTTCCTTGTAGATTCTGGATATTAGACCTTTGTCAGATGGATAGATTGCCAACCTACAGAATGGAAAAATTTTCTCCCATTCTGTAGGTTGCCTGTTCACTCTGATGATAGTTTCTTTTGCTGTGCAGAAGCTCTTTAGTTTAATTAGATCCCATTTGTCAATTTTGGCTTTTGTTGCCATTGCTTTTGGTGTTTTAGTCATGAAGTCTTTCCCATGCCTATGTCCTGAATGGTATTGCCTAGGTTTTCTTCTAGGGTTTTTATGGTTTTAGGTCTTACATTTAAGTCTTTAATCCATCTTGAGTTAATTTTTGTATAAGGTGTAAGGAAGGGATCCAGTTTCAGTTTTCTGCATATGGCTAGCCAGTTTTCCCAGCACCATTTATTAAATAGGGAATCCTTTCCCCATTTCTTGTTTTTGTCAGGTTTGTCAAAGATCAGATGGTTTTAGATGTGTGGCGTTATTTCTGAGGCCTCTGCTCTGTTCCATTGGTCTATGTGACTGTTTTGGTACTAGTAGCAAGCTGTTTTGATTACTATAGCCTTGTAGTATAGTTTGAAGTCAGGTAGTATGATGCCTCCAGCTTTGTTCTTTTTGCTTAGGATTGTCTTGGCTATATGGGCTCTTTTTTGATTACATATAAAATTTAAAATAGTTTTTTCTAATTCTGTGAAGAAAGTCAATGGTAGCTTGATGGGGATAGCATTGAATCTATAAATTACTTTGGGCAGTATGGCCATTTTCACGATATTGATTCTTCCTATCCACAAGCATGGAATGTTTTTCCATTGGTTTGTGTCCTCTCTTATTTCCTTGAGCAGTGGTTTGTAGTTCTCCTTGAAGAGATCCTTCACATCCCTTGCAGGTTGTATTCCTAGGTATTTTATTCTCTTTGTAGCAATTGTGAATGGGAGTTCACTCATGATTTAGCTCTCTGTTCATGTCCTTTGCAGGGACATGGATGAAGCTGGAAACCATCATTCGGCAAACTAACACAGGAACCGAAAACCAAACACCGCATGTTCTCACTCATAAGTGGGAGTTGAACAAAGAGAACACATGGACACCGGGAGGGGAACATTACACACTGGGGCCTGTCAGGGGGTGGGGGTGGGTAGAGGAGGGATAGCATTAGAAGAAATACCTAATGTAGATGATGGGTTGATGGGTGCAGCAAACCACCATGGCATATGTATACCTATGTAACAAACCTGCACGTTCTGCACATGTATCCTAGAACTTAAAGTGTAATAAAAAATGCAGCTGAATCACCGAATTTAGGAGAACTATCCATATTGAGGTGCTTGTGTTTCAGCTTCTGCAAATAATTAAACTCTTCTGTTAGAACTATTTTTCTAGTCTAAGGCTAGACTTGAGAGATTATTTAAAATGTTTGTAGAACTACAATGATAATTTTTAAAAAAGAATGATCAATGGAGCGATTGTTAATGCTTTATTTGCTAGGGGAAAATATTTTTGAGGGAAAACAATAGCATTAGTACAAATGTTTTAAATAACTTTTTAAAGAGACACATGCCACTCAGTTTCTCTAAATCATCTTTGTAAATCTGAAGAAGGTATGCCAAACTTTTTCACACGTATTAGAGAAAACATATTATTTTGAGCCAGCTCATATATGTGAAGAAATATTTTCTACATTTTGTGTATAGACTTTTAGTATATATGTTTACTTGACTTATCAAGGGGAAAAATCAAGTAAAAGACAGGTTCTTTGGCCAGGCACAGTGGCTCACTCTTGTAATCTCAGTGCTTTGGGAGACCAGAGCATATGGATTGCTTGAGCCCAGGAGTTTGAGACCATTCTGAGCAACACAGTGAGACCTCTATCTCTATGAAAAAATTTTTAAAAATTAGCCAATCACTGTAGCACGTGTCTGTGGTCCCAGCTACTTGGGAGGCTGAGGTGGGAGGATCACTTGAGTCTGGGAGGTTGGGGTTGCAGTGAGCTGTGATTGTGCCACTGCATTCTAGCCTGGGTGACAAAGTGAGACCCTATCTCAAAAAGAAAGAAAAGAAAAGAGAGAAAGAGAAAGAAAGAAAGAAAGAAAGAAAGAAAGAAAGAAAGAAAGAAAGAAAGAAAGAAAGAAGGAAGGAAGGAAGGAAGGAAGGAAGGAGAGAAGAGAAGAGAAGAGAAGAGAAGAGAAGAGAAGAGAAGAGAAGAGAAGAGAAGAGAAGAGAGAGAAGAGAAGAGGAGGCTCTTTGGACAGTACCGTACTGTAGTCCTGGAGGAATTTGGAAGAAAGTGGGCCTATTCAGAACTTTCTCCTCATTCCACACATACTCAGTGTGTGTTTACCAGGTGCCAGTTCTCTGTACATGACCTGTACTAAGAACAAGGTGGTAAACAAAATAGACACATTATACCTGCCCAAAGGGACACAGGTATTAAATCAGTTATTATGCTCAATAACAGAGACTTTTGGGGCTATCACTAAGAGCTCTTCTTACACTTGTAAATTTACAGTCAAATTCTTAGAAACTCAAATAATTATAATTGGGATAACTCTTATGAAAGTACCATGATGGCATATAGCAGACAGAAAGGCCCTGACCAAGACAGCCCTCATGTTCTCCCTCAGCCCAACTAAACTTTAGATAAGTTTCTTCCTGATTATAAGATCCTAACCTCCCTTTTCTTAGAGGATTTACTTTGGAAAACATTCTCTGCCTTTTTGAAATGTGAATCTGCCAGTGTCTTGCCAGTTTTATAACCCAGGAAAGTCTTTCTCAAGGACCTGGGAGCCAATTCTTTGAAATATGATCATTAGAAAAGACACTGCCCCTATCTCCCAGTCTCTGTGGGAGGGTAGGAGCCTAACTTATGTGCTAATTGGCAAACATAAATGACCTAATCACACTGACCAACCTCCCCACTAATGTCCTCTAGTAGTTTTCTACTAGCTCACCCAGTGCTTAAATACTCTCCAGCCTTTTGTTTGAATGGAGTCAAGTTCAATCTCTTTGTTCTATTGCAATAGGCTTGAATTAACTCTTGTCTGTTCCACTCGGCCCATGCAATTTTTCTTTGACCACCTTAATCTAGTTTGAGCAGGGCCATGGAAGGGCAGGTTGGTTGGAGATACTCAAGAGTAAGTAATGATTAAGCAAGGTCTGAAAATTAGTTATCTAGGCAAGTGCTGATTAGGGGTGAGTGGAGGGTAGATGGGTTGGTGTTGCGGAATTAGGTTGAGTTTGAAAGGCAAGAAGGGATCATACACTAGGTAATTCTTTTACCATTCATTAGCCAGTTTTAGCCTTCTTAGTGGCTCTGAGGAGGTAATTTCAAAAGAATCGTCATTTTCTAAGCCCTGGGTCTTTTCTTCATAGCAGCATTTAAACAGCATTGAGGACCATTTGCAATTACACAAGAAAGGAATTCTAGGATTTAAGGCAATAAAGTTCTTATCCTTCTTAAAATTCTTATATAGGTCAAGTTGCTTTTAAACCAGATATGCCCTAAACTGATCTATGGAGTTTCCACCTGGGCATTGAGCTTTAGAAGAGTTCTGAGGCTCTGGCATTATTTAGAACTGACTCCTTTTAAATGGCCAGGATGTTATTTTGCAACATGCTACCAAAAAGCAGGACGGTACTTTGCCAGTGGATGTCTTTGCTGATCATTTTTACTTTCTGAAAAAAGGTATGAACATCCTTTTGAAAATATTTAAAACATAACCAGTACACAAAAGTTAACTGATAACTTATCCAGCCCCTACTTGCATTCAGGAGGGACTTTCATTACAGGTGCTATGATTAGTAAATACAGTTCTTCACATATTTGTTTCCAAATGAATTACTTCAATTCCACCTCTCAATCATAAACATGAGAGCTGAGTGTAGTGTGGGAAAACACTGATATGAAAAATTCTGGAACAAGGAGGCTATGATTAATGTCACAGGTTAATTGACAGCATTTGGATTCTCAAAGATAGTCTATGGAGGAGAAGGAAGAGAATAATTTGGCAAGTCAGGTAGGAAATGAAATGTCAGTCCCTCTAAGCAAAGTAGTGTCATCGTCCTTCACAGCATTCCACCTCCCTGTATTGGCCCACAATTACATGATTAATCAGCTGAGCGGCATGAAGGTTTAGGTTTCAGCACCGGTGTCTTCAGAGCTTTCCTTGAGAGTTCTTTTTATGCTTTCAAATTTATAGTCTAATTTTCGAAGCCAAAGAAATCATACGGACATTCAGATACTTGTATAACTACTAGCAGCCATTAGAAAGGTGATGGTACATTCGAAAAATTTATGAGATGTCTTTATTCCAAACTTTTGGTGTTCCTAAGTCCACTCATTTCTTTTTGAGATGTGCACTGTTTTGTTTTGTTTTGTTTTGCCTCTTGGATGTCCATCCATCCATCCCTCCATCCATCCACCCACCCACCCATTCATTATCTCCATTTACTGAGGAATCAGGATATTACTTGACTCATTTTATTTTATTCAATCCTCAAAATAACCTAGGAGATGGCTATAATCAGCAGTTTACAAATATGAAAACAGAGACTCAGAGGGATTAAATAACACATTGAAAGTCCTTGAGTTAAGTAATAGGCAGAGGAGCTGGGATTAAAAGCCAGGTTTGACGATGTCTATGTTCTTAATCTCTGGTCTTGAATTTCCAAACATATTTAAGTAATTATGTCCCTTAATGTTTCACACACCAGATAACTCTGAAAGAAGAAAAATTAGACTCTTGCTCAATAATGGAAGAGTAGTTGTTGTGATAATCAACCAATTCAATCTTGAAGAATCTTGAAGAAAAAAAAGACGTTTTTGAGCACTTACTCTAGAAAATTGGAAGCTGTATGAGTTACACAGAAGTGGATGACAGACACCCAAAGAGCCTCCATGCCAGTGTGAAGTGTATAAGGAAGCACAGGACTGCATCATCTATTATACAAAGCACAGCACGTCTGTATTATCTTCTTGCTTTCAAATGAACTAAATTGAGATTTAGTTCATATAGTTGTAACTACTCTTAATTCTATTGTCCCTACATAGAAACTTGTGTAAATTCCTCCCCCCCTTTTTTAGTATTTTCTGCCTTTTAATCAATTGTCTTATTTTTATGTTTCTTTTTTTCTTCTATATAGTTAATTTGAACCTTGGAAATGAGAAGATGAAGGGAAAAAGATTTATATTTCTTTTTCCATTTCCCTTTTCTTCACTTGCTGCATCAACTATCCTTACTGCCAACTTTCTGAGTTGAGCTAAACATCAGGGGCTAGTCTCCTTCTTTGCCCTTTGATTCTGACACTGTCAAGTATTGTAACACACACCCTTTCTTTAGTTAGCTAAGGCAAAACTGTGCAATACACAAGGTGTGCCATGCTGTATTTCCTGCCTGGATCCCTCCCCACGTGGCCTGTATTGCTTGGCATTGCTGTCCCCTTCTAGCAATAGGAAGGTTGGAACTCCAGCTGTGGAACTGACCAATATTACATGACTTTGGATCTAATCTGCAGAAGTCTCAATTTTCTTATTTGTAAACTGGGGATAACAATAGTGTATCCTTCATATCTTGCTGTGAGGATGAAATAAAATTATTGTTATCTAATGCCCACCTAACTTATCATCATTTAATAAAATTTATCTGCTATCATCACTGCCACTACCCAGGATTTGTCATCAACATCCTATAGGTTTAACTCAACTCCTTTATCAGCCTAGCACTGCCTTTCCTGGTTCAAACATCTGAGAGATGCTTTGTTTTCTCACTGTTCCTGTCTCACTGCATTTAAAAATTGCCAGCATCTCATTGCTTCATAGGAGTCAACCGATTCATGCTACTGTGCAAATGAAAAAAATGGCTAGATGGTTGTTCCAGACAACCAGAAACTGGGAATTCAAACTGAGTGTGTGTTTGAGAGAGTAGCTTTACTTTTTGTTACTCATCTTATAACAGTTAACTGTATGCACTAACTTAACTGGGCCACAGGATGCCCAGATATTTGATTAAACATTATTTCTGGGTGTGCCTATGAGGGTGTTTCTGGATGAGATGAGCATTTGAATTAGTAGACTGAGTAAAGCAGATTGTTCTCCCCAATGTGGGGTGGACCTCACCAAATCTATTGAAGATCTGAATAGAATAGACAGCTGAATATGAAACAATTCTCTCTCTCTGCTTGACTGTCATTGAGCTGAGACATTAGACTTCTCCTGCCTTCAGACTCAGATTTGAACTGGAAGTTACACTAGTGGCTCTCCTGGTTCTCAAGCCTGTGGACCCACACAGGAACTATATCACCATCTCTCTTGGGCTCCAGTTTGCCAACCAGCTGGAGAAATCTTGGATTTCTCAACCTCCATGATTGTGTAAGCCAATTTTTTAGAGTAAGTACTTCTCTCTCTCTCTCTCTCTTTTCTGTTTCTCTGGAAAACTCAGGCTAACATAAACCTCATAGGAGTGAGTTGTGATTAGAATTCTAGTTGATGGGGAAGATATTACTGAGTAGGTAGAATCACATCACCTAAAGAAGGGTTGGCCTTGCTTTAGTCAATTAAAAAAACGAATTCAATCAAAGATGCCAGACATTTAGTGAGTCTCTTAGATTCAGTATACAGAAAGGATTTTTAATTACAATTCAGAATTCAACATTTACTCCAAAGTTTTGACTTATTGTATTGGATTGCTAGTTACAGAAAAATAGCTACACAACCAACTGGGATCAATACTAGATTGAGGACCAGCTAACATAATAATTGAATATAATTTTGGTTTTAGCAATAACTCTGTGAATAAGGCAACACGTTGATGTCTGTTTAATCTTAGTGGTAGAGAAAAGGTGTTCTTGAAACATAATTTCTGGTAGTTTTGATAGTTTGAATAGTTTCATAATTAAAAATTAAAGAAGAAATAATTATGATGCCTTTGTAAGTCCCTAACGTCTCCACTGAAAATGTCTGAGAATGCAATACCATGTCTTCCCAGAATAGTCACTTCTTTCTTTTTATCCTCTCAGAATTGTATTATTAAATTACTGCACTTTTTAACCAAAATATTTTAAAACTAATTAGACAGTTTTGTTTTAACTATTTTTCCAGATGTCTTCCTTGCTTACCAGCCAAATTTAGGAAGTGATGGCAAACAAGCTTGGCAGGAACTGCATGTTTAACTGTTTTATGGGCACTGTGTAATAACAATATTGTCATTTTAAATGTACTTTACAATTCTCCTGGGTTTTTATATTCTCTGCACCATTTTCATTACTGGTGATTCTTTGCCTCTCTTGCTCATTTAAGCTGAGCCCTCTTATTGTGCTCAATCTCTTAAACAGAAGAAAATGTTTCTTTTGAATATTATTTACTTCAAAGTAAAAAATATCTACTTGTGTATTTCAAGACACATCTCAGGCACAGAAAAGTTTTCTACTTTCAGGAGATGGGTAGTTGCTTACATTAATATTATAAATGGCAAATAAAAATACAGGAGTTTAAATCCCCATTAAGATAATAAAACTAACTGTGGCTAACTTTTTTTTTCTTTTCTTTTTTTTTTGACAGCATCTTGCTCTGTCACCTGGGCTGGAGTGTAGTGGCACGGTCTCAGCTCACTACAACCTCTGCCTCCCGGGTTCAAGCAATTCTCCTACCTCAGCCTCCTGAGTAGCTGGGATTACAGGTGCGCACCACCATGCCTGGCTAATTTTTTTATTTTTAGTAGATACAGGGTTTCACCATGTTGGTCAGGCTGGTCTCAAACTCCTGACCTTGTGATCCGCCCTCCTCAGCCTCCCAAAGTGCTGGGATTACAGGCGTGAGCCACCATGCCTGGCCGTGGCTAACATTTACTGGGCACTTACTATATTGCAGGCATTGGTCTCCATGCTTTATTATCTCATTTAATTCTTTTAACAACCTCATTATATGCACATCATTCCTATCCCCCTTGTACAGAAGATAAGACTGAGGCACAGAGGGGTTCTGTAATTTGTCCACGTAGGTGGATCAAGCAGAATCCAGTTGATAAACTCAGTAGCGGACTGACTGATGCACCAATACCATTCACTCCTCATTCTCACTTCAAAAAAACAAGGGCATGCTCCTAACTGCCAGGCGTGGTGCCTTTGGTCTTAGGCTTGGCACCCCTTTTTCTTTTTATTATTATTATTATTATTATACTTTAAGTTTTAGGGTACATGTGCACAATGTGCAGGTTTGTTACATATGTATACATGTGCCATGTTGGTGTACTGCACCCATTAACTCGTCATTTAGCATTAGGTATATCTCCTAATGCTATCCCTCCCCCCTCCCCCCACCCCACAACAGTCCCCGGAGTGTGATGTTCCCCTTCCTGTGTCCATGTGTTCTCGTTGTTCAATTCCCACCTATGAGTGAGAACATGCGGTGTTTGGTTTTTTGTCCTTGTGATGGTTTGCTGAGAATGATGATTTCCAATTTCATCCATGTCCCTACAAAGGACATGAACTCTTCATTTTTTATGGCTGCATAGTATCCCATGGTGTATATGTGCCACATTTTCTTAATCCAGTCTATCGTTGTTGGACATTTGGGTTGGTTCCAAGTCTTTGCTATTGTGAATAGTGCTGCAATAAACATACGTGTGCATGTGTCTTTATAGCAGCATGATTTATAATCCTTTGGGTATATACCCAGTAATGGGATGGCTGGGTCAAATGGTATTTCTAGTTCTAGATCCCTGAGGAATCGCCGCAGTGACTTCCACAATGGTTGAACTAGTTTACAGTCCCACCAACAGTGTAAAAGTGTTCCTATTTCTCCACATCCTCTCAGCACCTGTTGTTTCCTGACTTTTTAATGATTGCCATTCTAACTGGTGTGAGATGGTATCTCATTGTGGTTTTGATTTGCATTTCTCTGATGGTTAGTGATGATGAGCATTTTTTTTTCATGTGTTTTTTGGCTGCATAAATGTCTTCTTTTGAGAAGTGTCTGTTCATATCTTTTGCCCACTTGTTAATGGGGTTGTTTTTTTCTTGTAAATTTGTTTGAGTTCATTGTAGATTCTGGATATTAGCCCTTTGTCAGATGAGTAGGTTGCGAAAATTTTCTCCCATTTTGTAGGTTGCCTATTCACTCTGACGGTAGTTTCTTTTGCTGTGCAGAAGCTCTTTAGTTTAATTAGATCCCATTTGTCAATTTTGTCTTTTGTTGCCATTGCTTTTGGTGTTTTAGACATGAAGTCCTTGCCCATGGCACCCCTTTTTCAATAACCCCTGGATCTTCGGTCTTCCTGGACTTACTCATGGTGATGACTTATAGAGGAAATATTAAACAAGGGGCTTTGCAAAGCCTTTGGTAGACATATAAACAACTGTGATCTGAACATATGGTTCTGTATGTAGTTAATGTTTCAGGATTGCTTGATGTGTTTTCAGGCAGACAACTCTTTTGAGACCATCAAAATGAAACTGCACACTTGTGCAGTCCTCTGTGATTGAAACTCCATTTACAAAATTATGACAGTGAGAAAAAATCTGACATTGTTGACTCCATCTTGCCTCTGACCTCCACACTGTCCTTGGTCATTCCTGGGCATAGGCCGAAGCTAATTTTGGGAGGAATTTAGTTTATAATTTAACCTCAAAGCAAGGATGATAATAGCCCTTCCCAAAGCTAAACTGCCTTTGCAAAATGAATGAAAGGCCCCAAGGTTAGGATTATGAGAGGGGCCTGAACTCCGCTAAGATGTAGGCATAGTTTCTATTATCCCTTACTGCTCAGGAGTCACGTGGTCAGTGGTCATAAGGTTTGAGACCTTGCCAATTGCTCCTATAGATAACATCAGTATTGTAGAACCTAAGATTGTTTTTTTTTGTTTTGTTTTGAAGTGTTTTTCTAACTGAACCCTCCTGCAGTCATGACTCATGATTCAACGGATCCCGTAGCCTCACCCAGAGACGGACTCAGTGCCTGAGGACCATTTTCCACACCTTTATGGTTTCATCCCTAACCAATCAGTGGCACCTATACCCTAGACCCCTGCCCACCAAATTGCCCATAAAAAGCCAAACCTCCAAGCTTTCAGGGATACTGATTTGAGTGATAACTCCAGTTCTCCAACATGGACCGATCTCACATTAGTTAAACTCTCCATCGCAATGCTGAGGTTTCAGTGGATTGATTTTTTCTGTGCAGCAGGCAGGAAAAACCTGTTGGCCAATTACATGGTTTTCAAAGTCCCTTCTCATATAGGATCTCACTTGACCTTCCTTACAATCCTTTGAGGCAGGCTGGAGTGGTATTATCATTATCTTCACTTTTTACCTTTTTACCGAAACCTAAGTTTCAAAGAGATAAGTGATTTGCCAACCTCACAAAAGACAGAGCATTTCAAATACTAGTCAGCCCCAGACCTCTGTCAGCTTGTTGAAAACAACAAAGCTAGGTGTTGTCTGTAGACATGACCAAATGATGAATTTGCAGAAAAACGATAAAAGCAATAGTGCTTTCTGATATCTCTGTTTTGCTATTTCCAAATCTTACTCGCTGCTCTCTGTCAAAGAGTGGAGCACACTGAAGTGATCCAATCAATAAAGGTGCATGATGATGGGGTGTGGTCGATATTGCAAATCTTCATCAGCTCCCAAGTTCTGCCATCTAAACACGTCTTTTTGGCCAGGTGTGGTGGCTCACGCCTGTAATCTCAACACTTTGGGAGGCCAAGGCAGGACACTTGCATGAGGCCAGGAGTTCAAGACTAGCCTGGGCAACATAATGAGACCCTGTTTCCAAAAATAAAAATAAAAATAAAAAATAAAACTGTCTCCTTGGTTTGTGCCAACCAATGCCTTTATATTAGAAAAGAAGGAAACCTCAAACGTATGCAATAAAATTTATTTTAAAAATATGTGCCTGTTAAAAGACGGGGTAGCTTTTCAATATTTCTTGTTGTTTTTTTTTTTCAGACCATCATTTTGATTTTGACCAAATTCAAAAAGGACTTGAATTTTCTGCCCTCTAAATGTAACAGTCTGATGTTTTTTTCCTGCAGTTGCATCAACAGTGGTAAACTTTACTTTATACAACACGAATGTTTTTGAAAGTTATCTGTAAACTGAATACCAAAAATATGATTTGAGGGTTATAAAGTGAAAAATGCTTTTATGAGAAACATTATTCACTGATGTCTGTGAGTTTATAACTTTCCAGATGGCTTTATCAAGTCAGAGTACCCGTTGGAATGTGTGTGTCTGAGTGTGTATGTGTGCACATGGATGTGTAATATTTAAGTACATGCTAATAAATGTTTTTCATTAATTATTCTGTGACCAACATTCCTAATGTATAAGTTTGCACTACTGTAGCAGTTATAATATGAATGCGTATGATTTTGAAAGACTTAACCAAAACAGCTAAAATTAAGAAAATTAGTATACCTGTCTATCACTGTCACTGGAAATCAAAGGAAATCACCATTTTTTTCACTTGTTTTAATAGGAGAAAACTTTTCATTTTTTTTCTATTCATTAGTAAGAAGGTAATTCTTTGGAAAGTCAGATTATTGGAAAGGGGAGAGAGGTTAAAGGATAGTCTTTAGGAAACAAAGTAAAATCCATTATTTGATTGAAAACTCTCAGTCAAAGGTTTAACAACTTTATTTGATAGTGTAAAATATTTCCCGTGGATTAAAAAATACATTTGTTGTGTTTAGACTACATAAACCTAGATCACCAGAGTATTTAGCTATAGATACTTGGGATGGCAGCTGAAAATAACAGAATTAGGTTTACTGAGAGTCATTTGATAGCCTTGAAGGATGAAGAATATGGCTAGCAAATCCCTGTAGGAAAATGACTGTTTTCCCCCAGTAAAGTACATTTAATTCTAATGGTCCTTTGTGACCATTTTGAAACAATTCCCGGGCTCCCTGGAGACTGACAGTCCTGATAGCTTCATCTGGCAGTAGAGCAGTCTTGAAACCAGTTCTGCATGGCCTAGCAGCTTTGACAGCTGAATAATTGAGTAGAAAAATCCATTATTGGAGGAATTTGATCTTCCTGCTATTTGCTTTCCCTAAGTTAAAAAAAGAGTCATATCATAGTTACAGACACAGTTTATTCTATTATCCTGGAGGAGCTTATTTCAGAGTTCCTGCCAACTTGGGTAGATTAGAATTCCAGCACTTTAAGTCATAGAAACTTCAAAATTAAATCATCAGGATATGAAACTTATAATTAAAAGAGAAGCAAAATGGAAAGATTTGAAAAATTTGCAGCCTGCCTATGTAAAGATTGAAAAGGTATGTTTAGTGAATGAACTAAGGGTGTGGCCAAGTGGCCATCCGCTAAGGAGATGAGCAGAAGGGAGCCAGGTGCTACAGGACAATGGGAGAAAGACCTTGAAGGCATTTCAGAGCTCTTTGAGGCTGCCCCTCCCATCACAGGCCCAGAGCTCTAGCGGGGCAGAATAGTTTTGGGGGACAGGCCCAGGGTGCCCTCCCTGGTTTTGCTGCTCAGAGCTGCCTCAAGACTGCTCTCTGAATCTTGGTGCAGCACTCTTCGACCACCCTGGCCATAGCTCTGGCAGGGTCAGGCGAGGCTTATGGTGCAGCTACAGAGGGTGCAAGTAGTGACTTGTCAGCTACCATGTGGTGCTCAATCTGCAGAGTGCATGAGCTGTGGGGCCATGGCGGTCTCCACCTAGATTTCAAAGGATGTCTGGGAAAGCCTGGGGGCCAAGGCAGAAACCTGCTGCAGGGTCAGAGTTGCCACAGGGAGTCCCCATCAGAACAATGCCTAGCGGAGCTGTGGGAGTGTGACCACCCCTTAGACACGAGAACTGTAGAACTACCAGCTTGTAGGGTCAGCCTAGAAAAAAGAGCTGCAGGCATGAAACTCCAACCTATGAGAGCTACTGGGTAGAGTAAACTCAGCAAAGCCATAGAGACAGGGCTGCCTGAGGCCTTGGGGTGGCTCAACCCCCACCCCAGTGTGCCCAGCATGTGGGGCATAGAGTCAAAGGACTTTAAGACTTAATGTTGTTCTTCAGCTTAAGACTCAATGTTGTTTTTCCTATTGGGTTTTGAACTTGCTTGAGACAAGTTGCCTCTTTCTTCTTGCCTATTCCTCCCTTTTGGTATGGGAATGTCTATCCTATGGCTGTCCTACCACTGTATTTTGGAAGTAAATAACTTGTTTTGATTTCACAGATTCACAGATGGAGGGATTTTACCTCAGGATGAATCATGCCTTGAATTTCACCCATATCTGATTTAGATGAGACTTTGGACTTTGAGCTTTTGAGTTGATGCTAGAACAAGTTAAGACTTTTGGGGCTACTGGGATAAAATGAATGTATTTTGCATTTTGAGGAGAACATGAATTTTGGGGGCCAGGGGTGCAATGCTGTGGTTTAATCCCAGCCTGAGCAACACAGTGAGACCCTGTCTCTACAAAAAATAAACTTAAAAAGTTAGCCAGGTTTGCTGGCATGCACCTGTAGTCCCAGCTACTTAGAAGGTTCAGGTGGGAGGACTGCTTGGGCCTTGGAAGTCAAGGCTGCAGTGAGCTGTGATTGTGTCACTGTACTCCAGCTGGGGCAACAAAGCAAGACCATGTCTTGAAAGAAAGAGAAAGAAAGAAAGAAAGGAAGAAAGAAAGAAAGAAAGAAAGGAAGGAAGGAAGGAAGGAAGGAAGGGAAAAAAGAAAGAAAGAAAGAAAGAAAGAAAGAAAGAAAGAAAGAAAGAAAGAAAGAAAGAAAGAAAGAAAAAGAAAGAAAGAAAAAAAAGAAAACTTAATCCTCATTGTAACAGTGTTGAGAGGTGGAACCTTTAAGAGGCGATTAGGTCATGATGGCTCTGGCCTCATGAATATGATTAATAATGTTATCTTAGGAGTAGGTTAATTGTCATGGGAGTGTGTTCCTGATAAAATGGATGAGTTCAGCCCCTTTTCTCTCTTGTTCTTTAGCATTCTCTTGCCCTTCCACCTTCTGCCATGGGATGACACAGCAATAAGGTCCTCACTAGATGCTAGTACTATGCTCTTGGACTTTCAGCCTCCAGAAACATGAGCCAAATACATTTCTGTTTAAGATACATTACCCAGTCTGTGGTATTCCGTATATTAACATAAAATAAACTAAGACATCTTTCAACAAATTTCGGTGATTGATTTGAATGAAACTCTTCTACTGACATAATGCTGAAGATGCTATTGATTCTGTGTCCTTGAGGTTTAATTATGGGAACTTTACCACTTAGCCTTCCTCTGTAATCAATATTGAATAGAAACCTAGTTGCTGGTCACCTTATATGCAGAAGTTACAGGACATGGACATACACATGACAAGCAAGGAATTCTGAGCAAAGCAGCTTTTCAGAATCTTCTAGCTTCCATCCTGTCCACTAGTTGCCTTGTCTTGCTTGTATGTTAAGTTCCACCTTCAGAGGATGGCAAAAGAAAAGAACCTGGGTCCTTCACAAAGACAAACTGTCTATAGAAAATAAATTGCTGGCTGGGCGCAGCGGCTCACACCTGTAATCTCAGCACTTTGGGAGGCCAAGGTGGGAGGATTACTTGAGGTCAGGAGTTCAAGACTAGCCTGGCCAACATGGTGAAACCCTGTCTCTATTAAAAATACAAAAATTAGCCAGGCATGGTGGTGCACGCCTGTAATCCCAGCTACTTGGGAGGCTGAGGCAGGAGAATTGCTTGAATCCAGGAGGTGGAGGTTGCAGTGAACTGAGATAATGCCACTGTACTCCAGCATGGGTGACAGAGCAAGGCTGTCAGAAAAAAAAAAAAAAAAAAAAGAAAAGAAAAAGAAAATAAATTGCTAATGGAAATATTTGTGTGTTTTGAAGGAGATGACATTTTGAAAGTCAACCATCAAACCGTCATGTGATTCAGGGGCTCTGTCTGGGTAGGTCCCACCTTGCTGAAGATGGAGTGAGCACACCTATGAATGTGGGGAACCATGGAACAAAGCATAGGATAGGCTGTGATTCCAGATCATGTGGACCAGAGCCAGCTCCAGGTTTTGGCAGTGAGAAAGTATGGTGAGGACCAGGTCTGGCTGTTCTTGGGGCACTCTAACTGGAGCTGAAGTCGAGCAGGCTGAGTTTGTGGTTGGTGTCTTTGTATGAGGGAGAGCAGTACCAGAGCCAGCTGTGGGCAATAAGATGTCCAAAACCTGATTCCAGCTCTTTGTGTGGCTGGCTGCTCTGGCCATTCACATTTTGGCCCAAATGCTACTCATCAGAGAAGGCTTCCCTGACCACCCTATCTAGCAACCCCTCTCCCCTATATCTGTCTCATCATTCTGTTTAATTTCATTCAGAGCGCTTGTCACTATCAATAATATATGCTTCATGATCTAAGGACCTTATAGATTTTGTTCACTGCTATACCTAACATTGCTGTATCTCTAGTACCTAGAACACATTTGGTACATGGAGGTACTCAACACATTTTGTTGAAAGGATAAAATAGAGATAAATTTGGATCTTAAAAAAATCATAAGAGTTAAGAGATATGGTTTAGTCACTAATGGGAGAGGGGAAGAGTGCTAATTTAAACTATCATCTCTCCTGAATTCCTGTCTCCACTCCTTCCCCCTTCATCTTCCAGCAGATTCTGATGTATATCCCAGAAGAACCAGCCCTTTATGAAACATCTCTGTGGTATAAGGAGAGATATTACTGATGAGTATATGCTATGCTTATAAATAAATTGGAGATGGAAAAAGGCTGAGAACCTCTGGCTTAACGGAAAGAGCATTAGAAAGGAGTTTAAGAATTGGCTCCATTGCCAGTAAATGGAGACCTTGGGCAATTAATTGGCTTATTCTTCTGTCAAATCTGCATAATGGTGCCCAGCTCACAGACTGCAGTGAGCTTAGATGAGACATTACATATGAACACACTCAGCACAGTGCCTGGTCCAAAGCAGTCAGTCAATACCCCTTAGCTGATGCGAATATGCAAAATCTTGTTTAGCTACATCACCTCCATGCACCTCAGTCTCCTTATTTATAGGAATCGTGACTCCAAATCACAGGTACACTGTGAAGAATGAATGAAACAACAGTACATCCCCTTATAGGCCATAGGGTGCTATTTAAGCTTGAAGATCTTTGTCCTTGGCTTTGCCACGACCTCAGTGACTAACTCTGTCTCTGGTGCCTCTAAATTTTTGCCAGCAAAAAGAGGATTTTATCTACATAATCTACTTCTTCACTCTGAGGATAAGATGAGATAATAGTTTGGAAAAACATTTTGTAAAAGTAAAAAGTATCATGAAACATGAGGCTTTTTGTCATTACCATCATCAACTTCAAAATAATGGCCCCCAGTGGCTCTGGTGACAGCAAAATTGAACAGTAAAGATTCTATTAGAACGTGTGTGACAATAATCTTTCAGACATAGAGATTAGCTCAGTGATATGGAAAGTGTATAGAATTAATTCCTGTTCCTTTTGCTCCTGAGGGTTTGATTCTCCACAGAGCAGAGCTCCGTATCTCAATAAATGTAGAATGGAAAAGATGAGAGATTAACTCTCGAAAAGTTGCCAGCTCAGAAAGTATTCAAATAGTGAAGTACTGTTAATATGATAAAGTCTATTTAGCAATTCTGCTACTATGAGTTCACATATCTTCCTGTCCCTCTCCCCTCAACATGTTTTTAGGGTACCCCAGGTTATAGTTCCAATGGTTTAACACAAAATAAAAATGTGATGAAGAGGATTGGGTGAGTTTCTGTACACAGACAGCAGGCCATGAGCGATGAGCCATACTTCCTCATCTGAGGCTTCTAGCATAGGAAGGGGAAGCTACAAGGCTGGTCAGGGACCAGAGTTGAAGGGCCAGGGAAGTCCTTAGTAATGTCGGGGGATAAGAAGTTTAGGGCCTTTAAAAAGTTTTAAGTCAGCACAACTCAATACTGCCTGTCTGGTAGGACCTTGATGATCACTGGCCTCATTAGCCATTGCTGATGTTTGGCTAGCAGAGGCACTTTGGTTGATTAGATGGGAAAATAAGAGAGACCACATACCTGCATCCCTCTGCACAACTGCTTCCATGAAAATAAGCTGTTTTGAGGTCCCTCTGTAATGTTTCCCTAATACCTGGCATATATCTGTATCACAGACCTTCCTCATTGTATTGAAGTGTGAAATTTCTGATGTGTCGGTCATCTATACATGGTTCATTCTCATATTCTTGGTGCTATGTGTATCCCTGGCAATATAAAAGGTGCTCAGAAAATGCTAATTCAATGAACGAGGAAGACAAAGAATAAACATGTGATGGGTTCTTCCATTCTCAAAGTGTAATACTGCTCTACCCATAAACAGAGGATGGAGAATGTGTTGACCAATCGAGGACCATTTGACATCACTGTTTTGTTCTATTACTTCTACCCCAAATACAGCCAATCCAACAACCTGAATTTTGCTTACAAGAAAATGTTATTTCCAAAATGGAACTTGAAAACCAATGAAAATGAAAAGGAAATAAATAAAAGACACTTCCATGATGGAAACAGATGAACAATGCTGATATTAGTGTTATTCTATATTTATGTGTTTATAAATCATATAAACTAGTAGAAATCAATCTATAGGAATAACCCTCATTGATTAGGCCACTAATTTCAAACTTGTGATCATTCAGATGTGAGCCAGAGTAATGTTTTCTCTATTATCTGTAAGAATCATAAGTGAGTTCAGTTGGCAGAATATTTGCCTATTTAAGAAAAGCACAGCTTTCATTTTGTTTAGAAGCACTCATATGAGGGGAGTTTTAAAAATTCATGGAAAAATGGAATTAAGAGATAAAAATTAAAAATGTAAACTTTATTTCTCCATCATAAGTGCCATCAAGGTCAAGACACTTTTGTAAGGAATGATACCTGTTGTCTAGTCCATCTCTAAAAAACTGAGGGAATTCTGGGAATTTAACCCTGTCAATACAATCCTTTTTACATTATTAACTGAAGAAAAATGGTTTTAAGATTCGAAAACCAGAAGAAGTCAGAAGTAGCCTAATCAAGACCATAAGGTGGATGTATAATGATTTCCTATAGAAACTCTTGCAGAATTGCCTTTGTTTGATGAAAGGAATGAGCAAGAGCATTGTTATGAGTAGAGAAGGACTCTATGATGAAGCTTTCTCTGGTGTTTTTCTGCTAAAGCTTTGGCTAACTTTCTTAAAAACATTCTTATAAGCAGACATTATTGTTCTTTGGCCCTCCAGAAAGTCAACAAGCAAAATCCCTTGAGCATCTCCAAAAACTCTGGCCATGAACTTTGCTCTTCACTGCTATGATTTTACTTTGACTGGACCACTGCCACCTCTTGGTAGCCACTGCTTTGACTGTGCTTTGTCTTCAAGATCATACTGGAAAGCCATGTTTCACCTCCTGTTATAATTTTTTGAAGAAATGCTTCAGGATCTTGATTCCACATGTTTAAAATTTGCATTAAAAGCTCTGCTCTTGTAGGCAGCTGATATGGAAACAATAGTTTTGGTGCCCCTTGAGTGGAAAGTTTTCTCAACTTTAATTTTTCAGTCAGAATTGTATGAACTGAACCAATCGAGATATCTGTGGTGTTGGCTATTGTTTGTGCTGTTAGTTGCTAGTCCCTTTCAATTAAGGCACAAGCAGGATTAATTTTGTGCTTGAAAATTGATGTGGATGCTCTGCTGCTGTGGGCTTCATATTCAACATCATCTTGTCCCTTCTTATGCCCATTTGAAAATGGATGATTTCTTTGGGACATTGTCCCCATAAAATTTTTGTAAAACAGCAATAATTTTACCATTCTTCCACCCAAACTTAACCATAATTTTGATATTTGTTCTTGCTTCAATGTCAGCAGAATTCATGTTGCTGTGATAGGGGCATTTTTCAAACTGATGTCTTATCCATCTTAGTGCCTCAAACTAGATCCTGTTTAGATATGTTATATCCAAGTTAGTATGAGTTTATATTGGGGTAAAAATTGTAATTCATGCATAGCTTTTTCATAATTCACATTTTCTATGAACTTTTTGAAGTTCCCTCACATATAAGCAAAGGGAGTAATGTTAGCAGAAGCCAGCAATGTCACTATGCAAAGCAGTTGCATATATTGATTGAAATAGGAAAATTCCAGTCAGAATTTTGGCAAAGATAATTCTAGTTCCTTAGAAATACATTCCATTTCAGACTTCAATTAATAAGGATTATACTTCCTTTCAATGAAAGAAATCACATTCCCCTCCCCCCACCATGTCAATAGAGGCAGGCTGTATCTATTTGTATAATGGAATAAAGTAGAGATGTATAATATAGTAAGAACAATAAGCATTTAATTCCTTCTGGTATGACTGCATTATCAGCAGCCTGCAAACTAGCTTTAATCAAAGGGATCAGTTTAAAGATGCATCTTCTAGTCTTAGCTAAAGCACTTAATGATTCAGTTATACTAAATCTTAAAATATAAAGAGTGAAAATGGAAAGTTTATTTTTTAGTTAACTCTAAAGACAGCTTTAAATGAATATTCGCAAAAAGAATGACTGAAATGAGTTAAGTAATATGCAAAAGAAAGAACATTTATTCCAAAAAAGAATTTTAAATGGAAAGAAATGCCTTAACATGCTACATATTCAAACTAATAAAATAATGTTACTTCTATTAGGCAAAATATTATTGTTGTTACATCATTATGAATCCATTTGTCATGCTATAGCTACATGACAGAAACAGGAAACAGGTACAGCATAAATTTATTTGGAGGGCTGATGATTACAGTTGGTTTCAGTGGGAAAGAACAGAAGAGGTAGTGTTTATGAGCTCCTGTAGTTCAAAAAACATTTATTCAGCACACAGATATGGGTCAAATGTTGGAATTAATATTGGGGATAAAATGGATGAACAAAGATGAGTCACTGATTCCCTAAATGAGCTCATGGTCACTTGGGGAGAACAAACATGTAAACAGATAATGATTTAGAACTCATTAGTCGCTGCAATGAAGAGTGCAAAGACCTAGCTGCACATTTTCTGGCAATGCACGTGAGATGAAAGCTGGCCAAGCTGAGGAATGTAAATCTTAAGTTGTATTACACGGTATCTGAATGTAGCCTCCACCCTATGCCAGTAGATCCTGTGACTACCAAGGCAGGTATGACGTTTATTGAAGAGTTTTCTGTTTACTAGCTATGTTTTGTTATTCATGTGCTTTTAACACATCTTGAAACACACAGATAGACCGGAACAGAGGGGTTTTAATTTCCTAATCATTCGATAAGATCCAGAAAGATGCAGGAAAATTGTTGTTATCTTTACTTCATCTTGGATATACAGAGCTGAAAAAGTGACCACTTAGACTTGTAACCATCAATAAATCATACTAAGAGATTTATCCACATCTTCACAAATGGAAGAAAATATTTCAAGAAGATATTGCTGCCTCTAAAGAAGGCTTGTATGATTTGTCTCAACAAATAAATTCTCTCTATTAAGATGGGTCTTGGACTCAACTTGGAGATCACAGGGAAGCTCTTCATTGCTGCCTTTTGAATAAATGCACCTTTATGAGCCATGAGAAGGTCTGAGGCAGGGCCACTGCATCTCATGTGATAAAAATTAAAACAGTGAAGATGGCTGAATAGGAACAGCTCCAGTCTGTAGCTCCCAGTGTGATCAACATGGAAGACGGGTGATTTCTGCATTTCCAACTGAGGTACCTGGTTCATCTCACTGGGACTGATTGGACAGTGGGTGCAGCCCACGGAGGGTGAGCCAAAGCAGGGTGGGGTATTGTCTCACCCGGGAAGCACAAGGGGTTGGGGGGTTTCCCTTTCCTAGCCAAGGGAAGCCATGACAGACTACTTGGAAAAGCAGGACACTCCTGCCCCAATATTCTGTTGTTCCCAAGGTCTTAGCAACCGGCAGACAAGGTGATTCTCTCCCATGCCTGGCTCAGCAGTGCCCATGCCCATGGAGCCTTGCTCACTGCTAATGCAGCAGTCTGAGATCCATCTGCGAGATGGCAGCCTGGCTGGGGGAGGGGCGTCTGCCATTGCTGAGGCTTGAGTAGGTAAACAAAGCGGCCAAGAAGCTCGAACTGGGCGGAGCCCACCACAGCTCAACAAGGCCTACTGCCTCTAGACTCCACCTCTGTGGGTAGGGCATAGCGGAACAAAAGGCAGCAGACAACTTCTGCAGACTTAAACATCCCTGTCTGACAGCTCTGAAGAGAGCAGTGGTTCTCCCAGCACTGTGTTTGAGCTCTGAGAACGGAAAGACTGCTTCCTCAAGTGGGTCCCTGACCCCTGTATAGCCTAATTGGGAGACATGTCAAAGTAGGGGCCGACAGACATCTCATATAGGCAGCTGCCTCTCTGGGACAAAGCTTCCAGAGGAAGGATCAGGCAGCAATATTTGCTGTTCTGTAATATTTGCTGTTCTTCAGCTTCCGCTAGTAATACCCAGGCAAACAGGGTCTGGAGTGGAACTCCAGCAAACTCCAACAGACCTATAGCTGAGAGACCTGATTGTTACAAGGAAAACTAACAAACAGAAAGAAATAGCATCAACATCAACAAAAAGGTCATCTACACCAAAACCCCATCTGTACGTCACCAACATCAAAGACCAAAGGTAGATATAACCACAAAGATGGGGAGAAACCAGAGCAGAAAAGCTGAAAATTCTCAAAATCAGAGTGCCTCTTCTCCTCGAAAGGTTCACAGCTCCTTGCCAGCAACGGAACAAAGCTAGACGGAGAATGACTTTGAGAAGTTGACAGAAGTAGGCTTCAGAAGGTCGGTAATAACAAACTTCTCCGAGCTAAAAGAGGACGTTTGAACCCATCGTAAGGAAGCTGAAAACGTTGAAAAGAGATTAGACGAATGGCTAACTAGAATAAACAGTGTAGGGAAGACCTTAAATGACCTGATGGAGCTGAAAACCATGGCATGAGAACTTCGTGATGCATGCACAAGCTTCAATAGCTGATTTGATCAAGTGGAAGAAAGGGTATCAGTGACTGAAGATCAAATTAATGAAATAAAACAAGTAAACAAGGTTAGAGAAAAAACAGGAAAAAGGAATGAACAAAGCCTCCAAGGAATATTGGACTATGTGAAAAGACCAAATCTACGTTCGATTGGTGTACCTGAAAGTGATGGGGAGAATGGAACCAAGGTGGAAAACACTATTCAGGATATTATCTAGGAGAACTTCCCCAATACAGCAAGGCAGGCCAACAATCAAATTCAGGAAATACAGAGAACGCCACAAAGATACTCCTCCAGAAGAGCAACCTCAAGACACATCATTGTCAGATTCACCAAGGTTGAAATGAAGGAAAAAGTGTTAAGGGCAGCCAGAGAGAAAGGTTGAGTTACCCACAGAGGGAAGCCCATCAGACTAACAGCGGATCTCTCAGCAGAAACCCTACAAGCCAGAAGAAAGTGGGAGCCAATAGTCAACATTCTTAAAGGAAAGAATTTTCAACCCAGAATTTCATATCCAGCCAAACTAAGCTTCATAATTGAAGGAGAAATAAAATCCTTTACAGACAAGCAAATGCTGAGAGATTTTTGTCACCACCAGGCCTGCCTTACCAGAGCTCCTGAAGGAAGCACTATACATGGAAAGGAACAACCAGTACCAGCCACTGCAAGAACAGGCCAAATTGTAAAAACTACTGATGCTATGAAGAAACTGCATCAATTAATGGGCAAAATAACCAGCTAACATCATAATGACAGGATCAAATTCACACATACAATATTAACCTTGAATGTAAATCGGCTAAATGCCCCAATTAAAAGATACACAGTGGCAAACTGGATAAGACTCATGAGTGTGCTATATTCAGGAGACCCATTTCACGTGCAAAGACGCACATAGGCTCAAAATAAAGGGATGGAGGACGATCTACCAAGCAAATGGAATGCAAAAAAAAAGCAGGGGTCGCAATCCTAGTATCTGATAAAACAGACTTTAAACCAACTTTGTTGGTTCAAAAGAGACAAAGAAGGCCATTACATAATAGTAAAGGGATCAATTCAACAAGAAGAGCTAACTATCCTAAATATATATGCACCCAATACAGGAGTGCCCAGATTCATAAAGCAAGTCCTTAGAGACCTACAAAGAGACTTAGACTCCCAAACAATAATAATGGGAGACTTTAACACCCCACTGTCAACATTAGACAGATCAACAAGACAGAAGGTTAACAAGGATATCCAGGACCTGAACTCAGCTCTGCACCAAGCAGACCTAATAGACATCTACAGAACTCTCCACCCCAAATCAACAGAGTATACATTCTTCTCGGCACCACACAACACTTATTCCAAAAATGACCACAGACTTGGAAGTAAAGCACTCCTCAGCAAATGTAAAAGAACAGAAATTATAACAAACTGTCTCTCAGACCACAGTGCAATCAAACTAGAACTCAGGATTAAGAAACTCACTCAAAACCACTCAACTACATCGAAACTGAACAACCTGCTCCTGAATGACTACTGGGTACAAAACGAAATGAGGGCAGAAATAAAGATGTTCTTTGAAACCAACGAGAACAAAGACACAACATACCAGAATCTCTGGGACACACTCAAAACAGTGTGTACAGGGAAATTTATAGCACTAAATGCCCACAAGAGAAAGCAGGAAAGATCTAAAATTGACACCCTAACATCACAATTAAAACAACTAGAGAAGCAAGAGCAAGCACATCCAAAAGCTAGCAGAAGATAAGAAATAACTAAGATCAGAGCAGAACTGAAGGAAATAGAGACACAAAAAACCCTTCAAAAAAAATCAATGAATCCAGGAGCTGGTTTCATTCAATGCCACCCTAATCCTGTGCTTTTACAATGGTCTTAGCAAATGGCACACCGGGAGATTATAACCTGTGACTGGCTCAGAGGGTCCTAAGCCCATGGAGCCTCACTCACTGCTAGCACAGCAGTCTGAGATTGAACTGCAAGGTGGCAGAGAGGCTGGGGGAGGGGCATCCACCATTGCTGAGGCTTGAGTAGGTAAACAAAGCTGCCAGGAAGCTGGAACTGGGTGAAGTCCACTGCAGCTCAAGGAGGCCGGCCTGCCTCTGTAGACTCCACCTCTGGGGGCAGGGCATAGCTGAACAAAAGGCAGCAGAAACTTCTGCAGACTTAAACGTCCCTGTCTGACAGCTTTGAAGAGAATAGTGGTTCTCCCAGCACAGAGTTTGAGATCTGAGAACAGATAGACTGCCTCAAGTGGGTCCCTGATCCCCCAGTGGCCTAACTGGGAGATACTTCCCAGTAGGGGCCGACTGACACCTCATACAGCTGGGTGCTCCTCTGAGAAGAAGCTTCCAGAGGAAGGACCAGGCAGCAACATTTGCTGTTCTGCAGCCTCCGCTGGTGATACCCAGGCAAACAGGGTCTGGAGTGGACGTCCAGCAAACTCCAACAGACCTGCAGCTGAGGGTCCTTACTGTTAGAAGGAAAATTAAGAAACAGAAAGGATATCCACACCAAAACCCCATCTGTACGTCACCATCATCAAAGACCAAAGGTAGATAAAACCACAAACATGGGGAGAAACCAGAGCAGAAAAGCTGAAAATTCTAGAAATCAGAATACCTCTTCTCCTCCAAAGGAAAGCAGCTCCTCACCAGCAATGGAACAAAGCTGGATGGAGAATGACTTTGACGAGTTGAGAGAAGAAGGCTCTAGACGATCAGTAATAACAAACTTCTCTGAGCTAAAGGAGGATGTTCGAACCCATCGCAAAGAAGCTAAAAACGTTGAAAAAAGATTAGACGAATGGCTAACTAGAATAAACAGTGTAGAGAAGACCTTAAATGACCTGATGGAGCTGAAAACCGTGGCACGAGAATGACATGATGAATGCACAAGCTTCAGTAGCCGATTTGATCAAGTGGAAGAAAGGGTATCAGTGATTGAAGATCTAATGAATGAAATGAAGTGAGAAGAGAAGTTTAGAGAAAAAAGAGTAAAAAGAAATGAGCAAAGCCTCCAAGAAATATGGGACTATGTGAAAAGTCCAAATCTACATCTGATTAGTGTACCTGAAAGTGAAGGGGAGAATGGAACCAACTTGGAAAACACTCTTCAGGACATTATCTAGGAGAACTTCCCCAACCTAGCAAGGCAGGCCAACATTCAAATTCAGGAAATACAGAGAACGCCACAAAGATACTCCTCGAGAAGAGCAACCTCAAGACACATAATTGTCAGATTCACCAAAGTTGAAATGAAGGAAAAAATGTTAAGGGCAGCCAGAGAGAAAGGTCGGGTTACCCACAAAGGGAAGCCCATCAGACTAACAGCAGATCTCTCAGCAGAAACGCTACAAGCCAGAAGAAAGTTGGAGCCAATATTCAACATTCTTAAAGAAAAGAATTTTCAATCCAGAATTTCATATCCAGCCAAACTAAGCTTCATAAGTGAAGGAGAAATAAAATACTTTACAGACATACAAATGCTGAGAGACTTTTGTCACCATCAGGCCTGCCTTACAAGAGCTCATGAAGGAAGCACTAAACATGGAAAGGAACAACTGGTCCCAGCCACTGCAAAAACATGCCAAATTGTAAAGACTATCGAGGCTAGGAAGAAACTGTATCAACTAACGAGCAAAATAACCAGCTAACGTCACAATGACAGGATCAAATTCACACATAATAATATTATCCTTAAATGTAAATGGGTTAAATACTCCAATTAAAAGACACAGACTGGCAAATTGGATAAAGAGTCAGGACCCATCAGTGTGCTCTATTCGGGAGACCCATCTTATGTGCAGAGACACACACAAGCTCAAATTAAAGGGATGGAGGATGATCTGCCAAGCAAATGGAAAGCAAAAAAAAGCAGGTGTTGCAATCCTAGTCTCTGATAAAACAGACTTTAAACCAACAAAGATCAAAAGACACAAAGAAGGCCATTACATAATGGTAAAGGGATCAATTCAACAAGAAGAGCTAACTATCCTAAATATATAGGCACCCAATACAAGAGCACCCAGATTCATAAAGCAAGTCCTTAGAGACCTACAAAGAGACTTAGACTCCCAAACAATAATAATGGGAGACTTTAACACCCCACTGTCAACATTAGACAGATCAATGAGACAGAAAGTTAACAGGGATATCCAGGAACTGAACTCAGCTCTGCACCAAGCGGACCTAATAGACAATTACAGAACTCTCCACCCCAGATCAACAGAATATACATTCTTCTCAGCACCACATCACACTTATTCCAAAACTGACCACATAGTTGGAAGTAAAGCACTCCTCAGTAAATGTAAAAGAACAGAAATTATAACAAACTGTCTCTCAGACCACAGTGCAATCAAACTAGAACTCAGGATTAAGAAACTCACTCAAAACCGCTCAACTACATCGAAACTGAACAACCTGCTCCTGAATGACTACTGGGTACATAATGAAATGAAGGCAGAAATAAAGATGTTCTTTGAAACCAACGAGAACAAAGACACAACATAGCAGAATATCTGGGACACATTTAAAGCAGTGTGCAGAGGGAAACGTATAGCACTAAATGTCCACAAGAGAAAGCAGGAAAGATCTAAAATTGACACCCTAACATCACAATTGAAAGAACTAGAGAAGAAAGAGCATACACATTCAAAAGCTAGCAGAAGGCAAGAAATAACTAAGATGAGAGCAGAACTGAAGGAGATAGAGACACAAAAAACCCTTCAAAAAAATCAATGAATCCAGGAGGTGGTTTTTTGAAAAGATCAACAAAATTGATAGACCGCTAGCAAGACTACTAAAGAATAAAAGAGAGAAGAATCAAATAGATGCAATAAAAATGATAAAGGAGATATCACCACCGATCCCACAGAAATACAAACTACCATCAGAGAATACTATAAACACCTCTACACAAATAACCTAGAAAATCTAGAAGAAATGGATAAATTCCTCGGCACATACACCCTCCCAAGATTAAACCAGGAAGAAACTGAATCCCTGAATAGACCAATAACAGGCTCTGAAATTGAGGCAATAATTAATAGCCTACTAACCAAAAAAAGTCCAGGACCAGATGGATTCACAGCCGAATTCTACCAGAGGTACAAAGAGGAGCTGGTACCATGCCTTCTGAAACTATTCCAATCAATAGAAAAAGAGGGAATCCTCCCTGACTCATTTTATGAGGCCAACATCATCCTGATATCAAAGCCCGGCAGAGACACAACAAAAAAAGAGAATTTTAGACCAATATCCCTGATGAACATCAATGCAAAAATCCTAAAAAAAATACCGGCAAACTGAATCCAGCAGCACATCAAAAAGCTTATCCACCACGATCAAGTTGGTTTCATCACTGGGATGCAAGGCTGGTTCAATATATGCAAATCAATAAATGTAATCCATCATATAAACAGAGCCAAAGACAAAAACCACATGATTATCTCAATAGATGCAGAAAAGTCCTTTGACAAAATTCAACAGCCCTTCATGCTAAAAACTCTCAATAAACTAGGTATTGATGGAACATATCTCAAAATAATAAGAGCTATTTATGACAAACCCACAGCCAATATCATACTGAATGGGCAAAAACTGGAAGCATTCCCTTTGAAAACTGGCACAAGACAGGGATGCCCTCTCTCACCACTCCTATTCAACATAGTGTTGGAAGTTCTGGCCAGGGCAATCAGGCAGGAGAAAGAAATAAAGGGTATTCAATTAGGAAAAGAGGAAGTCAAATTGTCCCTGTTTGCAGATGACATGATTGTATACTTAGAAAACCCCATCATCTCAGCCCAAAATCTTCTTAAGCTGATAAGCAACTTCAGCAGTCTCAGGATACAAAATCAATGTGCAAAAATCACCAGCATTCCTACACACCAATAACAGACAGAGAGCCAAATCTTGAGTGAATTCCCATTCACAATTGCTTCAGAGAGAATAAAATAACTAGGAATCCAACTTACAAGGGATGTGAAGGACCTCTTCAAGGAGAACTACAAACCACTGCTCAACAAAATAAAAGAAGACACAAATAAATGGAAGAACATTCCATACTCGTGGATAGGAAGAATCAATATTGTGAAAATGGCCATACTGCCCAAGGTAATTTATAGATTCAATGCCATCCCCATCAAGCTACCAATGACTTTCTTCACAGAATTGGAAAAAACTACTTTAAAGTTCATATGGAACCAAAAAAGAGCCTGCATTGCCAAGTCAATCCTAAGCCAAAAGAACAAAACTGGAGGCATCATGCTACCTGACTTCAAACTACACTACAAGGCTACAGTAACCAAAACAGCATGGTACTGGTACCAAAACAGAGATATAGATCAATGGAACAGAACAGAACCCTCAGAAATAATACCACACATCTACAACCATCTGATCTTTGACAAACCTGACAAAAACAAGCAACGGGGAAATGATTCCCTATTTAGTAAATGGTGCTGGGAAAACTGGCTAGCCATATGTAGGAAGCTGAAACTGGATCCCTTCCTTACACCTTATACAAAAATTAATTCAAGATGGATTAAAGACTTAAATGTTGGACCTGAAACCATAAAAACCTTAGAAGAAAACCTAGGCAATACCATTCAGGACATAGGCATGGGCAAGGACTTCATGTCTAAAACACAAAAAGCAATGGCAACAAAAAACGAAATTGACAAATGGGATCTAATTAAACTAAAGAGCTTTTGCACAGCAAAAGAAAGTGCCATCAGAGTGAACAGGCAACCTACAGAATGGGAGAAAATTTTTACAATCTACTCATCTGACAACGGGCTAATATCCAGAATCTACAATGAACTCAAACAAATTTACAAGAAAAAAACAACCCCATTAACAAGTGGGCAAAAGATATGAACAGACACTTCTCAAAAGAAGAGATTTATGCAGCCGAAAGACATGTGAAAAAATGCTCATCATCACTGGCCATCAGAGAAATGCAAATCAAAACCACAATGAGATACCATCTCACACCAGTTAGAATGGCGATCATTAAAAAGTCAGGAAACAACAGGTGCTGGAGAGGATGTGGAGAAATAGGAACACTTTTACACTGTTGGTGGGACTGTAAACTAGTTCAACCATTGTGGAAGTCAGTGTGGCGATTCCTCAGGGATCTAGAACTAGAAATACCATTTGACCCAGCCATCCCATTACTGGGTATATACCCAAAGGATTATAAATCATGCTGCTATAAAGACACATGAACATGTATGTTTATTGTGGCACTATTCATAATAGCAAAGACTTGAAACCAACCCAAATGTCCAACAATGATAGACTGGATTAAGAAAATGTGGCACATATACACCATGGAATACTATGCAGCCATAAAAAATGATGAGTTCATGTCCTTTGTAGGGACATGGATGAAGCTGGAAACCATCACTCTCAGCAAACTATCGCAGGGACAGAAAACCAAACACTGCATGTTCTCACTCATACGTCGGAATTGAACAATGAGAACACTTGGACACAGGGTGGGGAACATCACACACTGGGGCCTATTGTGGGGTGTGGGGAGAGGGGAGGGATAGCATTAGGAGATACACCTAATGTAAATGATGCATTAATGGGTGCAGCACACCAACATGGCACATGTATACATATGTAACAGACCTGCACGTTGTGCACACGTACCCTAGAACTTAAAGTATAATAAAAATACATAAATACATAAAATAAAAATATAAAAAAACAGGCTAAATGAATGAATGAATAACTCAATGAGCGTTTTTCTCTTTATTATTTTTGGCATCACAATGGGAGCAATTTTTCTTTTTCTCTTTGTTTCACACTCATATACAGTAAGTTTCTGTCTTATGCCTCTGAAATGGAGAAAAATGATACATAATCTTTCAACAGGGACATTTGGAAGAAGGGTCTTTTCAACATTTCATATATTCCCAGAAAGCTCTATTGACTTTTCCGGTAGTCTTCCAGCAGCCTCCAGATTGTGTTAATGTGCTTGGCCAGAAGGGGTTTTATAAAACATTTGTGTGGCGTAGCACACGGAAGACACACACCTGTTTATTGAGTCAATAATTTTTAAAAAGTCACAGTACCATCTGTTGTGGCTGCCTTCTATAAAAATTCAGTGTGTAGACAATGCTAATTTTGAAATGTGAAAGATGTTTTCACCCACTAGACGTCTTTAAAAAATATATAAAGTCAATTTATTTTTTAAAAAATCCAATACCTTGCCAACTTTTAAGAAAGGGGACCTGTGTAAGGTGAGAGGTAATAGAAAAAAATGTATTTTATTGAAAGTTATCTCAGCTTCCTATGTTGTAATGCTTTGAAAAATCAATTATTTTTTTAAACAGGAAAAATACTTCATAGACTATGTTACCTCTTCTTTCAAAAATATGGAGGAAAAATAAAAGTTGTGCACACAGATGATATCAGGGAGAAGAAACTTGTGGGTGGAAGGAATAGGTGAATTATAATAGCTGTTTTTGGCACCCTAAAATGAGAGAAGCTGGTATATAAGAAGAAATAATGTCCTATCATTTCCATCTTGCTTTCACAACCATCCTTAACTCCTCTTTCTCTTACTCCATTAGAACTACCCCATCCTTAAATTTTCCCTAGGCTCAAATTCCAACATACTTTCTTTTATTTCCTCCTTCTAAATGAACATAAGTGAATTTTATTTTCATGGTTCACTTTCCCCACAATTTATGGACGTTCTGATATCCTAATTCAGATTTTCATTCTATTCATTTTTCACGTAATTCTCAACTGACTGACACTCTTCAACTGTAATTATTACCATGAAAGTTTTGAATATCATTAAATTTTTCTCACTGACTGCATGAACTTTAAGGTAATTTGATTAATTCAGCAAGCCACTGGTAGCTGCAGATTTAACATCTTGAAAATTTTGCGCATTATCAGTATTTTGCAGCAACTAGATTTAAAAGATAAATGAAATCCTTGGGTACCAGATTTTTAAAAAGGTTGTTGTTTCCCTGCATGATTTTAAGTAATTTTGTTAAGCTTTCAAAAGTACATTACAAAGCATTTGCCCCAGAATTACAAACAGAGCATTCCTCTGCATTCCCCTGCAGTCTTAGTTTAATAACTTTTCATTTCTGTGGAGCATGTATATTTCCAGGGCTCAGCCAAAGGTTCTTCACTTGGGAAAGCACAATGACTTGGAGGCAGTGAAAGTTATCAACTGACATACTGTAGAACAATATAGCCTGCCCAAATCCTCACCATGCAAAGGCTTCTGTTCTCTTAAACATTTATCAGGGACAAGGCCGTGTGTGTGTGTGTGTGTGTGTGTGTGTGTGTGTGTGTGTGTTTGTGTGTGTTGCCTTATTCCACTTTCCACTTTCATCATTAGCTGCATTATAGTCAAAGAAAGTGGCTGTGGATAAAAGTGATGAGGGGGATGATGACGAATGCTGAAGAGCCCTGTGCGGATCTTGACAAAAATAATACTTGCTTATGGTAAATGTCAAACTTTCTCTTTAAAGGATCAAATAGTTGGTTATAAGGAGGTTTTCTTGGGTAGAGTCCTTTTAGCCCTTGGCATCCCTCTAGGCAAAATGGTCCTTGTGGTAGTCGCCAGGTACCATAAAAGGCTGTGACAGGCCCATGCAGCGTCGGGCTAGAGGGCAGACAGTAGGAGGAGGAAAAGGAGGACAGGTAGAAGATTACTCAAGAGTGCTGGGAGTAGGGAGAAGGACAGAGGACAAGAGGGGGAAAAAGTGCCAATCATGGCAGAGGGCCACAACATTTAGGTGGCATGGAAGGACTGCAGTGTAATAGAATAGCCATCCTTCATGAATGTGTATGAGGCTTCAGTATAAACATAAAACATATGTAAACATAAAGCAAAAAATCATAACTCCAGATGCTGCCTATCCTGGATTTCAGTGGATTTCAACAGTTCTTAGTAAATTTGGGTTAGTTGAGATCACCGAATTA
The DNA here is from genome assembly GCF_000001405.40 of Homo sapiens. Classification (NCBI taxonomy): domain Eukaryota; kingdom Metazoa; phylum Chordata; class Mammalia; order Primates; family Hominidae; genus Homo; species Homo sapiens. The sequence goes on along the minus strand of NC_000007.14, from coordinate 104,584,851 downwards.
CCATGCTGACTTCTGTTTACTCTGTAGACCACTATGACTCATGAGTTCTTTCTCTTAAGGACTGCTGCCTGCTGATTCTTTTAGTTTGACGACTTATGGGTTTTACTACTTCCTTGAAGTGGCACTATGAGCATTTTTTCTTAAGAAAATGCATTCGTTCTAACTATTCAAGATTCTACACTAAGAACTCAGTGAGACTTTCTTCATTTGGTTAGTCTTCTAGTTTGATATATAACAACTGAAGTCTACTTTTGGAGAACAGCTTATTAGTTGGTTACACTTAGATGATATTTTAGTTAATTTCTAGGAAATGGTATGAAATTGTGGCAAAACTTCTCTAATAAAGATGAAGTAAGTAATCTCTATTTTCTTTTTTTAAAAAATTTTATTATTATTATACTTTAAGTTTTAGGGTACATGTGCACAATGTGCAGGTTTGTTACATATGTATACATGTGCCATGTTGGTGTGCTGCACCCATTAAGTCGTCATTTAGCATTAGATATATCTCCTAATGCTATCCCTCCCCTCTCCCCCCACCCCACAACAGTCCCTAGTGTGTGACGTTCCCCTTCCTGTGTCCGTGTGTTCTCATTGTTCAATTCCCACCTATGAGTTAGAACATGCGGTGTTTGGTTTTTTGTCCTTGCGATAGGTTGCTGAGAATGCTGGTTTCCAGCTTCATCCATGTCCCTACAAAGGACATGAACTCATCATTTTTTATGGCTGCATAGTATTCCATGGTGTATATGTGCCACATTTTCTTAATCCAGTCTATCATTGTTGGACATTTGGGTTGGTTCCAAGTCTTTGCTATTGTGAATAATGCTGCAATAAACATACATGTTCATGTGTCTTTATAGCAGCATGATTTATAATCCTTTGGGTATATACCCAGTAATGGGATGGCTGGGTCAAATGGTATTTCTAGTTCTAGATCCCTGAGGAATCGCCACACTGACTTCCACAATGGTTGAACTAGTTTACAGTCCCACCAACAGTGTAAAAGTGTTCCTATTTCTCCACATCCTCTCCAGCACCTGTTGTTTCCTGACTTTTTAATGATCGCCATTCTAACTGGTGTGAGATGGTATCTCATTGTGGTTTTGATTTGCATTTCTCTGATGGCCAGTGATGATGAGCATTTTTTCATGTGTTTTTTGGCTGTATAAATGTCTTCTTCTGAGAGGTGTCTGTTCATATCCTTTGCACACTTTTTGATGGGGTTATTTGTTTTCTTGTAAATTTGTTTGGGTTCTTCGTAGATTCTGGATATTAGCCCTTTGTCAGATGAGTAGGTTGCAAAAATTTTACCCCATTCTGTAGGTTGCCTGTTTACTCTGATGGTACTTTCTTTTGCTGTGCAGAAGCTCTTTAGTTTAATTAGATCCCATTTGTCAATTTTGGCTTTTGTTGCGATTGCTTTTGATGTTTTAGACATGAAGTTCTGCCCATGCCTATGTCCTGAATGGTATTGCCTAGGTTTTCTTCTAGGGTTTTTATGGTTTTAGGTCTAACATTTAAGTCTTTAATCCATCTTGAATTAATTTTTGTATAAGGTGTAAGGAAGGGATCCAGTTTCAGCTTTCTACATGTGGCTAGCCAGTTTTCCCAGCACCATTTATTAAATAGGGAATCCTTTCCCCATTGCTTGTTTTTGTCAGGTTTGTCAAAGATCAGATAGTTGTAGATATGTGACATCATTTCTGAGGGCTCTGTTCTGTTCCATTGGTCTATATCTCTGTTTTGGTACTAGCACCATGCTGGTTACAGTAACCAAAACAGCATGGTACTGGTGATCTCTATTTTCTATTTGGCTGCTTGACTGAAGGGGGAACATGGATATTCCCAGTGTTTTTGTTTGAACAAATCTATTTTGATAGCATTTTAAAACCTCATCTATTCAGATACTTTCTGAAATGTCTCCAGAAGTGCCAGACCAGGTACTCTGTGATTTTAAATTTTATTAAAAAATAATATATACTAGATGCAAAAATCCTTAGCAAAACATTAGCAAATTGATTCAAATAATATATTAAAAAGATAATGCATTATAACCATATTGGGTTTTTTCCAGGAATGCAACATAGGCTTAACATTTAAAATTAGTGTAATTTATCATATTAACATACCAAAAAAGAAATATCACATGATAATCTCAATGGATGCAGAAAAAGCATTTGACAAAATTCAACACCCATTCAAAACAGATGCTAGTAAAACAGAAATAGAAAGGAAGTTACTTAACCTAGTAAAGAGTACCTAACATTATATCCAATGGTGAAATATTGATACTTTCTCCCTATAATTAGGAAAACAAAGAATGTCTACCCTTATTACTCATGTTCAACATTTTTCTGGAGATCCTGGTCTGTGCAGTAAGGCAAGAAAAATAAATAAAAGGCAAAGAGATTGAAAAGAAGGGGGAAAACTGTTTCTATTTACAAATGGCATAATTATTTAAGTAGAAAATACTGAAGAATTCTAAATACAATTATTAGAATTCATAAGTGAATTTAGTAAGTTGGCAAGATACAAGATCCACAAACAAAAATCAACAGCACTTCTATATATTAGCAGCAAACAATTGGAAAATAAAATTAAACAACAATTTTATTAATAATAGTGTCAAAAAACAAACATATTAAAAAGGAACTTGAAAAAAGGAATAAATTTTAAAAAGATGTACAAATCTCTTCACTAAAAACTATAAGATATTGCTAACAGAAATTCAAGAACACTAAATAAATGGGGCGACACGCCAAGTTCTTGAATTGGAAGATTTAGTATAGTTATCAGTCATATATTCAATCCAATGCTAATAATAATACCATAAAGGCTTTCTGATAAAAATGAACAAACTTATTTTTAAAGGTATATGAAAATTAAAAGTATCTAGACTATCCAAAGTCATAAGAAGAAAGTTAAAGGACTTCAGTACTTGAATTTAATACCTATTATCAAGCTACATTAATCAAGACAGTGTGGTAATGGCGTAAGAATAGACAAACTGATCAATGAAACCAAATAGAGAGCTGAAATATAAACCCACATGTACGTGGTTATTTACTGTTTTGACAGACATGCCAAAATAATTCAATGGGAAAAGAAAGCCTTTTCAAAAAATAGTGCTAGAATGACAGGATATCTATATGGAAAAAGTAAACTTCAACATATAAAAAAGTTAATTTGAGATAGATTATAGATTCACATGTAAAAGGTAAAACAATAAAGCTACAAAAGAACATAGGAAAACATATTCACAATCTGAGGGCAGGGAAGTTTTCTTAAACAGACACAGTGCATAGTAGGCATAAAATAAAAAATTGATAAATTAGCCTGCCTTAAAGTTAAAAACTTCTGTTCCTCAAACTATACTATTAAGATAATAAAGAGGCCAGTCATATAATAGGAGAAAATATTTTCAAAACATATATCTAACAAAAACTTGTACCCAGAACATGTAAAAACATGCTTGGCAAAGAAATAATAAAAATGGGCAAAATGTGTGAACAAACACTTCACAAAAATAGATCTCTGAACAGGCAATAAGCACATGAAAAAGTGCTTAACATCATTAGTCTTCAAGGATTTTAAAACAACACAGTGAGATATCACTACACGTTCTCAGAATGGCTAAAATTCAAAAGACTAGACAATACCAAATTTTGGCAAAGATGTGGGGCAACTGGAATTCTCATACACTGCTGAGGGGAGTGTAAAAATGGATCAATCACTTTGGAAGACATTCTAGAAGTTTCTTATAAAACTAAATAAACACCCACCCTGTGATCTAGTAATTCCATTCCTAGCTTCTTACCATAGGTAAATGGAACAAATCCACAAAAAGACTTGTACAAGGATGTTCATAGCAGTTTTATTAATATTCATAAACTGAAAATAACCTAAATGTCCATCAACAGGAGAATGGATTTAAAAATGGTACATTCATAAATTGGAATATTACTCAAGATAAAAAATAATTGTGATACATGCAACAACATGAATGGATCTAAAAAAATTATGCTGAGTAAAAGAAGGATTACATAAAAGAGTAATATTCAATGTATATGGAGTTTTACAGCAAGCAAATCTAATCTGTAGTGGAAAAAAATCAAGACAAGTTGCTGAGGGTAGGGGTGGAGATTGACTGCGATGAGTATGAGGAATTTTCTGGGGTGATGGAAATGTTCTATATCTTTATAGATGTTTGAGTTACAGGGGAGTGCCAATTTGTCAAAATTCATTGAATAATATGCCTAACTTTATGCATTACATTATAATGAAATATTGAACTCTAGGTAATTATATGCATGCTGAAGTGCTTAGGCATGAAGGCCACTGATGACTGCAACTTATTTTGGAATATATAAAAAATAAGATGGCTTGATGACTGGATAGAAGGAAAGATACCTGATAAAGCACAAATTTGTCAACAATTCTAGAATCTAGGTGGCAAGTACATGGGTGATCACTGTACAATTCTTTAAACTTTTCTTGCATTTGAAAATTTTCATAATAAAATGTTTGGGAAAAGAAAAAAATAACATTGTACTTCAGTTATCACCTGTGATAGACTGTACTCCTGGGCCTTTACAAATAGTCACAGTAATTACATACATCAGTGTTACATACATCAACACTCCAGAGGGAACCTGAATGGTCAGCTGAGAGAAGTTTGTTAAGCATGAAAACATTCTCAGAAATTATTTTTACTAAAGATGAGTGAGTATTTTAATTTCTATAATCTCCTGAGGGTCTCTGCAAGTACATTGCTAGGTATTTCACCTTTCAACCTAGGGTAGAACATTGAAAGTTCTTATATTCAAAACATAGTCGATAGTTAACAATTTGAGTAAGAATTCCATTACAAAGAGCTAAATTTTGAGTTTGTAAGTCTTGCAATCAACCAGCAAGGAGACTTAAGCCTCAACCTCCAAGAGCTATAACATGCCATGGGAGCAAGCTCTAGCTCTAGGTTTAGATATGCAGTCAGCTCCAAGAGGGCAGAAACTGTCTGAACTCACTGCTGTGTTAAATGCTAGCATAGTTCTTTGTTCATGATGGGTGCTCAGTAATTACTGTATTGATTGACAGGGTAATATTATGGGTTGGGCTCAGTTTTCTCATTAGAGTTCCAATCTCAGCTTGTGTAGCTTAACTCTAAATGGAGTAATTTAGATATCTACAAAATACAAAGAAAGTGCTCAATAATAATGACTGTAACAATGGCTAATGTTCACTGATTGGCCAATTTATCTGGGCCTTTAGGAAGTGGGGCAGCCCATCAATGGTGGACTGGATTTAAAAATGTGGTACATATACTCCATGGACTACTAGGCAGTCATAAAAAAGAATGAAACCATATTCTTTGCTGCAGCATGGATAGAGGTGTGGGCCATTATTCTAAGCAAATTAATGCAGAAACAGAAAACCCAATACCGCATGTTCTCACTTGTCAGTGGGAGCTAAATATTGGGTGCCCCTGGACATAAAGATTGAAATAACAGACACTGGGGATTCCAAAAGAGAGGAGGGAGGAAACAGGGTAAGGGTTGAAAATCTACCTGTTGGGTACTATGTTCACTATTTTGGTGATGGGTTCAATAGAAGCCCAAATCCTGGCATTATAAAATATACCCATGCAACAAACCTGCACACGTACTCCCGAATCTAAAATTAAAAAGACAGAATAAAGCATATTGCCTTCCAATAGTATACAGATTTCCTCTGAATACTACAGTTAAAATAATAAAGCAAGATTAAAAATGTTTTAAGAAAATGGGGCAACATAAGCAGTATGTTTTGTACCATAAGCTAAGATCCATTAGGGCTCTCAAATGCTTCCAAAATGCATTATTTAACATCTTCAAACACTTGGCCAGATGACAGGATGTTCCAGAACACTGGTGGGCAAGGCCCTAAAGTCAAATTAGGAGACTTAAAATATAATTTTACCTTAATTTTAGAAGTAGTTAAGTATGGTCTTAGACTGACCACTCTCGATACAAGTGAGTTGTATCTCAGTTGAATCTGACTTTATCTGATGGCCTGTCATCTATCAATTCTAACTATTTTCAGGGCCATGCCTTGAATTTAGAGTGAAGAGATTAAGGGGTATAGTGGTCCTTACTGGTTGGGGGTAGGGGGGTACTGTCAAGCACAATCTATCACGGTAGGGTGGGTGCACAGGTGGGCAGGCTCCATCAGTGCTCAGGACTGGACACCAGGAAAGCTGAAGCAAGGTCAAGAGTACAACACAGGAGATCCCAATATAAAATATTTGATATGCCATGATATAATATAATGTAATATCATACATTATAATATCAAACTCTTCAAGTCTTTAAAATTTTTTCAGGTGCCTTATTTGATCCTCAGAACACTCTTGCCTACCTGCCTGGGGCCTAGAACCCACAGGTGAAGGCAGGGGATACCCCTGGCTGGAGAGGGGAAGTATGGATGTAGCAGTAAAGGCAAAATCTGTTTATCCTGATGGGAAATCCCAGTGTTCAAATGCCTCCTGAAGAGGGATGGAAAATGATAAGGATTATAAAAGAAGCAGGCCCATCACAGCGCAGCTAAGCAGCGGGCTCTCTAGGAGTTACCCACACCTGGAGAAAACCTTTTCAGAACAAGTCTATGATACTGTGAATCCTAAGACATAAATCAGTGACTTTCCAAAACCTCTTTCTTAGAAAAGCTAACTGCCTATAACTTTTTTTTGACACATGGGACACAACCAATATAAGTGACTTAGAAAAACACCTTAAATAATTTTCCTTTACTGCATTTCTTTATCTTGGATACCATTCTTCCTGACATCCTATACATGCCGCAACACAAGATGATAAACCGACAGAATTTCCTTCTAGAATTTCTTTTTTGTTCTTCCGTGGAGAAACAGATCCAAATGTATTTTTCTCACTTTCCCATAGTTGAGGGGGAAAAGAAAGTCTGTATTACTGTGGAGATGCTTTAAGCACTTATTAAAGATGTCAGAATGCATTAGGAGTCTTGGGCCAGAATGGGCACTGGGACGGTTTTCAGAAAATACAAGGTAATAATGAGAATGACCACTCACGGAGCCACAGTTCAATATGCCTTACATTATGGAGAATAAAATCCATCTCCTGCCTAGCCATTAGCATTTATAGAAGGCATAGTTTATGAAACCAGAGAACATCTAGCAAAACAGTCAATATCAGAGTGACACTAGGGGAAACAATCTTTAGGTTTAATAACTTTAATAAGAAATAAAAATTCACTCTGTTTAGGAGGAATACACACTCACACTTGCATACACACATACATACATAGGCATTTATCTATAAACAACTCTATACTTGTACACACATATATATAGGTATGTGTATATATACGTGTGTGTGTATATATATTTACACTAACAGGATTAACACTGTTCCTCCTGTTAGATATCTTTCTTTCTAATCACTATTTTGTGCTTACTTATTCTTTCAGATTTAGGTTAACAGTAACTTCTTCTAGGAAGCTTTCCCTGACATTCTCCCATGCCCTCACCTGCTTCTCCACACGCCCCTATTGCTAAGGTTTGTGCCTCTCCTTGAGTGCATTGTTTTTGATTACCCACTTAATATGTCTAGCTCTCCCATGTGTTTAATATGTCCCTCTCCTGAAGGCAAGAACCAAGTCTTTATATCTTTAGAACTGCAGTGCCTGATTTATGTTTGATGTTCAGTAAATGTGTATTGACTGAATCAATCAGTGAAATGCTAGATCCTTTTCATGAAATATAAGAAAGCTGAGGCTATCAGATTCTGCTGATTTTGAAGTGCCTTATAAGAGTGAAAGTCATTGGAAGGTAACTGATTTAAAAGAAGAATGGAGATAGAGCCCAAGGCCCAAGAAAGGTAAGAAGATAAACTCTGGTGACAGATTCATTGTGGACAAGGACCCAGTGAGAGACTGTAAGGGAGATAACCACATTCATAAAGACCCCCAGGAAGCAATGGCAGACAAGACTGATGGCTTTTGGAATTTGGGCGGTAATACTTTCCTTTTTATAACATATCCCAGGATTTGTTTATAGCCATAACTTGTTTGTTTCTTGAGAGACCTGTAGGTCAAGGTATAAGACTGATGACTGAAGGCACTGGGGGCTACAGGGTCCATGAAACAGTGTATGTCATGGCAAAAAACAAAACAAAACAAAACAAACAAACAAACAAAAAAACCCAACTCTCTCAGACAGGACAGAGGATCAATAGGTCTGCCCTGGGAGGAAGATCTATGTTCACTATGGTACTAAGGTAGGTGAATCTACTCTTTGTTTAGATAGTCTGGAAGGTTAAGAACTAATAGCAATGCCAAGCAGTGGCTTGAAGGGGTTTTGAGGGTACTTGAGTCTACTTATAATCACCACCAGCTCCCTTCACTCAAAATGAACATACAATCTAAGTATAAATAGTGTGTTTGCAGTCCTGATTTTCACCTGTCCCCTTCCCCAGTTTAATAAATGTCCTCCCACATTTGGCTTACAAAATCTAATGAACACCCTTTGGTCTTTAACCTCTCTGTTGAACTTCAAATCGGTGATGATGTTTTCCTTCCTCAAACTCTTTCCTTCCTTGGCTTTCATGACCCTATGGTCTCCTGGTTTTCCTGAGTCCATAGATCTTTTAAACTATTCTTTTTTCTAATTTTTTTTTCCTGGATCTTCTTTCTGTGCTTGCTCCTCAAATGTGAATTTTCCCCCAGGGTTTTATTCTCATTGTACTCTTCTTATTATTCTATAAAATCATTCATTGACTTAGGAATGTCAAACGTAAATTAGGCACTGCAGTTCTAAGGATATAAAGACTTGGTTCTTGCCCTCAGGAGAGGGACATATTAAACAGATGGAAGAGCTAGGAATACAAGACAAATTCCTTAGCCACCCTTTCCAAAAAGATTACCTCCCTGAAGCCCCTTCTAGATGGAAGTTCTGGTGACACTGCTTTCAGGAATGCCATTTGCAGGTAGGAGGAAAGGAGGCTCCTTAATATTTAAAGGGTAAAGTGGTCAGATGCAGTGGTTCATGCCTGTAATCCCAGCACTTTGGGAGGCTGAGGTGGGAGGATCACCTGAGCCCGGAGAGGTGGAGGTTGCAGTGAGCCGTGATGGAGCCACTGCACTGCAGCCTGGGTGACAGAGTGAGACCCTGTCTCAATAAATAAATAAATAAATAAATAATAAAGCAAAGAAGCCCACCATTGGGACTCTCTGGGCAGGTTGCTTGTTTCTGTTTTTTTTTTTTTTTTTTTTTTTTTTTAGATCTCTTTGGACACTATCAGCTGTTCTCACTCATTTCTCATATATTAAAAATAGGCCTATTTGCCAATAATATATAAAAATTGCACATAACACTTTTAGTGAATTTTATGGTCAGAAGCGTCTAGCTACTTATACTCAATTTCTGTTATATTCTATAAATAAAGTAAGCTCAGAATTTATTTTCGAGGTTGATTCTTCTCAAAGTAAGTAGAGGCATATCAGACACTTAATGAAAACCCTTGAACAGAATTCTTAGAAGCAAGGGAGATGAGAAAATGGTACAGTGGAAACAGCAATAGTTTGAAAACCAGGGGTCTTGATATCTAGCTCTGGTTCAGTGGTTAATTGGGTCAGGCTAAATGGAGAAAATGGGATTCCCTCTAAGACTCCTTCCAACATTGACATTGAAATAATCGGTCATTTGCAAAATATTCTTAACCTCTTTAGTCTTCTGTTATTTGTGTTCCATTTACTCAGAAACCAAAGTATGCTTAAGTCATTTATTACATCCATTAGACATTTATAATGATTAATGAATTACTTAGTCATCAAAAGCAGTTACCATTGTCTAGTGAAACTCTCATGGATTATATTTTACTTAAAATGTACAGGGTACCCTTTTTTGTCCTTTCTCCAGGATCTGCATACATGGAGTGTCATATTTTCCATCTGGTGTTTTATTGTCACTCTTCTTTAACTCCAGTTCTGCCTTTTCTTCCTTCAGAACAGTAATATCTATAAAATATTGCCAGTATCAAAACCCTAAGGGTGTATGGGACTGGGGAAAAATCTCAAATAAGCAAATACATAAATTCTTAAATAAAATACAATTTATAAAAGATCCCTTATATATCATTTTAGAGTAGGTAGTTAGGTTTCTATTTATCAAAAATGTATAATATAGACGAATTTTGACAATACCCATGTTTGCAATTCTCACATTTTCAAAGCATTTTGAAAACTGTATTTTCTAGAGGACATCTCTCTAGTTCCTCTTTCCTCTCCCCTAAAGACTCCAATAGGATTAGGAAATCTGAAAGCTGCTATTTGCTTTGAGCAGTCTTTCACAGATTTAGCATTTGCCAAAATTCTTACTTCAAAAATGTAAAGTCCTTTAAAGGGCTTTCTGAATAAGCCCCTCTATTCTACTTCTCTAAAAATTAGTAATCCATTAATGATATTATAGGACTTTTATGTTACTTATCCAGCAGAGCTTGTTCTTGTCCCTGTCCCTGCCCCCTTCGTAGAACTTAAGTGAATGCAGGCACATGCTGGTGGACTGATGTGACATGTTCCTTTTCAGTGAGAATTGAAGCAGTGGTGTTCTGAGTAGACAATTAGACCATCTCTCTTAGTTGGACTTTCTCTGATTGACAGTCATGAGTGGCAAATATAATTGAAAAATTCACTTGATATGACACCTAGGGAATTTCTATAATTTGTTAATTTTGTCAGGCTTTTTCATAATTACCTAATTCTTGAGTCCACTTGTATTACTTGGACACAATCAAGAGATCGGATTTAGCAGTAAATATTTCCAAGCTGCAGCACAATAATCTCCTATTCCAAATGTCAATCATTCCACTCTCTGCCTCTTTCAATTTGTGCTCTTTTGTGTACGAATGTCATCCTCACTGACACCAAAATTAAAGTGGAATACTATTCCTTTTTAACAAAGACAAAGGAGAAAGCTTAGATGGGGAATTCATAATGGGAAAGGGACCATGCAATATACAGTGTGCAAAGCAAAGCATTGCGACCAGAATAAATGATAATGTTGAGAGAAGAGGGGACTGTCTCTCACTAACCACCTGTTTATCAGGACTGGCCACTGAGGTGAGCTGATTGAAGGAAGACCAAAACAGTAACAGGCATCTCCCAACCTTTACCCAGGCCCTGGCTGTTAGGAGGAAAGAGCCATTGCAGCGACTGATGTAGGTGTGAATGTAGCTGTGAACAGGGGTGACAAAATAATTCCAAAGGGAGCAAAATAACTCCAATGGGAAAATGATCTCACACTAGTTGGTATTTCATTTATGTCTCAAGTTTCCTAAGTTCATTCCTATACCATTTAATAGCCAATCACTACCTGTGCATTGTTTACTTAATATTTGTCTTTTCTTTCTTACTTTCTTTTTTTTTTTTTTTGAGATGGTCTTACTCTATTACCCAGGCTGGAGTGCAGTGGTGTGATCTCGGCTCACTGCAACCTCCGCCTCCCAGGTTCAAGTGATTCTTGTGCCTCAGCCTCCCCAGTAGCTAGGATTACAGGTGCCCGCCACTATGCCGGCTAATTTTTGTATTTTTAACAAAGATGGGGTTTCACTATGTTGGCCAGGCTGGTCTTGCACTCCTGACCTCAGGTGATCCGCCCGCCTTGGCCTCCCAAAGTGCTGGGATTACAGGCATGAGCCACTGCACCTGGCCAATATTTGTCTTTAAATCAACCCATTTTCCCTCCCCAAATGAATCGATTGAAAGGAAACTTCCTATAGTACCTTTAATGAAAAATGGATATCAGCTGCCAGAAATAAAAAGAGATTGTTAATGTAAATGTCATGAAAATGAAACAATCCTATTTAATTCTAGTTAAATTTAGTGGTCAATCAAAAGCTGTCCTTTTAGACCTGCTATTTCTATTTAAAAGGGAACTGGTTAATGTTAGAGAGGTGTTTAAGACATATTAGCATCAACTTGAGACTCTTTTTCTCTTTTAGCAGGATTGGAAAATAATTGAGGAGGAAATACCTTTCTCATTTATGATTCAGTATTATTCAATGTGGACCCTAAAATGCCTACTCAGCAGTGAAATTACAGACTTAGGAAAACACTGACCTACTTTAGTCCCTATAGAAGATCAACCCTTAAAAGCAGAGCATTTTTGAGATAGCTAATAGAGTACTATAGAACCTTTGGCTCTTTTCCAAAATCATCAAGCAGATATACAACACAGTAGATTGCATTTTTCAAAAAGAAATAGATGTAGTTCTATAAAATTGGGTTATATAAAAATTGTTGACTATTATTAAGAATGTTCCCACTGCTTGAATAAAAGAAAACCTCCCAAAAGTCTTGATTTAAGTCCATAAAGCCATAAAATTAAGTCCATGAATCCATAAAATTCTTCCTCCTCCCTACTAGAATATTAATTCTTTTGAAATAAAACAGACTTGATCATTTACCTCGCCTAAATTCATATTTCTCTCTTGCTCTAAAGCCACATCTCCAAAAGGCTAACCACAGATAAGCCTAAAATTATAGTTGTATGTTCTTTTGAGAACTTTTGTCTTTTATAACAAAATATATTAGGTTGGTGCAAAAGTAACTGCAGTTTTTGCCACTACACGCAATGGCAAAAATCGCAATAACTTTTGCACCAACACAAATAGATTCAAATCTGTGTGAAAAATACTTGAAAACACCACCACACTTTTTGATCTGGTACATTTGTTTCTTCAAAGTCAGGTGATATATCTTTTGAAAAGAACAAAATAGTTCACTTAAAATCTGCACTTTAAAACAGACTGACGACCAGAAGGATAACCACCAAATGGCTCAGGGTGGTTAACTCTGGGAGAAAAGGGGGAAGATTTCAGAAGGTTTTTATATTCTACTTTACATACTTAAAAATAAGAAAAAGTGTGTGTGTGTTTACATAAAGTTTAGAAAGATTTTGCCAAAATAGAATGCATCCAGAGAATCATCAGGATGCCAAATATTCTGAACTCTGTTCCTCTGTCCTCTGAGGGATTCTTGGGAGAATGAAAATAGTGAGAAGGTTTAGCCCTGTGAAGACTTGGTTGTCTGCAAATACCTACAGGGCTGCAAGGGCAGGGGAGAAAAAAAGGAATGAAATATGTGTGATGCTTCTTCTGAGGCAGAATTCAGGTTAATCAGTGAACATAACAGGGAAGCAGGTTTTTGTCTCCATCCAAGGAGCAATTTTCATATAACCCGACCCATCAGTGGATTTGGCATCATTCAAAGGAGTGAGCTGCTTTTCAGTATTGTGTCCAGAAAAGGCTTGTAAGTCACTTGCCAGGAACTTCAAGGATGAGATGGCTGCATGGTGAGGAAGAAAAGCTGGCGAAAGGAGGGGTGTTAAGGCTCCTTCTAAACAGAAGATGCTGTGATTTATGCTGAAACACAGAACTCTATCCCGCACCTCATCCTTTGCCACTGACTATTGAAGCTCTTTGAAAATTGGGAAAAAAAAACTGAAGACTGAGGAAAGAGTTTGGTTTAATGAAGGAATCATTTACGGTCTCTTGACTGAAAGAAATGATAAATTTTTAATTTTTTCATGGCCTTTTCATTTTACAGTCTAAAGTAGATACTTCAGGGCATCATGTAAAAATGAGAAGTATGAATTACTAACATTATAATCCATTTAGGGTAAAGTTGATGCAAGGGTTCATAAGAGGTTTTTAACACCTAGGCAAGGTGAATTTAAGCTGAATGTGAAATATAATCAAATTAACATTTAATTCAGATGCTATTCTGACTCACATTTGCTGGGTTCTCCAAAAAAGCTCTTTTTACCAGGTGAACACTAAGGGCAGTATGTTTGAGTAATAGGAAAATGTCTGAGTCTTTACAAAATAATAACAGCCAATATTCCAGAATGATTATTAGATGGGAAAGCAGGATTATTTAAGTAGGGTGTAAATTTACATTTAGGAGAGCATAAGAAAGCAGCATAGAGCTTACTAAGTACGGCCTATTGGGGAGAAGAGCAGAAAAGATAACTGTTGGGTACTGGGCTTAATTCCTGAGTGATGAAATAATCTGTACAACAAACCCCCGTGATATGAGTTTACCTACGTAACAAACTTTCACAGGTACCCCCGAACCTAAAATAAAAGTTAAAAAAGAAAAAGAACAGTCTCTTGGTGGATGGACACTGATGATAGCAGAGACAGCTGCTAGGCATTTGTTCCAAGACAAACAGCGACAGGTACTGGAAAAAAGTTTGCTTCAGATAGAGAATTTGTCCATTTCTCAGGGAAACTGAAGTTCAAGAAAATTGCTCCATTATTTTTGCGTTATGACATAATAGACATGTACAAATCATGCCATCAAGTCTAAGTTCTGGTTGAATTCAGGTCTATCTATGGTTAGTAGACAATAGTGTCACTGAGTACATAAAGAGTGGAGCTCTTGAAATTCCACTATTGAAGGTCATTCTTTTGGGTGAAGCACCCTCATATCTGAAAGTCACCCAAGGAAAAGCTGACACATGAGCCACATTTGGCCAAAGTGTGGTGCCACCAGGAGGGGTGTAAGCAATGCTAACTGCTGAGCATGTGCCAGGGCAAACAAGAGCAGGCAAAAGATGGAAATAGGAAGGCTTCAATCAATCAATCAATATAGACTGGGCATTTACTCTGTAATACCAAATTTCATCCACCCCACAATTTTCCAATGGCTGATACAAAGTATAGCTTTCATAACACAAAAACAGTCTAATTTAAGCCAGCACTTAAAAAAATGTAAGAGCAGATGTATTTGAGAGAAATTAGCATTTTCGCATAAGACTCTAATGCTTCAAAACACAATGAATCATGTCTCTGTTAGAGCAAATATTTATGCTTCTCATGAGCTTATGATTATTCTTGAAGATAATCAGGAAACTGTAGTCATTGTGGAGAGAGGATAGTATGGCATAGTGGTTGAGCATATAGCCTCTGGTGTCAAACAGAGTTGGGTTTGAATCTTATTTCCATTGTTTACAGGTTACGTGACCTGGGGCAAGTTACTCAGCATTACTAAGTCCCAGTTTTGTGTTCTATACAACAGGGAATCCGTAGAATCCACCTTATAGGGCTTGCTGTCAGAACTAAATGACATAATAGCCACCACTGAACATTGTGCCCGGCATATAAAAATATTAGCCATCATTAAGAATATATTATTTACAACTGTTTTTATTAAGAGATCATTGAAAAAAGTAATTATGTGAAATGATGGCTATGCTAATCTATTTTCGTATAGTAAACATTTTACTATCTATATGTGTCCCATAACATCGTATTGTAAATCTCAAATACACACAATAAAAATTATTTTTACCCCTCCCCCCAAATAAGAGAGATCACTGAATGACAAGGTGTATACAACGGTGTGCAGTTCTTTCTACATTTGCCATGAGTGAGAATATTTATCTGTAGTTTGCAGGTCAAATGTCATTCATTCATTTAAATATATTTATTGAGTATCAGCTAGATGCTGGTGATACAAAGATGACTAATACATTTCCCTGCCCTCATGTGGCCTGGAGTCTTAATAGGACACAGTCATAAAAACAAATACTTATTGCATACTGTAATGGGTGCTACACTAGAGATAAACATAAGAGACACCATGGCCAAAGGGAAGAAGATAAAGATATAGGAAGATTTCACTTTCCAATTCTCTGTTCTTCAATCACTATATTGCCTACAGTTGTCCATCTATCCAGAGCTAGAACACTAAAGATGAGTTGAAAAAAATGTAATAAGCAGCATTAGAGGTTTTTGAATCCTCTAATGAAGACCAATCACCACATTTATTAATTCTTTGGGAGATCTTATTTTGCTTTTGTTCAAACATAATTATGTTAGCCTTTCTCTTTCATATAATTAAATACATGCTTTAATATTTAGCCAAAACATTCTGCTATTCTACATCCCAAAGAAGCCCAGTCATGGGAAATTTAATGGCAACCTGAAGAACTAACTGAGCATTGTTTTACAATGCTTTAGGAGATGAATTCTGGTTTCTCTGACCTCTGGAAGGGCACCACCAGTGAGTTTTTGGGAGAATACACTCTGCGCCATGTCATGGGTGGTAGGAGGACAGAGACAACTGGAAAGGAGAGCTGACAGATGGGCAGTATGATTCTCAGCACAGCATATAGGCTGCAATCAGGAGTTAGGTCCCACCAGAGGGAGGCTGTACAGACACCAGTAGGCTAGAAGCTAAGGCTGCATTGGACTTTCTGGGATAATGGAAAGAACAGTAGACTGGGAGTGAGATGATCCAAGACCTAGTATTAACTGTGCAACAAATTCATTATGTGGCCTTGGCTAAGTTATTTAACATTTACCAGTCATGGCCTTCTCAGTGGAAGAATTTCCCATCTCTTCTGCAAATACTGAGTACATACCATAATATAAGTACTAAGATTCAGGAAGAACAGGACTTGGTCCCTGCCTTCAAGGGGCTATAATTTGGTGAGGAAGATGAGCAAAACACAAGTGCCTTTAGCACAAGATGAAAAGTGCCACATAGCATTAGAAGCTTAACTATGATTGCACATCAGAATCACCTTGGGAGTTTCACCTCCATACCTACCAAGTCAGTAGCTCTTTATAGAGTCTGAATGTGAAAATTTTGAAAATTCTCCCCAGGTGATTCTCAGGTACAAATCTGTTAAGAATCCTATTAGAAAGTCTTGATCTCCAGGATTCCTTAAGAGTCCATAGGAGAGGTGCGGAACTGAAGAGGAGGGTAATTTAAAGAAGGGAATTAGACTCATCCTCTTGAGCTCCTTCCAGCTCTGACATCTTTGAACCTACAGCATGGAAAAGCACAGCTCTTGGGTAGCCATAGTTGGTGCCCCGAAACTTGACTGAGAGAGCAGTAGACGTGCATTGGGGTCTAGGGCTCAGAGACACGGGAGAAAAAGTATCTCAGTTATAGCAGAGGTGGGAGGGTCCACAGGTCAATGCAGGCGGCATGACCATTAGTTCTGCAGTAGCACTATGTCCATGCTGAGGGTTTTTCCTTTACTGAAGGAGGCAAGGATCAACTGGAGCAGGTGCAAGCCTGAACTAAGTCCTTGGGTACATCATGAGCAAGCCGAAAGGAAAGAAGTCCCCTTTCCTCAACACCAGCCCTAGTCATCATTTTCTTCACTGTGGATGGTGTCTCTGACACGACAGTTTTCTTAGACTGACTAAAGTGATTCTGGAATGTCACCAAAAAGGGAATGGATAAACATATCTTGTGACTAGAGGAATGCCTTTATCCTACTCATCCGTTGGATTTGACCTGAGAGCTCATCCAGGTGCTCACCTGATGCTACAGTTGGATCAATGCACCAGCTTTGAGGATGCCAGTACATTCAAAGAAAAGAATATACAAAGTCCATATCACCCTAAACACATGGGTATATCCAAAGTGAATGAAAGCTGCCTTGGCACCTCCTGAAGAAGTCTCTGTCAAGCCAGTAGCATCTCCTGAGAATGACCAATGTATCTAGGGGGCCTAAAATGGCTCTATGATTAAACACTGCCCCATGGCACATGTGTTCTTTTGAATATAATTATTGAGACAAAATAATGTAATACATTGGTAAAAGAAATGAAATTTATAAAAATATGAGTGATTTCTCAATCACTAGGAATCACATTGGAAACTCTGCTTTCACAAAAGTTAAGTGAAAGACAGTACCATCTAAACACTTCGTTTGATATAAAGCTGACTCTATTTTGTATTCAAGCTATGGAAAATATATAGCTGTCCTGGAAGAAGCTTTGCAAATGAAGCCAAGTTTGCCAAGAATTACAATAGTCATCAAGGGAGGCTGACAGAAGAGTGAGAAATGAGCCACAAATACATTAAGAAGAGAAATTCTAACAAAGCCAAGGATAATTTTTAGTTTTACTTGACAGGTTATAACATTTTCTTCTTATGAAGTACCTCATGAACCTAGATTTGAAATGGGGAGTTACATTTGAGAAATAATGTTTTCCTTTGGTGCTTGAATAAACAGAGAAATGAATGGCACAAAAGGGGGCTAGCTCAATCTTGTGTAGTATTTCCTTAGACTTTTCATAAAATGCTTTAAAATATGAATTAATTCTCATTGAATAGGGTGCAAAACTGGTCCAGTTTCATCATTGGGAAAGAAAGGTATGATGCCTAGGGGTGTCAACTGACTAGTGGGAAAGAGATCAGGACAAGGGTCAGACTCATGGTACGGGCTTCTAACATCTCTGTTTTAATAACATGAGCCATCTTTGGTTCTTATGTGAAAACCCATCATTTTTCCTCTTTAATATTAAAAAAGCCCTGGATGCCCTTGTATAAATATTTATCATTCACAACTCATTTCCTAAACATGAATAAAATGACTTGTCAGGAGAGGTCAGGGTATTTTTATTTCCAGATGTGGATGCTGAGGGTGAGATGTGTAGGAAGAAGGTGAGTTTTTGTTTTTGAGAGACAGGGTCTTGCTCTGTCACTCAGGCTGGAGTGTAGTGATGTGGTTACGACTCACTGCAGCCTCACCCTCCTGGGCTCAAGCAATCTTCTTACCTCAGCCTCCTGAGTAGCTAGGACTACAGGTGCATGCCATCATGACAGGCAAATTTTTTTGGTTTTATTTTTATAGAGTTTAGTTCTGACTATGTTGCCCAGACTGGTCTCAAAGTCCTGGGCCCAAAAGCCTCCCACCCCGACCTCCCAAAATGCTGGGATTACAGGTATGAGCCATCATGCCCAGCCATGAGAAGGTGAGTTCCGAGTCACAAAACTGATTAGAGCTTTCCTCCCAGTTCCTACCTCTATTTGGCTCTTCTGGTTGAAAATGCCTTTTCCCTCTGGTGAATGGCTGGCCGTGGGCCTTAACAGTGCATTATGCTTGTTGGCTCTGTCACATATAATCACAGTCATCACTTAACAATGGTTACTCCAGGATGGGAGCCGAGAGTTTCTGTTGACTAATCGAACATTTGGAGTGATAGGTCATATGGCAAAATTGTGGGGAATGATAGATAGATTAGACAGATAGATAGATTAGATAGATAGATAGATAGATAGATAGATAGATAGATAGATAGATAGATAGACAGACAGACAGGAAGGTGCAGGGAAACTTGAGAAATTGAAAAAAAAAAGTCTAACTGTTATCCAGTAAGATGAAGTGCATGCATTTGTTTAATGGTTTTCATTAAAGTACCAGGCCATAAGTAATCTGTATTTTAAATTAGTATTTACCTAGGATTAAACATTCTAACAGCTTTCATTTCTCTTCCTCAATTTCCTGTCAATTCCTTCTCTTCTCTCTTAACACAATTTCCCCTTGTGTCTGCTGAACAAAAACTGTTTTGGAAATGTTGACCAATTTAACTAATAGACCAGATTAGTCCTGATTCTTAAATACAGCTTTTTGAAGACTGCTCAAATAAATAGCAACATTTTTTCTCATGCATTAGCATCTTAAATGTACTATTTAAAGCACAGAACTTTCTTATTAGGAGGTGGACTCAAATTTATGATTTTTCTGGAGAGCTTTTAATTTCTTTCAAAATATCTAGGAGCCACAGAGCTGAATAAAGTTATCTCCACAGGACTTAATATTTTTCAGTAAATCTGTCATCTTATATGTTTGAATGCTTAGGTGATTTCAAAGACTTATTTGTACTTTTCTAAAATCTACTGGTCCACTATTTTAACTCATTATATTTTCTATTGATGATAAATTAAGCCATTGCAAAATGACTTTCCAGATCAATGCAGGCCACACAAAGTTATTTAATTTTCCAGGTTCACAAGATTCCATCACTGACTTCTTTTGGCTTACATTTCAGGATCACTAGTGGAGAGTCGTTGCTGATGGGAGCAGTGAGCATGAGTAATTCACATTCACATGGCCAACAACTAAGTCTCTACTCTAGCACTGCGAGGAAGATGGTGTTCCCCTCCCTAGTCTCTCAACCCCATGTGAATCCCGGCACACTTTTCTCCCACAGAAAGCCCAGATGGGTGTTCTGGAGTGGCGCTGTCAGGTTTCAGAAGCAGAGGTCCCAGCAGTGGTCTGTTATCTAAAGGGAAATGGGCCCATCCTGAGCTACTTTCCACTGCCTTCCAAAGCAAACTGGGTTCATACTCACATCCAACTGCCTCAGTCATGGGCATGCCAGCCAAAAGAGTCTACAGAAAGACATTCAGGGCAACATAGTTCTCTACATCAAAATCTGCCTGTTTACTTTCTTTCTCATGTAAAAACTTAACTTTTATTTAGATGATCAGATTATATGAGGTATCTAGATGGATTCATAATATTATTCAAATATGTGGTATCCTTTGCAATAACCAGCTTTAGATTTTACACACCACAGGCCCTCAGTAAATATTTGTTGAATGGAATGAAACAGAATTGAATGCCATCAGTTCCTACTGCTGGCTGTTTTATCTACCCTAGTGGCATATTTTATAATTCAGGGAAGGATTTTCTAAAAGTGTATTACTATATCAAGAATTACTGCATCTGGGATGTGATTAGCAAAGCTAAGACCCTAACTCAGTCCTCCAAACATCATTCAGTAGAAGCAGTGGTAATAGAACCCATAACATGGTGTTATGGGCATAGGTTTTAAGTGAAACAAACATAAGTGAAAATCCTGATTCTGTCAGGTGTGTGACCTAGGATGGGTTACTGGGTCACTCTATTCTTGAGTTTTCTCTTTTATACAATAATAGTAGCCACATCATAGGATTGTTGAGAGGATCAAATGAGATATTGTATGTGTAGTGTTTAACATAATGCCTGGCACATAATGAGCACCCAATAAATGGTAGCTATTACTATTGTTATTAGGTATTTTCTATGGCAGAAAGATCAGTTTATGCAACTCCATTTGCTTAATATTAAGCTATTATTTAATGGCAAATTTAATATTTCTGTTTATCCAGCTGTCCTTGTCTGTTCAGGCTACTATAACAGAATATCACAGATTGGGTGACTTATAAACACAGAAATTTATTTCTTATAGTTCTGGAGTCTGAGAAGTGTAAGATCAAAGTGCTGGCAGATCTGGTGTGTGGTGAGGGCCTACTTCCTGGTTTACAGATTAAAGTCTCCGGAGGAGCCAAGATGGCCGAACAGGAACAGCTCCGGTCTACAGCTCCCAGCCTGAGCAACACAGAAGACGGGTGATTTCTGCATTTCCATCTGAGGTACCGGGTTCTTCTCACTAGGGAGTGCCAGACAGTGGGCGCAGGTCAGTGGGTGCGTGCACCGTGCGCGAGCCGAAGCAGGGCGAGGCATTGCCTCCCTTGGGAAGCGCAAGGGGTCAGGGAGTTCCCTTTCTGAGTCAAAGAAAGGGGTGACGGATGGCACCTGGAAAATCGGGTCACTCCCACCCGAATACTGTGCTTTTCCGACGGGCTTAAAAAACGGTGCACCACGAGATTATATCCCGCACCTGGCTCGGAGGGTCCTACGCCCACGGAGTCTCGCTGATTGCTAGCACAGCAGTCTGAGATCAAACTGCAAGGCGGCAGCGAGGCTGGGGGAGGGGCGCCCGCCATTGCCCAGGCTTGATTAGGTAAACAAAGCAGCCGGGAAGCTCGAACTGGGTGGAGCCCACCACAGCTCAAGGAGGCCTGCCTGCCTCTGTAGGCTCCACCTCTGGGGGCAGGGCACAGACAAACAAAAAGACAGCAGTAACCTCTGCAGACTTAAATGTCCCTGTCTGACAGCTTTGAAGAGAGCAGTGGTTCTCCCAGCACGCAGCTGGAGATCTGAGAATGGGCAGACTGTCTCCTCAAGTGGGTCCCTGACCCCTGACCCCCGAGCAGCCTAACTGGCAAGCACCCCCCAGCAGAGGCACACTGACACCTCACACGGCAGGGTACTCCAACAGACCTGCAGCTGAGGGTCCTCTCTGTTAGAAGGAAAACTAACAAACAGAAAGGACATCCACACCAAAAACCCATCTGTACATCACCATCATCAAAGACCAAAAGTAGATAAAACCACAAAGATGGGGAAAAAACAGAACAGAAAAACTGGAAACTCTAAAAAGCAGAGTGCCTCTCCTCCTCCAAAGGAACGCAGTTCCTCACCAGCAATGGAACAAAGCTGGATGGAGAATGACTTTGAGGAGCTGAGAGAAGAAGGCTTCAGACGACCAAATTACTCTGAGCTATGGGAGGACATTCAAACCAAAGGCAAAGAAGTTGAAAACTTGAAAAAAATTTAGAAGAATGTATAACTAGAATAACCAATACAGAGAAGTGCTTAAAGGAGCTGATGGAGCTGAAAACCAAGGCTCCAGAACTACGTGAAGAATGCAGAAGCCTCAGGAGCCGATGCGATCAATTGGAAGAAAGGGTATCAGCGATGGAAGATGAAATGAATGAAATGAAGCGAGAAGGGAAGTCTAGAGAAAAAAGAATAAAAAGAAATGAGCAAAGCCTCCAAGAACTATGGGACTATGTGAAAAGACCAAATCTATGTCTGATTGGTGTACCTGAAAGTGATGGGGAGAATGGAACCAAGTTGGAAAACACTCTGCAGGATATTATCCAGGAGAACTTCCCCAATCTAGCAAGGCAGGCCAACGTTCAGATTCAGGAAATACAGAGAACGCCACAAAGACACTCCTCGAGAAGAGCAACTCCAAGACACATAATTGTCAGATTCACCAAAGTTGAAATGAAGGAAAAAATGTTAAGGGCAGCCAGAGAGAAAGGTCGGGTTACCCTCAAAGGGAAGCCCATCAGACTAACAGCGGATCTCTCAGCAGAAACCCTACAAGCCAGAAGAGAGTGGGGGCCAATAGTCAACATTCTTAAAGAAAAGAATTTTCAACCCAGAATTTCATATCCAGCCAAACTAAGCTTCTTAAGTGAAGGAGAAATAAAATCCTTTACAGACAAGCAAATGCTGAGAGATTTTGTCACCACCAGGCCTGCCTTACAAGAGCTCCTGAAGGAAGCACTAAACATGGAAAGGAACAACCAGTACCAGCCAATGCAAAATCATGCCAAAATGTAAAGACAATCGAGACTAGGAAGAAACTGCATCAACTAACGAGCAAAATAACCAGCTAACATCATAATGACAGGATCAAATTCACACATAACAATATTAACTTTAAATGTAAATGGACTAAATGCTCCAATTAAAAGACACAGACTGGCAAATTGGATAACAAGTCAAGACCCATCAGTGTGCTGTATTCAGGAAACCCATCTCACATGCAGAGACACACATAGGCTCAAAATAAAAGGATGGAGGAAGATCTACCAAGCCAATGGAAAACAAAAAAAGGCAGGGGTTGCAATCCTAGTCTCTGATAAAACAGACTTTAAACCAACAAAGATCAAAAGAGACAAAGAAGGCCATTACATAATGGTAAAGGGATCAATTCAACAAGAAGAGCTAACTATCCTAAATATATATGCACCCAATACAGGAGCACCAAGATTCATAAAGCAAGTCCTGAGTGACCTACAAAGAGACTTAGACTCCCACACATTAATAATGAGAGACTTTAACACCCCACTGTCAACATTAGACAGATCAACGAGACAGGAAGTCAACAAGGATACCCAGGAATTGAACTCAGCTCTGCAACAAGCGGACCTAATAGACAATTACAGAACTCTCCACCCCAAATCAACAGAACATACATTTTTTTCAGCACCACACCACACCTATTCCAAAATTGACCACATACTGGGAAGTAAAGCTCTCCTCAGGAAATGTAAAAGAACAGAAATTATAACAAACTATCTCTCAGACCACAGTGCAATCAAACTAGAACTCAGGGTTAAGAATCTCACTCAAAACTGCTCAACTACATGGAAACTGAACAACCTGCTCCTGAATGACTACTGGGTACATAACGAAATGAAGGCAGAAATAAAGATGTTCTTTGAAACCAACGAGAACAAAGACACAACATACCAGAATCTCTGGGACGCATTCAAAGCAATGTGTAGAGGGAAATTTATAGCACTAAATGCCCACAAGAGAAAGCAGGAAAGATCCAAAATTGACACCCTAACATCACAATTAAAAGAACTAGAAAAGCAAGAGCAAACACATTCAAAAGCTAGCAGAAGGCAAGAAATAACTAAAATCAGAGCAGAACTGAAGGAAATAGAGACACAAAAAACTCTTCAAAAAAATTAATGAATCCAAGAGCTGGTTTTCTGAAAGGATCAACAAAATTGATAGACCGCTAGCAAGACTAATAAAGAAAAAAAGAGAGAAGAATCAAATAGACGCAATAAAAAATGATAAAGGGGATATCACCACCGATCCCACAGAAATACAAACTACCATCAGGGAATACTACAAACACCTCTACGCAAATAAACTAGAAAATCTAGAAGAAATGGATAAATTCCTGGACACATACACTCTCCCAAGACTAAACCAGGAAGAAGTTGAATCTCTGAATAGACCAATAACAGGATCTGAAATTGTGGCAATAATCAATAGCTTACCAACCAAAAAGAGTCCAGGACCAGATGGATTCACAGCCGAATTCTACCAGAGGTACAAGGAGGAACTGGTACCATTCCTTCTGAAACTATTCCAATCAATAGAAAAAGAGGGAATCCTCCCTAACTCATTTTATGAGGCCAGCATCATTCTGATACCAAAGCCGGGCAGAGACACAACAAAAAAAGAGAATTTTAGACCAATATCCTTGATGAACATTGATGCAAAAATCCTCAATAAAATACTGGCAAACGGAATCCAGCAGCACATCAAAAAGCTTATCCACCATGATCAAGTGGGCTTCATCCCTGGGATGCAAGGCTGGTTCAATATACGCAAATCAATAAATGTAATCCAGCATATAAACAGAACCAACGACAAAAACCACATGATTATCTCAATAGATGCAGAAAAAGCCTTTGACAAAATTCAACAACCTTCATGCTAAAAACTCTCAATAAATTAGGTATTGATGGGACGTATTTCAAAATAATAAGAGCTATCTATGACAAACCCACAGCCAATATCATACTGAATGGGCAAAAACTGGAAGCATTCCCTCTGAAAACTGGCACAAGACAGGGATGCCTTCTCTTACCACTCCTATTCAACATAGTGTTGGAAGTTCTGGCCAGGGCAATTAGGCAGGAGAAGGAAATAAAGGGTATTCAGTTAGGAAAATAGGAAGTCAAATTGTCCCTGTTTGCAGATGACATGATTGTATATCTATAAAACCCCATCGTCTCAGCCCAAAATCTCCTTAAGCTGATAAGCAACTTCAGCAAAGTCTCAGGATACAAAATCAATGTACAAAAATCACAAGCATTCTTATACACCAACAACAGACAAACAGAGAGCCAAATCATGAGTGATCTCCCATTCACAATTGCTTCAAAGAGAATAAAATACCTAGGAATCCAACTTACAAGGGATGTGAAGGACCTCTTCAAGGAGAACTACAAACCACTGCTCAACGAAATAAAAGAGGATACAAACAAATGGAAGAACATTCCATGCTCATGGGTAGGAAGAATCAATATTGTGAAAATGGCCATACTGCCCAAGGTAATTTACAGATTCAATGCCATCCCCATCAAGCTACCAATGACTTTCTTCACAGAATTGGAAAAAACTACTTTAAAGTTCATATGGAACCAAAAAAGAGCCCGCATCGCCAAGTCAATCCTAAGCCAAAAGAACAAAGCTGGAGGCATCACACTACCTGACTTCAAACTACACTGAAAGGCTACAGTAACCAAAACAGCATGGTACTGGTACCAAAACAGAGATATAGATCAATGGAACAGAACAGAGCCCTCAGAAATAACGCCACATATCTACAACTATCTGATCTTTGACAAACCTGACAAAAACAAGCAATGGGGAAAGGATTCCCTATTTAATAAATGGTGCTGGGAAAACTGGCTAGCCATATGTAGAAAGCTGAAACTGGATCCCTTCCTTACACCTTACACAAAAATCAATTCAAGATGGATTAAAGACTTAAACGTTAGACCTAAAACCATAAAAACCCTAGAAGAAAACCTAGGCAATACCATTCAGGACATAGGCATGGGCAAGGACTTCATGTCTAAAACACCAAAAGCAATGGCAACAAAAGCCAAAATTAACAAATGGGATCTAATTAAACTAAAGAGCTTCTGCACAGCAAAAGAAACTACCATCAGAGTGAACAGGCAACCTACAAAACGGGAGAAAATTTTCGCAACCTACTTATCTGACAAAGGGCTAATATCCAGAATCTACAATGAACTCAAACAAATTTACAAGAAAAAAACAAACAACCCCATCAAAAAGTGGGCGAATGACATGAACAGACACTTCTCAAAAGAAGACATTTGTGCAGCCAAAAAACACATGAAAAAATGCTCATCATCACTGGCCATCAGAGAAATGCAAATCAAAACCACAATGAGATACCATCTCACACCAGTTAGAATGGCAATCATTAAAAAGTCAGGAAACAACAGGTGCTGGAGAGGATGTGGAGAAATAGGAACACTTTTACACTGTTGGTGGGACTGTAAACTAGTTCAACCATTGTGGAAGTCAGTGTGGCGATTCCTCAGGGATCTAGAACTGGAAATACCATTTGATCCAGCCATCCCATTACTGGGTATATACCCAAAGGACTATAAATCATGCTGCTATAAAGACACATGCACACGTATGTTTATTGCGGCATTATTCACAATAGCAAAGACTTGGAACCAACCCAAATGTCCAACAGTGATAGACTGGATTAAGAAAATGTGGCACATATACACCATGGAATACTATGCAGCCATAAAAAATGATGAGTTCATGTCCTTTGTAGGGACATGGATGAAATTGGAAATCATGATTCTCAGTAAACTATCGCAAGAACAAAAAACCAAACACCGCATATTCTCATTCATAGGTGGGAATTGAACAATGAGATCACATGGACACAGGAAGGGGAATATCACACTCTGGGGACTGTGGTGGGGTGGGGGGAGTGGGGAGGGATAGCATTGGGAGATATACCTAATGCTAGATGATGAGTTAGTGGGTGCAGCGCACCAGCATGGCACATGTATACATATGTAACTAACCTGCACAATGTGCACATGTACCCTAAAACTTAAAGTATAATAAAAAATAAAAAAATAAAAATAAAAATAAAAAATAAAAAACAGATTAAAGTCTCCTTGCTGTATTCTTCCATGGTGAAACAGGCAGGGATGCTGATATGGTTTGGCTGTATTCCCACCCAAATCTCATCTTGAATTGTAACTCCCACAATTCCCATGTGTTGTGGGAGAAATGCTGTGTGAGATGATTGAATTATGTGGGTGGGTCTTTCCTGCGCTGTTCTCATGTTCTCATGATAGTGAATGAGTCCCACAAGATCTGATGGTTTTAAAAATGACAGTTTCCTTGCACAATCTCTCTCTTTGCCTGCTGCCATCCATGTAAAACGTGACTTGATCCTCCTTGCCTTCTGCCATGATTGTGAGGCCTCCCCAGCTATGTGGAACTGTAAGTCCATTAAACCTCTTTTTCTTCTCAGTTTTGGGTATGTCTTTATCAACAGTGTGAAAAATGACTAACACAGTAAATTGGTACCAGTAGAGTGGGGTGTTGCTGAAAAGATACCTGAAAATGTGAAAGCGACTTTGGAACTGGGAACAAGGCAGAGATTGGAAGAGTTTGGAGGGCTTAGAAGAAAACAGTCAAATGTTGGAAAGTTTGGAACTCTCTAGAAACTTGTTGAAGGGCTTTGACCAAAATGTTGATAATAATATGGACAATGACATTCAGGCTGAAGTGGTCTCAGATGGAGATGAGAAACTCATTGGAAACTGGAGCAAAGGTGGCTCTTGCTATGTTTTAGCAAAGAGACTGGGGCATTCTGCTCCTGCCCTAGAGATTTGTGGAACTTTGAACTTGAGAAAGATGATTTAGGGTATCTGGTGGAAGAAATTTCTAAGCAGCAAAGCATTCAAGAGATGACTTGGTTTCTGTTAAAGGCATTCGGTTTTAAAAGGGAAACAGAGCATAAAAGTTTGAAAAATTTGCAGTCTGACAATGTGATGTTAAAGAAAATCTCATTTTCTGAGAAGAAATTCAAACTGGCTGCAGAAACTTGTGTAAGTAATCAGGAACCAAATGTTAATCACCAAGACAATGGGGAAAATGTCTCCAGGGCATGTCAGAAACCTTTGCAGCAGCACCTCCCCATCACAGAAGTGGAGGTTTAGGAGGAAAAATGGTTTTGTGGGCTGGGCCCAGGGTGCCTCTGCTGTATACAGTCTAGGGACTTGACCGTATCCCAGCCACTCCAGCTGTGAGTGACTAAAAGGGGCCAAGGTACAGTTTAGGCTGTTGCTTCAAAGGGTGGAACCTCCAAGCCTTGGTAGCTTCCACATGGTATTGAGCCTGTGGGTGCACAGAAGTCAAGAATTGAGGTTTGGGAACCTCTGCCTAGATTTCAGAGGATATATGGAAACACCTGGATGCCCAGGCAGAGTTTGCTGCAGGGGGGGGACCCTCATGGAGAACCTCTGCTAGGGCAGTGTGGAAGGGAAATATGGTGCCAGAGCTCCCCCACAGATTCCTTACTGGGGCACTGCCTAGTGGAGCTGTGAGAAGAGGGCCAATGTCCTCCAGACCCTAGAATAGTAGATCCACTGGCAGCCTGCACCATGAGCTTGGAAAAGCCACAGACACTCAACACCAGCCCATGAAAGCAGCTAGAAGCAGGCTATACCCTGAAAAGCCACAGGGGCAGATCTGCCTAAGGCCATGGGAGCCCACCTCTTGCATCAGTGTGACCTGGATGTGAGACATGGAGTCAAAGGAGATCATTTTGGAGCTTTAAGATTTTACTGCCCTGCTGGATTCTGGACTTGCATGGGGCCTGTAGCCCCTTTGTTTTGGTCAATTTCTCCCATTTGGAATGGTTGTAATGCCTGTACCCCCATTATATCTAGGAAGTAACTAACTTGGTTTTGATTTTACAGGCTCATAGGTGGAAGGGACTTGCTTTGTCTCAGGTGAGATGTTGGACTGTGGATTTCTGAGTTAATGCTGGAGTGAGTTAAGACTTTGGGAGACTGTTGAGAAGACATGACTGGTTTTGAAATGTGAGGACATGAGATTTGGGAAGCCAGGTGTGGAATAATATGGTTTGCCTGTGTCCCCACCCAAATCTCATCTTGAATTGTAACTACCACAATTCTCACATGTTGTGGGAGGAACCCGATGAGAGGTGATTGAATTTTGGGGGCGGGTCTTTCCTGTGCTGTTCTTGTGATAGTGAATGAGTCTCATGAGATCTGATGGTTTTAAAAGTGGGAGTTTCTTGCACAGTCTCTCTCTTTGCCTGCCGCCATCCATGTAAGATGTGACTTGCTCCTCCTTGCCTTCTGCCATGATTGTGAGGCCTCCCCAGCCATGTGGAACTATAAGTCTATTAAAACTCTTTTTCTTCCCAGTCTTAGATTTGTCTTTATAAACAGTGTGAAAACGGACTAATACAGATGCTCTCTGGGTTCTCTTTTATAAGGGTACAAATCCCATTAATGAGGGCTAATCACCTTTTGTGATGGTTAATCACCTTATGACCTAATCACCTTTTGTGATGGTTAATTTTAAGTGTGAACTTAACTGGCTTAATGGATACCTAGATAGCTGGGAAAGCGTCATTTCTGGGTGTGTCTGTGAGGGTGTTTCTAGAGGAGAATGGCAGGTGAGTTGGTGGACTGAGTAGGCAAGATATGCCCTCAGTGTGAGAAGGCACCATCCAGTCACCTGGGAGCCTGGATAAAACCAAAAGGCAGAGGAAATGTGAATTTGCTCTCTTCCTTTCTCCTGGAGCTGGGACACCATCTTCTCTTGCCCTTGAACATCAGAACTCCAGGTTCTCCAGCCTTCTGACTCTGGGACTTTCACTAGTGGTCCCCCTGTGTTCTCAGGCCTTCAGGGTTGGACTGAGAGTTATACCATTGGCTCCTCTGGTTCTGAGGCTTTGGACTTGGACTATTGTCTTCCCTGGGCTTCCAGCTTACAGACAGCCTATTGTGGGACTTCTCAGCCTTCATAATTGCATAAGCCAATTTCCATAATAAATCCCCTCTCATCATCTGTCTGTCTATCTATCTATCTATCTATCTATCTATCTATCTATCTATCTATCTATCTGTCTATCTAATCTATCCTATTAGTTCTGCCTCTGTGGGGAATTCTGACTAATATACTTTCCAAGGCCCCATCTCCTAATACCATCACATTAGGGATTAGGATAGCAACATGAAGTTTTGGGGGACTCACACATTTAGTCTATAACACGAGCTAATTTATTAATTCACATTTATTCATATTTGTTTATATAATACTCTATTTGAAGGGGATAAAGTATATCCCAAAAATCTTCCAATCAGATTGTTGGCTGGAAATCCAGTTAATTTCCTTGCAAGATGTGGAACTTGATGGCAAATAAATTTTGCAAATCATCTAGAATGCATAAGAAAAATAAATATTAATGAAAATAATTATAACATTATTATAATCCATTTCCTAAATGAAGACAAGAATGTTGAATTAACTGAGATTAGGAAGAGGATGCCAACAAACAAATCCACAAAAAAGCAAAACAAGCAAACACAAGGAACCAGCCCTGCCACCAAAAATATTGAGCTGTTTGTCAAAATAAAAGAGACAAGGATGATTCATTTTAATATTGACAGGCAATATAAAGCAGTGTACAAAAGATCGGAAGTTCTTTACTGACAAATTGTCATCAGCCAGGAAAAAGTCACATCATGAAGAATCTGGGGTATCACGTGCTTGGGAAGCACTTTGGGACAGAGACATCATGAGCGATCACTGAGAGAAGGGATAAATCAGAATGACTCTGACTTCACAATCTACAATAACTCACATTCACACAGCCAACACCTGAGCCTCTAGTCTAGCCAGACACTAGTTATTGCAAAAGAAGGATTCCTCTGGGCCTGGACTAATTAAGTTTCAGTGTTTACTTCTCAGCATGAAATGTCAATAACAGCTGGGATGTTAGTATGGCAAAAGAGGGGACTTGCTTATTTGTAGGGTGTGAAGTGATCTCAATATTCTGTGGTTTTAATCTGTAAGTTGCCTTAAGGCTCCTGAGGACTGTAATGTAAATCGGTAAGGCACAGCAAAAGAAAAGTTCAACTGAAAAGAGAAATGGGAAATAGATGAGTTTAAACTGCTTGCATTTTAGATTCATATTCCTAAATTTACTGGACCTAGAGGCAGTTTCATACCCAACCAAGAGAGCTAGGGTTAAAAATTTTTCTGGAAAGTGCTTAGAGATTACAAAGGTGGCAAGTGGTTCAAGTCATTCCCTCCTCCCATGTTAGGCAACAAAAGATGGTCCTAACTCTATTTAGGTTGAGGATGTTAGACTCTTTATAACTTTTTATTAAAATGGAAAGGTGGTAAAGCAGCAGAGAAGAGCATATTTTTGTGCCTTACAGTACAGTTGCTGTGGGCTGCCTTCTGCCCTAGTTATTAATCTGAAGGCCAAATCCTGGCTTCAATTCAAAGGGTGTGAACTCTAAGAATGTGAAATGTTGTTTCTCTTGGGAAAGGATATTGCAAAACATCTATAAAAGCAGATCTGCATTCTTATTTTAGATTCAAGATCAAAATAACATGTAGAAAGCTGCAGTAACTCTGAGCTGAAGGTGTGAAGAGTACCTTACAACAAAGAAACATAATAAAAAAATCATAATCATAATACATGTTATCAATGAGGCAGCACTCTAAGGGCTTTATGGATATTAGCACATGCAATCTTAGTAACACTATAAAATATGTACCACTCCTATCCTCATTTAAAGAGTAAAAACTGAAACATGAAGAAATTAAGTAACATGCCAAGGTCACACAACTAGTAAAAGGCAGAACTAGGGTCTGCACCCATGAGCTTAATTCCTACTTTCTATTTCCAGATTTAAGAAATCCTGATTTAAAAATAAGAAAATTAGGAGATAGCAATTTTCTTCATTGGATTCTGTAAATTACAATCAGCAAGCTTAAAAATCCTCTACACTTAAAATATTTCCATTATAAAATTTACATATATACACATTTCATGACAGGGATTAATTACAGGTAATTCATGCACTATCTTAGGAATGGCCAAGAACTGAATGTATTCCTGCTAAAACTCCAACCCTGATTCAGATCCCTATTGTTTAACTCAAAAGCAATGGTGATTCCCAAAGATGATTATTCTGAGGGAAGTAAGAGATGCCTTCCCATTTTTACCCCACCCCTAGGAAATCTAAATCCTTCTCACAGGACCCTTGCAATGTCTCTGCAGATTAGAAGGTCTCAAATAGCCCAACCATGAACAGGGTGACACTCTAGTCTCCTTGCAAATCCACTGAGCTCTAATTAATTAGGAGGAAATGGCTATAGTAATAAGTCAGGAAGTGAACCCTCCCTTATTAGAAAGGCTACATTCCTGCTCACGTTGAGCTGTCCATGGTGCTGACACGTCTAAACCCAGTCACTAGGCGTTGGTCTTGCTACCAGTGTTTATTCCTGCACATCTTGGTTATGTGGCTCATGCCTTGCTCACTTGGTTGCTGCCTGGTGCGTCTTTGATGCTGCTGAAGACTCCTTTAAGCCCAGTGGCTTTTAGAACCTATGGCTCTGGTCTAGGCAGGGTTTTACAGATTAGGAAATCAAGGCACAGGGAGATTAAGTAACTTGCCCAAGGCATGTAGCTATAAGTATGAAATCGAACCCAGCCAGGCCACTTCTCTGAACAAGGGCCAACAAGGTTTGAGGTAGTCCTCCACAGAAGCAGGCTGGAGGTAGTAGGCCGCAACACTGAAAGTTTTAGAGAGAAGAGGATGGCTGATAAGCAGAGCACACCATGAAACAAGTAAATGACCAGATGTCCAAGTTGCTGAAAAATAAGGATCTCCTCTTGTAGATTGTGCTTCAAATGGTGTCTTTCCCTCCGTTCTCCTGCTTCTCCCTGGGAGAACTATCCAGCATTTCCATAATTATTTAGTTTTCTTCTATTCTTATTTCTAAGAATCACCAATATCTTTAATTTAAGTAGGATGGCCAAATTTAGGCTAATCTTTTTGAGTGGTTGTTGCCAAGGGCCAGGAGAACATGCCTGGTTTTCCACTCTGTCACTGGCACTGTAACTATTATTACTATTAATACTATAATAAATAATATAGTGAAGGCATTTGTGAATAAATTATTCTGTGTTCAAAATACCTTGATAACATGATAGAGACCTCAAAGTCAGTCCACAGAAGCAGAGGCAGCCAAGGGAGGGGTGGAAGGGCAGAAAAAAAGGGAAGAGTTCATGTTCCTAAGAAGAACACTGCACTCCACACCTCTGCATGTCAGTCTTTGCATACAGATCCTGCCTGCAAACCAAGCCATACTAGAGAAAGAGAACCCACGGAGAGCTATTCAAGGTAAGATTTACAGCAAATGGAAATATGCCAACATTATTCAAACAGAAAAATTTCCTAAGAAAGGAAGAAATGCAAATCTATTCTTTTCCCTAAGCTCAAAGAAATAAAGCCTATTTAAAGCCCATTTTGTTAGCAGAATGATAAAATATCTTCCCCTGAATCAACTTAATAGTTGTTTTTTTATAAAATGCTCGCAAACATGAAGTGTGTGTGTGTGTGTGTGTGTGTACACAAGGATGAGTTTGGGGCCATGAACCTCATTGAAGTCTATTAAGAAATGTTCTGATTAGCGCATTGTGTCTTGCAGTCTATTGAAAAGGTCAAGGTCTATAGCTGAGCTAAATATAACCTGGTGAGAGAGAGCAAGGAGAGCTCTGGAAAATTTTGGGAGGCTTTCATACTGTTTGGAAGATAAGAAGATTGTTTGAAGGGATTTCATTCTTTATGAAGTGTGTGGCTGAAAAAAAGAAGTATCAAGGACAACTATAACTTCTTATACAAATAACTTTAAAGGAAAATCTAGAATAATTTCTCACTGTTTAAAATCATAAAAATGATGTTATGTTCCCCTAGTCTATATTTTCTCTAAGAAATGCAAATCATTTTCATAGGTTTCAATGGAGCTGGTAATCTTATGCTGTTTGGGAAGAACAGAGGTCAGGGTGACCTTCCTAACATGCGCAATTGACTGGGATACTCTGCTGCTGAAAACTCCAGTGACTCATCATGGCTTTTGGGAGAAAGTCCAAAACCCCTTTGTGGTGCAATCAAGGCTCTTCATTTTCTGGCCGATTATTACATTTCCAGCTTCTCTTCCACCTTTTTCCTCTCATGTATTCTGTGGCTTTTCAGATGACTCATGATGTAATGGTTGCCTTTGGACAGAGTGTCCTTTCCCACATTGCCTGTGGTCTCCTCCTTGCCCTGGAACTGTCATTTCCTCCAATCATCCCACCGCCTGACAGCCCCATCCCACTCTCTATTCTTCTCCCCAGAACAAAAATGACTGCTGTGATGGTTAACTTTATGTGTCTACCTAGTTGGGCCATGGTGCCCAGGTATTTGGTCAGGCATTATTCTGGATGTTTCTGTGATGGTGTTTTTTGGATGAGATTATTATTTAAATTGGTGGACTTTGAGTAAAGCAAATTCCTAATGTGGGTGAGCATCATCCAATTTTTTGGAAGCCTTAGTAGAACAAAGACTGACCTTCTCCAAGCAAAAAGGGTTTCTGCAGTAGGCCACTTTTAGGTTCAATCTGCAAAACGGACTCTTTTCTAGGTCTCTTGTCTGCTGGCTCGTCCTGCAGATTTGGATTTTTCAGCCTCCGTAACTGTGTGAGCCAATTCCTTAAAATAAATCAATCTCCCTCTGTACACACATCCTATTGGCTCTGTTCCTCTAGAGAGCCCTGACTAATACAATTGCCCCTTCCCTTTGGCCTCTGCTGTACCTTTTACAGTTCTATGATATTACAGCTAGCATATCATATTTATTGGTTAACATCTCTGTCCTCCTTCTGCAAGCTTCAGGAGCACAGGGGCTCTGTCCCTCATCAATGTATCCCCAGTGCCCACTCAACATAATAAGTTGAATTATAAATAAGCAAGGTCCCCAGATAGATATAGGAACACAGATGTTAAGCAAAACGTTCCTCACCACGTAATAGATATCTTCAGAAGGTTACTCAAAGTTGTTATAATTTTTGTTCTCTTATCTCATGTCTTCCTCCTTGTTATCTGCCAATTATAAAAGCAAAATCTTGACAGAAATGTCCCTTGTGGGTCCCTACCACTCCAACACATATTTGGGTAGAGGAAGTGCATAGCAAATTATAATGCAGTGTATACATAAGTGTGTGTGTGTGTGTGTGTGTGTGTGTGTGTGTGTGTGTGTTGGGTTAAGGGCATGTGCCAAAAGGAGCATAGCTCAAAAAAATAATAGGCTACTGATTCCTTTAGCCCTATTTCAATGAATTATGATTATTTGTCCTAATCAATAATATTTACCATGTGCGTAACACTGATATATATATATATATATTCTCAGATTGTCGTGAGAACATATATATATGTATGTGTGCATATGGAGAGAGAAGAGAGAAGTTAGTCTCTTAGCCTCTATCCTGGTCTGGAATCTTCAGCAGCCCTCCTGGTTACTGCACGGAGTGTGGACTTTCCCATTACTTTTAAAGTCATATTTGCTATTTACTCCTTTCTCCACCAGCGTACCAGGTTCCTTCATTACTTCCTGTTCAAGTTTTATAAATTCCTATCTCAACCTGTAGAGGTCCCTTTTCTCCACAAGTCCAATTACTGGATTCTTCAGAGTTGAAGTAATGTCCATTTCTCCCACATATTTCCTGACTGAAATTCTGCCCAAAGAATCCCTTAGAGGCTACACATTTCAATCAAAACACATTTAAAACACATGTACCAAGCTGTGGTCCTGTTGTTTTGTGCAGGGAGCCAGGCTGAAGGGTCCTTGAGGCAGAAACAATGGCAGTTGCCTCAAATCCTCCCTAGGCTGGTTCATAGTTGGCTGTTAGTACTTGTGCTCTGACTTATTGAGGACCATTGTTTTGTGTCTCTTTCATAGAAAGATACAGAAAGGGGAGGTAAGTACCTCATTCCTGACACTCACCTGGGCTGGCTAACAAATCCAGGGTTGGCCAAGCTATAGCCCTCCTTGACAGGGATTCTTAGTGGTGTATTTAGAGAACGTATTTTTCTCCAGCAAAAAGTTCTTTATTTCGTTCCATCTTTATTTCGTATTTGTTTATATAATACTCTATTTTAAGGGGATAAAGTATATCCCAAGAATCTTCCAATCAGATTGTTGGCTAGAAATCCAGTTAATTTCCTTGCAAGACGTGGAACTTGATGGCAAATAAACTTTGTAAATCATCTAGAATGTGTAAGAAATACTGTAACTTTATCCCATTTAATTTTTAAAATCCCCAATTTTAAAAATCAATTTAGGATGTATATGGATTGCTGTTTACTCAAACTCTCCATTTGTTACTTTTTTTCTCTTACTTTCATTTTATTGAACACAGAACTATTTATGTGCTTGTGTACACACATGCAACTGGAGAACACATGTTTAAAATAAAACAAGAAATCAAGACAGAGAGGAAAACTGCATTCATTATCTGAAAGAAAATTTCATGGTTAAAGAATTTTGGTTTCAGACATTTTGCTTCATATTTTGTTTAAACATAAGACAAAAATATTGATCAGGATAAGATAACACTTTAAAAATGTATCCAGCTTTTAATCTTTAAGTATTAATTAATTGTGCATATTGTCATATTTGCCTAGATGCATGTTGGAAAAATCATGTTCTATTGTACCACTTCCTCCCAGACTTAGAATAGGTGAGATCTAACTTGTACTTGATGATATTTACTGTGAGATCAAATGAAAAGATTTTTATTTTCTAAAAATTTGAAACTATAGCTGGTCATCATATTACCTTTCACTAGACACATTTGATGTAAACGAAAACTGAGGTGGGAATGGCCAAAATATTCCTTCTGAAAGCTTGTCTGGTCCCTAAAACTTGGAAGAGCATACATCTCTATTTCATTCTCCTATTTTTCATGCCTTTTGCTATGAGAAAGGGCCATGAAGTGGTGGGCTCATGTGCTGTCTGGAAGTTTTCTAAACCTGAGAATAGGGTACAGAAACATGGCTCTCTGGACAGCTGGAGAACCCAGTCTGCCTCTGCCATCATCAGCAACCATGACTTATATAGGATACACATGCACGAAAGCTGCTTTTATATTAAAGTTTTATATTAAAACTGCTTTTATATTAATTGACTGCAACCTCAAGGATCACCCTGGACTACATCACTATTGATTACTCATACTCTATAATTCTCGTGGTCCCAAGCCCAGATTTCAACCCCTGGAATATACTGCTCTACTGAAAAAGAACTACCCTCTACCCCTCGAGTGTTTTGAAGTAACCAATGCAACTATCTACACTGACAGATGAATACATTAATTCCACTTAGAAGTAGGATGATTAATTATTGTTGATTATACATATTTTGAGCTACTATTTCTTTTTTTTTTTTTTTTTTTTTTTTTTTTGAGACGGAGTCTCGCTCTGTCGCCCAGGCCGGACTGCGGACTGCAGTGGCGCAATCTCGGCTCACTGCAAGCTCCGCTTCCCGGGTTCACGCCATTCTCCTGCCTCAGCCTCCCGAGTAGCTGGGACTACAGGCGCCCGCCACCGCGCCCGGCTAATTTTTTGTATTTTTAGTAGAGACGGGGTTTCACCTTGTTAGCCAGGATGGTCTCGATCTCCTGACCTCATGATCCACCCGCCTCGGCCTCCCAAAGTGCTGGGATTACAGGCGTGAGCCACCGCGCCCGGCCTTGAGCTACTATTTCTTAAGAGCTTGTTAACATTTGTGCTAGAAACCTTACATTTTCTCCTAAATCCCATTAACAGGCTTAGATGATTATTCTCATTTTACAGAAGAGAAAACTGGCTCAGAGTAATGTTCAAGGTCATGTAACTTTCTCACAGCAAGCCATTTGAACCCAGGTCTCCAGGATTTCAACCCAGGTCTCCAGTGACAAAGGAAGAACTCTCCCAGCTCAGTTATGCAGCCTTGGGAGGATCCCCGAATTAATTGAAAGTGGTGAGCTCTCTATATGATTTTGTACAGCTACAGTGACTCTTTAATTTAATGTGCTATATTAAGAACATTAGCAATAGTAACAATTTGTACTACAATGAATTAAACACTGTCACTCACATTACAATGAGGGACTCCTTCCTTAAGAGAGCAGTTTTCATCCCAAGTATTAGTTTCATTATCTGACTTTCTTTTGAGTGTCTTTTTGTCTTTTCCCTCCACAAAGTTACATTTGTTATCTAGTGCTTTATGAACCTTCACTACACAATGTGTGGTTAATAAATAGTTGGCAAGGAGTCTTGGCTATGTATCAAGGGAATTTTAAAGATAAATTAGTTTAACTGATCTGAAGGTGCTAGATTAAATATATTGCTATGGATTCATGTATTTCCACTAGAATTTACAATTAAATACAAACTACAAGTGAGGTATTAAATCAAATTCTATGGTTGTTTCCCTGGGATATTTCTTTCAAAGTCAGGATGCAAACAGCATACATCTATTAAAGATCCTCTAAATACAGTCTTGTCAGAAAGTTAGTTAAACTATTTATGTCATTACATCAGCATGGCTCAATAGCTCAGAACTAGATTCTGAGACAAAAATTTAGTTTGCTGATACCAGGCCAGAATTTCCTCCATTTTTTTTGGCAACTATTATTTGTAAGATCTTTAGTTCACAGTAAGCTCATAGGCAGCCAACAATTCTTTAAATTTTAGTGTCTGGACATATTCACAAAAGCAGAGATAGAAAGGGAAAATGCATCTCTATACCTTGCAGAAGAGAGAGATGCTTGACTATTGTGCAATGCTCCATCTGGAAAGCAGGCTTGGTGGAGGCAGGATGCTGACCCATGAAGACTGATAGAGCAGTTTTTTTGCTCTTCAACTTTTCAAATAGATTTGCTAAAGCAGTGAGCTCCAATTATGGGAGCCTTTGAAGGATGGTAGAAAGGAATTGGTGGTTTGAAGGATGAAAATGGCTAGACTACGTTCCTGCTCTCACCTTCTGCACAGGAGCATCTCAAGGGGTTGCACATAGCAATTGAAGAGGAGGTGATAGATCGCACAGTGCTCTACTGGAGCCAATCAGAACAAACTCACCTGGAGGAAAGCCCATAGGGATCAAAGCCCTTCTTCATACTGTCCTCTGAGGATCAGAGCCCTTCTTCACACTGCCCTGTGGTATCAGAGCCCTTCTTTATACTGTAATTCAAGCAAACAGGGCAAAGATGCAGAAAATCTGCCTGGTAATAAATTTGGATATTTCCTGAAGGCCAGCACTAGACGAGTGCAGGAACCTGGGAATGATTCTGGGAGATGGAAATTGGCAGGGGTGGACATTAGAGAGAAGGTCCAGAATAGCCTATTCAGAGGTGAAACAACCAGGAAGCTGTGCTGGGCTGATGCCATATGGTGAGGTCTATTTGATAATTTGGCCTTCCTGTCTTCAGTGATATATAACAAAGCTAGAGAAATATGAGGATACTAAGGTAGTGATTGTGGAGAAGCATGTATTTTATAGGAATAATGTAAGTGGGAATGATTTTCTTGTTAGTCAGTTGGCCCTAATCAAACCAAATAAGTAATTGGACAACATTCAAAGGCAAAAATGATCTGAGAGCATATTAGGAGGGGAAAAGACACAAAGCTTTGAATTCAAGACGAGATGTGCAAGTACCCATTTTGGCATAAATCCTTACGAAAAAACTGTCAGGTTTTATCTAATGCACCTAATCCAAAAATCCTAAATTTGAGACTCAAATGACATTGTTCTTAATTAAGCCAGATACTTTTCCAAAAGGCTAAAAGATAACTTCTTTGTTTCTCCGGGGTCAGCTTTGTAACAGCTCAATTTCTAGTGAGGGGCAGGAAAAGGACTTGTGATTTTGAAGAATTCTACAATTGTACATTCCCCTTTTCCCCCAAATCATTTTCTACTTACCATATAAAAATACACCCATTTTCTTAAAAAAATCATCTTTGCAGATATATAGAGATGCACTATGAAGGGCTGAGTGGAGAGGAACTGACCTATGGGATGGACTCTTTCTATCTTAGGGAAGAGATCTCTTTGCTGATGCTGAGCTACACTCACCACCACTGCTCAATGAAAAGTCCTGGTTGCCCTAGAAAGAACTGAAAGAGAAATGACTTCAAGGTTTGGGATTAACTGGAGAAGAAAATGTTACATTTCTAAGGGAGAGGACAACAGATGTCTCATGAAACTGCATCTAACCCCATAATGTTTCAAATTTTTGTCTTTGTGAAGGCAAATTATAATCATGTGGGTGTTTGCCTAATCACCACTTGTTACACAAAGTGTCTTGTGCTAGTGGTTAGCTTATATCCTGAGATGGCTATGGGGCCATACAGATTTTCCCCCAAAACCTATGAATATGAGTGTACTATTGGAGTTATTTTCATTTACTAAAAATGGAATCTTAAAATTCATTGGAATAATTACTGAAAGGGACTGAAAATCCAGTTATTAGTGAGGTTTTATGACGATAAGCATTTGGAATATATTATACTGAATTCCATTTACTCTGAATAGCACCTAGGTTAGTTAGAATAATTAAAATCAGGCATTCACTTTTATGAGTTGAATGAATTGCAAACTCCTAATACCAGCTTTTTTTTTTTTTAATTTTACTTTAAGTTCTGGGATACATGTGCAGAACATGCAGGTTTGTCACATAGGTATACGTGTGCCATGGTGGTTTGCTGCACCTATCAACCTGTCATCTAGGTTTTATTATTATTATTATTATTATTATTATTATATTTTGGGGTACATGTGCACAATGTGCAGGTTTGTTACATATGTATACATGTGCCATGTTGGTGTGCTGCACCCGTTAACTCATCATACAGCATTAGGTATATCTCCTAATGCTATCCCTCCCCCCTCCCCCCACCCCACAACAGACCCCAGAGTGTGATGTTCCCCTTCCTGTGTCCATGTGCTCCCATTGTTCAATTCCCACCTATGAGTGAGAACATGTGGTGTTTGGTTTTTTTGTCCTTGCGATAGTTTGCTGAGAATGATGGTTTCCAGTTTCATCCGTGTCCCTACAAAGGACATGAACTCTTCATTTTTTATGGCTGCATAGTATTCCATGGTGTATATGTGCCACATTTTCTTAATCCAGTCTATCATTGTTGGACATTTGGGTTGGTTCCAAGTCTTTGCTATTCTGAATAGTGTCGCAGTAAATATACGTGTGCATGTGTCTTTATAGCAGCATGATTTATAATCCTTTGGGTATATACCCAGTAATGGGATGGCTGGGTCAAATGGTATTTCTAGTTCTAGATCCCTGAGGAATCACCACACTGACTTCCACAATGGTTGAACTAGTTTACAGTCCCACCAACAGTGTAAAAGTGTTCCTATTTCTCCACATCCTCTCCAGCACCTGTTGTTTCCTGACTTTTTAATGATCGCCATTCTAACTGGTGTGAGATGGTTAAGGCCTGCATGCATTAGGTATTTGTCCTAATGCTCTTCCTCCCCTTGGACCCCTCACCCCCTGTCAGGCCCCAGTGTGTGATGTTCCCCTCCCTGTGTCCATGTGTTCTCATTGTTCAACTCACACTTAATGAGTCAGAACATGCGGTGTTTGGTTTTCTGTTCCTGTGTTAGTTTGCTGAGGATGATGGTTTCCAGCTTCATCCATGTCCCTGCAATGGACATGAACTCATTGTTTACTATGGCTGCATAATATTCCATGGTGTATATGTGCCACATTTTCTTTATCCAGTCTATCACTGATGGGCATTTGGGTTGGTTCCAAGTCTTTGCTATTGTAAATAGTGCTGCAATAAACTTACGGGTGCATGTATCTTTATAGTAGAATGATTTCTAATCCTTTGGGTATATACTCAGTAATGGGATTGCTGAGTCAAATGAATACCAGGTATTTTTAAAGGGCCCTTGCACTGGGCAAAGTAGATGAAAAAGGAAGCAACATCAATTGTCTTTTCTCTCCCCCCATGCACTGGGTGGTTTTAGCAACTTCTCACCTGCGATGGGTGTGTCTGAGAAGAGACATCCCATCTCAGTGATGCCTTATTGA
Source organism: Homo sapiens (assembly GCF_000001405.40). NCBI lineage: Eukaryota > Metazoa > Chordata > Mammalia > Primates > Hominidae > Homo > Homo sapiens. The sequence continues at coordinate 104,542,607 of NC_000007.14, read as the reverse complement.
GGACTATGACTTGTCTATTCATGGTCTCTTGGCCAAGATTCCACTTTGGGGAAGGTAGAGCAATAGAATTGGGTATCAGAGCATATTCTCTATAGGACTAATTTAGGAAGTCTCAAAAAGCAGCCCCAGTCTGTGACAAGGTCTCGGGCTTTTGGATAACAGTCCCCACACCTACTTACATTCATCAGAAGATGAGAGAACTCCTTACTGGCCCATCCCTGAAGGATGATAAATAAGCCATTCACTGGATCCTTAAGACCACTGAGACAAGTGCAGGGGTCTTCACCAGTTATATTGCTTTATCTTGCTTAGGGAAACAAAGTCAAAGTTAAATAAGGAATGGAAACACTTTTAAGGTCAGGTTTTCATGGGCCAGAAAACACTTTTAGGACTAGGTCCTGGAACTGGGGCCTCAAAAACCCAAGCCACGCCTCGTTTTGGCAGTCATTTCTGCTGCTCTCAGTGTCCAGTGACACTCTCGGCTCTTCTGCTTGCCAGGAAGGAGAGCCCTGTGAATTGAGCTCTTCTCTGCCCTTATCTTACTTGGCCTCTCAGCAGCACTGCACTGAGATGCCCACTTCTTGCTTCAAATACCCTCCTCTCCTGGCTCTCACAGCATGCTCTCACGTCAAGGGTTTTCCTCCTATCTTTCCACATCTGCTTTATCATCCCCTTCCCAGGGTCCTCCTCCTTTAATGACCTATCATTGTTAGGGCTTCCCTGGGCTGGGTCCTGGGATGTTTTCTCTTCCTTGCTAGGCTTTGTCCCTAGGGGATCCCATTAATTCCTAGGGTTTCAAATACCATCCGGACTTTATTTAGATGACTCTCAAATGTAGAGAAAAAATCATTCAAGTTTATTCATTCAACATTTACTGAGAATTTGCAGTACAGAAGCATGTTACTATATTATCATTTAGAGCAACTTTTGCATCTTGCTGCTATACACTTAATCACTTAAGAATCCTTTCCAGTAATCTTGCTCCATCCTCCCACATTGCCAATCTGTCAACAAGTCCCATAGAGACTTGTTTCTGCAGCATATTTCACAGCTTTCCTTTCCTTCCTCATGGTCAAAACCTTACTTGAGAGCCTCATCACCTTGTACCTAGGGGGAGAACATGGACTTTTATCTGGCTCTCCTGTGTCTGGGGAATACTGAATCCAACTCATTGTTCAGACACAATGATGGCAGGAGTCACTTACTCAACATGTATCATCTGGTGCCTCCTCTGTGCCTAGCGCTGAGGATGTAGACTGGAATCACACTGTCCTTGACCCCAAGTTATTTACATTTTAATGGAAGAGACAGACAAGTAAGTGAACCACTAATGCAATGGGTGGTAAAAGCAATGATGGGATATTCCCAGGTGCCATGGGAGCCATGGGAAGGACACCTCATTCAGCCTTGGAGATCAGAGAAGCTCTCCCTTTGGAACTGAAGGAGTTAGCCACAGGGTTGTGTGTGTGTGTGTGTGTGTGTGTGTGTGTGTGTGTGTGTGTGTCATGGGGAGGATGTGTATATGGAAAATAAGCAGAAGCATAATGAAGTAGAGGAACTGTCATACCCCTTCTGGAATCTGGGCTTTAAGCAGAAAAGTGATAAAGTCAGAAGTACTCTTTAGAAAGCTCTAACTACAACTGGAAGAAGCCATGAGAAAAAATGCTGGCAGAGTTCGTTGCATTTAGTAACCTAGGCAACAGATAATGATGGCTTTGAGCTAAAGTAGTGGAAGTGGGGATGGACAGAAGTAGAATAATCAATAAGTGACTGGCCTTGGTGAGTGATTAAATTGAACAGGGCTAGGTCCAAATCTGGTGTTGGCCATTGACTGACTACAGGCCTATCACAAACTTCCTCAGTTTCCCCACCTGAAAGAGGGATATAATAACTAACTCTCAGGGTCATTGTGATGGTTAAATATGACTTACTATATGTGAGAATGCCTGACATATAGAAAGTTGTCAATAAATGCTCATTTCTTTCCTTCCTCAAACATTATATTGAAATTACAATTCGCTACCCCAGAAAGCATAGCAGTTCCCTGTTATTTTATTATATCGAAATTAACTTTCTGCAGACCAGTGTTCTTCAACCTTGGCACTATTGACATTTGGGGCCAGATAATTCTTTGTTGTGGGGGACTGTCCTGTGCATTATAGGATGGCCTGTACCCAGTAGATGCTGGGAGCACCCCATCCCTAGTTATGACAATGAAAAATATTTTCACTCATTGCCAAATGTCCCTGTAACCTGGGGGGCAAAATCAGCTTTGGTTGAGAACTGTTGCTCTAGACTTTTCTGTCCCCCTACCAACCATACTTTCAATACCATATCTCATGCTCAACATTATAGTTTTTTTTTTATTACTTTCCTCCATGGATTTTAGCTGAGTAAGGTAGGTTACAATCTCATTCTCCTATCACAGCGTATAATTTCACTGTATCTTGCACAATGCCTATAGCACATCACTGAATGAATTTTCAAATACATTCATTAACTTTCTACCATTGAGAGATTAAGGCCCAAACTCCTAGTATGGCAGTAAACATTGCAATAAGTTTCTCCCCATTCACTCTCCAGCGGGATCTCATTATTTCCTATGATTTCCCCATTCCTATAACACTCTGCCTTCCAGACTTCTGCATTTCGTGCATCAGGAACCCTCTCCATCCTATCACACCCACACAAAGAAAACCAATATAGGGTTCCCAACTTTTTATTTTGTGAGATAAGAAAGTTTCATAACAACAGCAAGAGCAGCAGCAGTAAAAACTATCATGCCATCACTTTGTTAAATAAAGGTAACTTTTATACTAAAAAAGTGGAAAAGAGCATAATCTCAGGTTAAAAGAAAGTAATTTAAATGAAAAGAACCTAGCTTTGTTAAAAGACTCACTACATTGTTCTGTTTTTCTCATTTCTAGGAAAACATTGGTGAGGATTTCATTATGGACCAGCATTTGGGAACCACTGCACTCATTTCCTGCCCAACCAGAGTTGACAAGGCTATTTTCTTCCTTGACCTGAACCCAGGGTCTTTGTATATCTCCAGTCAGAATACCCTCCTCCCACCCATTTCTGCCTGGAAATCTATTCCTTCGAAGTCAACATAAGATATTAAGTAGAAAAAAGCCATTAAGTATTAAGTTTTATGCCCTAAACAGAGGTAATCCTTCTCCCCACTAAATTTACTTCTTGAGGGGCTTACTATATTCTACCTTTTGGAGTTGTTTTTATATAGGCCCAAATCAGCAGCATCTTCTCACCTTTGTAGAAAAGGACCTCACACAAGTAAATATTTGCTGAATTTAGTGTTTGGATTGTCTCTAACTTTGGGTTCTCCATTCCTTCCACGTGGAATACCCACTTCATTAGTTTTCTATTGCTACCATAACAAATTATCACATACCTAGTGGCTTAAGATAACACAAATTTATTATCTTACAGTTCTGGAGGTCAGATGCCTGACACAGGCCTCACAGGGCTAAAATCAAGGTGTTGACAGGGTTGTATTACTTTTTGGAGGCTCTAGGGGAAAATCTGGTTTTTTACTCTCCTAGCTTGTAGAGGCCATATTAATTCCTTGACTTGTGGCCAATTTCCTCCAACTTCAAAACCAGTAATGTTGCAACTGTCTGGCCATTCTTCCACAGTCACATCTCTCTCTGGCTGGGAACTCCAACAGGAAAGGTTCTCTGATTTTAAGAACCCATGATAATAGATTGAGCCCACTTGTATAACCTAGGGTAACACATTTCCTCATCTTAAGGTCCTCGCTTTAATCTCACGTGCAAAGTTGCTTTTGCCACGTAAGCTAACATATTCACAGGTTCTGAAGAATAGGGTGTGGACATCTTCAGGGACTATTATTCTGCCCACCATACCCACTTTTGCTATTCTTTATCAATCTACATTCCTCACTCTTTATTCATCATCTGAAACTTAATATAATAAAAATAATAAATGAAAGAGTCAAGATTTTAACCCATGTCTGGGCAAGTACCTCCTTCTAACACTGTTGTGATAAAGAAAACAATGGCAAACATCTGCCCTGTGTAGTGGATGGCCACCCTGTGGAAAACGTGTTATTCTGACATACCTTTCAGACGATATTTGAAAATGTATTGATGTTTTCTCCAACATCCAGTGAATGTATGGCTGTGTGTTCAAAGACAAGCATTCATGGCCCCATAAGACCTCTAAGAGGCAGTCTCTTCTATATTGGGCTCTAGCTTTCGTAACTCAGCTCTGCAAAGTCAGGCAACCAACACTCATCCCTAAGTGTCAGTGTATTTTTAGCACCTCGGGACTTTCATGGTTAGGCTTCCTGAGCTTTAATCTAAGGACACATTTCTCACAAGTTCCCCTTTAGCTGTTACAGTGCTCAGATTTGCCATTGTGGAATAGAAGGGGCTATTTTTGTTTAAAATTTTAGCATTGATTATGCAGTGGTGATTCATGGATTGAGAACTTCAAGGCTTAATTAATATAATAGTGCATGGTAAGTAAGGTCTTTGTGGCAGAATTCATCACTAATTACCACTGAACTGAAACCTGAAGTTCAGAGTTTTTTTTCTAGCATGGCTCAGGAGAAACCATCCCTCACAGGAGAAACCTTGCCTTGACTTCTATTCACTATGATCTGTATAGCCCGTTGAGGTGGTCAGACAATCCCTGGCTTCAGAGTAGCCTTTACCTGCCCAAGAAGGACCTTGATGGAAAGTAATCATTTCTTTATGCGCAGGACTGTATATAAGTTATTTTAGACAATCTCTTCAACTTCCCTCATCCATTTGCATTAGAGACCACAACAGAAAGAGTGCTGTCCTGATTTAGATTAGCAAAAGCACTGTCATTGATGATAATCCTTCATCTATTGTAAGACTGAGTTCCAAAATGTTCATGACTGTGAAGTAGGGAACCCAATAACTTTATCCATGCTAATCAAAATTGACAGATGCATTTTGAATTTACATGTGTTACTCTTTATTGATTATCAGGACAGATAAAACAGCCAGAGAAGATGGGCAGTGGGTCAGATGCAGGCTTAGTGAGATCACTCTGCTTCACCACATGTGCTTCAGATATGAGTGATGCACCTAGAAACATAATAGGGGCTGGAACCCATAATAATTGAGTAGAAGGGGTAAAAAACAAACAAACAAAAAACAAAACCAAGGTTGCCTAACTGAGGAAGTTTAGCAAGAGAATAACTTTCTTATGAATAGTCTAAATATTCTACTGATAATCTCATTTTCTAAAAGTCCTCCATGGGAAATGGAAGTGTCAGAAGGGGGAGGAAATGTGAAAAGAAACAGAGAGTTTTTAGAAATAATTACTGTTAACTGGAAATGTCACTCTCCCCCACATCTCCAAGTCTCTTTTTAGATTAGCAAGCAGCAGTGACCAGATGGAGATGGGGTGTTGAAATGCCTTCTGTGATGAGAGCCAACCATTTGCAGGAGGTGAGCCCCACTTCAACAGATGGACTACCAGTTTTTTGGGTTAAAGATCAGCCAGGCTCATTAAAGAAGCTGCAAGGGTTCAGCAGTTAAAATTCTTTTTTATCTTTACATCCTGAGTGACAGAAGCATCTTCTGCAACCTAAAAAAAGGTTAATCCGAGGTAGAAGATTAAATAGTCCATGACATTGATGTATAAGGACTATAGGAAAGAATATAGGAGAAGGAGGATGAAATCAGTGGTCACTGAAGCCTAGTGGTGTTGCCTGTTATTGAAATTTTGTGGCACTTTCTGGCATGTTCTATTGTAAATGTATTGGCTTGAATTAGTGGAAGAGCTTCTGTGTAAAAAGGAAATGCAAGCTTAATTTTTTACCATTCTGAAACAAACAAAAAGGCTCTAGAGGGGAACTAAATGGTAGGAGCATCTTACTGGTGTAAAAGAATTAAATTAAAATGGAAAACTTGAGGCTGACACCCGAGGGGAAACACTCCGGAAGTCTCAGGTCAAAAACTACATTTCATGTTTCTTCAGCAAGATCAGATCACAGAAGATTAGATCGATAGGTTCTTCCAACAGAACTACAACTTTAATTGATATTGAGAAAAAGCCAATTATTTATTCTTATTTTAGGGGCAGATTTGATGTAATGATGTGGAAAATCATACGTGGGGGAAAATGATGTTCCAATCGGCCTGGGGATGAAATGCTAGGTATTAAAGTAGAGGCAAAATACTCGTGGGCTGGGCTAACCATTTGTAAATATATGAATTCATCTGTATTTGATATCACCATCCTCTCACATCCATTTGCTTTCCATGATCATTTTTTCATAGCTTGGAGTTACAGATGTCACCCAGTTGCATCACGGACTTTATGTGTTTCTGTTCTGTTTTTCTTATTGAGGGTCTATATTAAATGTTTTTAAACTTAGAAACCTTTAAGACATGTACTATATACTTCCATGCCTTCTTCAACAGAGAAAAACTATATGCCATTTCATCTTGATATGAGTTTGGTTCTCCCTTATAATTACAAAGTGTGTACTCTGCCCTCTGTGCAGCTACAGCTACAGATGCAGGTGTGGAGGGCATGGGTCACAGGGAGAAAATGCGGCTTCCTCCCGTGGTGCTGTAGGGCAGTGATGGCACACTCCAGATGGGAGAGCTGTACTGACTGTGCCAATGAGCACACACAGGTGGTCCCAAAGGTCGTTGAGGTATGTGCCGATGGCACTCGCTCCCACTCTCTGACAATGTAACTATTCTCTCTTCTGTTTTTCCCGTAGCATCCATCCCAACATTGATCACAAGCTTACTCTTTCTACAGCTGCTATTTTAAATGTCCCCTACTCTTTTCTCTCTGCATCTCTTCTTTCTTGTCTCATTGGTTGCCAATGATTCTCCCAGGTTCCTTAACTCTCAAAGGCTAGCCTGGTCTGTATGCACATCCTCCACGGGCACAGGGCTTTTTTGTTTCTAATATGCCAAACAACAAATCACAGTTTTCTGTGCCTGAAATTTAGGTGTTCTGTGCCTTTCAATATTGCTGGGATAAAGGATTACTCCCCATCAGAACAGAACAGGATGCTTGAGGGGGTTATTTGGTGGGGAGGGTGTGTATGAGTTATCAAGGATTTATTGAAGTGGGTCCTGAGTTATTTCACTTGGTTATAGAAACTTAATGAATATTTTTCCAGCTCCTATGTGGGCATGCACAGAATCAAATGAAGGGTACAGTTCTGAATGCCTTGGAAATTGCATTTTGATACATTTCATTGGATTGTAGCCAAATACAACTTCTTGTAATAGAGATCCAGAATGGCAATTTACACTGCCTGACAGAAGTATCATTTGGAGTTTTGGCAAATTCTCATCAAGTTATATAATGTGAGCAATCCTTTTCCAGAGACGTGAAATAATACCAAGTGTTCCATTTTCTCCTAGGTTTTCTTTCTTACTGAGGGATAATGAATTAGCTTATTTGTAGTTCAATCAGAGAAATATGTATACCTAAAACATCTGGTGGTAGCAGTAATGAACAGCTGGAACATGGGTTAGGAGGACCAAAAACATGACAGAAAGAGGGTTCAGAACTTTCTGTCCCTACAGCTTCTTGGCAAATCCACTCTTTCCTCCTCTCCCCATATTTTATGCCCAGTTCTGTGTCAATCATGGTAGAGGCAACAGTGAAGGCAAAGTCGTAATTGTAAGTCAGAATTGCTATCTTCAACAGGCTCGTTATCTAGTTATTCAAAGAAGAAATACTACAATTTAAGAAATATATAAAGAAATAGAATAATTCAGGAAAAGCTATCACTTTATGGAGGGATGAATTTCTAAAGTAATAGTGTAAAACTAAAATGCATACTGTTTGGTTAAGTGATGACTACGTGAGGATATAAAAGCAATCTATAAATACTTTAAAGGTGTAAATACCAAGTAGGGTGAGAAATTATTTTGTCTAGTACTCTACAGAAATAGCACTGAATATGGAATTAAGAAAAGGAATACATTGAATTAGTGAGAACAGTTACATAGGAATTCTTTAAACTGTAGCTCCAGGGCCCTTAACAACCTCAAAAACACCTCTGGTTCTTTGATAATATTTGCTGTCATCATGCAGTGGTCTAGTTAATGTCAATGACCATCAAGCACTGTAATGGATCCTAAGATTCCGAAAGGTAAGAGACATCCTCCAGCTCTGCTGAAGCAGGAGCCGAGATGGAAGTGTGGGTAGAAGCATGCCACAGTGGAACTGGGGTGCCATGCTGTGGAGGCTGCACATCAGAGTTACCCCAGGAGTTCTGACGTCATAGCCCTGTCTCAAACACACTGAGCTATGATCTCTAGAGTTGATGCCAAAATCTATGTCTTTTAAGCATTTCACGGATTTTTTTCTGATGAGAGATCAGGGTTGCAGATATTTCCTGATGGGTTTTAAGCAAAGGAAAGACCCACACTGTGTTATAGAACAAATAATCTGGCTGCCAGGTGAGGAACAAAATAGGAGACTGGAGACCGTTAGGAAGCTGTTTGAATAATGCAGGGAAAAGAAGATGAGGGCTTAATTTAAGGCAGCATCAGCAGGGTTGATAAGGAGAGTGCAGGACATGTTCATTGATGGCTTAGTGGTTAACTCGGTATGAAGAGGTGAAGGAAAGTGAGGACTCAAGCAGTCTGGAACGTAGGGGTTTGTCTCATCCTTTACCAGCGGAGGGAAGCCTAAAAAGTTAGCCTGGGTGGTTGAGGGAGTTTTCTTCCAAGACCTCATAGGACAATATCATCAGAGAGAGAGAAGAGAGTCAAGTATTGAAAGGGAGGTAGAAGTCCAAGAAGCAAAAAGGGAGACCAAAGATCACGAAACTAGCAGAGATGGAAGCAAACAGTGCAGTCAAATCTGGAGTCCCTGAACCAGTTGGACAAGAGCAGTAACCAGAAGGCTGAGAGTAAAGCTGGAGCTGCTGTAGCAACTACCTTGTGTAGGCACTGATTTTGTGTGCCTGGGTGAGTTGGTCAAGATTAAGAAGCAGAGATGGAAATTACTGTGTGGATTATGAAAGGGAGCAGAAAGAGGGGTACAGGTTAGTGGAAGAGAAGTTGAAGCATTCTGCTTTGGACATGTTGAGTTTGAGGTGCTATGGAACATTCAGATGAAGGTGTCCAGCAGGGATCTGGGCAGGGATGAGTGAGTCATTAGCAGATTGCTGGTGGCTAAAACTCTGAGAGTAGGTGAGATTATCCTGGGAGGGGAACAGAAGACAAAGAATGGAAGTGGGGAACTGTAAATGGATAAGTACTCCCATGTGGATGAAGGAAAAAACCTCATGAAGAATTTCAAAAAGGTAAGATAAGAAAGGAGGAGGAGAACTATGACAGAGTGCTTCTATGGAATCTAGTGGAGAAGAGAGTTTCAGAAAGAGTGGTCACTCATATCCAGTGCTGGCAGAGGTCAAGGTAATGTCCATTAGTTCTGTTGTTTCTGTTTGTAAACATAGTTCTCTACAAAAAACATTTTAATGCAGAGAATTTAGCTGATGCTAATCAATAAAAGATGACCATAAAAATCCTTGAATTATATATAGCCATGAGTAAATGTAGTATAATTTGCAAGTGGAAGTATGACGACTATAGTTCCCTTGGAAGAATTCTGGGAAGGTGATCTCCTCTTCACTCTCTCCTCCTTGACACATTAAACCAAATTGAATATAGTTCATCTTCTACATTGGACACTCTGACAAATTCATAAATTACTCAACTCATAAGATTTGCAGATCCTTTTGTCTAGTGTGTCTTTTGTTTGTTTTACCAGTGCAAAACTAAATTAACCAGGCAGGCCTTTGAGAATGTATGTATATGTCTATGCTAAGATAATTTTTGTGATAGTAATGTATAATTTTCACCCTACATTTTCTATTTTTTCCCCTTCAGAGAAAGAAATAGAGATGGCCTGCAAAAACTTCCCTTCTTGGCTTTTGTTTCCAGAAGCAAAATTCCACAGAGAGTAATGAGGTGTAGGAAGATGGGGTACTTGTGAGGAAAACATGGAGAGAGAGAAGGATTTCCCCAACATAAAAGTAAATTCCCCAGGGTCAGAGGGAGAAGAAAGAGAAGTCTATGTGCATGCTTTGGATAGAAATATGGATAAACAGAATATTTTCCAAGATTAAAAACAGATTATTAGCAGGGCACAGTGGCTCATGCCTATAACCCCAACACTTTGGGAAGCCAAGTTAGGAGGATCATTTGAGGCCAGGATTTTGAGACCAGCCTGGGCACATAGCTAGATTCGTTCTTTAACCAAAAAAAAAAAAAAAAAAAAAAGACAGAAAGAAAAAGAAAAAAAGAAAAAAAAAACATTAGCCAAGCATGGTGGCACATGCCTTTAGTTCCAGTTAATCAGGAGGCTGAGGCAGGAGGATGGCTTGAGCCCAGGACTTTGAGGCTACAGTGAGCTATGATTGTAGCACTGCATCCAGCCTGGGTGACAAAGCAAGACCCAGTTTCAAAATAAAAATAAAAAATAAACAAGAAATGCAAAAAACAGATTATCTAGGCTAGGAGAGAAAAGAAGTGTGTAGTCCTTTGAGCACCAGGATCTATAAGTCAGTGCCTGGCAGCAACAATAAGTAGCAGAACCTAGAAGGAATCACGGCCCAGAACACCCAGCCTTGACATGGCTTCTCGTGTGCCCAGTGTTAAACCAAAGCCACCAATCTGCATCCTGATGACATGGCTGGGATCATGGAGGGATAGGTGCCTGCTGGCCAGATTAAAGATCCTGATCCCCAGCACCTTGACAAAACCACCAGGAGGAGAGCCCCATGGAAGAATGAGGTTATAACCCACCAAAACATGGTGTATCACAGAGTCAGAATGAAATTATTAACTGAAAAGTAAAGAAATATGATATTTACTGTGCTCCTGAGCTTGTGGCTCTCTGTTCATACTCACTATATAAGTGATTTCCCATATAGATCCCTTTGTCATATACCTGGGTGTATGTCATACACCTGGGAGTAACTCTTGCAGAAGTCCTAGAAGACATGACTGCACACAGTAGGTGGGCCGGGCTTTCTTTGTAGGGGTCTTAGGTTCCAGGAACAGTAAAAGAATTGCCTTTTGAAGTATCCCTAAAAGTCACTCTCATTTCAAGGCCAATGGCATAATCATGTAAACACCATGCCAGAAAGTTAGTTAGGATCCTGAGTGGTTAATCAGCAGAAGTTTACCCCTCCCACTAGAAAATAAGTCAGTTCAGACACACCGGTCCTTGCCAACTCTTATTTTATCCAGTGGCTAACAGATGTGATTGTTAGCTTGCCAGAGCTGCTTATATTTTCACTGGAGTCTTCCTGCTTCCTGCAGCTCTTAGCTGACGAAGTGAGCTGATCTTTCTGGACACCTCTGGGAAGAAGAGAGGGTTGTGGAGGGAAAGAAAAGAACTCATTGTTGATAGAAATAAAATCAAATGAAAAGATGCAATAATTGTCATTAAAAAATGTCCATTTGTGGTATTTAGCTCAAGGAGCAAATGTTAAGTGAGCATCCTTTGATGCTGACTTAGCCTTTGCAACGGAACTATTCCAGGCCCTGTTCCAACTTTCAGAACTTTATTTATTTTTTAAATACAGGCAATATTTTTGTTTTAGAAATGAGATAACTGTAAAGCACTTCCCACTAGAGCAATCGAAGAGCATTTTGCCCCTGCCATGGAGAAAAAGTGTATGTGTAAATCGATATCGTGTACATAAATTACTGTTTATTACCAGACAAGTAAATGACTGCCTCAGAAAGTGGACTTGCTTGCATGGTGAAGGATTAAAAGAATGTTTATCATTGCAATCTAAACCTTTAAAATAAACCCTTGGAGGTAGAAAGACAGATTTTAGTGCTTCTATTACAACTGCACAATACGCTGTTAAATCAGTTCCGTTTCTTAAAGCAGCTAGTAATTTATTACCCAAAATATGTTGCAGTTGTCATCTGTGAATTCCGAGTCACACAACTGTTAAATTTAACGAACTATGGTTAAGAAATGAATGAATAGTTATGAGCTTCACAAATCAAATTCTCAAATATACACTTTGCTTTCCTTGAATTCTAAATGTGTTTACAACAGGCACAACTCCACTCCTCATTGACTTGTCACGCTCAATTTTACGAGGACAAGCAAACAACCATCCGTACTCTCAGTCTGCCAATTACAGCTGTGGCTTTGCTGGGCCCTGGGTGTATTGGAAATATAACTGCTGGGGAGAAAACCACTCTCTAGGACATATGCTTATCATTTGTGGCCATAAAGAGCCACATGGCCTCCAGCACAAAGTGATTTCAGCTATATTTGAGTCACTGAAAAGTAGAATCAATATCTTACCTTCTGGAAGTCTGTGGGAATTACCTTGTTTTCCTTTCTGTCAGATGTAAAATGATTTCAATCTAGAATTAAGGATCCAAGTAGAAATCTCTGAGTTGCAATCATACTGATGATTAGTCAGTCCTATCATCTTTTATTTCCAAATATCTCAATGCCTCACTCAAACATCACACTATTTTTAACATTCCAACAGAAGTTGTACCAAGGACAATTTAGGCTAGGATGATAAAAATACAACATAGCCCCCATTCTTGGATGAAAAGCAGTTGAAGCAATCCTCTCTCATGGAGCAATTTTGTCTGAGCCTTGGTACCTGCATATCCTTGCCCCTCTTTCCATATCCACACTGCCTTCAGAACCTGACTCATTTTACCTGCATCTCTGTCTCAGATTTGTCCTTGTTGGTTCATCCAGCCTGGCCTCTTTGACTCTGGACTTCCACCCAGTGCCTCCATCCTCTGTGATGATTCAGCCTTTTCTGGAATGGCGCTACATAGGCACTGCCCATCCCTGTTCTGACTCACCATGCTACTCTCAGGCCCAGCCCGGTTCCTGACACCCCTTCAATTAGTTTCTATATCCAACTGTGCCATTAATCAACATGATTTTTCTGTCTTATGTAGAGAAAGAGGGATGACTACTTTAACATGGGAGATGGGAACCAGCTGACTATTTCTTTCACTGAAGCAGGTGTTATGGCCAATATTTGACATACGTTCTCATCGCGCTTCATGGAGGACCCTTCATCAGCTTAGATCAGGCAGGAGCTATGTCTTAAATGATGAGATTGAGTTTTTCTGAAGAGAAGAAATGGCATTACAGGCAGTGGGAACGGCACAGTCATGCACTCATAACCCTCAAAAGAGCCTAGGTTTCTTAGGGAACTGGAAATAATTCCTCGTGATGGAGACATTGGGGGCAGAACAAGAAGTAGCAAGAGATGAAGCTGAGGATACAGGGCCTATCTGTGAGAAATCTGGTGTTTGAGGTGTCTGTTGTTTTGCTTTCCTGAGGACAGCAAGAGAATATCTAAGGAAAGCCATGTTACTAAGGTCTGGCCAATCAGAGCATCACATTCTTCTGACCATAGTCATTGGTTCAGAGATGGGCATTTGATCCCATCAGAATCAAAAGAGGTAATAAGCCATCTCCTGGGCCTCTCGGGAAGGAAGCACCTGCTCTTCTCCCACTGGTCCTATGAGCCTGGAGCTGTCAAGAGCTATCATGTAGAGCCTGAGGCTGGAGACAGTGCAGGAAAAGGCTTCACTGAGATCTAGAAGAAACTGAGTTTCTAGAGCAAGCCATGCATAAAAGTGACCCAGTCCTAGTCTGTGGTTATATGACCTAAAGAATTTCCTTTTCTGTTCAAGCCAGTTTGAGTTGGATTTCCTATCCCTTACACCAAAAAGAGTCTTTAGCCATACATCTTCAATGTCGAGCTAAGGTGTTTAAGCTTAATTCTCTAGAAAACAAAAAAGGTGTGGTTTGGAGGCATAGAATCCACATAATTATGACTCTTAATTACTATGGAAGTCTTAACTGACTTCCATAGTCTTGAAAAAAGCTTGGTATTCTCAGGGAACACTAAATAATTCCACATTATTGGAACATTTTAAAAACATTTTCTGTTGAACATGATTTAGCCTTAATTATATATTATAATACCTTAGATGGTTTAGTATTGATTCTTAGGTGGTTTGCCTTGTTCATTCAACTAGTTCTTCCCTTCCCTTGTTGATGTCAGGGACCATCATTCTGTATGCATCACATAGTCCTGAGCATACAGAAGGTGTTTTTTAATTGCTTATCTGCCTGGGGTAAAAGAAAAGGATGAGAAAGAGAAGGAAAGCTCCTCTTATTGAAGTCTGTAAATACTTCTCACCAAATTTAAATTCAATTTCCTTATTACAACATTGTTTATACTTCAAGGGGAAGTTAACTGATTCTATTTACATAACTCCAAAGTCCTTTTATTTTTGTGTGTATTTCTTCCAATCATAGCAACTCATCCAACTGCTTTGAAATATGTTGACAAAGCCCCTGGTGGCTGTTATACCCAAAAGGAAAACAACAATCCCTTTGAAATGATCAAATCAACAGAATTCCTGATGTAAAAGCAACTTATTTCTGTTTCCTTTGTGGAAAATGTATCACAGGGTCTAAGAAGCTATTAATTTAATTTTTCGCCTTCCACATGAATCTCGCACCCTCTTCAGAGTTTAATTAATTTGGAACACCCATTTCCAAGAGATGGAGGAAGATAGAGATCAATGTCCCAAAAGATAACCAGGCATAAACTTTGATTTGTAACTTACATAGAAATAAATATGGTCTCACTTTTTGAATATTAAAAGTATAGTTTCTGCCCTTGTTACAGTGTTTTGATTTCTGTCCTCTATTGGGTGGGGAGACAGTAGTAAATGGATATTCCTTAAAAAGTTTTTTAAAAGAAGTGAATTTCCCTCTGTATTCATTCAGACATATACCTGAAGGCAAAGTGGACTGCATGGCCATTGTGAGGCCAGGACTTTCAAAGGGTCCTTCTTGGGTCTGTAGCCTGGGCTTCCTCCCCCTCCTTCACTCCTCTGCTATCCAGCTTCCTCCCTAGCACTCCACCTAGTCCTTTCTCACAGATCATTACCGATATTCTTCTTTCCACTTAAACATAAGAACTGACCTATTGTCCAATTTGAAGGCTTTTTCTCAGTCATCACTCTTCCTATTTCTGGGGATTCTTAACACTAGTTCCTCCCCTCTTCTTGCAGAAACTCTGTTCCCCTTGGTCTCCAATCGAGTGCATTGCCCTTCAAATTTTATCCCAAATCTGTCCACACCTCGCCACCTCCACTGCTCCCACGTAAGAACACACTTTCATGAACTCCTACTCAATTATTTAGCTCCTACTTGGGCCACATCATCCCTGCCGCACAAAGAAACCTGGGCGATCTTATAGAACTTTGAAAGTGGCTCTCACCATCCCCTCTTGCCAAATTCACCAGTGGATTACTCCTCACCACAACTAGAATGCAGCCACAGTTCCATGACATAGCCTACAAGGTGCTACAATATCCGCCCCCTGCCCAACTCTCCAACTTTATCACTGCCACCTACTGCTACAGCAACACTGGGTGAGCACACCAAGCTTGGTTTCACCTCAAGGCCTTTGCCTTTGTGCTTATCCTCCAGACCTCTGTGTGGCTCTCACTTCATTCCAGGCTTATCTTCTTGGAATGGTCTTCCCTGACCCTTTGTTTAAATAGCACCCCCTGTTATTCCTTTTACCCAGCTTTATTTCCCTCACTTCATGTACCACTATTTGATATTTTATTACAAAGGTATGTGTTTATTTATTTTCTGTCTCCCCACTAGAGTGTATGCACCATATGGGCAGGGACTTTGAACATCTTCTTCATTATTGGAATAGGGTCTTTCATTTAATAGGTACCCTAAACAACTGTTGAATGAGTGGGTGTCTGTCCCTGTTGATAAGAATTTCATGTGATTAATGCTAGATTCACAGAGCCAAACTCATTTCTAGAATTTCAAGATTGTTTCCTAGCCTTTGCTGTTAGTGCACCAAAAAGTCTGAATTGCAACATCAACAAAAGTCTGGGTAACATTTCTTAAGTCAATATGATTGTTCATCACTATTTTGAAGAAATGCCTAACTAATGTCACTAAGAGGTATGTCACAGCAATGGAGATTGCCGTGGGCTTTTAAAAATTCATTTTCAAGTTGGCACTGGCCATTATTTACTTACATAGACAAGGCATAAGTCATGTAAGTAGCTAATGAATTTGCCATTTGTAACTACAGAGCTTGGATTGCTATGATATTTTTATGCAAAATGCTCCATCTTTTCTGCCAGCCCCTATATTTTCACAGCATCACTGCTGTGCTACATAGATGCTTGTGGGCATCTTCATGGAATCACAAGTCCTAGATGAGGCTCTTGTGTGGTTATATTTTGTTTGTTTATTTGGCTAGTGTCTCTTTCTTTTGGAAAACCAACTTTTCCCCAATCCATGTGGTTTTCCTAACTGTTGACTTAGAATTTCTGGTGGTAGTTCCTGCAAATCTGAATTTTCAAAAACACTTGAGGGAATTTTCATGCACCATAAGGGGTGAGAAACTCAAATCAAAGGAATGAGAATGGGACTCATGTGACATCAATCAAAATCTTTTCTTGAATTGATAAATAGACTCTGGGAGAAAGAAGCTTTCTTTCTACTGGGGCTGCCAAGTAGAGAAGGAGGGAACAAGGCTCTTCCAGCAGTGCCCTTCTTCATTCAGTTGGGAGAGTGTGCCTACCTATAGGATAAAGCCAAGGAGAGATAAGCAGAGTCAAAAGAAGATAAAGGGCCAGGCACAGTAGCTCACCCCTGTAATCCAAGCACTTTGGGAGGCCAAGGCAGGTGAATTACGAGGTCAGGAGTTCGAGATCAGCCTGGCCAACATGGCAAAACTCTGTCTCTACTAAAAATACAAAAATTAGCCTGGCGTGGAGGTACGCGCTTGTAATCCCAGCTACTCTGCAGGCTGAAGCAGGAGAATCACTTGAACCCAGGAGGCGGAGGTTGCAGTGAGCCAAGATCACACCACTGCACTCCAGCCTGGGCAACAGAGTGAGACTCCATCTCAAAAAAAAAAAAAAAAAACCCAAAAAACAAAAAAACCAAGAAGATAAAGACAGAAACCTGGAGGATCATTACTCTGGACTAGTCCCTGAGGCCTAATTCCTTGAGCTCTTCTTTTAATCTTGTGAATTACCTCAGCAGCCTTTTCTGCTACATGAACCAATACATTCTTCTTTTGCTTAAATTAACTGACTTGGGTTTCTGTCACTTGCAACCAAAAGTATCTGCATTATCCTAGAATAAATCAGTACCCATGAAAATAATAAACTCAGGAGGCCCCTTGAATATTTTATCACACAAATTTATACTGAAGTCTTCAGATTTACAATGCCTGATGCCATTATGTCACGTTATAAGTTGAATAAGTACATGTAGACACAGTGACATGAGTAGTTTAAAAAGTGGAGGAATTGTTTCTCTTCAGATGATTTGAATTGGTGGTTTTTGGAGCTAAAACAGTGAGCAGCATATTGAGATTTAAGATGTGTGATACACATTGAGGAGCTCAACTCTTGAGTGGGAAACAAACACACCCACTATTACTTTAAGGAGAACTGTTACTCCAACACAAGCTAAAGGAGCTGTTAAATCAGCACCACCTTCTCATATTTCCACGACGACGCATATGGTCACAGCACATTTCCCATCTCTAGAAAGCCAACATTACAACAGAAATACTAGGTGTATATAATTTGTCAGTGGTTTGAAGCAATGCAGAAGCCAAACCAGAAAAAAATGAATAAAAACCATTTTTTGGTTCTGTTTTTTAGCCAATTCTTGAGAATAGAAAAGAACAAATAGTAGGAGATTAACAGGGGAGATGTAGAACCAGTAAATTTTGGAGGAAATCTGAGGGACTGTGGGTCAAATACAATTCAGCCTTAAAGCATTTCCATTTTTCCTGGTCTTTATTCAAAATTCAAAGTAGCATCGTAATTAGTGCTCCAAAATTAAATCACACTTCTTTTTTGTGGATAAGATTTTATAAGACTCGAACAATACTGTGAGTCAGTCTATCAGGAGTCCTTGGATCAATCTAGTTCAGTTCAACAAACACTTGAGAAGCACTGGGCTAGGCCTGAGGATAAAGGAAGAGATAGATACAGGGTTTGTACTTTAGACACTCCAAGCTGACTGGAAAGTATAGATTGATAAGCAGATGGTTTCACTGATGTTAGTACCAGCCGGTCCACTTGCTGGCCCCCATAAAATTAGGAAGCAAAGTGGCTTCCTATGAGTTGCATGCTTTAAGCCTCAGCTTCTCGAGGTCAAGATCTCTTTAACTTTGGAGTCCCTTGCCCGGCCTTCCTTGACTGTCTTCCCGAGAGTTTGACTCTTTCTGGAGGCCATGCTTCAGCTCCAAGGTTTTGTGTTGGGTATGTCTACCTTTTCCTTCTCTTGCCATCAATCCTGCGTCTTGGCCTGCCATCCTTCTTGCCTTGTCTAACTTCTCTCACCATTCCTATCATCTACCTCTGTGCTAGATACTGTGACTAAATTCCATAAATACATCTCAATAATTGTTATTTAACAGAAATATAATACTGCTGGAGTGTAGGGCAAAAGAGAAAAGCAATCCTATTAAGTCTGTCAAGATTCTATTATATTAATTGATATAAATCGTTCCTAAACACCTGTTTACAGATTAATTGACGGCATCAGAATCATCTGAAGGAATTTTTTAAATAATTGATTCCTAGGATGAATCTGAGAGATGCTTCTTTAGTAAGTCTTGGATGAGCACCATGAATCTGAGTATTTTAAACCTTCCTGAGGAGCATTGCCAGGTTGGTGGATTACCATTTTAGAGGCACTGTTACTCTATTACTAAATCAAAAGGAAGATAACAAGAACCTGGATTTCCTTGGACTTTTATTGTGTTGCTGTTACTGTTGCAGTTATTCACTGAAGAGTGATCATCTATTTCAATTTCGGAGGGTACCTCAACATGGCTAGTGAGGCATGTGCATGCATCATGTATTTCTATATCTAAGTGACTATATGTGTACTAAACATTCAAGAATTTTTATGGAGAAGATAGAAAAGATGCCTGGCCTATAGACTAGAAGGACAGAAAGGTGAAGGAATGACAGACAACACCTAAGTGTCTCCTGATCAGCTTTGGTTAATGAGTCATGCAGCAAATTGTATTTTACTTCATATATTTGGCAGAGTTAACACATATGATACAGATGTAAAGGGAAAACTAACTTTTATTATAACTTTTTCTCCCTTATCCTAGGTAATGATTTATTGCATTCTCAAAGGGGTTTGAAAACACTCTTTTCAGATTCTCCAGTGTATGTGTGTTTTATATAGTCCACAGACAAATTTGTCACATGAGATCATTAAAGAGTTAGAAATAATTTATTTATTTAAAGGCTGTATTACAGTACCTGACACATGGCAAGGGTTCTAGGATGGTGGAGATTATTATTACTCAGAAAGATGCTATTAACCAGGACCAATTTGAGAAGCATACTTTATATGAAGTTTTGAGTAAACAACTAGAAAATACACATATGTCTGTATATGTATATATAACATGCATATGTGTATATATATGTGTATATGTATATATAATGTGCATATGTGTGTATATGTATATATGTGCATATATACATATATGTGTGCATACACACACACACACACACAGATATATATAGAGAGAGAGACAGACAGCAGATGACCCTGTTACTTCCACAAACTCACTGCCGCTAAGCAGCCTGGTCTACCTCTTATACTCTGAACACTCTGTGCATGTCCCTGTTGCTTGGAAGGTCCTGCTGATCTCTCCTTCTTTTTTCAAAGTCTTACCCTGTTTCAAGGCCCTGATCAAATCCTGCACCATGCTGTGAGCCTTCCCCAGTGGGCTTAGCTTCAAATAAAATCCTCTTTACATGAACTGGAGCACAGGACAAATGGCAAGAAAGACCTTCTGTATTGTCTTTCATTTCTTTAAGAACAAATCCTGTCTGTTCAGCTGGATTTTAGGTTTCTTGAGGCTAGGAACCATATCTTCTGCCACATAAAATTCCTTACACTTTGTACATACTAGCACTCACTAATTTTCTTTATTCTTTTTTTTATTATTATACTTTAAGTTTTAGGGTACATGTGCACAATGTGCAGGTTAGTTACATTTGTATACATGTGCCATGCTGGTGCGCTGCACCCACTAACTCGTCATCTCGCATTAGGTATATCTCCCAATCCATCCCTCCCCCCTCCCCCCACCCCACAACAGTCCCCAGAGTGTGATGTTCCCCTTCCTATGTCCATGTGTTCTCATTGTTCAATTCCCACCTATGAGTGAGAATATGCGGTGTTTGGTTTTTTGTTCTTGTGATAGTTTACTGAGAATGATGATTTCCAATTTCATCCATGTCCCTACAAAGGACATGAACTCGCCAATTTTTATGGCTGCATAGTATTCCATGGTGTATATGTGCCACATTTTCTTAATCCAGTCTATCATTGTTGGACATTTGGGTTGGTTCCAAGTCTTTGCTATTGTGAATAATGCCTCAGTAAACATACGTGTGCATGTGTCTTTATAGCAGCATGATTTATAGTCCTTTGGGTATATACCCAGTAATGGGATGGCTGGGTCAAATGGTATTTCCAGTTCTAGATCCCTGAGGAATCGCCACACTGACTTCCACAATGGTTGAACTAGTTTACAGTCCCACCAACAGTGTAAGAGTGTTCCTATTTCTCCACATCCTCTCCAGCACCTGTTGTTTCCTGACTTTTTAATGATTGCCATTCTAACTAGTGTGAGATGGTATCTCATTGTGGTTTTGATTTGCATTTCTCTGATGGCCAGTGATGGTGAGCATTTTTTCATGTGTTTTTTGGCTACATAAATGTCTTCTTTTGAGAAGTGTCTGTTCATGTCCTTCGACCACTTTTTGATGGGGTTGTTTGTTTTTTTCTTGTAAATTTGTTTGTTCATTGTAGATTCTGGATATTAGCCCTTTGTCAGATGAGTAGGTTGCAAAAATTTTCTCCCATTTTGTAGGTTGCCTGTTCACTCTGATGGTAGTTTCTTTTGCTGTGCAGAAGCTCTTTAGTTTAATTAGATCCCATTTGTCAATTTTGTCTTTTGTTGCCATTGCTTTTGGTGTTTTAGACATGAAGTCCTTGCCCATGCCTATGTCCTGAATGGTAATGCCTACAGAACTCTCCACCCCAAATCAACAGAATATACATTTTTTTCAGCACCACACCACACCTATTCAAAAATTGACCATATACTTGGAAGTAAAGCACTCCTCAGCAAATGTAAAAGAACAGAAATTATAACAAACTATCTCTCAGACCACAGTGCAATCAAACTAGAACTCAGGATTAAGAATCTCACTCAAAACCACTCAACTACATGGAAACTGAACAACCTGCTCCTGAATGAATACTGGGTACATAACGAAATGAAGGCAGAAATAAAGATGTTCTTTGAAACCAACGAGAACAAAGACACAACATACCAGAATCTCTGGGATGCATTCAAAGCAGTGTGTAGAGGGAAATTTGTAGTACTAAATGCCCACAAGAGAAAGCAGGAAAGATCCAAAACTGACACCCTAACATCACAATTAAAAGAACTAGAAAAGCTAGAGCAAACACATTCAAAAGCTAGCAGAAGGCAAGAAATAACTAAAATCAGAGAAGAACTGAAGGAAATAGAGACACAAAAAACCCTTCAAAAAATTAATGAATCCAGGAGCTAGTTTTTTGAAAGGATCAACAAAATTGATAGACCGCTAGCAAGACTAATAAAGAAAAAAAGAGAGAAGAATCAAATAGACGCAATAAAAAATGATAAAGGGGATATCACCACCGATCCCACAGAAATACAAACTACCATCAGAGAATACTACAAACACCTCTACGCAAATAAACTAGAAAATCTAGAAGAAATAGATAAATTCCTTGACACATACACCCTTCCAAGACTAAACCAGGAAGAAGTTGAATCTCTGAATAGACCAATAACAGGATCTGAAATTGTGGCAATAATCAATAGCTTACCAACCAAAAAGAGTCCAGGACCAGATGGATTCACAGCCGAATTCTACCAGAGGTACAAGGAGGAACTGGTACCATTCCTTCTGAAACTATTCCAATCAATAGAAAAAGAGGGAATCCTCCCTAACTCATTTTACGAGGCCAGCATCATCCTGATACCAAAGCTGGGCAGAGACACAACAAAAAAAGAGAATTTTAGACCAATATCCTTGATGAACATTGATGCAAAAATCCTCAATAAAATACTGGCAAACGGAATCCAGCAGCACATCAAAAAGCTTATCCACCATGATCAAGTGGGCTTCATCCCTGGGATGCAAGGCTGGTTCAATATACGCAAATCAATAAATGTAATCCAGCATATAAACAGAAGCAAAGACAAAAACCACATGATTATGTCAATAGATGCAGAAAAGGCCTTTGACAAAATTCAACAACCCTTCATGCTAAAAACTCTCAATAAATTAGGTATTGATGGGACGTATTTCAAAATAATAAGAGCTATCTATGACAAACCCACAGCCAATATCATACTGAATGGGCAAAAACTGGAAGCATTCCCTTTGAAAACCGGCACAAGACAGGGATGCCCTTTCTCACCACTAATTTTCTTTTCTCGGTGTGTTGATAACTTAACATTCACCAAGACTTTGACAATGCAGAAGTCCCGAGAAATAGGCAGGATAAATTCCACTTGCACCAAGGACAACCACATTTCTACTTTATAATTCTTCATTTGTAAACATGGTATTCCTGACCAACCCCCAATATGGCATCTACAGTTGCTTCCCTAGAAGCACACAGATGTGTTTGTACACAGCTGGCTTGTTTCCCTGCATCAATTATAATCTATGGCTCCCAGGTACCACAGTGTTAATAGTCAAAACAGTCATTAACGCCATGACCTGGTCCTGTTCAGCAGATTTTTTATAATGGGAAAAAGAATAAAAATGTTTTCTTCACACAAGAGATCAGCTGGAGGAGTAAATACAAATGAATTAAGCAAACAAACCACCAAATGCAAATGATCAGCTTCTTTTTAAAGGTGCCAGTTTCCCTTCTTCTCCCTCCCTAAACTGGTTTCTATCTTATTTTGGGTGTGGATGTACATCTATCAAAATGCTGGAGCTGGCACTGTCAGGAATGTCATCATTTAAGTTTAAAAAGCAACACATAAAGTTTAATTTCCTTAAACATGAATTTGACCAAAATTCTATTTGATCCAAAAGTTCCCAATGCTTTCCCTCTTTCTAGGCTCTCCTCACAGTCCTGTATCACCTTCAGCCAGAGCAGGCCTAGCAAATCTCAGTGCACTCAGCATGAGTTCTGAAACCTCCCTGCTTCCCTCAAAGGCCCCAATCCTAGCTGAAAATCCCACTCTAACACCATTTTTCAGCTTATGTTGTTATTTCCAGGAAATCTTTGTACAGCACAGATGTCTTTTGGGAAGAGTAAGTGATTGACAGTCACCCACACTGAAATGAGCTTTAGTATGTCAGATTGAGAGGGAACAGTGACGATCCTGAGGGAACAGAAGATGGAGAGTTTTGCTGGAAGAGAAGAGAAGAGAAAGCTCTAAGACAAGCAAAAATGTGTGTATTTTCCTCATGTATCTCCCCAAAATACTTTTTGAAAAAATATGTACCCCTTTCACATTTTTCAGATTAACATCCAAAATTTTTATTAGTTACAAAGGAAGTATGTAAATATTCTAAAATAAAGCTCTTGCATCACAGTTTTTTTATTTATTCTATCTATCTATCTATCTATCTATCTATCTATCTATCTATCTATCTATCATCTATTTATTTTTGAGATGGAGTCTCACTCTGTTGCCCAGGTTGGAGTGCAGTGGTGTAATCTCAGCTCACTGCAACCTCCACCTCCCATGTTCAAGTGATTCTCCTGCCTCAGCTTCCTGAATAGCTGAGATTGCAGGTGCCTGCCACTATGCCTGGCTAATTTTTGTATTTTTAATGGAGACAGGGTTTCGCCATGTTGGCCAGGCTGGCCTCTAACTCCTGACCTCAGGTGACCTGCCTGCCTCAGCCTCCCAAAGTGGCATTGCACTTTTAAATGTGTCCAGTAGTAGAATTTAAACACCATAGAGATTGGACATCCATTATCATTTATTTAAAAAACAAGGTACAACCTCTTAGTCAAAGATTTTATACCATTCCTTTTCTTCTTCTATTTCTGCTATTATTATTCAAACTTAATATATTTTTACCCTGGAAAACTTTTAATTGATTATTCTATCATACTTCTCTAAAGCAAACAAAAATATAAATTGGAAATTTAAAAAGTATTCTGTTGCAATAAGGCTGCAAAAAGTTTAAAATTTTTCTTCTGAATTATAATTATTAGTAGTAATATAAACTTACTGTTAGTAGTATACAAATGATCAAAACAAACAGTATAAATTATAAATTTTGATAAATTATCAAAGTGGTTTAGTGTTACTAGTGGTTTGTTGTTATTCCTATTGTTGATCTAATTCATGTAAGCCTAGACTAATACTACTTATTCCTAGGATGACATTGGGATCAGCATCAATTTGACTTTTGGTTTTTTTTGAATTATTATACTTTAAGTTCTGGGGTACATGTGCAGAATGTGCAGTTTTGTTACATAGGTATACACGTGCCATGGTGGCTTGCTGCACCCATCAACCCATCACCTACATTAGGTATTTCTCCTAATGTTATCCCTCCCCCAGGTCCCCACCCTGTAACAAGAGTGTTGCTCACAAAAATAAGTACATGAAATTGTGTTATAATAATGCAATTGTCCGGGCATGGTCACTCATGCCTGTAATCCCAGCACTTTGGGAGGCCAAGGTGGGTAGATCACCTGAGGTCAGGAGTTTAAGACCAGCCTGGCCAACATGGTGAAATTCTGTATCTACTAAAAATACAAAAAATTAGCCTGGCATGGTGGTGGGCGCCTGTAAGCCCAATTATTCAGGAGGCTGAGGCAGGAAGATCGCTTGAACCTGGGAGGCAGAGGGTGCAGTGAGCCAAGAACACACCATTGCACTCCAGCCTGGGCAACAAGAGTGAAACTCCATCTCAAAAAAAAAAAAAAAAAGGCCAATCAATTATTTGAATAATTTGAGTCATATGTTAAAAATCACAGGATGATTGATTTAACATTTGTATTAAATAATATATTGATATAATTAATAATATAACATATTAATAAAATTAATACATCACCTAATTCAATAAAATAATTTTCATGTTTTGGAAAGTAAATTTAATTAATTATTTTTAAGGTTAACAATTTTTTTAAAAATTTAACTTTGAAGTTTGGGGTACATGTGCAGGTTTGTTGCATAGGTAAACTTGTGTCATGGGGGTTTGTTGTACAGATTATTTCATCACCCAGGTATTAAGCCTAGTATCCATTAGGTATTTTTGCTGATCTTCTCCCTCCTCCCACCCTCCACCCTCCGATAGGCCCCACTGTGGGTTGTTCCTCTCTATGTGTCAATGTGTTCTTGTCATTTAACTCCCACTTATAAGTGAGAACATGTGGCATTTAATCTTTTGTTCCTGCATTAGTCCGCTAAGGATATTGACCTCCGGCTCCATCCATATTCCCACAAAGGACATGATCTCATTTTTTATGACTGCATAGTATTCCATGGTGTATATGTATCATATTTTACTTATACAGTCTACCATCGATGGGCATTCAGGTTGATTCCATGTCTTTGCTATTTCAAATAGCACTGCAATGAATATACACGTGCATGTGTCTTTAAGATAGAATGATTTATATTCCTTTGGGTATATATTCAGTAATGGGATTATTGGGTCTAATGGTAGTTCTGTTTTTAGGTCTCTGTGGAATCATCACACTGTCTTCCATAATGGTTGAACTAATTTACACTCCCACCAACAGTGTATAAGCATTCCTTTTTCTCTGCAACCTCGCCAGCATCTGTTATTTTTTTACTTTTTAATCATTGCCATTCTGACTAGTGTGAGAGGATATCTCACTGTGGTTTTGATTCACATTTCCCTAATGATCAGTCATGTTGATTTCAATTAATTAATTAAATCAACCAATCAAATTAATTAATTTTGGCAAATAAAATTAATTACATGTAATGCTAATAATTATTAAAATTAATTTTAATGATTTGTGCTCTCCTTTAGAAGATCTTAAAAAATGGAAATTTGTTGATATGGTTTGGCTGTGTCCCTACCCAAATCACATCTTGAATTGTACTTCCCATAATCCCCACGTGTTGTGAGAGGGATCCAGTGGGAGATAACTGAATCATAAGGGTGGTTTCCTCCATGCTATTCCTGTGATAGTGAGTGAGTTCTCACAAAATCTGATGGTTTTGCTAGGCACTTTCCCCACCCCGCTTCGCTCTGTACTTCTCCTTGATGCCACCATGTAAAGAAGGATGTGTTTGTTTCCCCTTCTGCCATGATTGTAAGTTTCCTGAGGCCTCCTCAGCCTCAGGAAATGCTGAACTGTGAGTCAACTAAACCTTTTTCCTTTATAAATTACCCAGTCTTGGGTATGTCTTTATTAGTAGCATGAGAACAGACTAATAACAGTAAATTGGAACCAGTAGAGTAGAGTGGGGTGCTGTTGTAAAGATATCTGAACATGTGGAAGCGACTTTGGAACTGGGTAACAGGAAGAGGTTGGAACAGTTTTGAGGGCTCAGAAGAAGAAAGGAAAATGTGGGAAAGTTTGGAACTTCCTAGAAGAACTCTTCATCCTTGAACAATGATCTTGCAACCTAACAACTTAAATTGCCTCAGTATTTTCCACAGGCAACTCTTACACACCCTACCTACAGACCCAACTCTGAAAGTGTACTTAATCTCAAAGGCTGCAAAGGGGTGGAAAAATTTCCTCCTTTTCGTATTGCTTTTGTTACTTATGCCAATAAACTCTTCTAGTTGGAATGGAACACACTACTTCGAAGCACAATTCCTTTTTAATTCCAGTCATTCTATTAATCAACTGAGGTTTATGTCACAACCCCATGAATAACAGCAAAAAATAATACAACTTGGAGGAACTGGAGGAGGTAACGCTGGCTTTTCACTGCTAGAGCTTCTTCCCACATGCTTGGGTAACATACGCTCTCCTTATTTGCATCTTGTGATCTTAGTTCTTTGAACAGGGGCACTGCTCTGTTGTGCATAAAAGTCATGAAATCTGATGAGTTCTTTTAGATCTTAGAGTCAATTATAGCTAAAAAGTGACAACAAATGAAATTTGGCACAAGATTTTATTTTTAGTGCAGAATATTAAACATGGAACCAGGAGACTGTTAAAGAGTGAAACATCTCAGGGAATTAATCTTTAATGCAGATTAATCCCCCTGGGCATTTGGATGGAAAGATGTGTTTTTAAACTGCTATTTTGAAAATGAGAAAGTTAAAAATCAAAAGAGTAAATTTTTATTAATTCCCAATTTAACCATATCTCACATAGCACCATCTCACAATTTCACTTCATAGGATGCCAGCAGGCCACATCTGGGGAGAAACGGCAGGCAAACAATGCTACTGTTAAAAGTGAAAGAAGTAGGACAAAATTAATGTAGTGGGTTGCAAATATCTTTGACTTTGTGTTTGTTCCCAAGTTATCATGGGCTGGGCTTCCATTGAGTGCAGATTATTCTAACAGAAAAGAAGGGTAGTTTCAAAAGAAGGTGGGTTGCTTCATAAGATCCTACAATATATATAATTGTGTCAGATTTTAGATATCATTAAGCTCAGTCTCCTGGTTCTTAACTTTGCATATTCAATCACCCTAGAGAATTTAAAAATGCCCGATATATGAATCTCACCTCAAACCAGTTAAATGGGGACATCTTGGTTGAGTCCCAGACATTGTATTTACAGTTTCCCAAGCAGCTCTAATTTGCAATCAGGTTTGAGAACCATCCCTAGTTCACACCAGTTTCCAGCTCCCTGAGACTTGTGACCTGCCAAGGTCAGATTAACCAGTTTTCAGCTGAACCATTCCCAGCCAACTGCTTTTTATATCTTCTAGCTCTGCTGACCCCTGCTCCCATCATGTTTCTAAACAGACTGGCTGGTTCATTCAGGCAACAAATTATTTATTGAGCACCTACAATATGTCAGGCAATGGGCTGGTGACTGTGGCTAAAATTGTGAGCAATAACAGATGAGATTTCTTCCCTCGTGGAGTTTATAGTCCAGTGGGAGAGATAGATACTAATGAGATAATGATAAAATTATAACTGTGGTAAGTACTGGGAAGGAGAAGTTCATGGTAGCCTAAGAGGCTGACTTCTCTGAAAAAGTGAAGGCTGAATGAGATCTGATGAAGTAGAAGATTTATTAGGCAAAATAGGGAGAGAAGAATGGGGGCTGGGTGGAGAGAGAGACAAAGAAAGAGAGAGAGAGCTTCTTGAATCTGTATCAGAGAATGGCATATGCTGAAAAGCTCTGTGGCTGGAGAAAACATGGAATGTGTTTCAGGAGCTGAAAAACGGCCAGGGAGGCAGGAAATGTTAAGAGAGCTAATAACCAAAAATGTTAATCAATTTCATTTATTAATAAATCCTCTACCTTAAAACCATTATGTACTTAACCTCATCACTACAGCCACAGTGACACGATCCACACACACACCTTGACCTTGACCCTGTCCTGTCAGTTTCTATTTGAAACAAACATAAGTGTACCCACAAATGAGATTCAAACAGGCTGTGCACCTCTGTTTAACCAGTGGTTCTCAACCTTGGCTGTACTTTGCAATCACTTGAAGACCTTTAAAAACGCTGTTGCCCAGCAGATACCCAAGATCACTTTAATCAGAATTCTTGGGGATGGGATCCAGATATTGGTATTTTTTTAAAGCTCCCCTGATGTACAGCCAAAATGGAGAACTGCTGTTCTGGGAAAACAGGAGGAGGGTGAATACTAGGAGGGGAGAGAGAAATTGTATTTGAATTTGTCATTCTCCGTCTTTAATTATTGCCTCCGCTTGATGCATTAGGACTGACCATGTAATGGGGATCTCCCCTATGTTATAACTTCTTCATACACAGCTGGATTGGAATTAAAACCACAGGAACACCAGGGACAGTTCCAAAATAAAAAGTGAAATTCCCTGTTTCTGTTTCTCCCTCACGTTCTCTCTTCTGGCTGTAGTTAATTTAATAATGTACAAATTCACAGATTCCACAATAGGTCACCTTCCATGCTGGGAGTTATCAACCATTTTTCCCAGCACTGGAACATGTACCACACATTTTCTTTAGGAACCTTTCTGCACAAGTAAGTCATATGGGCTGAAGTTACACTCCACTTGTTCTCACCCCACCCCTACCATCCTACCTACCAGCTGAGAACTGCTGGTCTACTTTCCAGTAATCTGGGTATTTCAATCTTCTTATAACTGTAATATACATTGAAAAATAAAGTTTTCTGAGTAAGAAAACAAATTAAAAGTGGATGAAGGTCAGCTTGGCACATAGCCTCTAGATGGTTTTTATTTTAATACATATTTTATTTTTATCATCTTGTGGGAATCAAGTTAGAGGAAACAAGTTTTGTGTCTTCCATAGGTCACTGAAAGAGAACTATATCCATAGATGTCAAATTATACCTAGGGTTTCTAAAGGAAGCTTAAGGAAGGGCCAAGAGCTGTTTAACCAGCCAAGAGCTGGACTGACAGAGAAAAGAGCTGCCTCATCGCCAATTTAAAAGAGAATAACTGCTCATCCTCCAAGATATAACTCAAGCATCATCTCACTGGTAAGCCTTCTGTGATACTCAGGTCAGCTGGCTAGCTGCCTTTTCCTGTGTCCTACTTTCTTTCTCTCTCTCTCTCTTTTTTTTTTCTTTTGAGAAGGTGTCCTCACTCTGTCGCTCAGGCTGGAGTGCAGTGGCACCATCTTGGCTCACCACATCCTTCACCTTCCAGGTTCAAGTGATTCTCCTGCCTCAGCCTCCCGAGTAGCTGGGATTATAAGCTTCTGTCACCACGCCTGGCTAATTTTTGTATTCTTAGTAGAGACGGGGTTTCACCATGTTGGCCAGGCTGCTCTGAACTCCTGATCTCAAGTGACCCACCCATCTCAGCCTCCCAAAGTGTTGGGATTACAGGCATGAGCCACCACGCTCATGTGTCCCACTTTAATCACAGCAACATAGAGCCTGCTAGATGAAAAGCTCTCTGAAGGCAGCGCATGAGTTTATGGTGTGAATCGCCAGTGCTTGGAGATGTCTGACCCATGGTAGTAACACAAAAAAATATCTGATAAACGATTACATGACCCCTAAATACCTACCCTTGTTTAAAATACTCTATAAAGAAATCACTGTTGGGGCCAGATGCTGTGGCTCATGCCTGTAATCCCAGCACTTTGGGAGGCTGAGGCGGGTGGATCACTTGAGGCTGGGACTTTGAGACCAGTCTGGCCAATATGGTGAAACCCTGTCTCTAGTAAAAATACAAAAATTAGCTGAGTGTGGTGGAGCGTGCCTGTAATCCCAACTCTTCAGGTGGCTGAGGTATGAGAATCGCTTGAACCTGGGAGGTGGAGGTTGCAGTGAGCCAAGATTGCACCGCTGCACTCCAGCCTGGGTGACAGAGCAAGACTCTGTTCCCCTCCTCCAAAAAAAAAAAAAAAAAAAAGAAAAGGAAAGAAAAATATCACTATTAGAACGTTAGAACCAGTCACTCTAGTTTCTCAGAGGACATACTTAGAATCTCAATTTATTTAACACTGAGTGATTCTAAATGGAAAATTTTAATTTTCTTTTTATTTCAACAGGTTTTTGGGGAACAAGTGGTGTCTGGTTACATGAATAAGATCTTTAGTGGTGATTTCTGAGATTTTGGTGCACCCATCACCCAAGCAATGTACACTGTAACCAATGCATAGTCTTTTATGCATAGTTTCATCCAGGTCACTGCATGTATCAACAATTTGCTCCTTCAAACTAATAAGCAGTATTCCATGGTATGGATGTACCTCAGTTTGCTTTAACCATTCACCCACTGAAAGACATCTGGGTTGCTTCCAATTATTGGTTATTATGAATGAAGCTGCCATGAATACTTACGTAGAGGTTTTGGGGTAAACACAAGTCTTCATTTCTCTGGGAAAAATGTCCAGGAGTGCAAGTGCTGGATCCTATAGTAATTGCATGTTTCAGTGTTTTAGGAAATTGCCAAACTGTTTTCCAGAGTGGCTGTACCATTTTACATTCCCACCACCAATGTATGTATGAGTGATTAAGTTTCTCCACCTGCTTGCCAGAATTTGTTGTGCCACTATTTTTTATTTTAGTTATTCCGATAGGTGTCTAGTGATACGTCATTGTGGTTTTAGCTTGCATATCACTAACAGCTTATGACATTGAACATTTTCTCCTGTGCTTATCTGCCATTTGTATATCTTCCTCAGTGAAATGTCTTTTGTCCATTTTCTAATTGGTTTGTCTGTATTTTTACTGTTGGGTTTTGAGAGTTCTTTATATATTCTAGATACTAGTCCTTTTTCTTTCTTTCTTTTTTAACTTTTATTTTAAGTTCAGGAGTACAAGTGCAGGTTTGTTATAAAGATAAACTTGTGTCATGGGGGTTTGTTGTACAGATTATTTCATCACCCAGGTATTAAGCCTAGTACCCAATAGTTATTTTTCCTGATCCTCTTCCTCCTCCCACCCTCCACTCTCTGATAGGCCCCGGTGTTTATTGTTCTGCTCTATGTGTCCATGTATTCTCATTATTTAGCTCCCACTTATAAGTGAGAACATGTGGTATTTGGTTTTCTGTTCCTTTTTCAAATACGTAGTTTGCAAATACATTCTCCCACTTGGTAGCTTATACTTTAATTCTCTCAACAGGGTCTTTCACAGAGCAAGAGTTTTAAATTTTGATGAAATTCAACTTGTCAGTGTTTCATTTTATGCACTGTGTTTTTTATGTCAAGTCTAGGAACTCTTTGCCTAGCCCTAGATTACAAAGAATTTTCACTATGATTTTATTCTAAAGGTTTTACAGTTTTATATTTAACTCTGCAATCCATGTTGAGTAAATTTTTGTATTAAGTGTCAGACTTAGGTCAAGATTCATTTTTATGCCTAGGAATGTCCAGTTGCTCCAGTACCATTTGTTGAAAAGCCCATCCGTTAAAATACTTTTGCAACCTTGTCTATTTGGGGTTCTCTATTTTGTTCCATTGATCTGTGTGTCTGTCCCTCCACCAATACCACAGTCTTGATTACTTTAGCTAGAAAATAATTCTTGAGATTGAATATATGGATTCTACCCATTCTATTCTTCTTTTTCAAAGTTGTTTTAGCTACTCCAGTTTCTTTGCCTTTCAATATAAATTTTAGAATAATATTTTCTGTATCTACAGAAAGTCTTGCTGAGATTTTGATAGAAATTGTGCTAAACCTATAATCAATTTGGGAAAGAATAACTCTACTATAGTGAGTCTTCCAACCCATGAAGATGGTATGTCTCTTCATGTATTCAGTTTTGAGATTTCACTCATCAGCATTATTTGGTTTTCAGCATGCAAGTCCTGTACATGTTTTAGGACCCCAAAGTATCTCATATTTTTTATTCTATTTAGTCATTATAAATAGTACTGCACTTTAACTTTGATATCCCATGTTGATTGTTAATATGTAAAATACAATTGATTTTTATATGTTTATATTATATCTTGTGAACTTGTAGACCTTATGTTAGTTCTAGGAGTATTTTTGTAGATTCCTTGGGACTTTCTACATAGATCGTCACATCCTCTAAAAATAGGGAAAGTTTTTACTTTTTCTTTGTATCTGTATGTCTTTTATTTTATTTTATTTTATTTTGCCTTATTGTACCAGTTACAGCTTCTGGCACTATGTTGAATAAGGGTGGTGAGAGTAGACATCCTTGCCTTGCTCTTGGTTTTACAGGCAAAGCATTTAATTTTTTACCATTATGTATAATACTAGCTGTAAGGATTTTGCATCTGTTTTTTATCACGTTGAGAAAGTTTCACTCTAACATTTTTTGCTGATTTTTTTTTTAGACCATGAATGGGTGTTGACTTTTATCAAATGCTTTTTCTATAGCTATTGATACAATCATGTGATTTTTCTTCTTTAGCCTGTGAATATGGTGGATTATATTGGTTAATTTTAAAATATTAAACTAGCTTTGCATCCTTGGAATAAGTCCCACTAGGTGTGTAATTCTTTATACATATCGTTCAATTCTGTTTGTCAATATTTTGTTTAGGACTTTTGAGTTGATATTCATGAGAAGTGTTGGTCCATAGTTTCTGTCTTTCTTTCCTTTTTTTTTTTCCTTTCTTCCTTTCTTTTTTGTACTGTCTTTGGTTTTGGTATCAGGATGATACTAGGTTTATAAAATAAATCAGGAAGCGTTCCCTCCTCTTCTATCTTCTGGTAGAATTCTCTAGTGAAACAATTTAGGCCTAACAATTTCTTATACAGGGGAGTTTTTAAATTATGAATTTAGGTTCCTATATAGTTATAGGACATTAAAATTATCTAATTCATATTGCTTGAGTTGTGGTCATTTGTGTTTGTTCAGAAATTGGTTCATTTTGTCTAATTTGTCGAATTTATCATATAGAGTTGTTCATTGTATACTCTTAATCTTTCAATGTCTGCAGGGCTTGTGTTGATATACCTATTTCATTGTTGATATTGATTTGTTTCTCCTCTCTACTTTTGTCATCTTTCTAGAGGTTTGTCAATTTTATCGATCTTTAAAAAAAACACAGCTCTTTGGTTTTCTCTTTTTTTCTTCTGTTTTAAATTTCATTGAGTTATGCTCTTACCTTTATTATTTCTTTCCTTCTGCTTGCTTTGGGTTTATTTTGCTCTGCTTTTTCTAGATTCTGGAGATGGAAGCTTAGATTTATTGATTTGAGATGTCTCCTTTTTTCTAATGTATGCATAAATTTTCCTAATGTGTATATATATATATTTTTTTTTATTATACTTTAAGTTTTAGGGTACATGTGCACATTGTGCAGGTTAGTTACATATGTATACATGTGCCGTGCTGGTGTGCTGCACCCACTAACTCGTCATCTAGCATTAGGTATATCTCCCAATGCTATCCCTCCCCCCTCCCCCCACCCCACAATAGTCCCCAGAGTGTGATATTCCCCTTCCTGTGTCCATGTGATCTCATTGTTCAATTCCCACCTATGAGTGAGAATATGCGGTGTTTGGTTTTTTGTTCTTGTGATAGTTTACTGAGAATGATGATTTCCAATTTCATCCATGTCCCTGCAAAGGACATGAACTCATCATTTTTTATGGCTGCATAGTATTCCATGGTGTATATGTGCCACATTTTCTTAATCCAGTCTATCATTGTTGGACATTTGGGTTGGTTCCAAGTGTTTGCGATCGTGAATAATGCCGCAATAAACATACGTGTGCACGTGTCTTTATAGCAGCATGATTTATAGTCCTTTGGGTATATACCCAGTAATGGGATGGCTGGGTCAAATGGTATTTCCAGTTCTAGATCCCTGAGGAATCACCACACTGACTTCCACAATGGTTGAACTAGTTTACAGTCCCACCAACAGTGTAAAAGTGTTCCTATTTCTCCACATCCTCTCCAGCACCTGTTGTTTCCTGACTTTTTAATGATTGCCATTCTAACTGGTGTGAGATGGTATCTCATTGTGGTTTTGATTTGCATTTCTCTGATGGCCAGTGATGATGAGCATTTTTTCATGTGTTTTTTGGCTGCATAAATGTCTTCTTTTGAGAAGTGTCTGTTCATGTCCTTCACCCACTTTTTGATGGGGTTGTTTGTTTTTTTCTTGTAAATTTGTTTGAGTTCATTGCAGATTCTGGATATTAGCCCTTTGTCAGATGAGTAGGTTGTGAAAATTTTCTCCCATTTTGTAGGTTGCCTGTTCACTCTGATGGTAGTTTCTTTTGCTGTGCAGAAGCTCTTTAGTTTAATTAGATCCCATTTGTCAATTTTGGCTTTTGTTGCCATTGCTTTTGGTGTTTTAGACATGAAGTCCTTGCCCATGCCTATGTCCTGAATGGTAATGCCTAGGTTTTCTTCTAGGGTTTTTATGGTTTTAGGTCTAACGTTTAAGTCTTTAATCCATCTTGAATTGAGTTTTGTATAAGGTGTAAGGAAGGGATCCAGTTTCAGCTTTCTACATATGGCTAGCCAGTTTTCCCAGCACCATTTATTAAATAGGGAATCCTTTCCCCAGTGCTTGTTTTTCTCAGGTTTGTCAAAGATCTGATAGTTGTAGATATGCGGGGTTATTTCTGAGGGCTCTGTTCTGTTCCATTGATCTATATCTCTGTTTTGGTACCAGTACCATGCTGTTTTGGTTACTGTAGCCTTGTAGTATAGTTTGAAGTCAGGTAGTGTGATGCCTCCAGCTTTGTTCTTTTGGCTTAGGATTGACTTGGCAATTTTCCTAATGTATTTGGTGTTATAAACTCCCCTTTCAGCACTGTTTGCTGCTTCACACAAAATTTGATATCTTTTATTTCCATTTAATGCAATGTATAAATAGAGACACCAGTTCTCTCTTCTAAAAAAAACTTTCTTAATATGCTATCTTAGAGACTGTCCACATATCTGTGGTCTCCAATAGAATACTTTGTGAATTAGTCAGCTACTTATATTACTTCCCTTTAATCACAATTTGTTTTTTCTAAATCTCCTGGATTTGTACTTCTATTCCTCAGTCTTTTGCTGAGACTGCTTTCAAAGATCACTAGTTACTCCCATACCCTTTTCTTTAAATTAAATCCAAATATCTGCTGCATTTGGAATTGCTTGGATACTCCTGGTAAAATTTTACCTTCCTTGCGTTCCATGACCAAATGTTTGAATCACAGCTATTTCACTGTCTGTATGACCTTGTACAAATCACAGAAGATCCAAGAGCCTCATTTTCTTCATTACTAAATAGGGAGTTTAATCCTGATCTATATCTGTTAGTGTTGCACTGAGGCTCAAGTGAGATTACATGTATCTAATGAGCACTAATTAGTGTCAGGCACCACAGTAGGTGCTGGGTATACAAAGGTGAGAGTATAACACAGCCTCAGGACTTGACCACAATCTAGTGGCAGAGACAAATAAGTGAACATATCCTGGGATAAGTGGCAGAGAACATGATATGCACAGCAATGTCATGGGAACACTTGGGAGCCTTGAGGGCTCAGGCAAGGCTTCCCAGAGAAGGTGTATCTAAGCTGAGTCCTGAAGAATGAGTAGGAGTTCAGCGATGGAATAACAAATGGGATGGAATGTGCTTAGTATACTTTGAGGTATTGCGGCGGTGGGGTTGGGTGGGGGCAGCGGGGGCGGGGATTTCCTTATAAAATCAGTTTTCACCCCGTCTCTACTAAAAACACAAAAATTAGCTGGGTGTGTTGGCACATGCCTATAGTCCCAGCTACTCGGGAGGCTGAGGCAGGAGAATCACTTGAACTCAGGAGGCAGAGGTTGCAGTGAGCCAAAATCGTGTCACTGCACTCCAGCCTGGCGACAGAGTGAGACTCCGTCTCAAGAAAAAAAAAAAAAATCAGTTTTCATGCTACTCCAGTGAGTTCATTACATTCATTTTCAAAGAAATGCCTATGTATTATGTGTAATTAAGTCCATTTTAGGTTTACTGTCTGTGGAGGGAAAGATATATACAAGACGTCCTTTCTATGTATAACTTCTGATCTATACCTATGACCTTGGAAAATGGAGAAGAGTAACTTTTTAAATACTTCTCATTAATCTACTTGAAAGAGATTAGCTTTTATATTACAATAACATGCTTTGGTAATTGGAACAGTGACTAATTCCATTAATTGCATTTATTCATATTTGAATACTCAATTGGATTCTTCTACTATAGTCATTCATTCATCACTTTGTGCTTATCTTTTTTCGACATATAAATATGTTTTCTACATATGATAATTAACTGATTGCAATATTCCCAAAGAGTTTAAATTTTTTTTTTCCTATCAAACAAAACAACTCAGTCATCCATGCTCAGACAATTTTCTCCATGAAACCCAGTGCGTTATCATGCCTCTTTTGTCTGGAACTCACTGACAGCTCACCAGTCTTCATCTTTACCAGATTCAACTTTTTATCCTCTTCATTCTCATTACCTTTTGGCATATACAGGAGAACACAAGGTTGAACTTTATAGTTATCATTTGCTTCTAATTTGCTCTTCAGCATCAGCAATGTGAAAGCTTTTCATTTCCATATCTCATTTGAATGTGACGGCTTTAAAAATAAATGCAGCCCAGGTAAAATGTTTACCCCTGTTCATCATTGAATATAATCATGGAGTTAGAAGACAAAAATTCCACTGGTTATATGATGTATGTCCCATGGGACAGAAAAGTAATATACATTTCCTTTAAAGCTTATCTAGCAGAATACTGATTTTGGAAGCCAGTGCCACTCTGACGCAACTGTAAATGATGAAGAGTTCTGCTTTGATGTGCTAACTTCTACATATACATAGTATGTATATACACATATGTGTATACATAGCAGTATATGTGTATACACAGTATATGCATGTATATAGTATATATGTGTACACATATATGTATACACAAGCAGTGTGAGTTTGCCATCCTTGAAGGCTAAAAAAATTTCATCAGGCCAGCTGTTCCACTGTTGATGATTAGCCAACTAAAAGCTTCCACCACAAGTCTATGAAGAACAAAGCAAGCTGAACCAATTATATTTGTTTTTATAATATTGCAACACAGTGAAAACAAAGAGATAGTAACCTGAGTAAGTTATCTTGAATTCTGGTTTTAATGGTATCACAAACCTTGTCTCATCAGTAAGGCAGAAATAAGGTGTTTATTGTCCTAGTATAATGTGGGTAGATAGTTGAATTAAACACATAACCTGAAGGAGAAGATAATGTAGTGTGTATTGGAATCAACCCTGAGACCCCTATATTTGTATTAAATATTCATAACCCAGAATCAGGAATGCATTCATCAGACCTGCAGAGAATTCTCAATCAGGAGGATTGCTATTGCTTTT
Organism: Homo sapiens; assembly: GCF_000001405.40. Classification (NCBI taxonomy): domain Eukaryota; kingdom Metazoa; phylum Chordata; class Mammalia; order Primates; family Hominidae; genus Homo; species Homo sapiens. Next base: position 104,504,528 of record NC_000007.14, on the reverse strand, counting down.
AACATCACTGCTGAATTCAAAATAACATTGATATTTTTGAGAAATTTTCCCATCCAAGGGATGTAATTTAATGTCATAAGGGAAACACATAAGTGATCAAAGATTTAGGATGAAAATCTAACAGCAGACATTAAAAATTGGAGTAAAATGTAAGATGAAAATGTATCCATAAAATAGAAAATCCTGGGAAATCCTGTTTATAAACATAAGGTAAATACGTGATTGACAATGACTTAAAAGATAAAAAATATATCATGCTCTTCAATAGCTAAGGGTTAAGGACAACTCCTTCCATTGTAGTTTGCCTAAGTCATATTTTTCTATGATTTTCTTCAGTTTGGTCACTGCATTTTAAATTCCACATAAAGAAGTAGAGAGCGTTCAGAGGTGAATAACAAATAAAGATGAAAGGAATAGAAAATAGATTCACGAAGACAGATGAAAGGAATGGAGTCTGGCCTGGAGAGAAAAATGAAAAACAGGTGACTTGACTACTATCTTCTCTAGTACAGAATGGATTGCATAAGTGTGATGAGCAGTTATTTTCCATATCAACCAAATAAAAACAAAATAAGATCTACAAAGCAAAAGTCAAATGAAAAGGGATGGGCTTATATAAATGCTAAATAAATGTTGGGTGGACTTAAGAAAAAAACTTCAGCTGCATGTGGTGGCTCATGACTATAATCCCAACACTTTGGGAGGGTGAGGTGAGCAGATTGCTTGAGCCCTGGAGTTTGAGACCAGCCTAGGCAATCTGGCAAAACCCCATATCTACCAAAAATACAAAAATTAGCTGGGTGTGGTGGTGCGCACCTGTGGTTCCAGCTACTCAGGAGGCTGAGGTGGGAGGATCACTTGAACCCTGGAGGTGGAGGCTGCAGTGAGCCAAGATCATGCCACTGCACTCCAGCCTGGGTGATAGGGTGAGACCCAGTCTCAAAAGAAAAAGAAAATATTAAAATTAAAATAAAAAACTCTTAAACATGGAAATGATCCAACTATGAAATAGAATACTCAAGAATATTTGGGAAATAATTGCCTTGAGCAAATAAAAATGTTTTCTTTGTTTCTCATAATATAAACAAACATTCATTGTAGAAAATCTAGAAAAATACAGGTGAGCAGAAAGAAAAATATAAAAAGTACTTACAATTCCACAAGCCAGAGACAGCTAATTTTTTCCTGTCATTTTTTACAGACACATACACACACACATTCATATATGTGTGCGTGTGTTTGCTTCTTTTTACCAAAATGGGATAGCATTGTTCATTCTGCTTTTTAACCTGCTTTATACTTAAAATTATATGTGAACATCTTTTTATACCTTCTTAGTATTCTACTATCTTATAAAGCTTAATATTATTTAACCAATGCCCTATTAGGAGGTATTTTGGTTGTTACTAGTTTTTTTTTTTAACAAAACATGTGGTGAGCAGTTGTATAATTAAATATTTGCAAGCGTATGTTGTTACATTTTTAATATAAGTTTCTAGAAATAAATTGCTGGGTCGAGAGTTTGGAAAATTTTAAGGCGTTATTATTTTTTAATTAACTTCCAGAAAATTTGAAATGATTTATACTATCACTGACAGTGTAAAAGAATGCCCTTTTCTGAGAACCCAGATATTACTGAGTCTTATCATTTTATAAGCTAATACCCTGAAAACTAGACTTATCAGAACCATCCTGTAAGTTAGTATGGAATAGAGTTGTGTAAACAATAAGAATACTATTTATGCCCTAACAATACCGACATTGGAAAAAATAAATGTTCTTGGAAATCCTCTGAGTTGTGAGGGCTGGGAAAGCACTTTAGGCAAGTCACATTTCTTAGTCCATTTTATCTTCCTGGCAAGGATCTTGCACAAATACATTGGGAGGTGGTGTGTGATGGGGGGCAGGTAGAACACAGCATCCTAGGTTCACCCTGAACCACAAGCACAATCTTCTGTAATCTTCATGTAGCTCGAGAATGGGACCCAGGGCAGTAAGAATTCATGTAGTCACAGTCCAGATGGCTTAGCCAACATGTAGATGCCATTTCTATACTCTTTTGCTGCACATCATTTTTACTTCAAATAAGAATGTAAAACCTTTTTCTTAACCCTTAATTTGGTAGTAAGCATAATAGCTTTATGCTTCTTAAACTGAAGCACAGTTCTTAAACTGAAGCACTCAACAGTGACTTCTTCCCTATTCTTCCAGTAAAAGAGGAATTTATTTCCAAATTCCAATCCATGGGACAAAGACAACAAATTTTAACTCTTTCAGGTGTTAGCAAGCAAGTTGCATTTTGCTTCCTCATGTAACATAGAAAGCAATGTGCTATACAGTTAGGAGACTACATCTGCAGTTCTTTTGGATGTGAAAAAAATCTGAATTAATTTTTGATATCCATACAATCTCAATATTGGTATGTAAAGGTTAGATGATTCATGTCTATTTTCACAAAATCATTTTTTTCTTGTAGGTATCTTCAGGAATCTAATTTCCACCTCATTGTCCAAATGCATTTACAATAAGCAGAGCACAATCTGATTATTTTGAAATTCCTTTCAGTTAATTTGATTCCTAGAACAGTACAATTGATCTAACTTATTTTTCAGAAATCTAGTTATTACAGCCAGAAAAAGAAAACAGACAACAATCACCAAATCAGCTATGCTACTGCTAATTCAATCGCAGAGTCTAAACATAGCTGCAGAATATATTTGGTTTCCTGTCAGGTTTTCCTTTTCACCCTATTTCAAATTGGAATCTATCATTTCTAGAACTTTCTTTCAAACTTTCTTTCAGATATGTCTCTTGACATATCTGAGCCCCAGGCTGTATCAGGTCAACCAATCCACAATCTTTCAATTCAGGGTAGTTTATGGTGGACGTCAGAGAAAAGCAAGGCCTGGGAAATACAGCCTCAAACCTCCAGAAGAGGCATGAGTGACTATCAGTATGACTCACCATTATGTTTAGGGGATAGAGGTGTATCTTTAGTTCTACAATTCACAGCAATAAAAACTCATGCAAAAAAAAGTGCCTTTAGATAGAACTCCAAATTTTATTAGCATCTTATTTACTCTTAACTTAAAAACTAAAAAGATTTGCCTTTAGTTTAAATCATATTAGCAACTGTATAGAGCACTAACTGCTCCCAAGTGACTGCAGCTGTTCAGTTGACTGGTTTTGAGGCTTCATCTTACTTAATAGCTTTTAAATTAGTAGAACGAATGCTGTTGAAAGGAAAGCAGCATTAAAATGGTATATGATATTGGTTTATTACATTGTAAAGAGTCTGTGGAAATATACCTATGATTAACCAAGGAATAATATTTGGAATTCAAAAGGATACACCAAACTATACAGCTTGTTCCTTCCTTTATTCTTTCCTTCCTTCAATCAATAAACATTTATTGAGCATTTTTTTTTGCCAGATATTGTGATAAACCCTGGAGATATATTAAAGATAAAGATGCAGAGGCAAGAGGTAAATACCAAGTTGCAATATAAAATGACAAGTGTATATACTGAGATAACTCTATACAGGTTAAGCTAGAGAGTAAAGCTGCCTGGGATTATAGGAGAGATGCGGCAGGTTTGAGAGGGCATCTCAGGGACATTTGCCACTTGAAGGATGAGAAGGCATTTGAAAGGCCAGTGGGGCTGTTCTTGGGAGAGGAGGCTGGGAGACGTGAAGGAGGACAGGGCATTTACAGAACTGTATGCAATCACATCTGAACACAAAGGAGGGTTTACTGTATGGGCAGGGATTTGCTCAAGAATTTTAGGCTTGCGAATAATCTGATTTGTGTTTAGAAAATTCACTCTGCCCTCTGTGGCGAGGGAAAGGTGGTAAAAGTGCAAAAGATGTGAAGCAGGGGACCAAAAAGCAATATTATAATGGTCCAGGTGAGAGGGAATGGAAGTTTGAAGTAGCCAAGAGTAACTGGGAGAGAGGAGATGAGTGGACTGAAGAGATATTAGCGCAAAAACCACAGGGACCTCAGCCTTTGTAAACACACAAAGTTCTCAGCACTGAAATTGCGGTTTCGTAGATATGTCTATTTATCATTGAATTCACTAATTATCTTGTTTCCTTCATAAAGGTGAAATGTTGACATTTTCAGCTTTATAAAGCAAATTTTAGTAAGCACTACTTGGTAAAATTATAAACTAAGCTATAAAAAATTCTTTCAACTTTGTTTCTTAAAGTATCAAGTATTGATCTCCAGTTGATTAGAAGGAATCACGGAGATATTGATAAAATTGTCAGTTTGTTGAAATAAACTCCCAGAAGGTGTCTAGCTGCCTCAGCTGTTTTTGAGGACAAACCTCAGAAGAATGACGTCACTATTAAAACGAAAGGCTTAGGGTTGGTTACCTGTGGAACCTCTGAGGCTTCAATATCTACTGACTTTCCCATCTCTTCTCGGACTGAATCAGTCCTGGAAACAGACATCACATCAGTAGGCAATGCATAGTCACTGTAGACATCTACCCATCCACATATACAGTGCTCATCTTTCTGACTCAGTCTTACGTTAAAGAATAATACATTTACTGCATTTGGAAAAACAAAAATTGTAAAACATCTTTTTAATCTGCTGGCTTGTTTTATTATTTTATTTCCAGCAGTATTTTCCTTTTTTTCTTCTACTGGTAAGAAAGCACAACTGAAATAAATGGAATCTTTTAAAGCAAGCAAATTACCAAGTTCTATATAGTTTTGGGGTTAAATGTGATTATAACTGCATGCATTTTATTAACTTGCTTCAAAATATGGATGAGATCATTAGTTTAATGATTTAAGCGTCCCAATAAAAAGAAATTAACGTAACAGATTGAGCTAATTCATCTTATTACTCGTCACTAGGTCTCTTTGGGGAGGAAAAACAGTCTGTAATTAATGATACAATATTGGAGCACCAAAAGCTAACACAAAGAAGTCCCTCATTCTCTTGAAGTACTTTCTCCAAAGGTCTCTGAGTCATGGAACCAGGCTGGCAGTAGACAGACCTTTCCAACATGGCCTGCACAAGGGTGGTACCAAGATAATATCTTGAATATAAGAGCTCGGTCATGCTTCATTGCAACCTTAACAGTTTCTTCCTTTAAGAGCAAATGCTAACAAAAATGTAAACAATGCAGGCTTGGCATAACATTAAACAATCTTTATGTTCAGAGCACATTGACATCAATCATTTTGTTTACAGCAAGGTGAAAAGGGAAAGTGCTATTCATTTTGCAAATGAGCAAATAGGTAGATGAAGGTTAAGTGGTGTTTCTAACATTACCCAACAGGTTGATGGCAAAGTGAAAACTAGACTCTGTCTCCTGACTCTTATCCTTATATTCCTCTTTTCCTCATAAGGTAGTTAAGATGACACCATTTCCCTCAGAAATAAAATTAAGGCAATAAAAAGTCATATACTGTGCCATTACTTTTGGAGTAAAAATGACTTCCAATCATGCTTCATTTTTATGAATGAGTTTAAATGAGTTATTGCACCTGGAAATACCCATGCCCAAACATTAGACCCACTGTCCTCATGGAAAAAAAAATCTTTGAACATTTTTGGAATTGGTCTTCAAAGGAAGAATAGGTTGAATACAACTTTCCATTTTAAAATTTACTTAAATGTTCTGTTTTTAGCTGAGAATTGATTGTGGACCTATCTGTGTCCTGAGAGCTGGCATTTCTAAGCATTCTTATTGCCAAGGGAAAATAAAGTTTTATTAAAAACTGTTTCTGGCTAGGCGCTGTGGCTCACACCTATAATCCCAACACTTTGGAAGGCAGAGGTGGGCAGATCGCTTGAGGTCAGGAGTTCGAGACCAACCTGGTCAACATGGTGAAACCCCGTCTCTACTAAAAATACAAAAGTTAGCAGGGCGTGGTGGCAGGCGCCTGTAGTCCCAGCTACTTGGGTGGCCGAGGCACAAGAATCTCTTGAACCTGGAGGCAGAGTGAGACCCTGCACTCAAACCTGGGCAACAGAGTGAGACCCTGTCTCAAAAAAAAAAAAAAAAAACATTGCTTCCATGTACAGCAGGTAAAGTATATGTGAATGCAACAAATAAGGACTGAAATTCACTGGCGATTAAATGTTCTTGGCCCAATGTTCTTCTTTGAGCACGAAGACAAGATATCTAGAATGAAAGGCAGAAATGAGTGACAAGGGAAGCCTCATTGCAGACAGTTTGATAGAACTCATGGGTCCTAACCTTTTGTAGACTCATGGGAAATTTCTTCCAGTCATGGTAGCGGTGGCTGACTTTGTTGTCACATATCCACAAAGATTAGAAACTGCATTTTGTAGCACCATGAGTTCCCAAGATATGTTCACTGTGACTATTATATTTAATTCTCACAATAGCCCTGTGGTACAGGCATTATTATTTTGTACTTATGTAAGAGTTTAAGAAACTGAGGATCCATGATAGATCTGCCTTAAGAAAGAAATCTGGCAAAAATTATTTGGGCCTTGGGCAGCTATGCTTGTTCCACCCCACACCTAGGGTTCCCACCTCCCTAAAACCCAGGCCTTTGGTTCACCCCACACCTAGGGTTCCCCTCCCTAAAACCCAGGCCTTTGGCTCCTGGCTTCTCACAAGTCACTTGCATCAGTCTACAAAAGGTTAGGACCTTGTGACTCAGGTGTCAGGGCTCTGTGATTACAAGAAGCCAAGCCTGGCTCAGCCTCTCTACCCACTCCAGGTATCTGGTGCCTTCCACAGTAGCACTGGAAATGGGATTAATGGGCAACACCGGGATATCAGGGCCAAAAGATTCCTAACCAGACTCCAGGCAAGTTCCCGGCAGTGACTCCTCCAGCTTGGAGGGGGTGTGTTAATATTTAATTTATGTTTGTGCTCTCCTTTCCTCCTTTTTTTTTTTTTTTAATTGGTGTGTGCAGGGATTCTGTAGGATGGTAACCATAGTAACAGCAGAAGAGAAATGAGATTTCACCCCCAAAATGCATATCAGAGGCTGTTTACTGAAAGTGGCAGATCTGTCAGCTCTCAGATGAAGACAAAGACTTCTCATGTGGATTCCAGTTGGCTTTATTGTTGTTCTACCTTTACTGCATATATCCCCTCACGTTATATGTGTACCTGTGTGTGTGTATGTGTGTGTGTTTAAATTAAAATGTTCAAAAGAAAACTTTACTTTTGGAGCTGAAACCTAAGAATCTTCTTCTTTTTTTTTTTTTTTTTTCCTTTTCTCAACTTTTATTTTCGGTTCAGGAGTACATATGAATCTTCTTTACTGGGTAAATTTGCAATGTTTTGTTCTGACACATAAGTGAAACTTATCAATGCATAAGACATGCTCTGGGAAGAATGCTTTTTTTTTTGTTTTGTCAGTCAAACTCGAGAACGATAGTATGATAATAATGGTAATCAGATAATCTACTTTTCCATCACAGCATCCCCAGTGAAGTTACCCAGCATATAGTCCAAGGAATGATTTCTCCTGGTGGTAGGAAGACAAGGGCTATTTAGGGCAGGAATGATGGAATGAGCAAAGGGGACCTTGTTCTTCACTTAGGCCTTTAATTTTATATCATAAAGAGGCAGAAATGACATCTAAAAATACTTTGGGGTACTGGAGAGTTTAAGAGCTTAGACTAAAATTCCTCCAAGTTTTCCCTTCTGGGAGGAAGGGATCCCACAAATACTTTCCATTCACATCTCTAAGTTAAGCACAGGAAGTGCAGTGCTCCTAACATCTGGTAGTGATGATGAGATACATATTCAGGGGCTTCATTTCATTATATTTAAGCTAAGGAAATACAAGTTAATGGCTAAATGCAGACTTTGGAACCAGCGCAGCTTTGTTTAAAAATCTTGGTTCCCAGTTAGAATGGCGATCATTAAAAAAATCAGGAAACAACAGGTGCTGGAGAGGATGTGGAGAAATAGGAACACTTTTACACTGTTGGTGGGACTGTAAACTAGTTCAACCCTTGTGGAAGTCAGTGTGGCGATTCCTCAGGGATCTAGAACTAGAAATACCATTTGACCCAGCCATCCCATTACTGGGTATATACCCAAAGGATTATAAATCATGCTGCTATAAAGACACATGCACACGTATGTTTATTGCAGCACTATTCAGAATAGCAAAGACTTGGAACCAACCCAAAGGTCCAACAATGATAGACTGGATTAAGAAAATGTGGCACATATACACCATGGAATACTATGCAGCCATAAAAAAGGATGAATTCATGTCCTTTGTAGGGACATGGATGAAGCTGGAAAACATCATTCTCAGCAAACTATCGCAAGGACAAAAAACCAAACACCGCATATTCTCACTCATAGGTGGGAATTGAACAACGAGAACGCATGGACACAGGAAGGGGAACATCACACACTGGGGACTATTGTGGGGTGGGGGGAAGGAGGAGGGATAGCATTAGGAGATATAACTAATGCTAAATGACGAGTTAATGGGTGCAGCACACCAACATGACACATGTATACATATGTAACAAACCTGCACGTTGTGCACATGTATCCTAAAACTTAAAAGTATTAAAAAAAAAATCTTGGTTCCTCTATTTACTAGCTGTGTGATCTCAGACAATTAGCTTATCCTAAGTAAAGTAATAAATGAGGATTAAATGAGATAATGTACACAGAGTATCTAGCATGTATTGAGAACAAAACAAAGTGAAATGCTTTAATAAAGATGTTGGCAAGGTGTGGTGGCTCACACCTGTAATCCCAGCACTTTAGGGGGTTGAGGTGAGAGAATCACTTGAGGCCGGGAGTTCAAGACCAGCCTGGGCAACATAATGAGACCCCCGCCACCAGTCTCTACAAAAAAATTTTTAGGCCAGGCGCGTTAGCTCAAGCCTGTAATCCCAGCACTTTGGGAGGCCAAGGCGGGCAGATCATGAGGTCAGGAGATGGAGACCATCCTGGCTAACATGGTGAAACCCCATCTCTACTAAAAATACAAAAAATTAGCCAAGCGTGGTGGCAGGTGCCTGTAGTCCCAGCTACTTGGGAGGCTGAGGCAGGAGAATGGCGTGAACCCGGAAGGTGGAGCTTGCAGTGAGCTGAGATTGTGCCACTGCACTCCAGCCTGGGCGACAGAGCAAGACTCCGTCTCAAAAAAGAAAAAAAATTTTTTTTTTAAATAGCCAGACATGGCTGTGTACACCTGTAGTCCTAGCTACTTGGGAGGCTAAGGTGAGAGGATCACTTCAGCACAGGTGTTCAAGGCTGCAGTGAGCCATGGCTGAGCCACTGCACTCCAACGTTGGCAACAGAGTGAGACTCTGTCTCTAAAAAGAAAAAAGATTCTGTGAAAGCCCAAAGAAGGTAGTGACTGTTTGGCTAGTGGGGGTTGGAAGGGGAAGGGGTTGAACCTTCTCTGAGGAAGAAATTTTGGACTATGGAAACCCATTAGGAGAGAAAGAAGTAGAGAGGAAACAGAGTGATATATTGGGAAACCAACTGTAATCTTGGTTTCTGCTTCTTGCTATGGATTTTGAAAGAGGAAGGGGATTGATCTGGAGGGGGGTTTGGAAGTGGAAACTGGTGTGTTGTGTTCAAGGGATGGATGGTCGGATCAGAAGAGCTGAGTTCCAGATGAGAAGAACTACAGAGTCTTGTTGGGGATCTAGTATTTGTACCCCAGCTGGGGGTTGTGTGAAGCATGAAGGCCACCCATGGTGCTGCTGCAACACCACTCTGGCCTGGGTGAGGAGCTGCCAGGACTATCTGTCGCCAAGTCTTTTCCTATTTACCAAGACCACCTAAGCCTTGGAATTCTTGTATGGGTCCATGAGGGTGCAAGCAAGGAAGGGAGATGTGGCTTCCTACCAGGTCTGGTGGGAGAGAGGTCAGCAGGCTTGATTTGACTTGAATGGATGAATAAGAAAGCAAGCATGGCTTTTCTGATTATGGAGCCATTCACACACACTACAGAGTGCTGACGTTTTGGGGGCAGGGAGTTCTTTCTTAGCATGGGTGAAGCGTGGAAGATTTTATTAAAGATGATGAAGAAGGAAAGGATGTAAACATGTGAAAATGAGAGGAGAGATCTCAGCAAAAGGAACATAATTAACAAAGAGAGAACAGTGTGAAAGCAAGGTAATGAATGTGGCAGACAAGGTTCTGAAGGATGTGAAGAATAAATAAGAGAATAGAGGCAGAGAATTCATATCTGTGGAATAAGTGAATGAATGAATGGAAAATATAGGTTGGCACCAGATGGCTCAGGGCATGAAATGTTGAACTAATAGATTTGCATTTGATACTGAAGTACGCAGATATTACACATATTATTTTGTAAAATAATATATGTTAGTTGTTGCTTCTATTGTTAATATAATTTTATGGTAATGAGAAGCAGTCAAAGCTGTTGAGAAGAAAAATAAGACAAGCCTTACTATGCTCTCTAGCAGCCCTAGCTAATGGAAATATATTTAAAGCCATATATGCAGTTTTAAATTTTCTAGTCATAACAAAAGAGATGAAATTAATTTTAATATATTATCATGTCAGCATGTAATCAATATAAAAATTATTAATGAGGAATTTGAAATGTTTTAGTATAAATTATTCTGTATCTGGTGTGTTTTTTACACTTACTGCACATCTCAAGTGGGACTAGTTATATTTCAAGTGCTTACTAGCCACCTGCTATCCTTATTGGATAGCAGAGGTGTGTAGCATGGTACAGAGAAGTAAGAGACCAGGAGAGGAGATTAGTTAAGAGGTGATTATAATAGCTCAGGAGAGAAGTAAGGAGGGCTTGAATTCAGATAGTGTTTGTGAGAACAAAGCAAAAAAAAAAAGACAAGAATTATTGCACAAGTAAAACCAATGATATCTGAAAATTAATTGACATTGGGAAGAAGGAGATGGAGGAGTCAATGCTGATCCTACTGACTCCAAGACTAGGAAAGTGAGGCCATCAGCAGGCCCAGCAATATAGCAGGAGAGGCTGACATAAGTGGGGAATGAGTTAGTGGACTCAGTTTTGAAGGTGACTGGAGGCCATCTAGCTGAAAAACTCCAGCAGGCTCTTGAGATACATGCGCTGTAAAGGAGAGAGGATGAGCACTGAAATTTAGATCAGGAGGCCATCACAGAGAGAAGACAATGAAACTCTGATACTAGATGACATTTCAGAAAAGGGAGTCTTGAAGGGAAGAAGACAGGAGCTAAGGATCAAAATACTCCCTACTCCCTGGGGTAGGGTAGGAAGAGAAGATAGAGAAGGAACAATCAAAGAAGTAGAAGAACTAGGAAAGCACTGTGTCCAAGGGGAAGCACATTTTAAGAAAGTGGGGGGCCAGATTCCCTCGAGTGAGGAAGATAAATACCAAGATCCAAGAGGAATTTTTAAAAGAGGTAATTAGCAACCTTTGAGATCCCAGGGCATTGCAGGAACAGTAGTGAAATGACATAGGGTTAAAGAGTATGTGGAAAATAAAGTTAAACAGTGCATAAATATTATTCTTTTCAGAAATTTGAAGGTTAAATAAATATGGAATAAAGGAGAATTGCTTGAAAGATACAGTGAAGTTTTAAGATCAGTCGGACATGTCCCTAATTACAGACTCAAGAGAAGAATCTAGTGGAAAAGAAGAGATGAAAGTAGGGAGTGGCAATGGATGGTGGAAGGCCCCCAAAGAGGCAGGAACGAGTGGGATCAAAGATGCAACAGAAAGAAATGAGGTGTGCATCTCCCTCCTCCTCTAAGACAGAAAGGAAAGGAGAGAGGGTGGGTTAAAATAAAACTATTTTAAACTGGAAAGCAAGGAATTTGAGGACTGTTATAAGACAAATGTCCTTTAAATTAGTGAACGTAATAGTTATAAATGAATGTGAAAGCAGAATAAATTTTCATAAAATTTACATAAAAATTTCAAACATATGTCTTGAGTACTTATTGGTGTACAATATTTGTGAAGTTCCTCTGTGCTAAATGTGGAAGGTTCCAAATGCAAAACACGGCCATCAAAATAGTTAGGATGTGCCAGGCAAAGCCTGGGCTATTGTTTAATACACCTGACATGGTACCATTTTCTTTGTGAATGCAACATGGTCCCGGGTCTGACATGTCTTGAACAGATCCATTCGAGAGATAACCAGCTTGAAACTCAACCATTTTTCCCTAAAACTACTTAGTAAGTAACTTAAGGCAAGTTGGTCTCCTCTTTGCCCTGATGGTCCAGTGCTTTAGAGTGCCACCGTTCTGTTGCTATTATTGGAATTCTGATATTATTTCCTGTTAACTAGTCATTAATAAGGGGAAAAATCATTTAGTGGAACATCACATGCATAACAAGTATTTTATAATCAAATTCAATTCATAATAGCATTGTTACGCAAGTAACCCTGTAGTTTGAGAATTTATGCTAGAACATAAAAATATTTAATAGTTTTAAAATACATTAACTCTTGGTGAATCAGCACATACTAAAGGAAAGAAACATTCGAACCCAAATTAATGATCTCCACACAAACCTTACAACACTTGTATATGCACACACATTTCCTTGGAACATAGACCTAGTTTTTGTGTGACTTTGAATGAGGAATAGTTGTTTTAAAAATGTGTTTGGAATGAAACTTAGTATTGCAAATTAGACAATGTAAAGACAGTTCTAATTGGAAAATTTGTATTTTGTGTTCTGTGTTGGTCATTTTAATTTGGATGGGAAAATGTTTTATTGATTATTTTGGGTATATTTTAACATTTAATTTGGATGATATAGACATTGACTACAATAGAAAGCACTTTCAAATGTAAAGGGATTATAATTCTGTGCTTTTATAATTCTGTGCACATTGCTTTATGCTGCTCTCCTCCTACCTGCACATTGCTTAGCACTTCCAATGGGAAGTGGGTGGAGGGACAGCCTAGAGTGGCTGGTCAATCAGCTCTCACCTACTGTGATCTGATTAACTCCCCTGCAGGTATCTGGTACTGCCCTGATATTTTCCTGCTCACCCTGAGGCAATGTGTGGGCTGTTGTTTTTATGTCCAGCCCTCCCTCTTCCACCTATAATTTGTTTTTTTTTTTACATGGAAAAATTCTTGCTATTTGCCAAGGGTGACAGGGACATTACTTGTAATGCTTAACAAAGACACCTAGAAAGGAATATAAAGGTGGAATTCCAGCTGGAATCTGCCAGGGCCTGCTGGGGGGTAGGGGAGGGGGAACACACCTATACCCACATTTAAATTCCCTAAAGCTTGCCCAAAAGTTATCATTTTCCATTCAGTTTCCCCCAGTTGTGTATTCTGTAGGGAAATGACCAGAATTCCTGGTCATCTGATTGCTGATGCAAAAGGTAAGTCTGTGAAGTCAAGATTTAAATGCAACACAGTGTTACAGCCTCTGGTCTAATCTCAACCCTAAGTTGTCTTCCAGAGTCATAGTTGGACTGAGGCCCATGGCTTCTGTTCTCTGAGACCTGCTCTTCCAGACCAGGATCTTCTAGGAGTAAACCCTGCACCCTTGAGATCTAGATTCCAAGATTCCAAGTTCTGTACAGGAACTTGGAAGCCTAGGGTCCTGGAGGGCTCACCCACACCTAGTTTTAGGGAAAGGAATGAAGAAGACCAATGATGGCTGTGGCTCTTTTAACTGCAGCTCATAAGAAAGGCTTTACGAAAAAAAGAGGTGGCACCCAAAAGGAAACCTGTGAGAGGAGGGAATAGTGAATTCCAGAGAGTGCTATTAGATAGAGAAGCCTCAGTTTTCATATTACACATTGCCCTATCTGAAAAAAGAATTTGAGCAATATTTTTGGCAAGATAGTTAAAATCAATTTTTCCCATTTACTTTTCTGATCATTATTATTATGTCTTAAACATATGGGGGTTTAGTTGATATCCGTCGCTTTAGATCTGTGGGCCCTTTTGTGGTTCTCTGTATACCCAATGGAGAGTGGAGAACTAGAGTTGTTTTTGTTTTGTTTTAAGGCGCCTAATGGTACCAGAGAGAATTCTTGGATCTGGGTACTCAGGGGTTGATTTTCGGATATTTTGCTACAGGTCAAGAAGAATTAATGAACTCATGCATTTGCTGTACCCTTTGGTGTCTCTGAAGAGGGATCATTATTTATGATTAGGGATCATAAATTTATGATCATTATTTATGATTAGCTGCATTAGGAAGAGATAGTACTTTACTGAAGATGATTTGGGCTGCTTCCATGCAAAAGTCACTCAGTAGAAGAGGAGTGAAACAGATGTACCCAAAAGGATAAGGAAATGTTGGTCACTTGTTTGGAGGTCATTTTTATCTTATTTATTAAACTAATTAGGAAGAAAGGGTTAGGCAAGAATATCTCATTTCTAAAGAAAAAACTCTGGACTATTAGGAAGTTAAAAGTGGAACTGACGGTAAAACCATGAAAACAATTTAAAATTGCTTTCAATTAACTGCAAAACTGCCTAACAAGGACATAATGATGAGACAGGCACAGAGGTCTTGGTGCCAGTCCCTCCCCAGGCCCTATGCTATCCTGTTGGATGGTTGGTGTGCATAAAAAGACTATGCTGATAAGCACATATCAGTTAGACCTGCAGTAGGCCACAGTTAGAGGGGGTAGGAACTATAAAGACTTACGGTGTCAGCAGTGAGGAGGCTATGAAATCTGCATAGCTGTTTGTACCCAGCCACACGCCAGATAAAACTGAACTGATCCTCCACAAAACTTCCTTGTCTCCAAATTATTCCAATGAATCAGAAAGCCAAATCTTCCTAAATTTGGGAGGTTATGGTCATGTTATGGATATCATCCATGTACGGTTTTCACTGGGCCAGTTCCCTGTCCTCACACTTTTCAGTACCTAGAGTGGAGTAACCTTTGGTTCATTCCCACCTTCAGACTCTGGTTTGATCTCACTCCTGGCAAGGGGGATCTGAAAGGGCTGCAGGTCAGTTCTTTGGACCTTGTGTTCCCTTTCTGGTAGCCAGTACATTAATTTATTAAATAAATATTTATGGAGACACACTAGATGATGGGGATGCAAAGGAAAGAGGGTATTAGAGGGTAGGAGCTGAAATGGAAAGCATAAGTAAGACTTCATTAGGCTCTGTGCTGAGTAATGTACATCATCTGCAAGATAATTTGCAAGACCCAGTGCAAAATGAAAATGCAGAGTCCCTTGTTCAAAACTTAAGATTTCAGCACCACTTTGGGAGGCCGAGGCGGGCGGATCACGAGGTCAGGAGATCGAGACCATCCCGGCTAAAAACGGTGAAACCCCGTCTCTACTAAAAATACAAAAAATTAGCCGGGCGTAGTGGCGGGCGCCTGTAGTCCCAGCTACTTGGGAGGCTGAGGCAGGAGAATGGCGTGAACCCGGGAGGTGGAGCTTGCAATGAGCCGAGATCCCGCCACTGCACTCCAGCCTGGGCGACAGAGCGAGACTCCGTCTCAAAAAAAAAAAAAAAAAAAAAAGATTTCAGCACAGTGAGAGTAGAGCAGCAAGATTTCAAGGCAGTGAGAATAAAGCAGTAAACCAAGTGGGGGTCCCTTCTGAGCATGGGACACTGAGTGACTACACGGGTCACATGCCCATGAAGCCAGCCCTGGTCATGCAACCCCGGTTCTCTTTGCCTGAAATCCTAGACTTCCAAGAACTCAAAACCTGCTTTCTCTTGCCACTTTCTACTCATTCTCAGTGGCAAAATCTGAATCCTTCTTAGTGCCAACAGACTTTGCCTGCTTTGAACTTTGCTGTGTGCTCTGGATTCTCAACATGCTGCGTCCTTGTGGCTGTGATTCCTTGACCCTGCATTCACACCTCAACTACGCTTGCAGTCTGTTGCTATCCGTCTAGATGCTCTACACTGTCTGAACATCCTGGACCTCCTTCATGGTCAGCTGAACTTACTCTTATCCCTTGACCAAATGACATCCCACAGAGGGGATGACAGGCTAGGTATAATTCAGCTCCTGGACCTTTAAATTCTTAGGATCTGAAGATGAGAGAGAGAGAGAGAGAGACAGATTATACAATCATACTTCTAAAGTGAAAATATATGTCCTGGGATCCAAAAATCAAGTGGACCAGATAAAAAGTGGTATGACTGCCTTCTTGGCCCTTTTATCTCAAAGATCTTACCACTCTCCAAGGAAAAGTGAACCAATGAAAAGAGCAGTCCTCCCTAAAGAGCAACAGGGAATTTTGATATGTACATGTTTCTGTTACTCAGTATTTCTACCTCTTCTCTTGGAAGCCATCCAAAAGCACCCTCAATTTTTGGCAAAACTAGGAGAGAAACTCCAAAATATTTGTAAGTGTTGCCAAAAGCAATCAAGTTCACTTAGGAGCTGCAAGGAGGAGACTGAAGAGGTGCCAAGCAGAGATCTCTATGGCAAGAATTAAGCTGTGGGAGGTCTTAGAAAATGACAAAAAATACATTTTCTGACGTTAAGAGTCCCATTGCCAGTAGAGTTTGCAATAGAAAGGGTGGAAATGAGAAAGTGATAACCAGGTTTAATTCAGAGAAACAGAGAGAAACTAGATATGGACTTCATGACCATTCATGGAGACAAGCTGTATTTACAAGAAGGAGCCTCTCTTGGCAACAAAAAGAGAGCCCCAAGTTTGTGAATCCCAACTAACATGTAATAGTACCCTTGCCCCTCCCTACATATAGGAACCACCTGCAAACAATTTGTCTAGAAAAATATTACCAGGAAGCATATAAAAATTGTGAACAAACATCATATATGGAGTGAAGGAAGACCATAAAACAGAAATGCAAGGATTCAGAAAGTGATGGAGAAAAGACAAGAAAAGATCAATGTTACAGAATAAAACTCAGAAGGACTCAACACGTCCCTGAATAGTTTCATTTTGTTCCATGCCATCTTATTATGATGTTAATGAGGAAAGAAAAATGATTCCTGGCCAGGGGCCACTGTCTGTGTGGAGTTTGCACATTCTCCTCGTGTCTGCATGGGTTTTCTCTGGGTGCTCCAGCTTCCTCCCACATCCCAAAGATGTGCACGTTAGGTTAACTGGCATGTCTAAATTGTCTCAGTCTGAGTGAGTGTGGGGTGTGTGTGAGTGCACCACACGATGGGATGATATCCTGTTCAGCAGTGGCTCCTGCCTTGTGCCCTAAGCTACTAGAGTAGGCTCTGGCCACTTGAGACCCTGAGCTGGAATAATTTGGTAAATAATTATCTTACTTGTTTTTACTAATTTTTCTTAACTGTATGTATAGCTCACCTTTATTTCAATGTTTAATATTAGAAGTATTTTGGTCTTTAGAAGTTTGGTGATGGTTGTGTAATCAGGAATAGGCTGTCAGAACTTAACTCTTGTCCATATCAATTGGCCTATGATAAAACTGGTTTCATTATACATCATTTCACTTAGTCACATTTTCCAAGAAAAATGTGGAAGAAAAACTAAAACCATTACAGACATGAAAATGAAACTGGAAGAAATTTAAGGCCAGATACTGCAGGAAAAACGAAAGACAGTAAGGGAAATAACAGGATGAAAAAAAGGAGAAATGAAACATATCCAAAATGATTTTTAAATATTAATGAGAAAATAATAGAGCTAAAGCAATGCCAAAGTGGAAAATTCACAAGCAAATATTTATAGCAATAAATAAGAAAAGTGGAAAATTCATAGACATATTTATAGCAATGAATAAGAAAGACTGAAAAATAAATAAAGCATCCCAGATGAAGTTAGGGAAAAACAACTAAATAAACTTAAAGAAAGCAAAGGAAGAAATTAATAAAAATAAAAGCAGACATAAATAGCTCAGCAACATTAAAATAGTAGAACTAATAATATCAAAAGTTTGTTCATTTTTTAAGAAATAATAAATTGCTTACTAACTGCAATGGGCTGAATATTTACATCTGCACCCCTTCTCCACATGCACTGAAATCCTAATCCCAGGGTTATGGTATTAGGAGGTAGGGCCTTTGGAGGGGATTAGTGCCTTTAGAGAAGAGGTTTGAGAGAGACTCCTCACTCCTCTCACCATGTGAGGACACAGCCAGAAAGCATCACCAGTAAACCAGAAAGTGGGCCCTCATCACACACTGAATCTGCCAGTGTCTGATCCTGGGTTTCCCAGCCATCAGAACTGTAAAAATAAATTTCTATCATTTATAAGCCATCTAGTTTATAGTATTTCTGTTATAGCAACCAAAATAGACTATAGCACAGTCGTAATCAAGAAGAAAGCAGAAAGTACAAATGAGTAAAATGAGAAATGATAAAGGGGAACTAGCCACAGAATCATAAACATACCAAAGCTCATAAGAGAACATTTTGCTCAAGTCTATGTAAATATATTTAAAAACTTTGATGAAATGAATGTTTTACAGGAATACATAAATTACCAAAGTTAGCTTAAAAGCAGTAGGAAATCTTTTGTCACTCTTGCCACATCTGCTCAAACTACATGATCTGACTCAGAATTATGAACTCAATGTGCCATAATGATTCCATCAGTACTTGAAGGATATAGACTTCATAAGGTTGGACTAAATGATCTTCCCTGAAAGGATTACTGAAGACGTTTACCTGACTAAAGAAACAATGCATCTTGGTGCATTAACATAAACAAACAAAAACATTTTTGATTTTTAAAAAAGTGATAGACACAAGGACAGAAAACCAAACACCTCATGTTCTCACTCACAGTTGGGAATTGAACAACAAGAACACATGGACACAGGGCAGAGAACATCACACACCGAGCGAGGCCTGTCAGAGGGGTGGGAGGCTGGGGGAGGGAGAGCATTAGGAGAAACACCTAATGTAAATGATGAGTTGATGGGTGCAGCAAACCAACATGGCACATGTATACCTATGTAACAAACCTGCATGTTGTACACATGTACCCTAGAACTTAAAGTATAATAATAAAAAATGATAGAAAATCTAATCATTAAATGGTTCCAGAGCATCAAGGGAAAATACAAAAGAAATATTCCAAATTCTTTTTATGTAGCAAGCATAATTTTAGTACCAAAGGATGATAAAGATGATAAAAGGTGCACAAAGTATTCCAGAATTACAGACCAATATAACTTATGGATGCCAATGTAAAAATCCTAGGTAAAATATCACAATAGTAACTAGACTCTGAGAGCACTTTAAAAAAATAAAGACCAAAGGACAGTCCAATATTTAGAATTATATTAATATAATTCATCATACCAGTAGTTCCAAGAAAATAAAACATATGAGAATCTCTGATTTTTTTTAAAGAACACTCCATAAAATAGGGATTATCATGCAAAAACTGCCTTTGCATGATAAAATATATCTCTTTTAGTGCAAAAGTCAACATCATGCCTAGGAAATGAGAGGATGAGAATAAGATACGGGAGACAGGATTTTCACTGTATATTTTTAAATACTTCATAAAGTTCAAGTTATATGAATAAATTACCTATGAAAAACTATATGAACAATATATTTTTTAAAAGACCATTTCATCAGGACCTCATTCCCCTGTTCTCCCCACCCAGTGTCACCTATGGAGAGCCCCTCTGCTATGCTTGGAATGTGTCCCCCAAAGTTCATGTGTTGGAAACTTAATCCCCAATGTAATAGTATTGAGAGTTGAGATTTTTAGGAGGTGACTAGGTCATGAGGGCTCTGCTCTCATGAATGGATTAATGCCACCATTTCAGGAGTGGGTTATTCATTGCAGGAGTGTGTTCCTGATAAAAGGATGAGTTCAGCCCCCTTCCTGTCTCTCTGTCATGCTCTCTTGCCCTTCTGCCTTCCCCCCTCATGGGATGACACAGCATGAACACCCTGACCAGGTGCAGGCCCTTCCATCTTCGACTTCCCAGCCTCCAGAACTATAAGAAATAAATCTCTGTTCTTTACAAATTACCCAGTCTCAGGTATTCTGTTATAGCAGCACAAAATGGACCAAGACACCCTCCTGCTCTGTGTGAGGTACTTTAGATGTTTTGCCTCATCTGCCTCAGGAAGAAGAGAGATTCTAAGAAGGTAAGTCTAAAAGTAAATGAGAAGCCAAGGAGCTCAACAGAAAACATACCCCATTGATTTTTGAGAAGGCTTTTGACCTTCTCCCGGGCCCCCTCACTAACATGCTCCATCCTCAGCACTTTGGCCCAGCAATGGCCATGCTGAGAAGTGAAGGGAAGGAGGGAAAGGGGATGGAAGGTGTTTCTTTGTGAGGGTGGGGCAAGTGTAGCAGGGAGTGTGCTTTGAGATCCCTGATGGGTTGAGTATGTCACTAGCACCTGTCTGTTCAGTCCTGCTTCCCTTAATCTTTTGGAGCCACAGGTAAACGAATAGGACACATTCAAAAATCTGATGGCTGAAGAGGTAGGACACAGTTACAGCACAGCTAAAGGGGTTTTCTTAATGAAGAAAGGAAATAAGAATTGTAATAAGTCTCCAAATCATTTAAGAGGAAGAAAGGGAAAGGAATTAAAAATGCAAATCCCCAGGAATATTATAATTGGCTTGAAAATCTTAAGGATGCTGTATAAGGACCTACTAATAAAGTTGCCATGTAAACCAACTCTGTTCATTAACTTGAATCTTATATAACTTGAATCTTATATAAAATGACTACATGTTGGCTGGACATGTGGTGGCTGATACCTGTAATCCCAACACTTTGGGAGGCCAAGGTGGGAGGATCGCTTGAACCAGGAGTTTCAGACAAGCCTGAGTAACATAGTGAGACTCTGTCTCTACACAAAATTTAAGAATTTAAAAAAAATAGCTGGTCATGGTGGTGCACATCTGTAGTCCCAGCTACTCAGGAGGCTGAGGTGGGAGGATTGCTTGAGCCCAGGAGTTTGAGGCTGCAGTGATGATCGCCACTGTACTCCAGCCTGGGTGACAGTGAGAGTGAGACCCTGTATCTGTTTCTTAAAAAATGACTACATGCATAAAATACAAGTTTAAGAATTCTTACTACATCACTTGAAGGAAGTATAAATATTTCAAAGTGTATCAGGAGTATCTTACCCATGTATTTACTTTTACATCTCCTTTACATGAGATACCTTTATTTCTTGAGACAAACAGTAAAAATAACTATGTAGTTTTAAAAGTCCATAGATCATCAATTTAAAAGCCTTTTTCTTTGGGAAAGGAAAGAAAATTACAACTGAACATAAAATTTATAAAATGGTGAATTAGAATAGCAGCCATAGTGCTTTACACCTTTCCTGTTTAATCTCAGCATCCAAGCATCACCACTTGTGGGAAATTTTTTTCCATCCCACTGTAGGATGAGAAAGGCATGTAAGGGAATGAAACTGATCCTGCAAAACAAACCAGGAGTAACAGTGAGAACAAATGACTGGTTCCTGTTTATCGATCAGTTGGAGGAATGATCCTAGAACTTCCATTTTTTAAAAATCACATTGAGCATATTTTCACAGAATTTAGTGACTTCCATCCATTTTGGAGTCAGTGCCTCAATTCCTCAATCACTTCAAACTCTTTGCAAAACCAAGGCTGGGAATATCCATGTGGTGCCACCTGTGTCCACATCATGAGGGCACTAAGTTTGTCCAACGTATTTCCTGAAATCCCACGTACGTCAATACGGGCAGATAATAAACATTGTCCTACAAACAAAAACCCACATGGAGACTTGGCCTTGTGAGGAATTATGCTGAGCATATCTTCTCAGATCTTCTGTCTCCCTCAGACTGGACCACAGCCAGCCCGGGAGCTGCCAGTCAAGAGGGAGAACACCTGCAGTGGGAAAAGGTGGCATATGGCACACTGGGCAACTTGCCAGCTGCCTTTTGGGTTCTAAATCTGCTCACTGTTCATGAGATGCAAGCAATTGCTGCTTTAATGTTCAAGGAGGTGGCAGGGAGAAGGAACAACAAGAAAAGCAAAACCGAGAAAGGCAGTATCTTCTTTTAGTTCCATTTGTGAAAAATGACTGACTCACTCTATTACACACATTGATGTAGGGACAAATCACAGACAGTATAAACACATAAGAGTCTAAAAGGACAGATTCAACATAAAGAAGAGCCTTGCTAACTACACCACTGGTGGAACACCTGTGCAGGGCAGGAATGATGGCTTGAAAGAGGCTCTATATGGACAAATACATGATTGGCATTAACCCTGTTGGACCCCTTAATAAGGAAAAGTCTGACCCCACAAGAGGGCTTCTAGACTACCAGGATGTCTTAGATGTGGTTCCTAGAAGCAGAGCCCAAGCCAAGTGATTTGGTAAATGACTTATAGAGAGTGTTCTCAAGAGAAAAACTTGTAAGGAATTGAGGGAAGTGGGTAACAGCAGAGGAAGGAGCTAAGCAAGGATGTGGCTAATGGAAATCCGACCTCAGTGGGATTTCCCAGGAGTCCAGTGTGAGTAGCAGGCACTACAGAGTTATTTCACCTTGAGGAAAAGGAGTGGGGCTTTTGTACCTCTGTATCAATCAGCTGCCAGTCACAGGCCACCTCTGAGGGGAGGAAAGGATGTAATCACTAAGGCAAGCCAATAAGGGTAATTCTCCAGGGAAAAGTATAACTGAGAGCCATTAGCAGGCAACACTCACGGAGTGGAAGGGGGAATTAGATGCATCGTTACAGAGGTGAGCAAGGCACCAACAGCTGTTACCACACAGTAGCATATCCTAGACTGCAAGGTCAGTCACCTACTTCAGTCACCTACTTCTTGAGCCTATGTCCTTTCTAAAAGAACTATGTTCATAAGCAATGTCTCTGATTATGCTAGAGGCAGGGCTAGCTTTTTATGTGAGTAGTCTATGGCTATAATTTCAGGAGCATTGAAAATAAAATACCCTTTTGACTATCTAGCCTGAAATCTGAACCATCTACCTTTATTCATCAACCAAATATTAAGCACTGTTATGTGTTAGATTCAGCACCGAGCACCGAGACAGATGAATTAGACAGTGTTAATATCCTCCCGGGATTTATAGTTTATTACAGGGAGACATGAACAATAGGGAGACCACCCATGCAGGGAGAGCAGCATAAGCAAAGGCCCAGAGGCAAGCAGTGTCCAGGTGTGTTGGGGATTTGCAAATGATTTTGTGTAGTTGGAGCCTAGGGTGAGGGAAAGTGAGAGATGAGGCACAAAAGACAAGTGGGAGTATGGTCACCAAGGGCCTTGTATGTCACATGAATGCTTTATCTCAAGATCAGTGAAAAGACATGGGAGGCATGAAAGTAGGAAGTGACTTGAAGAGCTTGGCATTTCAGAAAGATTCTTTCTGAAACAATGTGGTAGATGGGTTTTCGGGAGTGAGACCGGAGGCAGAGAAGAACTCATTCAGGAGTATTATAACAATCTGGGTGGGAAATGACAGGACCATGAACTTAGGAGGAGCCATGGCACAAACACTGAAGTACAGATGGCTTCTCAGTTGTTAAGGAGTGTCCTTCTTTGCACAAGTGTAGAAATGTCTGTGTTAGGGCAGCCCAGCATTTAATAGATGATGACTGTGTCACCCAGCAAGGCAAAGTGATGTGACTGACCAGTGGCAGGAATGAGACTAGAATGCTGGTCTCCTTGCTTCACCCCATTACTCCCCACAGGTGGTTCCCTAAAGGACCAGTCCTGGGTCTTTATTTCACAAACAGGTAAGTCTCACTGTTCGCTAAATACATCAGAATTCCTACCATTCCAGCCTTAGCCACTCTAGTTTAAAGGTCAGCAGCGAATACCTACTGATATAAATTCTTGATTTTACCCATGGGTTATTCAAGATTTCATCACTGTTAGCTTATTTGCATACCAAATGCCTGTTTTATGCACGGACCTCTTCTGGCCATAATTTCAGCTCTGGTACACTGTGTATAGAACAATAGTGGATATGTTCCACAATTTGTTATTTTTTTTCCAGACACTTAACTTTCTAATGAAGTGATTCAAAGCAGCTTACAACAGAGAGCTGTACAAAGAGGCAACCCTCAACCTGGCAATCCTGAATAAATAACTAATGTTCAGACTGCACAATTACATGTCCCTGAAATATTCTGAGAATATTCCACACCAATTTTTCAAGTAAAGTTGCTGTTTATTCTCTTTTCTATTCCAAATACAGGGAATTTTCTCTATGATTTTCATCTGCAGTTGGACATGCCGGTGTGCAACCAGCTACTCACAGTTTTGCATTCACTTGAGTTCCACTTTCTGTCTTCTGGAAATCTGGGCGGTGGGGGGACGGGGGGTGTCATTTATGAAGCATCTGCTGTGCATCAGGTACTGAGCTAGATGATTTGCAAATGTAACCTCATTTAATCTTCACAATTCTGTGAGGCAGAATCACTATCCCCATTTACAGTTAAAGGAAGAGGCTCAGAGAAGTTAAGTGATTAATCATGGATTTCACAGCACCAGGATTCACACTGGGGTCTGTCTTCCTCCAAAGTCCTGATCTACCTACTATGCAAGGCTTTCTTCTTCTCATACGTGTATCCATGATGAAATGATTCCAGATGTCTGATCTGGTATAAAACTCTGATGAATATATACCATTTAAACATCATAACCTTCATCCTAAAGTTTCAGTTTTCTGTTTTGCACATGAAAATAATAAAACCTATTTACCCAATCTTATACATTAATTGTAGAGAATAAATGAGATGATCAATGAGAAATTTTTAGAAAAGAATAAGCTGCTCCACCAACAGGAAGTATTAATATGTGTGTGGTACGCAGTAAGTACCACTATGAGGTTTGGACCGGAAAACAGATGCTAGAGCAGGGAAGCCTCAAGAATCTTGCAGGTTTGGTGGACACAGACAGTGTAGGGGCTGAACCCATATTCCCAGGGCTGTTTAACAGTTGCAGAAGTGGAAGAAGAGGACGGGCGTAGTGGCTCATGCCTGTAATCCCAGTACTTTGGGAAGCCGAGGCAGGTGGATCACATGAGGTCAGGAGTTTGAGACCAGCCTGGCCAACATGGTGAAACGCCGTCTCTACTAAAAATACAAAAATTAGCCAGGCATGGTGGTGGGCACCTGTAATCCCAGCTACTCAGGAGGCTGAGGCAGGAGAATCGCTTGAATCTGGGAGGCGGAGGTTGCAGTGAGGCGAGATCATGCCACTGCACTCCAACGTGGGTGACAGAGTGAGACTTTGTCTCAAAAAAAAAAAAAGAAGTGGAAGAAGCACCTTGTATGTCTCCCCAACATCTCACAGTAGTCCAGGATGTGGAATAGAACTTGCAGGATTAACAGCTCCCATGGCGTCCCTCAGAATGGCCATTAGAGAGTTAAATGCCTGATGAAAACAATAAATCCTATGAAAGTTGTTAGTGTTTGTATGTTAGCACTGACTATGAAGGGCACACAGTGATTAGCTTTCAGTAAACTGAGCCCACTCTTTTCTCCCCTCTCAGAGAAGGGTCTTATGAGCTTGGAGATTTCTTCCAGCAGGAAGTCCTTTCCCACCACATGAGCTAGAGATAACAGCCACCCCAGCCTCAGTCAACCCCAGCAAACCACAGACTCCAGTCAAGTTGGGTATTCTTAGGAGTGGTGCTAGTAAAGAGTAGGGGGAAATCTCTCACTACAGCTCAACATGTGGTTTCATGAGTTGTTCTGCACAACTCTTAAAGACTATTTTAGCCAGATTCTTGTCCCCTAAATTGTGTTCCGGGGCAATGTTGTCCTGGTACTGCCTAATACTCAGTCAGTGCTCACTGTGTCCACATGACATTCCTGCTATCCCCAAAGACATTTTATTTGTGCTTTAGATAAGACCTAATAGTTGAGAGCTACGTCTGCAGCAACATACCAACAAGTGCCTGAAACTTGGCAAGGCTCTTTGATTAGTAGCCATTAAGTATTTATCTGAGTCTCCCTAAGAAAGAGATTTAAGATGCAGGGATGGAATGCATGGAACACACTGTATCATTCAAAGAAGATCCAGGGATCTTCACACCAGAGACATGGATGGTATAAGCAGAAGTGAAAGGATAAGCCACTGGCCACAGATGGATGAAGATGAGCTCAAGGCTTTGCTTGTTCCCCACTCCCACCCTGCTGCCATTTTGCTTGAGGAGGACTCCATGCCTAATTAAGACTTTCTGGGTCCATGTGAATGGAGCGGTGGAGAGAAGAGGAGAAAGGACAGAAAAAGCAGACATCAAAACTACCCCCAAGAGCCCCCAAAGTCCATGGCCTTGGCTCTTACTCATTCAGGAGCTATGGCTGCCAGTAATCCCTGATGACTGAAGACCCAGAAACTGGCAGACCATATATCTTTCCATCCAGGTAATTTTGTAGAAGTTGAAATAATTTCTCAACCTATCAGGAGTTTTATTAAAACAACGGAGACTCATAAAAGGGTTTCTATAAAAATATCCAATAAAAAAAAGTCTTTTTTGACTCACAGGGATTTCAATAATAATTTAACTTTTAAAATATTATGTCTTCACCACAAAAAATTAAGGATAAAAACAGAATCATAAAAGAAAATACAAAGCACTGACATTTAACATTTTAATGCTTATTGTTCCAATCATTTCTCCATGCAAAATACAGAGAGCACTTTGGGGATTTCAGCAATTATTCTCTGTGAAATGAGCTTCAACATGGACTAACCCCTAGTGCTTTTTGTAAATACTGTTCACGTGTCTGGATAGCCTTTCCCCCTCCCTCCCCATCTGGCTAATTCCTGCTCATCCTCTAGATTTCAGTGAAGTGCTACTTCCTCAGTGAAACTTTTCTTTATGTATTAGGTTCTTTGGTTAATGCTTTTGTATGTAGGAATGCATTCCTTTCTCTTTTTTTTTTTAACTTATTTTAAGTTCAGAGTACAAATGCAGGTTCATTACATAGGTAAACTTGTGTCATGGGGGTTTGTTGTACAGATTATTTCATCACCCAGGTATTATACCTAGTACCCAATAGTTATTTTTTCCTGATTCTCTCCCTCCTTTCACCCTCCACCCTCCGAAAGGCCCGTGTGTGTTGTTCCCCTCTATGTTTCCATGTGTTCTCATGATTTAGCTCCTACTTACCTTTCTTTGAAACACATTATTGCTTTAATCATCATCCACTCTTTCATGTGATTATTTGATTAATGATTATCCTCCCCTCTTAATGGTAGGCTGCATGGGAGCAGAGACCACATTGGAGTCGCTCATCATTTTATGTCTATCACCAAGCACAGTGCCTGGCATGTGGCAAACACTTGATAGATATTTATTGAATGAGTGAATAACTGAGAGAAAATGCCTATCAAGAATTATGTTCTTGGGCTGGGCGCACTGGCTCACACCTGCAATCCCAGCACTTCAGGAGGTTGAGGCAGAAGGATCCCTTGAGCCCAGGAGTTCAAGACCAGCCTGGGCAACAAAGTGAGACTCTCTCTCTACAAAAAAATTAAAAATATAGCTGGGCATGGTGGCACAAGCCTGTGGTCTCAGCTACTTGGGAGGCTGAGGTGGAGGATCACTTAAGCCCTGGAGTTGGAGGCTTCAGTGAGCCGTGTTTGCACCACTACATTCCAGCCTGGGTAAGAGAGCAAGACTTTGTATTAAAAAACAAACAAACAAAAAAGCAGAATTTTGTCCTATGGAGATTGGCATCACAATGAGATGTTCAACACAGATCAACAATAACTCCTCAAATGATCCCTTTCCTGCCTTAAAGGAGTTAATATTGCCCTGATACGTGCTTCTATGGAGTATGCTTGTTTCTAACTTAGCTGATAAGAAAATTTTGGTGCAAATAATTTCTCCAGAATATTTCTTTTTTTCATTTAGCAATAAAAAAAAGCAGGAAGCTGGCCGGGCGTGGTGGCTCATGCCTGTAATCCCAGCACTCTGGGAGGCTGAGGTGGGCAGATCACCTGAGGAAGGGAGTTCAAGCCCAGCCTGACCAACATGGAGAAACACCGTCTCTACTGAAAATACAAAATTATGTGGGCATGATGGCACATGCCTGTAATCCCAGCTACTCAGGAGGCTGAGGCAGGAGAATCGCTTGAACCCAGGAGGCGGAGGTTGCAGTGAGCCGAGATCGTGCCATTTGCACTCCAGCCTGGGCAACAAGAGCAAAACTTCATCTCAAAAATAAAAATAAAAAAAAAAAAAGAGGGAAGCTAAAGAGCATTGATTTCTTGGAACTCTGTCATTTCAGTGTAAGTCATTTATATACTCCTATTTCCTTCAACATGTGGGTCTTACATACTGAAGAGGCAACAACAGTCAAGAACAATATTAATAATCAACATTATCTGAAATCTAATTCCCCAATTCTTTTATACAAAGAAAGCTCTGTCACATTATTTTGCTATTTTACATCTTTTGTGTGGTATCTTCAAGTCGGAAAACCTTTGATGGGATTTTGTGTTTGTTTTATTTTCCTGTAATCATCATTGACAAAGAGGCTTGAGTATGCCCATTTTAGATGGAAGTGGCTATACATCTGTCAATGAACAAATGCTTCGGACAGCATTTAATAAGTGTTTCCAACAATAAACAAATATTACTACTCCAGTTTCTCTAAGTTCAGTAAGCAGAGACTCAAGGCATGCTACACCCAGGCAAGAAGAAAAATCATTTCTAAAATAGACTAGAGTCAGTGACAGTATCTGTTCAGTGTTTTTCTCAAAATTAAGAGGCTAAACAATTGCTAGTAAAAAAATCATCGTTTGATAAATTTTATGTTATTTCATTCAAGAAAGAATAGAAAACAGTTATTCACCATTTTCTGGTCATAGTGTCTAAACAAGCCTTCCCCGAAATCATTTTGAGAAAAACTGTGTCCAAATTTGTTACTACTGCATTTGGAAATTCCACTCTAAACAAAGTTAAATGGTTTTCTTTATTGCTGAACTACTCAGGGACTTTGTGAACTGTAAATCATCAACATGAAATTATAAGCATGAATGTTTCATAGACATACTTGGCCACAGAGCCCTTTCTGTGAGACATAATTTTTAATTGTGATTAAAAAATCGACCATCTCAACCATTTTAAGTATACAGTTCAGTAGTGTTAAGTATATTCATATTGTTACACAACAGACCCAACTTTTTCATCTTATAAGTGTGAAACTCTATATCCATTGAACAACTCCCCATTTTCCCCTTCTCAGCTTCTGGTAACCACCTTTCTACTGCTTTAAGACATTATTTTTAATATACCAAAGAATCAGAATGTTCCAGTAATATGCTAAGGAATTCTGGTTTAGTTAAAAGGTTAAAACCACCAAGACAGGGATAAGGGATGGTTAACCAGACATATTCAGAGGTTTTATTTAATGATAATGAGTCACATCTTTTTGACTTTCTGTCTGCACCATTTTATTCCCATGAATGCCTATTGATCAGAGGATAAAAACCAGAAAGTAATGTTTAGATATTATTAGAAACCATGGTTTTACCACCTGTACTAAGAACTTAGTAAATGAATAGCTTACAAGCGGTGTTTTAAATATGAGGAAGGATTCCCAGAAAAGAACGCTGTTAAACTGATTCTATTTTGTCTCTCTTCATCTCAACAAACTGCAATGGCTCCCATGGCCTAAAACATGAAGTACAGTCTTCTTTGCAAGGATTCTGTGTCTTTTGTGATTCAGTCTTCTTTCACCATACCCAGTGCTTCAGCCATTCTGTACACTAGTTTTACATGCTTGTGCTTTTATTTTTTTCATGATTGTATCTTGGCGTGTGCTTCCTCTATACCCTTCACTAAGAAGAACCCACCTTCTCTCTGCAACAGGAAATAAAGCCTCTTCATAACACCTTCTTCTGCCTTTTCAGTATTTATTTCATTCTACTATCTACATCCCCTATTCTGAAGCTGCAGGGTCTTTGAGGTCAAGACCCTTTCTTTTTTTTTTTTTTTTTTTTTGTTGTTGTTGTTGTTGTCGTTGTGATGGAGTCTTGCTCTGTCGCCCAGGCTGGAGTGCAGAGGCACAATATCTGCTTACTGCAAGCTCCGCCTCCCGGGTTCACGCCATTCTCATGCCTCAGCCTCCCAAGTAGCTGGGACTTCAGGCACCTGCCACCATGCCCGGCTAATTTTATTTTGTATTTTTAGTAGAGACAGGGTTTCACTATGTTAGCCAGGATGGTCTTGATCTCCTGACCTCGTGATGCGCCTGCCTCGACCTCCCAAAGTGCTGGGATTACAGGCGTGAGACACCGCACCCGGCCAAGACCCTTTCTTAATCCTTTTATTCACCTTAGGCCTAACACAGTGTCCTTTCATAATACACACCCAAATATTTGTCCAGTTGAATTGAACTGGCTCCCCAAATACACCTTCTTTGTAGGTGTTTTGAAGCAGATAAAATTCTAATTGTTAGGGGATGACTTATATGTGGGCCTTCTAGAAGACAGGTGATGAACTAAACTAGGCTGGAATGATTTTCTTATACAATTGGTGGACTTGGGTAGAAGCAGGAGGTCTTTGAATTCATTTTATATAACTCTCCACTGAGTAGATCACATGTGTCCCCTAGCTTGGGACATTTTCCTACTCCATGAGAGTGGCAGGTTTGAGGGCAGAGCAGTGAGCTTGTGTTTAAATAATACACATTGAGGACATGAAAATAAAATTGTAGAAAAGAGTGTGTGCACGCACATGCAGGAGAAAGGGGATATGTGTGTCATAGAGCTTTATAAATATTTATCCCCAAGTAAATGTTTTACTTTTTACTTTTACTGATTCTCTTAGTGAAGAGGGAATATCAAGGGATATTTTTCAGAGCAGTGACTTCAGATGGTTTGTGAAATTCAATTTTAAAAACAAATTTACTCTATTTACTTAGTGCTTTCTATGTGCAAGGCACTATTCTAAATGCTTTATGTAGTGTCTCATCTAACTCCCACACCAGCCCCATCAGATAGAGACTGTTTTATTCTAATTTTACAGCCAGGAAAAATGAGGCACAGAGTGGTTATGTAACTTGTTCAAGGTCACACAGTAGAGAAGGGATTTAAATCCAGGCTGTTCTGACTCCCAGAGCCCAAATTTTCCACCATGATGAATGGATAGATAGGCACAAAGTTAGCACTGAATAAGTACCTGTTTTCATGGCAAATAGTGGTGGTAAATAATGAGACAGGGAGAAGATTATAATAATAAGGCATAATTAAATTAAAACTTTTATGATGTTAGGCAACCTGCATGCCATTTGCTGTTCATTCTATCAGAGATACAAGTAAAAAGAAAGTGTAGGCTATTTAGGTGTTCTATTGAGAAGTCAAACTTGGAGAAATCTGTGTGAAGAAAATCTTTATTGTCATTAAGGGAAAACTTTAGAAAAGCCAACCATAAATTGAAGAGGAAACCATTTTAACAGGTTGTAAAATTTATGTTTGAAAGACGCATTTATTCTCTACAGGGTTCTGGTAGCTGTTCTCACCATTGACAGTATGTTGGTAGGATTTATATTTCATAGAATATGTCAGTGTAATGCTGAGCCATTTGTTTGAAAACAGTTCTCCATTTCACTGCCTTTAGTTCCACAAAGAGTAAACTCTTGATTTCATTACAATTATGGCCATTTGAAATTTTGAATTTCTTTTATTAGTATCATTAATATTTGTTATTGGTCTCCCAGAGGGTCCAGTGAAAGATGTTTCTGTAATGTCACATGAAATTTTATTCTGATCAGGCTCAAAATCTTTAACCAAGGATTGAATTATGACATTTTATGATAAAATTGCATTTCTAAACAAGACAGAGTCATAAAAACAGAACTGATTAAATTAAAAGAGACTTAAGGGATAGTAACCAAATGTAATGATACTGAATAGGATATGCCAAATGTGCAGAAAAAAACTGGGTTAGCTGGGGAGATATGAACATGGACTTGGTTTTAGATGAGACAGAATTTTACTTAAATGGAAAAGAAATTATTGGTTGAAAAAAACGAGTTACATAATAATGGGTATAATAGGATAACATTTTGATTAATTATAAATGAATATTTGCAAATACTCACGCACATACCCTCTCAGGAACCCACGTTCCTGCATACATATGCATGTAAAAGGGCCTGGAAATCTATGCATGAGGATGCTATAGTAGTGATCTCTGGGTGGTAGAAATGTGATGTTTTTATTTTATTCTTTGTTCTTGTTTGCATATATTTTCAAATATTCTACAAAGTACATGCAGTATTTAAAGGCTGATAAAAATAGAATGAAGTAGCCTTTGAGGATAGTGTTTCGTGTTATCCATTTGATGGGAAGTGAGTCTGGATTCCTAAAAATGCAGCTTCTCTCCACCTATCAATCTTTGCTTCTGAAAACTCATCGGTGGCATGAAGGTGATATATATATATTGTTTTGCTCATAGTGACTAAAAAAGTATATATTTACTAGCCTTGAGTAGTGATTTTTTTTTTTTTTTGAGATAGGGTCTCACTCTGTCATCCAGGCTGGAGTGCAGTGGTGCAATCATAGCTCACAGCAGCCTCGACCTCCTGGGCTCAAGTGATCCTCCTACCTCAGCCTCCTGAGTAGCTGAGACTACAGGTACACGCCCCACCCTCGGCTAATTTTTGAACTTTTTCTAGACACAGGTTCTCATTATGTTGCCCAGGCTGATCTTGAACTCCTGGGGCCAAGCAATCCTCCTGCCTCGGCCTCCTGAAGTGCTGGGTTTACAAGCAAGGGCCATTGCATGTGGCAGAAATTTTTATATTAAGTTAAAATATTTGAGCAAAGCATTAATGATCCAACTTCAGTGTAATATTTCTCAATCATAGCAACTATAAACATTTGTTAATATAATTCAATTTCAAAGTATGAATCCAAACGGAAAATAATAAACGTGAAATTACATTATGCAGCTTTCTGGTTCTATTAATTAAAATAAAATGTAGCCAAGAAAAACAAGACATGGAATGGTTATGTAACCTGCCCAAGGCCACACAGTAGAGTAGAAAACATTTTATCTGAGATTCACCAAGGTTTCTATAAGTTAATTTCAGTAATTTTCAAGACCACAGGCTTTAAACTCTTTGTCCTAGTTTTGAATCCTGGTATTTGCCATGTATGAACTAGGGCAAGTTACCTAAACATCTGTTTCCTCATGTGTAACATGAGAGTAATAATATCTACCTTATATTGCAGATGAGGCTTAAAATAATGTATATGAGAACTATAGTTAGCACACTATAAGCACATGGTCATAGATGAGGAAGCCACCTTGCTTTGTTTCAACAGGGAAAGCAAAATATAGCATTTCCATCCCACAACTGACTATTGTCAAGGTCAATAACTATTATTATTTCCATCAAAGACATAAAGAAAATTAAGAAAATTCCATGGGGTGCTTTGAACTGAATTGCAAGTATCATTCATGACTTCTAGAGTCCAAGAAACCATTAACACCAACACATAGAAAATATACCAAAAACAAATACACACACCGTATAGAAAGAAATGTTTGTCTTTTTCATGTATTAGTAATATGGTAAATGAAAAAATCACGAGAATTCCATGTTTAAAGGGAGAAATTCCCTTCTTATAGGCCAAGGATGTCTTGGTAGAAAAATTGGGAGTTTTTGAACTCACTGGAAACTGAGAAAGCTTCAATAAGACAATGGATGGGAATAACCTCTCTGTGAGCTAGGGGCAGGGGGACTGGCAGGAGGGCATTCTCCTGGATGTGATATGTAGGTTGCACAGAAAAGGACCCCATGCCCCCAGAAACTAGATGACGGAAATGAGAGCTGGAATGAAAGGGAAGAGATGGAAAAGCCAGAGGACCTATTGCGAAGAGAAAGCATCAAGGCAAAGGCTCCTACATGTAGTCATGTTGGAGCTTCAGGCTAGTTAAGAACACGGACTCCAGGGCCAGTCTTCCTGGGTTCAGATTTCTATTGGGCCCTTACTACCTGTGTGACCTGGGTCAAGTTTCTTACCCTATTTGCCCCTCTGTTTCCTCATCTGTACAATAGGGAATGATAGGGTTTTTATTAGAATCAGTGAGTTAATATTTGTAGAGCTGTCAGCGTTTGCACAGAGTGAACACTCAAAATGTTGGTGAAATATAACATGCTGGTACTGTTCGTGGACAAAGCATGGAGATGGTCATGGTCTTGCTTTATCTTAGCCAAATTTAGTTTAAATTGAGATATTACAAATGCTTTAAAATCCTGTTACACACAGTATGCTACATGAATGGGTCGATGTGGGAAACAGAGGCTTGCAAAGAATGAGCAGTTATTAAAAATAAGAGGATGAATATGGATTAGCCTCTGCCTGTGACATAGCTCATTTTCTCAAATTCAGAATTATCCCACAGGAGAGAAGTGGAATAGAATTATCAATAAAAGCCAGTTAGGCTTAAAGCCATTTTGACTGATCATTTTTTTCCATTTCTTGCTTTTGAAAATATGTGGCCAGATCCTAAGAACAGGGGGAAAAGAATCCCCAACAACACCCATGTTCTTCTTCTCCTCTCACTGTCTCTCAGCTGGTTCATTCTATGACCTCTCACTACCATTCTTTCCATTCAGAATGAAGCACAAGGCAGTAAACACCCGAAGTTCACACAGCATCATTACCTGGGATTTTGACATTCTCAGAGTGTGGCATTTCAAGCGCAACCACCTATTTCCGTACAGTTTTCTATGATTGTGCTATAACTGTGCTCAGAGGGAATGTTAGGTTAGATATAGATATTAATATTAATATATCATTTATCTCACATTTAGGATGGTAATTGTATATCATTAATGCTCTGGAAGTTAAGTAATGTTACCTTTGTCTAACCAACAAAAAAAATAATGCTACATGGATTCAAGTTTCTCTGATAACCATTTTTCCTGGACTCCTAGAAACCAGAAACAAAATTTCCTATTTGTTATTCGGAAACAGAATTCTACCACTGTTAAAGGTAATTTAGAAGGAGAGAACACCATGAATCCTGGAAATCCCCCAGGGCTAAGTCCAGGTGGGGTAAGCAGGAAAACTGATAAGAAATGCAAATTTTCATTTAGCTGCCTCAGTTGTGTGGCCACCCACTGGAGAAGATTCATACCAAATTTTATGATTTAGCTAAACCTGGTTAATATTAAGAACAGTTTAGTCTATTTATTTTAGAAAAAAACTTTCAAAAGAGAGAAAACAGACACAAACAAATAAAGTCCAGTTTGACACCATTCCCAACTAATGCCTACCAGGAAACAGTCACAAAATGAGTAGCACTGTATAATGCTGTAAAACCACACCATGAGATATGGTTATTTCAGGAGGGTATTTACACAAAAGGTGACAGAGTCCTTTTCCCACTTACATAAAACACACTGCTGATGAGCTGGGGATAGAACAAAAGTCAGCTTTTAGACCTCATCAGGACAATGCTTTTCTGTTCCTAGACAGCCTTTATAATAATCTGCAGCAGCCAGTTCAGAAATAAATCAGAGAAGTTGCACTCACTCTATTTACTCCAGTGACCGAGGCTGGATCAAACCATCCATATGTCCACTGGGCAAAGGTTTGATGTGAGCTTGTTAAATTGGAGCCTCCTATGGAATGAACGACACCAGAGCTGAGTGAATCAAAGCTCTCTTCCCCATAAAGCACCTCAATGGTTAAAGGTAAGAAAGGTTTGCACAAGGCCGTGCATTGTGGCTCACACCTGTTATCCCAGCACTTTGGGAGGAAGAGGCAGGCGGATCATGAGGTCAGGAGTTCAAGACCAGCCTGGCCAACATGGTGAAACCCTGTCTCTACTAAAAATACAAAAAAATTGGCTGGGTGTGGTGGCAGGCACCTGTAATCCCAGCTACTCGGGAGGCTGAGGCAGGAGAATTGCTTGAACCCGCGAGGTGGAGGTTGCAGTGAGCCGAGATCGCACCACTGCACTCCAGCCTGGATGACGGAGCAAGACTCCAACTCGGAAAAAAAAAAAAAAAAGGTTTATACAAGACCTTTCTACTTTGGGAAATTTGTCATTCTCCATGGAAACTGTGCCATGCCAAAATATGCTGTATGCAACTCTCAGTCTGAGAGCAGATCTGCACATCTCTGCTCCCACTTGCAAGGGCACAAATGATGCATTTATTGTCATGGTTTTTACCCCCAAAAAGCCATGACAATTATTTTCTCCCTTTCTTTCTGAAAACCTTGGAATGACCTGACAACACCAGCCAACCTGCCTCCCAAGCTGCAGCTACTGGCTATTGGCACTGGCTTCCATTCTTAGAGGTTGGGAAATTAAAAATCGCATTTCTAGATTCCCTAGCAGCTAGGATTCTGGATGCAGCATATATTCTGTCAATGTGACACCCTCATACGAGTTTTGGTTGGCTAGATAAGTTGTTATGACCTCAGTAATTGGATTCCATATTCCAGTGTCCAGTCACCAGCTTCAAGGGTACAAGCCAGTTGAGGTAGAGGAGGATACGATACTAGCAGCTTCCTGACCTCCGGGTTGCAGCAGTGGCAGTTTGATATTGAAATCAATAGTTCAGATAACTTCTGCTCTTCTAGTAATTTCAGTGATTTTATAAGCATCCAATTCTTTGCATTAAATCTTTCTGCTTAAAATATCTAGGGTACACTGAACAGACAGATACCTCTTTCCTGAGTTAGAGCCAGATAAAGACCTAACCCATACTTCTAACGTAATGGGAAGGCAAAACAATGAACAGTAAGGAAATTCATGGGTCAGCCTACAAGGTGAAAGACATGGAAAACAATTTAGAAGAGAAAGAGAAGGAAGAGAAGGAGGAGCAGGATGAAGGAGAGGAGAAAATAAATAAACCAAATGACTTGGTATCCAAGTTGATAATTTGCTTTGGTGCAAATCCTCAATTACTATCAATCCATGTTTTTAATCTGTATATTCCCAAATATAATCCTGTCCGAGTGTATCTAATTTCTTCATTGGATGAGGAGAAATTAATCCAGGAAATATTATTAAATTGAATACGCATCTATATGCAGTCTGCCAAATAACAGAAGATAGCATGTTTGTCATGCAACACAATCTAATACGGGGATAATAAAAGAGATTAATCCCCCAGAGTCAATTTGCCACTTGTTTCTTAAACAGTAATAAGCCTGTACAACCTGCACTTCACAAAACTTTACAGTGCACAAACTACATTCCCAAACCATATCTCTTTTCCTCAACACTCTTGCAAAATAGATGGGTGGGAACTATTATTACTCCTGTTTTTCAGTTGAAGAAACTGACACTCGAGTAGACCCCATGTTATTAAGTTGCTGAGATGTGAGTTAAACTTTTATGCCCCTACCCAATCCTAGGTCTTTTCCATTAACCCAGACTGCCTACTGTCTTCTCTTGTTTGACTGTTGCACCAAACATGTGAGATAGGTAGAGCAAGAACCAGCCCCGCTCCCATTTTTTACATTGAATGTTATTAACACCACCAGAGAACAATAAACTCGATGTCACTGACTATGCCCTGTCTTGTGACTAACTGTAGGTGCTATTGAACTTCATAGATGCAAGTAAAGGAGTAAAAAATAAATTGTTTTAGATAAAATGTTAAGAAAGGTGCACGAATGCAAAGCTAAAGAGGAAACAGATGTTAATAAGGATGTTGACCACTGGAGAACCATCAAGATGAGTTTATTCCTAGCAGTGATGAGCACTTTGGAAAGAGACAGACAGTTATGGCAGGAAGAAGGGTTAAAGGAACATGTCAGAAATATGATTCTTCAGAAAGAAAAGCATGGAAATCAGAACTCTTACCGCAGATGCTGATTCTGGGCAAATGCTATGCTGCTGGAAACATGTGGAGCCCTACAGCATGGTTTCATTTGATTCTCACCAGAAGATTTCAATTTCAGCTAAAATCCATTTTAATCCATAGGCAGGGATTATAACTAGGTCAAACACTCAGTTCTACTTATCTGTAAAGTCTTGGCCCAACAAAAACAACATAAAGCCAGTTTGCTTCAGTCAGTTATAACTGATAGAAACATTGGCAGAGGAGTGGCTGAACCAGGCCTGACAACAATATAGGGAATGAACTAAAAGCTGCAGAATTTGAAAATACAATGGTCACTTTTCAGCAGTGGAACAACAGATTATTTTCCAGTTACTAGATATTTTTAGTAGTAGCACCAATATACGTAGCTGTCTGAAGTATGGTAACACAGTTGACATATTTCTCTTGTCTCCAATGTTATCATTTTTTACAACTTGGGAAAGGGCAAAGATGCAGTATTGCCTAAAAATACATGATGAGCTTCTGCACTTTAGCCCTTCAATTCAAATGTATCCGTAGCATATAAGAGGTCTCTTAAAACAACATTTTTACAAAACTGAGGTGAGAAATGTACCTACATGGACCAATAATACTAGTTTTTTTGCACACTTTCAATACCAATATTTAAACAGATATAAATTTTCAGATATGTAAGTTGTTGCTGGGTAAAAGTATTATTAAGTATTAGACAGATCATTGAGGGAGAAAATTAACAAAGATATTCAGGACCTGAACTTAACATTGGACAAATGGATCTGATAGACCTCTACAGAACTCTCCACCCAAAAACAACATAATATATATTCTTCTCTTCGCCACATGGCACAGACTCTAAATCAATCACATAATTGAAACAATCCTCAGCAAATGCAAAAGAACTGAAATTATACCAAACATACCCTCAGATCACAGTGAAATTAAAACAGAAATCAAAACTAAAAAAATTACTCAAAACCCTGCAATTACAACGGAATCAAACAACATGCTCCTGAATGACTTTTAGGTGAATAATGAAATTAAGGCAGTGATATGGTCTGGCTGTGTCCCCACCCAAATCTCATCTTGAATTGTAGTTCCTATAATCCCCACATGTCATGGGAGGGACCCAGTGGGAGTAATTTAATCATGGGGGCAGTTACCCTTATGCTGTTCTCATGATAGTGAGTGAGTTCTCACAAGATCTGATGGTTTTATAAGGGGCTTTCCCCCACTTGCTCTCATTCTTCTTCTCCCTGTTGCCATGTAAAGAAGGAAGTGCTTGCTTCCCTTTCTGCTACGTTTCCTGAGGCCTCCCCAGCCATGCTGAACTGTGAGTCAGTTAAATCTCTTTCCTTCATAAATTACCAAGTCTTGGGTATGTCTTTATTAGCAGCATAAGAACAGACTAATACAGTAAATTCAGTACTGCAGAGAGTGGGGTGCTGCTGTAAAAATACCCGAAAATGTGGAATCAACTTTGGAACTGGATAACAGGCAGAGGTTGGAACCCTTTGGAGGACTCAGAAGAAGACAGGAAGATGTGGAAAAGTTTGGAACTTCCTAGTGACTTGTTGAATGGCTTTGATCAAAATGGTGATATGGTGATATGGACAATGAAGTCCATATGGTGATATGGACAATGAAGTCCAATGGACAAAATGGTGATATGGACAATGAAGTCCAGGCTGAGGTGGTTTCAGATGGAGATGGGAACTTTTTGGGAGCTGGAGTAAAGGTCATTCTTGCTATGCAAAAAGACTGGTGGCATTTTGCCCCTGCCCCAGAGATCTGTGGAACTTTGAATTTGAGAGAGATGATATAGGGTATCTGGTGGAAGAAATTTCTAAGTAGCAAAGCATTTAAGAGGAAGCAAAGCATAAAAATTTAGAGAATTTGCAGCCTGACAATGTGATAGAAAAGAAACTCCATTTTCTGGGAAGAAATTCAAGCCCACTGTAGAAACTTGCATAAGCAATGGGGAGACAAATGTTAATCACCAAGACAATGAGGAAAATGTCTCCAGGGCAAGTCAGAGATCTTCACAGCAGCCCCTCTCATCACAGGCCCAGAGGCCTAGGAGGGAAAAATGGTCTCATGAGCTGGGCCCAGGGCCTCCCTGCTGCTCAGTGCAGCCTCAGAACTTGGTGCCCTGCATCCCAGCCATGGCTAAGAGGGGCCAATGTATAGCTCAACCATTGCTTCAGAGACTGCAAGCCCCAAGCCTTCGCAGCTTCCATATGCTATTAGTCCTGCAGGTGTGCAGAAGACAAGAATTGAGGTTTGGGAATCTCTGCCTAGATTTCAGAGGATGCATGGAAATGCCTGGATGTCCAGGCAGAAGTATGCTTCAGGGGTGGAACCCTCACAGAGAACCTCTGCTAGGGCAGTGAAGAAGGGAAATGTGAAGTCAGAGCCCCCACACAGAGTCCCCACTGGAGAACTGCATAGTGGAGCTGTGAGAAGAGGGCCACCATTCTTCAGATCCAAGAATGGTATCCACCAACAGCTTGCACCATGAGCCTGGAAAAGCCACAGACACTCAAAACCTGCCATGAAAACAGCCAGGAAGGGGGCTGTACCC
Source organism: Homo sapiens (assembly GCF_000001405.40). Taxonomy (NCBI): domain Eukaryota; kingdom Metazoa; phylum Chordata; class Mammalia; order Primates; family Hominidae; genus Homo; species Homo sapiens. The sequence continues at coordinate 104,464,272 of NC_000007.14, read as the reverse complement.
TGCAAAGACACAGGGGCAGAGCTGCTCAAAGCTGTGGGAGTCAAGCTCTTGTATCTGTGTGACCCGGGCGTGAGACAAGGAGTCAAAAAGATTATTTTAGAACTTTAAGGTTTAATAACTGCCCCATTGGATTTCAGACTTGCATGGGGCATGTAGCCCCTTCATTCTGGCAAATTTCTCCTATTTGGAATCCGTGTATTTGCCCAATGTCTGTACCCCATTGTATCTAGGAAGTAACTAACTTGTTTTTGATTTTACAGGCTCATAGGCAGAAGGGACTTGCCTTGTCTCAGGTGAGACTTTGGACGTGGACTTTTGAGTTAATGCTGGAATGAGTTAAGACTTTAGGGGACTGTTGGAAGGGCATGATTGTGTTTTGAAATGTGAGGACATGAGATTTGGGAAGGGCTGGGGACGGACAATATGGTTTGGCTGTGTCTCCACTCAAATCTTATCTTGAATTGTAGTTCCCATAATCCCCATGTGTCACAGAAGTGATCCAGTGGAAGGTAATTGAATCATGGAGACAGTTACCTTCATGCTGTTCTCATGATAGTGAGTGAGTTCTCATAATATCTGATCATTTTATAAGGGGCTTTTCTCTGCTTTCCCTCTCATTCTTCTCTCCCTGCTGCCATGTGAAGAAGGATGTGTTTGCTTCCCCTTCTGCCATGACTGTAAGTTTCCTGAGGCCTCTCTAGCCATGCTAAACTGTGAGTCAATTAAAACTTCTTCCTTTATAAGTTACCCAGTCTTGTGTATGTCTTTATTAGCAGCATGAGAATGAACTAATATAGGCAGAAATCAAGAAGTTCTTTGAAACTATTGAGAACAAAGATACAACACATCAGAATCTCTGGGATACAGCTAAGGCAGTGTTAAGGGGGAAATTTGTAGCACTAACCACCCATATCAAAGAGTTAGAAAGATTTCAAATTAATAATCCAATATCACATCTTAAAGAATTAGAGAAGCAAAAGCAAACCAACTCTAAAGCTAGCAGAAGACAAGAAATAACCAAATTCAAAGCTGAACTGAGGGAAATCAAGACATTAAAAAACTGTTCAAGAGATCAATGAATCACAGAGTTTGTTTTTTGAAAAATGTAATAAGATAGGCTGCTAGCTAGACTAATAAAGAAGAAAGGAGAGAAGATTCAAATAAACATAATTATGACAAAGATGATATTATCCCGATTGACCCCACAGAAATAAAAATAATTGTCAGAAACTACTATGGATACCTCTATGCATATAAACTAGAAAAACTACAAGAGATGAATTCCTGGAAACATACACACCCTCCAAAGACTGAACTGGGAAGAAATCAATTTCCCAAACAGACCAATAATGAGCTCTGAAATTGAATCAGTTATAAAGAGACTACTAACCAAAAAAAACCCCAGGACCACATGGAGTCACAGCCGAATTCTAGTAGATGTACAAATTAGAGCTGGCACCATTCCATTGAAGCTATGACAAAAAAAATGAGGAGGAGGGACTCCTCCCAAACTCATTCTATAAAGCCAGCATCAGCCTGATATCAAAACCTGGCAGAAACATACACAGAAAAAGAAAACTTGAGGCCAATATCCTTGATGAACATTGATGCAAAAGTCCTCAACAAAATACTTGCAAACTGAATCCAGCAGCACATCAAAAAGCTAATCCACCATGATCAAATAGGCTTCATTCCCGGGATACAAGGTTGGTTCAACATAACGCAAATCAATAAATGTGACTCATCACATAAACAGAACTAAAGATAAATCTCAATAGATACATCATGATTATCTCAATAGCTGCAGAAAAGGCTTTCAATAAAATTCAACACATCTTCATGTTAAAAACTCTTAATAAACTACATATTGAAGGAACATACCTCAAAATAATAGCCATCCATGACAAACTCACAGCCACTATCATACTGAATGGGGAAAAGCTGGAAGCACTGGGCACAAGACAAGGATGCCCTCTCCTACAACTCCTATTCAATGTAGTATTGGAAGTCCTGGCCAGAGCAATCAGGCAAGAAAAAGAAATAAAGGGCATCACATAGGAAGAGCGGAAGTCAAATTTTCCCTGTTTGCAGATGACATGATTCTATATGTAGAAAACCCCATAGTCTTGGCTTAAAAGCTCTTTCAGCTGATAAACAACTTCAGCACAGTTTCAGGATATACAATCGATGTACAAAATTCAGTAGCATTCTTATATACCACCAACAGCTAAGCCGAGAGCCAAATCAGGAATTCACAATTGCCATGAAAATAATAAAATACCTAGGAATACTGCTAACTAGGTAGGTGAAATATCTCTACAAGGAGAATTACAAAACACTCCTCAAAGAAATCAGAGATGACATAAACAAATGGAAAAAACATTCCATGCTCATGGATAGGAAGAATCAATATTATTAAAATGGCCATACTGCCCAAAGCAATTTAGAGATTCAGTGCTATTCCTATTAAACTACCAATGACATTCTTCACAGAACTAGAAAAAAGTATTTTAAAATTGATATGGAACCAAAAAAAGAGCCCAAATAACCAAGAACAAAGATGGAAGCATCATGTTACCTGACTTCAAACTATACTCCAGGGCCCAAGTAGCCCAAGAACAAAGATGGAAGCTCATGTTACCTTACTTCAAACTACACTCCAGGGCTACAGTAACGAAAACAACATGGTTACTGGTATAAAAACACACACATAGACCAATGGAACAGAATAGAGAGCCCCAAAATAAGGCTGCATACTTATAACCATCTGATCTTCATCAAAGCTGACGAAAACAAGCAATGGTGAAAGGACTCACTATTCAATAATTGGTGCTGGGATAACTGGCTAGTCATATGCAGATGATTGAAATTGGACCCCTTCCTTACACCATATACAAAAATAAACTCAAGATGGATGATATGGTTTGGCTGTGTCCCCACCCAAAATATCATCTTGAATTGTAATAATCCCCATGTCTCAAGGGTGGGACCAGGTAGAGATAATTGAATCATGGAGGCAGTTTCCCCCACACGGTTCTCGTAATAGTGAGTTCTCAGGAGATCTGATGGTTTTATACGGGGCTTCCCCTTGACTCCACTCTCATTCTCTCTCCTGCCAGCATGTGAAGAAAGATGTGTTTGCCTCCCCTTCCACCATGATTGTAAGTTTCCTGAGGCCTCCCCAGCCATGTGAAACTGTGAGTCAATTAAACCTCTTTCTTTATAAATTACCCACTCTCTGGTAGGTCTTTATTAGCAGTGTGAGAATAGACTAATACAATGGATTAAAGACTCAAATGTAAAACCCAAAACTATAAAAACCCTGGAAGTCAACCTAGGCTATATCATTCTGGATGGGCAAAGATTTCACGATAAAGATGCCAGAAGCAATCACAACAAAAGCAAAAATTGACAAACAGGAGCTAATTAAACTTAAGAGCTTCTGTACAGCAAAAGAAACTATCAACAGAGTAAACACACAACCTAAGAATGGAAGAAAATTTTTGCAAACTATGCATCTGAAAAAGATCTAATATCCAGCATCTACAAGAAACTTAAATTTACAAGAAAACAAATAACCCCATTAAAAAAGTGGGCAAAGGACATGAAAAGACACTTTTCAAAAGAAGACATACATGTGGGCAACAATCATATTAAAAAAACCTCAATATCACTGATTATTAGAGAAATGCAAATCAAACCACAATGAGATACCATCTCACACCAGTCAGAATGGCTATAATTAAAAAGTCAAAAATAACAGATGCTAGTGAGGTTGTGGAGAAAAAGGAACACTTATACACTGTTGGTGGGAGTGTAAATTCATTCAACTATTGTAGAAAGCAGTGTGTCAATTCCTCAAAAAGCCAAAAATAGAACTACTACTTGACCCAGCAATCCCTTTACTGAATATATACCCAAAGGAATATAAATCATTCTACCATAAAGACACACACATGTGAATGTTCACTGTAGTACTATTCACAATAGCAAAGACATGGAATCAACTGAAATGCTCATCAACGGTCATATGGATAAAGAAAATGTGGTACATATTCACTGTGGAATACTATGCAGTCATAAAAAAGAATGAGATAATGTCTTCTATGGGAACATGGATGGAGCTGGGGGTCATTATCCTTAGCAAACTAATGAGGAACAGAAAACCAAATACCACACTTATAAGTGGGAGTTAAATGATGAGACCCAATGGGCACAAAGAGGGGAACAACAGACATTGGGGCCTACTTGAGGGTGGAGGGTAAGAAGAAGGAGAGGATCAGAAAAAATAACCATTGGGTACTAGGCTTAGCACCTGGGTGATGAAGTAATCTGTGCAACAAACCCCTGTGACACAAATTTACCTATATAACAAACCTGCACATATACTCCTGAACCTAAAATAAAAGTTAGAAAAATCTGTTCAAGCAATTAAGATGAATTCTTTTTTAAAATTAAGGTTAACAGGTTAATACTGCCTTGGAAAATCAAATGCATAAAAAAGGAGTATACCTTACTCAAATGTTGGATCCCATCATTAATCCAGGAACAAAAGGACAAGAATAAAGCCCTCTAGCTATTTATCTCCTCTCCAGTGCCTGTTACGAAGAGGTCCCTTGCCTTCAGCCAGTTTTCTGACTATTGCTTGAGTGATGTGTTACACAGCTAGGAACAACATGGGGTACAGCTAGACAGAAAGACACTTAGGTGCCTATAAATTTCTGCCTTCCACATCCCCCATAGCAGATTAAATAAAGTATACTTTGGATGGTCCATGGCAGCAGTTTGCGCCATCAATTTTGATTTCCTCACACGAATATTCCTGGCCAATGTATCTTATTATCTTGACTCCTCTGAAGAAGATTCAGAATCAAGTCCAATGCCCAAGGTTACAATTTCATTTTGGTTGGAAATGTGTTACTTCAGGCAACATTCAAAGAGTACATTAATATCCTGAAATTGGGACACATTAACAGGTAATGAATGATACTTAAATGTGGAGTTGAACACATTACATTAGAAACTTATCAGAAAATAGGAACCACTCTAGATATTTCAAAAATAAGACATTTAAAAGAGAAATTGGTTACACAGGTGGTAGAAGTTACTTAAGAAACCAAAGTGAACAAGGTAAAGTCACTCAAAGATTAGTAACTGCAGGAAATCAATACCACCTTGAGCTGCCAGAGCAGAAGCGCTACCCAGAGGTCCTGGTGCTATGCTGCAAGCTTCCAGCTGCCTGCCACAGCCTGACTGTGTGAGCTGTAGCACAGGAGGCTGCTGCTGAAAGCTTAGGTGCCAAGATCCTTTCCCACCTCCACGGCTGACAGTGCTGTTACCACTATTGCACTGCTGGAAATCTCCCAGAAACCGGACTTCCCAATCCTCCAACAATGGAACAATGTCTCCTATTAGCAGAACCTAATGGAAAGCCAGCTGACAACAGGATGTGAGAAACATAGTTTGAGAATGTTGGGACCTAGAAGGGCGTAGAATGGCTGAAGGTGAATTAGCCAATAACACCACATAAAGGTTTTTTTTTTTTTTAAGAAAGAAAGATGCCTTAAAAATGCAGTGGGTTTAGATTCAATGTCATCCCCATCAAGCTACCAATGACTTTCTTCAAAGAATTGGAAAAAACTACTTTAAAGTTCATATGGAACCAAAAAAGAGCCCGCATCGCCAAGTCAATCCTAAGCCAAAAGAACAAAGCTGGAGGCATCACACTACCTGACTTCAAACTATACTACAAGGCTACAGTAACCAAAACAGCATGGTACTGGTACCAAAACAGAGGTATAGATCAATGGAACAGCACAGAGCCCTCAGAAATAACACCGCATATCTACAACTATCTGATCTTTGACAAACCTGACAAAAACAAACAATGGGGAAAGGATTCCCTATTTAATAAATGGTGCTGGGAAAACTGGCTAGCCACATGTAGAAAGCTGAAACTGGATCCCTTCCTTACACCTTGTACAAAAATTAATTTAAGATGGATTAAAGACTTAAACGTTAGACCTAAAACCATAAAAACCCTAGAAGAAAACCTAGGCATTACCATTCAGGACATAGGCATGGGCAAGGACTTCATGTCTAAAACACCAAAAGCAATGGCAACAAAAGACAAAATTGACAAATGGGATCTTATTAAACTAAAGAGCTTCTGCACAGCAAAAGAAACTACCATCAGAGTGAACAGGCAACCTACAAAATGGGAGAAAATTTTCACAACCTACTCATCTGACAAAGGGCTAATATCCAGAAGCTACAATGAACTCAAACAAATTTACAAGAAAAAAACAAACAACCCCATCAAAAAGTGGGTGAAGGATATGAACAGACACTTCTCAAAAGAAGACATTTATGCAGCCAAAAGACACATGAAAAAATGCTCACCATCACTGGCTATCAGAGAAATGCAAATCAAAACCACAATGAGATACCATCTCACACCAGTTAGAATGGCAATCATTAAAAAGTCAGGAAACAACAGGTGCTGGAGAGGATGTGGAGAAATAGGAACACTTTTACACTGTTGGTGGGACTGTAAACTAGTTCAACCATTGTGGAAGTCACTGTGGCGATTCCTCAGGGATCTAGAACTAGAAATACCATTTGACCCAGCCATCCCATTACTGGGTATATACCCAAAGGACTATAAATCATGCTGCTATAAAGACACATGCACACGTATGTTTACTGCGGCACTATTCACAATAGCAAAGACTTGGAACCAACCCAAATGTCCAACAACGATAGACTGGATTAAGAAAATGTGGCACATATACACCATGGAATACTATGCAGCCATAAAAATGATGAGTTCATGTCCTTTGTAGGGACATGGATGAAATTGGAAATCATTCTCAGTAAACTATCACAAGAACAAAAAGCAAACACCGTATTTTCTCACTCATAGGTGGGAATTGAACAACGAGAACACATGGACACAGGAAGGGGAACATCACACTCTGGGGACTGTTGTGGGGTGGGGGGATGGGGGAGGGATAGCTTGAGGAGATATACCTAATGCTAAATGACGAGTTAATGGATGCAGCACACCAGCATGGCACATGTATACATATGTAACTAACCTGCACATTGTGCACATGTACCCTAAAACTTGAAGTATAATAATAATAAAATAAAAATGTAGTGGGCATAAAAGCTGAAAACAAAGTATTTAAAGCTAAAATATACAGCCACTGTATATTTTTTATCATCTCATTGGCAACATCTCCTAACTTAATCAGAGTTTCCATATTGGAATGTACAACAGTCCCCCCTTACCCATAATTTTGTTTTCTGTGGTTTCAGTTACCTGCAGTCAACTACGGTCCAAAAATATTCAATAGAAAATTCCAGAAATAAACAATTCATAAGTTTTAAATGGTGCACCTAAGTAGCATGATGAAATCTCACACCTTGGGACATGAATCATCTCTTTGTCCAATGTTGTAGATGCTCCCCACCCATTAGTCACTTAGTAGCCTTGTAGGTTATCAGATCGACTATCACAGTATCATAGTGCTTGCGTTCAAAAAGCTCTTATTTTTCTTATTTAGGGCACCAAAGTACAAGTGTAGTGATGCTTGCAATTCAAATACGCCAAAGAAAAGCCATGAAGTGCGTCATTTAAGTGAAGAGGTGAAAGTTCTCCACTTAATAAGGAAAGAAAAATATCATATACTGAGGTTGCTAGGATCTACAGTTAGAACGAATCTTCCATCCATGTAACTGTAGAAAAAGAAAGAGAAATCCACGCACAGTTTATATTGGGTTTGGTACTATCTGAGGTTTCAGGCATCCACTGGGGGTCTTGGAAATTAGAAGGGCACTGCTGTGTTTTGGAATCACTGACTAGTCTCACTTATGTAATGTGTCTCTATTGTTTCAGTTTCTTAAATATTTTTTAAAAGTTATATATCAGTAATCCTCCATGTATGCATTTCGGCCTTTTACTCTTCAAACTTCTAGGCAACCTAAAATTCTGAAAGTAAGCAGCTGACGGCTCTATCTTGAGTTAATTATCTAGTCATAATTTTTGAGCTTACAAAATCATAAAGCATCACACTGTATAAATACAACTTTAAAAATTAAAGGTATATACATAGTTACGTTATTCTTTCATTATTTGTAGAGTACATAAGATTGCAAAAGACACATTTTATTTGTTTATGTAGAGCCGAAACAGTCAACTCACTGAAAACTAACTGTATGACCTCATACACTGACAGATACAGAAAACAAACATATTTCTGGTACTCAGGTGCTCTATGCTGAACTGGACATCAGAAAAAAATAATTTTAAAAACTCATCTTCAGTTAAATACATTTCCATTGTAAACACTTAAAATATAAAATAATTACCTCTGAAAAATTACACGCAATGGTTTATGAAAATAGAGATTGCTCTGACTTTTTGAATATTTTTCTTACAAATAGTCTTAATATTTCTACAGTCTTATAAGGAATATACTTTGTCATTGTCATGAGCTGCTAATTATTAGCAATCTGAGAGGAATAACTATTTTTTTGTGTGTTTTGAGATGGAGCCTCACTGTTTTGCTCAAGTGGGAGTACAGTGGCATGATCTTGGCTCACTGCAACCTCAACCTCCCAGGTTCAAGTAATTTTCCTGCTTCAGCTTCCCAAGTAGCTGGGATTACAAGTGTGTACCACCACACCCAGCTAATTTTTGTATTTTTATTAGAGATGAGGTTTCACCGTGTTGGCCAGGCTAGTTTCAAACTCTTGACCTCAGGCAGTCCAACCACCTCAGCCTCCCAAAGTGCTGGGATTACAGGTGTGAGCTGCCACGCCTAGCCAGGAATAACTATTAAACATATAGAATTGAAAGTCTAAGTCCCTGTTTTTATAGCTCAGGTTTTAGATTCTGTTTTTTAGAAGCGCTTACCATGTATAATTGTCCAAATTTTAAGATCAGAGATTTTTCAATTAATTGTGAATCAACTAATTTGCACGTTGTAGACCTGAGATAAGCATTTCACGATTCAATTAATATGCCTCATCACCAATGACTCATTAAAAGCAAATGCTAATTAATGTGCATTTTTAAATCACAAGATCCATTTTTGGCGAACAGGGCTGCCTATACATCAATGTTGATACTGGTGATGAAGTGAAAAGTTGCAATCCATACCTAATTTGTGCATCAAGATTAAATGAAACTATAAAGGAAAAACACTGAGGAGGCTCTGAGGCAAAATGACAGGCACAATAAGGAGGCCGGCTCATTGATCACAGCTAATAAGACAAGATGGAAGGGGCAGGCTATACACCTCATTTCCTTTCCATTTAGCATGCATACAGTACAGACAAGACAGTGGTAACAAAGAACAGCATTTCTAAATAATTTGTACTTTATGAATTAAATTAATAATATAGGAACAAAATTATAACATAGGAATTAAAGAATTGAACAGTTAGGCAATTATGCCCCTTCTGTCTTTTAATTAAAGCAGTGGAATGGCATTTATGGGTTGGGGAGGAAAGATGGTAGAGAAGGAAACAAACAATGGAGCTCATTCTATGGGAGGGACTTGGGCCAGGTACTCTGCATATGGGATCTCATTGATTTACCCCAATAACCCTGAACAGTTACTATCCCCATTTTACAGGTGAAGACAGAGTCTCACAGAAGGTAAATTACTTGTCTACAGCTACTGATAAACAGTAAAGCTGAAATTAGAACCTGGGCCTGTGTGCCTCAGGGCTCTTCCTAATATTACACATATTACCTCTAGGTACTCCTGACAGCTACAGTTTGTGGCAGGCAAGGATGTACTAACTCAAGTAGGGACTAGCAGAATCCTAATTCTGAGTGACCAGTGACAACAATAATACCCATTTCTCATAAGGTAAGGACCAATACAACAAGTATTTTGGTAGCCTGCTTTGTTTACAACTTGACCTTGTGGAAGGTTTCAGTGAGACAAGCAATTGGTCTACCTATGGTCTGACTAATGCTGCTCCACCTCCACATTCCTTTCACTTCAACAACTTGTACACACATAACACCAATTCTAGTCTTTTGCTCTGCCTAAGAAGTCCTTCAGTATGAAAAAGGTGGAGCTGTTCATCTCTCCCCAATCTCCATCTCCCTCTTTGGTTAGCTTCCCTATTCCTGAGAATGGTATTACCGTTCCCAAAGTGAACAAGACAGCCTTAACATTCCCCTGAGCCCAATTAAACTGTAGACAGGCGTATTAGGCAGTTCTTGCATTGCTATAAAGAAATATCTGAGCCCGGGTAGTTTATAAAGAAAAGAATTTAAGTGGCTCACAGTTCTGCAGGCTTTACAGGAAGCACAGTGCTGGCATCTGCTCTGCTTCCAGGGAGGCTTCAGGAAGCTTACAATTATGGTGGAAGGCGATGGGGGAGCAGGAACATCACGTGGCTGAAGCAGGAGCAAGTGAGGGAAGTGGGGCAGGGGGGAGGCAGCGCACACTTTTAAATGACCAGATCTCATGAGAACTCAGAGTGACAGCTTACTTATCACCAAGGGGATGGCACAAGCCATTCATGAGGGACCCGCCCCTATGATCCAAACACCTCCCACCGGGCCCCACCTCCAACGCTGGGGATTACATGCACCATGAGATTTGGTTGGGGATAAATTTCCAAACTATATCAACAGGTTTCTTCCTGGCCATCAGTCCCTAAACCTCCCTTTTCTTAGAAGATTTATTTTAGAAAAGTTGCTATTGTAAGTTCTTTTTGCTCCTTTAAGACGTAAATTTTCTACAACCCAGGAATGTCTTTCTCAAGGACTCGAAAACCTTCCCTTTGAAATGTAATTAAGAAAGATAGGGTCCCTATCTCCCACTTTCTGTAGAAGGCTGAGTCTAACTTCCCTTAGCACCAGTTAGCAAACACAGATGGCCTAATCACATCAACTCACCTGTCCTCTTCCTGAAATGGCCTCTAGTAGTTTCCCGCCATCTCCCCCTAGTGCTTAAAAATTCTCCACCCCTAAAACTTAAAGTATAATTAAAAAAAAAAAAATTCTCCACCTTTTATTTCAGCAGAGTTGAGTTCAACTTCTCTGCCCTGTTGAAGCAGTCTTGCCTGTTTAATTGGTCTAGTATGATTTTTATTTTACACAAGCAAGTCTCAGATCAAGAACCAGCCAACTTTAAAAGCACTATTAAATACATTTTTAAGACAAATTGTAACCTGGAAAAGAATTTGAAATACATATGACAGACACAGGGCTGTTCTTTCTGTATATAAGCACGGGTATAGGTTGATTTGTGTGACTTTTACATGACTGGGATCAGCTTATTTACTCAAAGTAAGGGGTGGGTGCTTCTGACATCAGACACCAATGTAATCATCTGTACTGTATCTCAGTCTATGGATGAATTTTAATTTACCAGTGCTTTATTGATGGACTTTTAAGTTGTTTACACTTTTCATAGCATGCAGTAAGCATCCTTTTAACTTAAACTTTTGTTCACATATTTAAATTATTTCCTTAGGATACATTCCTAGAAGTGAAGTTCTTTACTATGTAAGAAACTTTTATAAATTAAAGAGTATAAGCAGGTAATTCACAAAAAGACACACATAAAAGGATGAAAGAAATATCAATAAAATCAATTAAAAAGATATAATGCTTAATTAACATATGAAAAGGTCGTCTATCTGGTAAACAAAAAAATGTCAACTAAAATAATAAATACCAGTTCATCATTAGGTATAAAGTGCCTTTGATTTTATTTTTTGATCATTAGATTTTTTTAGCAATAAAAAATATAAAATGCCTTTAAAATGGGCAAGCCCTTGGACCCAGAAACTCCACTTCTAGGAATGTATCCTAAGGAAATAATTTAAACAAGTGAACAAAGGTTTGAGTTACAAGGATACTGCATACTTACTGCATACTATGAAAAGTGTAAACAACTTAAATGTCCATCAATAAAGCACTGGTTAAATAAAATTCATCCATATACATATACAGTACAGATATTTTAAATGATGTCTGATGTCAGAAGCATCCATCCCTTACTTTGAGTAAATAAGCTGATCCCATTCATGTAAAAATCACACAAATCAATCTATACCTGTGCATACTATACAGAGATGATTCTAAGGAAAGAATACCAAATGTTAGCAGTGGCTATTTCTCGGTGATTATTTTGGGGAAATTTTTCTTTTCTTTTTACTGAACTTGACCATATTATTTGAAAATTTTAGGCTGGGTGCGGTGGCCCACCCCTGTCATTTCAGCACTTTGGGAGTCCAAGGCAGGCAGATCACCTGAGGTCAGCAGTTCAAGACCACCCTGGCCAACATGGCGAAACCCCGTCTCTACTAAAAATACAAAAAATTAGCCAGGCATGGTGGCACATGCCTGTAGCTGCAGCTACTTGGAAGGCTGAGCCAGAAGAATCGCTTAAACCCTGGAGGCGGAGGTTGCAGTGAGCCGAGATCATGCCACTGCACTCCAGCCTGAGCAGCAGAGTGAGACTCCGACTCAAGAAAAAAGGAAAGAAAGAAAGAAAAAAAAGAAAATTTTAGACACTAAACATGTCTTTTGTACCAAAACAACAAAAATATTTAAAAAATAGAATGTATGCTCTAAAATCATTTTTTAATATATATTTAGGCATAGAAAAAGAAGAAAAAAGGATGTTTTTACCAAAATGTTGACAGTTATGATATGTGTGGTATGATTACCCATTTTTAATTTCTTCATACTTGTTCTGTATCGTTTGATCGTTTTTATGTATATTACTTCTAGAACCAAAAAACGCTATTGCAGAAGACAAACAGAGAACAACAAAACTCTTCATCACCCGCATTATAGCACTCCTCCTTCCCCAATATCACAGTGCTTTAGAGATTAGATATGCTTAGTCAATTTATAATTGATTGGCTTGCCTTACTGATTCCAGCTTCTTCAGCTATCTTAACCTCGAACATGGCAGCCAAGCTTACTTTCTAGCCTTGCCAGCTTATCACCGTGAAGATATTTTAAAAAGCAGTACTCTGTGTTAGTGGTATCCCTTCTTTTCTTTCAACACCCTTTCAGATATTTCCATGAAAAAAACGAATTAGCCATTGCATGCCTATTATATCACTTTGAGAAGAAAAATCTACATCTATAGTTTCCGTTCCATTTTCAGTTCTCTGGTCCTAGTCTCAGTTGGTTTTAGGAGAGGTCATGGGTTCCTTGCTCAGGACTCTGGTCCAGCCACAAGCCTTCCACTTCTGAGGATCCTCTGTATGAAAGGGTGAAGGGAAGAAGTTGAGGACGGTTTGTAGGAGCCACATCCATTCATTTCCACTCTGCTTTGTTGATTTAGTGAAGGCTTTTCAGAGACAGCGAAAGCGCTAAAAAGCTCACTGAGAATGGGGAAAGGACATTCATAGGGAAGTCATGAAGGCAAACACAGAGCACAAGCTGCCATGTTTTCCTTTTTTTTTCTTTTCCATTTTTATTTTAAAGATCACATTAGATATTTGTCTTTTACTTAATAGAATGTTGCTAGTTTTTTTTCAGTGTTTTTGTTTTTATTATACTTTAAGTTCTGGGGTACATGTGCAGAAGGTGCAGGTTTGTTACATAGGTATACACGTGCCATGGTGGTTTGCTGCACCCATCAACCCGTCATCTACATTAGGTATTTCTCCTAATGCTCTCCCTCCCCCAGTCCCCCACCCCCTGTCAGGCCCTGGTGTGTGATGTTCCCCTCCCTGTGTCCATATGTTCTCATTGTTCAACTCCCACTTACGAGTGAGAACATGCAGTGTTTTGTTTTCTGTTCTTGTGTTAGTTTGCTCAGAATGATCGTTTCCAGCTTCATCCATGTCCCTGCACTGAACAAAGAAAATGTGGTACATATACACTATGGAATGCCATGCAGCCATAAAAAAGGATGAGTTCATGTTTTCCTTTTCATTTCTACCCAGAAGGATAACCTCATTTCTTAAAGGGCACGATTTACAATTCTGAAGGTAAGAAGGGTCTTTTAATGCTAAGGGTGGCAGCTTTGATACCAAGCTCCATAAGCAAAACAATGTTTTTCCCTCCTGTCCACTCCCCTCCTCTTCCTAGTCTCTAGATTTCTGATAGGCTCAGGAAATTTTTTCCCTAAGAGTCCTCAGGAAAACTCACAAGACCACAGATGTTTCTGAGAAGAAAAAGTATAGAAAATAAATTACCAATATTTCCATCCTGAGAGGGGTCTCTTCTGGCTCTCCTTCTTGAATATTTCAATTCAAATGAAGAATAAAAATGTAAAGACAAAAGCAAAAAGTGGTATGAGTTGGGGAAAGCCACTGAAGTGTGAAACAACTGACCTCTTCATGTGTCACCAACCAAGAAAATCCAGGCCGACACCTTTTATTATCAACAAGTGGCCATTCAAGGTGGAAAACTTCACTACCATTTCAGCATTTTTTGGGAAGAGAGCTCAGAGACACAAGCTGGAGAGAAAAGGTGTTGAGTCCATTATCATGGCAAAAAATGATAGAAAAGCACCCTGGAGTGATGTCCTTTGGTCTCAAACTGTTCTGTGCTTTGATGGAATCACACATGTATTAAGCAAAGGATTACCGTTGGGCTGTAAATGGATTAAGGCAAACCCTCTGACTAAGTCCTAAAAAGACACACTGAGATATAAGCCACTATTAATTCATATGTAAGGATAAATTGAGATTTTACTCTCTGCCCTGTCCTCCCAGAGTTACTAAATGCAACAAGGGACTGATGTGGTTTGTGGGATTCCATTTTGAACTCCTTATGAGATTCTATTTTAATTTCCCACTTCAATGCCTATAAATTATTTATTTACTTATAAATAAAGTACATTTAGAAATTGGCTCAGTATACTCAGATTGCCACACCTGTACTCAATATATGTACCTTGCTATCAAAGGAAGAAGCAAGAAACAGCATGACATTTTACACCAAGGCCTAGCAGCACAGTGTGCCAAGGCAGCTATTTTTGTCCTTCAGGGAAAAAAAGAAACAACAACATTCTTACAGTGTGTAGGAACTCTGTCTACATCCTAATGGATTGCTTTGTTAGAAATCCTTGTGTGATGCATCACTACAAAAACAAATGGGCACAGATTCCTCACCACTGTCTCCGCAGAATTCTATCTTTCAGTTCAGAAGTCTACTTCTTGGCATTTGTCACTCAGGAGAAGATACAAAAATCCATGTTATAATTTTATCCTGAAGGAAATGAATCCTTTTGAAAGATAGGTAAAGGCATCATCTTAATTTTAATCTGAAAGGCACTTCGTTTGTGAAAGTAACTCTATTAGTATTGAAGCACACTATCATCAGTGCACACCTGCTTTCAAACTGCACCAACAGACACATCAGCATATCTTCTTGAATGGGTTTTACAATTCTGTCATTAAATTATTACAGATTAAAATGATCAAGTAAACATTTTTTCCAGGGCCTAAACATTATAAAATCATTTCTTTCCATTCTTTAAAGACAATCAAAAGAATTCATTTTCATTTCTACCAAAGCAATTCATGGAGTGCTGTGTCCTGTTATCTCTAACACTGAGAGACTATTCATAATAGAAATATCTACAAAAACAATCACACTAAGTGATTTTTACATTGAAATAGAACATTGTACAGTTTTCATATAGTATAGTAATGGTTTTCAAAAAGAGGTTCCAAAATACTCATAAAGGGGAACAGGGAATTAGCTGAATGCTGTGGATTGACAGGCTATCAACAAAATAACACGTATTTTTCATGAAAATGGCTAAATCACTATTTACTTGATGAACTGCAATGTAATGGCTCTGAAGGAGCCATTTTGCTGTATTGGCTAAATAATGCGTGTTTACCAAAACTGGGTAATTATAGGGTCTTCATATAATGTACTGTCTGTGCCTGCCAAGGAAGAAGATGAACCTGCTAGAGTAAGACCTTGAAATTTGGCTACAGTTATTTCTAACTCTGGCACTGTGGACAGGAATGAATAAACTAGACACTGAAGAAAGCAAAAGAAGAATAGGAATTTCCCTGTATTTTTCATTATTCAAAACTCCTTAGGTGAAGACAAAAATGTTTACCAGTTGAATCTGTGCTTCCAATTAACTATTGATATTAATGATAATAGAAGCTATATCCATGACTTGAGGGGGGAAATATAACATCAAAATATAACAATCTGGTTGAAAATGGTGTTTTTTAAATTAAACTTTTGGAAAGTCTAGAGGTAAACCGTATCTCAGTATATACAGCAGAAGATGAATTTCTTACATAGGAGTAGAAAAAGTAAATTTAAAAAAAGAGGAAATTGCCAACATTAATCATTTTTGACCCACAAAAATCGCAATTTTTGTAGTCCAACTTAACATAGTACATGTGTCCTGAACATTTGCTTTCAGATAAACGGATGTTTCCATTTATTTAAATGGACTGATCCATAGATATAAAATGTATATAGTACATTTTAAAAGAATTTTGATTAAAAAATAAACAAAAAATCCCCACAAGTGTTTCAGAGAGAACAGAGAATACCTAAATGTCCAAGATAGGAATCTTGGTGAAGTTTCTCTTTAGGAAACACAGAAGTCAAAAAGGTAAGAACCCTAGCCTAGGGTTCCCAGAACAAATGGCAGTCGTTGGTGCTAAACACTACTGAGATCCAAAACAAAGAAACAAACAAAAAACAATACAATACTAAGAAAATGCCAGTGGATTTGAAAATTTAAGTAATATTGGTGGCATTGATTAAAGAAACTGACTGCCTTTTTGACTTGTATCACCAATTACATGGAAAATATCTTAAAGATAAAAAACTTGTATAGTAATTGAATCACTCACCTAGTTCAATAGTTTGCATCCATTAATGTTTTGATTGACCAATTAGAAAAAGTACTATTTTTTTTAAATTCAATATTTAGAAAATGAATCCCAAAGGCCGCTGGGAGAGATACTTAAAAATTTTACTGCAGACTAAAGTAAGTTATCATTGGAAGTTTCAGAGAAAAAGCCTAGTTTCTTCCTAGTGTCTACCCCAACAACATAGCAAAGTCCCCACACTCTGCATGCAGTCTGAGACTCAAGCTGAAAGCAATTTTATATCCAATTATATAATAAGCTAGAAAAAGAATTGTATAAATGGGCAAAAGGTATTACAGAGCTGCAGCTAATACTCAAATGCAAAATAACTACAGATTCCAATACTGTCCCTAATGTGACACTGTTTCACGTCTGTGTTTCCGAAAATTCTCTGCAAGTTAAGAATGTATTTATTTATTAGTATGAGTAAATCAGAGCAAGCATATTGTTTGGTAACTGATAATTAAGACAAAATTCCAGGTGATAAAATCTAAAAAACAAAATGTTTTTCAGACTAAAGGTGCTAAGATCTAGATGGGATAAGTGCCAAATAAAACTATAGAATCGGCCGGGTGTTGTGGCTCAAGCCTGTAATCACAGCACTTTGGGAGGATCAAGACCATCCTGGCTAACACAGTGAAACCCTGTCTCTACTAAAAATATAAAAAAATTAGCTGGGCATGGTGGCACACGTCTGTAGTCTCAGCTACTCAGGAGGCTGAGGCAAGAGAATCACTTGAACCCCGGAGGTAGAGGTTGCAGTGAGCCAAGGTCATGCCACTGCACTCCAGCCTGGGCAACAGAGTGAGACTCCATCTCATACACAAACAAATAAAAAATAAAAAAATAAAATAAAAACAAAAAACTAGAAAATCTATGAAACATAAAATAGTTTTGATGAAGAATCTTCCTGCTCAGAGAGTTTATTGATACAGAAAAAACATATACACTGGTGTCTTAGATTCTGCCAGTCCATATTTACAATTTGATAAACATGGTGACTACAACTTGGAAATCATGGTTAAGAGCTACTGGAAAAGAACAATGCTAGGTTGAAGGAGTGTGTTCTGTAACAACACAGCTCTGCAAGGTCTTCCAGTGGCCACATCTTCAGTGACTGTGTTTTTATATTTGTTTTTCAATCTGCCCCCTTCCTCCTATAAGAGACCATTCCAAATGATCAAAGGGCAGAAAATACAAACAGAATTGATTGTCTTTAAGTCAATTTCTACTGAGAATTACTGCTCATGCCCAGTGAATTTTTCTTTTTCATTTTTGGGATAATTCCCAGGCCTCTTGAGGAAAAAATTCATAGAAACTGACCTAGAAGGCATTTTATCAAATAAATACCCTGCTTTATACAATTATCCTGTGTCCCACTGAGAAGGCATCAACTAATAAACCTTCCTGTCGATAAGAACAACGTCTTGTAACACTTGACTTTCATTAGCAACCCCAGTAGAAGATGAAATATCCTGCTTTATGGATCAGGGTCAGGAGGTTCAGATTAAATCAAAGGACAGGAAAATGGCCTTGGTTCTAGCCTTGCTTCTCTGCTATTAGCATGCAGGAGAGATGTTGAGATAGGTGGGATGTGAAAAGTTGATGGAGTTTTACACTGTGCAATACTCCCTTTAAAAAGACACATAAAATCACAAAATTAACTTCCTTAGTTGCGTATCTTCAACTTTGCCTGGATACAAGTTTGATTGTTATAAATGAAAAAGTTTCTGTATAAAAAAGGAGGTAACCAGACTGAAGTCTGGCCTTTTTGTATCTTACTTCCTTATATTATACTTCCTTAAAGTAAATGCAGTAACCAGACAAGAAAGGATAATTCTAGGGACAGGCACCATTTCTCAAGTCTGTGAGAACATTAATAGATGATAAAAGTTTATTGAACATTTATTGTGTGCCAGGCCCTGTGTTAACTGGATTGATTACTGCATTTAATTTTCACAACAACCCTATAAAATAGACACTCTTAATATCCCCATGTAACAATGAGGAAACCAAAGATTAGAAAGATTTGGTAACTTGCCCAAGGATACAAGTAGTAAGAAGGGAAGCTGCAGATGGATCCAGGAACTCTGATTCCAGAACTGATGTCCTTGACTCTTATGTCTGTACCATATCACTATATACTGAAGCTTCTGAATTTAATTTTTCAGTTTCATAAAAGACCAATCTGTTTTCATAACATAAGGCACTTAAGTATTTCTAAGGACAATTGCATACACAAGACCACCACATATACACATCTTAGCCAGATGACCAATATAGCATTAAAAAGAAAAACCACCACCACCAGCAAACTAACAAAAAACTGCCTAGGCAACCCAAAACTTCAGATGGACTTTAGAGTATATTCAAATTAATCAGAGAGTGTCCCACATCTGTGATAAATATTCTTTTTTTTTTTTGGAGACGGAGTTTCACTCTTGTTGCCCAGGCTGGAATGCAATGGCGCGATTTCAACTCACCGCAACCTCCACCTCCCAGGTTCAAGCGATTCTCCTGCCTTAGCCTCCCGTGTAGCTGGGATTACAGACATGCGCCATCATACCTGGCTAATTTTGTATTTTTTGTAGAGGCAGGGTTTCTCCATGTTGGTCAGGCTGGTCTCGAACTCCCGACCTCAGGTGATCTGCCTGCCTCGGCCTCCCAAAGTGCTGGGATTATAGGTCTAAGCCACCATGCCCAGCCTATAAATATTCCTTTAAAAAATTAACAAGTAATCCCAAATCAGCTTCTAAACCATGGGTGTCTTATAGTTAGATTCTGCCAGTCCATATTTATGATTTGATAAATATAGTGACTGTAATTTGGAAATCATAATTAAGAATTACCGGAAAAGAACAATGCTAGGTTGAAGGAATGTGTTCTGTAACAACACAATAGAGATGCAGAGCTCTTTCAATGGAGAGTTTTTAAATTCCTTTAAACATAATCCATATGGAGAATTATCTAAAAATACAGGGGGGTGTCTTCTAAAACATGTTCAAGGCAGGTGTCAGATAAGCTGACACTCAGTTCAAGGGATTTCAGTGCAATCACAACCTACTACTTGCTTAACTGACACATATTATTTCTCTGACAGCGCCAAAAAAACCCCCAATGCTGTTGTTTGCTTTCTACAGAGATGTGCACCTGGCCAGAGCCAACATGCATGGATTTTCTTTAATGAATAGTGAAGTCACTCTGTAGGCATGTTACAGCTGCTCTGCTGGTTACAAATGGCCCCTGGCTGGTATCTACCCTTCCACTGTTATACTAAACCACATCTGAGAAGGAAAGCTCACTAAAAGATTCCAATTTTAGGGAAAGTATTTAACTGCATGTGGAATGATAGTCTTCCCATCCTCTATAAAAATGCCCAAAGGCTGTGCCAATTTGCAAATCCATATTACACAGCGATGATCAATGACTTTTGGGAAATGAATACTGCATTAGTTTATATCTCAGTTCAATAAGTCCAGTAAGGTGCTAGACTTTGATAAATCATCTTTTTATCACTATAATTTCTGTTGTGCTCTCCTCTGCATGCTCCTCTTCACTCTCAGTTCTCAAAAATAATACAACCATTCTGCTTTTTCTGACCACTGAAGAATATCTCTGTGCTCATTTTCACAAGCAACATGCAGGAAGTGAGGATGCATCAGCATCTGCAATCTACAAGAATTTTGTCAGGGCAACCTGATATGAAATGGAAGCACTGTTCCAGGCTCCTCATTTCGACCACTTACCAGGGGTCAAGAGTCAGAGCTGCTCTGGGATTATGGAATTTTTTACAGCTACATGTCCTTGTTGGTTACACAGAAGCCCTGGAGCTAGCTTCCATTATTTTTGTCTTAAATGCTTCTGACTATTCTCCTGGTTGGCATGGAGATCTTTTTAATTCTAGACATTCCTGAAGCATTTGCCTAATCTGAGTGGTAGACATGGTGGGGAGGGGGTCATACCAAGATGTCTAGTGGCGCTTGATAAGTTACACAATAATCAGAGCTCACAGGAGAATACAGACCCTAAAGGCCAAACATCCATGCACTGGAGATAATGGTCATGGATTCCTCTTGTCTCTTCTGACAATTCATTCTTTCCAAATGTGCCATCCAGTGTGGGTGTTATCGCAGTATTCTGGTTGGAGCTGAGGGATGCTGATATTGCATAACACTGTGCTGTTAACTTTGGAGACAGGCTTAGGGCTGCATCTTGCCTGTCTTCCAATCCCTTCAGTAGCTGTACAAGACCATACAATCTCAAGTTTCTACCAGCCACATTGATCTTTGTCTCCTTAAGCTGTCCCAACCACACTTTTTGAAAATGGGGTCCTGACATGATTACCAGTTGTCAGGTATAAACTATTGGTACTCTTCCAAGATAATGCAAGTCAATGAGAGGATCCAGTGTTTGGTCACTAATCACTAGATCACTAATGATTATCATACCAAAGGATACCTCCAAATATTGTGAAAATTAAGGATCGGGCTTAAAAATCAAAAGCAGCTATGTTAGGATACAGTGAGGTGCGAAACTAAGGAAGGCCTATTCTTTGGCATTCTAGAGTATAGGAGAGATTAAGTGGTGATTTCTGGCAGTTCTAGTGATATACTTTGAAAAGTCGCCACCCAAAACTCAGCAGTTTGCCAAGGAGACACTTTAAAAAGGCACAATATGTTGCCAGAAAGAGCAAGCTTTAATAAACACAGAATTAAATAATCTAACTAAACATTGCCTGGTCAGATGGCACCCAGCCTGCAGAACCATCTGGCTGAAGAAATATTCAGAGAATCATCAACCTAAAAACCCAGATTCTACCCAGTAGGCCACAAATCTAGGTTCCTAAATATAACTTGCTACATGAAAAGATAATAGTTGACAAAGCTTTAGCAATGTACTGAGTTAAACATATTTTCTTCTAGATTTTGGATACTTTTTTCCCCTCAGCCTCCATAAATTTCCCATTTAGCTCAATTAAACAGATAATATGTCATTCCTTTTATCTTTTAAAATTCAAGAGACCTCATCTCAAAGCGTCGTGTCAATATCTAGATATATAGGCTGAAATGAACAAGATTCCAGTAAGATTAGAATTATTTTAATTGAAACAAAGAGTTAATATCCAAAATATATAAGGAACCACTACAATTCAGCAGCAAAAAAAAAAAGACCAGATTTTAAAATGAGCAAAGAATTGAATAGACTTTTCTCCAAAGAAGAGATATGAATGGCCAATATATATGTGAAAAAATGCTCAGCATCCCTAATCATCAGAGAAATGCAAATCAAAACCACAATGATATATCACCTCACACCTGTTAGAATGGCTATTCTGAAAAAAAAGAAAAAAAAAAGATAAGTGTTGGTGAGGATGTAGAGAAATTGAAACCCTTGCACACTGTTGGTAGAAATGTAAAACGTTGCAGCCACTATGGAAAACAGTACCGAGACTTCTTCAAAAAATTAAGAATATAACTGACGTATGTTCCAGCAATTCCACTTCTGGGCAGATATCCAGAAGAATTAAAATTGGGTTCTCAGCCAGGCGCAGTGGCTCACACCTATAACCCCAGCACTTAGGGAGGCCGAGGTGGGCGGATCATGAGGTCAGGAGTTCGAGACCAGCCTGGCCAACATAGTAAAACCCCAACTCTACTAAAAATACAAAAATTAGCCGAGCATGGTGGCGCACACCTGTAGTCCCAGCTACTTGGAAGGCTGAGGCCGGAGAATCACTTGAACCCAGGAGGTGGAGGCTGCAGTGAGCTAAGATCGTGCCATGCGCCCCAGCTTGGGCGACAGGGCAAGACATTGTCTCAAAAAAAATAAATAAATAAAAAAATCAGGATCTCAAAGTGAGATATTGTCTCTACCATGTTCATTGCAGCATTATTCACAATAGCTAAGATATGGAAACAACATAAATATCCATTAATGGATAATGGATAAAGAAAATGTAATATTTACATACAATTGAATATTATTCAGCCTTAAAGAGGAAGAAAATTCTGCCGTATGCAACAACATGAGTGAACCTGAAGGATATTATGCTAAATGAAACAAGCCAGTAACAGAAATTGTCCTTGGCTTGTTCCATTTAGCATAATATCCTCCAGTAAAATACTGCACAATTTCACTTATATGAGGCATGTAAAATAGTCACACTCATAGAAGCAGAGAGTAGAATGGTGGTTGCCAGGGGTTGTGGGGACAGAAAAATGAGAGGAGTTGTTCAACGGGCTTAAAATTTTAGTTCTGAAAGATGAGTAAGTTGTAGAGATGTGCTGTACAATACAGTGCCTATATTTAACACTATGGTATAATGAACTTTAAAAATTTATTAAGAGGGTAGATCTCATGTTAAGAGTTCTTACCACACACTCACACACACAGAAAGAAAGAGGCATGAGGAAACTTTTGGAAGTGATGAATAAATTTATTACCTTGATTGTGGTGATGGTTTCATAAGTGTATGCATATGTCTAAATTCATCAATTTATATGCATTAAATATGCACGGTCTTTTGTATATCAATTATACCTTAATAAAAACTTCTTTTTAAAGCCAAAAGAAAAAAGGAATATAAATGAACCGCTTGTCTCACTTAGGTCACAAATTAGATATTAGTACATGCAAATATTCTACATGTAGATAACCAACATTCCTTAGAAATAATGGTTGATTTACGTAATCTATGTCATCAAACTTTACTTCCCCTTAGGTAAAACTATATAAATTGCTGTTTGAGTAGCAATTTCATATGGCTAACCTAATACTATGGCTCATTTAAGACCATACTCTATGTATGATGAGTTTATAGCTTTGTATTTTTATATATATATATGTTTTATTATACTTTAAGTTCTAGGGTACATGTGCACAATGTGCAGGTTTGTTACATATGTATACATGTGCCATGCTGGTGTGCTGCACCCATTAACTCGTCATTTACATTAGGTATATCTCCTAATGCTATCCCTCCCCACTCCCCCCACCCCACGACAGGCCCCGGTGTGTGATGTTTCCCTTCCTGTGTCCAAGTATTCTCATTGTTCGATTCCCACCTATGAGTGAGAACATGCAGTGTTTGGTTTTTTGTTCTTGGCGATAGTTTGCTGAGAATGATGGTTTCCAGCTTCATCCATGTCCCTACAAAGGACATGAACTCATCCTTTTTTATGGCTGCAGAGTATTTCATGGTGTACATGTGTATGGCTTTGTATTTTTTTATTATTATTATACTTTAAGTTTTAGGGTACATGTGCACGATGTGCAAGTTAGTTACATATGTATACATGCGCCATGCTGGTGTGCTGCACCCATTAACTCATCATTTAGCATTGGGTATATCTCCTAATGCTATCCCTCCCCCCCCCCAGGCTTTGTATTATATAGTAATCTTGTATTCTAAAACTCACTTGTCAGTACTAATATATTTTATTGTGGTGGTGGTGGTGGTTGTAGCTCCTTTCCTAGAATTTTCTAAGCAAATGATCACATTGTGAATAAAGGCAGTTTTACATCTTTCTTGCCAATTTTTATGTTTTACCTTTTTTTCTTGTCTTATTCATTGACTAGGATCTCTCTACTGGGCTGAATAAAAATGGTAAAAGTAGACATCCTTGTTTTGTTCCTAATCTGAGGAGAAAAGCGTTCAGTTTTTTACCATTAAATATTATTTTTGCTGTAAGTTTTTTGAAGATGCTGTTTACCAAATTGAGTAAGTTCACTTTTTTCCTAGTTTACTGATACATTTTTTTAAAATTATGAATGAACATTGACTTTGGTCATATGCTCTTTCTGCATCAATACAGAAAGAGATAATCATATGGTATTTGATAATCTTATGGCATGTAATGAGATAATCATATGGTATTTTAGTCCATTTATATAATAAGTTACATTGTATGATTTTTAAATGTTAAATCATTAACTTTTCATTTTGGAGATAAACCCCACCAGGTTATGATGTGTATATATACTATATATATAGTTGGATTTAATTTGCTAATTTTAAAAGGATTTTTTTCTATGTTTATGAGGAATATTCACCCATAGTTTTCTTTTTTGTAATATCCTTGCCTGGTTTTGCTATCAGGGTTATTTTAGCATCATAAAATTTGTCAGGAAATTTCTCTTCATCCTCTGTTTTCTAAAAGAGTTTGTAGGGCTGGGCACAGTGGCTCATAACTGTAATCCCAGCAGTTTTGGAGGCCGAGGTGGGAGGATCAATTCCTTCCTTAATTTTTTGACAATTCCTTCCTTAATTCACCAGTGAAACTGCCTAGAACTCAAGTTTGTTCTGTAAGGGAATTGTTGTTAATAAATTTAATACTGTTGATGGATATAAGGCTATTTATGTTTTCTACTTCATCTTGTTTAAGTTTTGATAATTTGTGTTTTTCAAAAAATTGTCAATTTCATCTAAGTTGTTGAATTTATTGACATAGACTTGTTCATACTATTTATTTATTATTCTTTTTAATCTCTAGAATCTGTAGTAGTATTTCCTTTTCTTTGTGATGTTGGTAGTATATATTGTCTGTTTTTCTTGCACAGTTTTGATAGAGATTTAACAATTTTGTTGTTTTTTTAAAAAATCAACTTTTGGTTTGTTAAATTTCTCTGCTGTTTGTATTTCATTTCATTGATCTCTGTTCCTAATATGTTATTTCCTTCATTCTACTTACTTTTGGATTTGTTTGCTTATCTTTTTTTTTACCTTCTTGACAAGGAAACTTAAATCATTTATTTTTAAGCCTTTCTTCCTTTCTAATGTAAGCATAAGTTATAATACAATGTAAGCTATAAATTTCTCTTAAGCACTGAATTAACTGCATCCCCAATATTTGATATGTTGTATTTTCATTATCAGTTTAAAATATTTTAAAATTTCACTCATGCACAAATTAAACCTCAATAACAAAATTCATAAAGAATTATTTTTGTAAGTCTCTAAAGGAATGATATGCCAGAGAATCTATATGCACACAGTGCATGAATTATTTTATGAGAATAGTGTTTTACTGAAACCTGTGCAAGTGTAACCAATGGCAGAGTAACTTTTAAAATTAGAATCTTGAAAAAAGTATTTCCAAGGTAAGATTACAGAGAAAACACCACATGTGAAATTCATTCGTTGCACAGCCAAGCTGATGCAGCAAAGAAAAGAAGCTAAAAGTGCATGGTGTAACAGAATGTCTGTGTCATATCATGATAAATATTATATCTCTCCCTAGTTCCTGGCACAGAGCTCCTAAAACTCTTAGGATTTGTCTGAGTGATAGAGATGCTGCCTGCATCTTTTGTTCTAATATTTGGTCAGTATCCCTAGGTTCTAACATACAGCTTCCAATTCCTTGGAATTTCTTGGGTGACAGGAAGGTCTTTAGCTCTAACGAGATGACTCTTAATGGACTCCTGTATGGTGGCTGGTCACCAGAAGGACCAAACCATGATTAAAGGTTTAGAACTTTTAGCTCCATCCCTCATGCTCTGAGAAGGGGAGAAAGGTTAAGTATTGAGTTAATAATTGATCATGTTTACGTGATGAAGGCTCCATTTAAAAAAATCCCTGAATGGTGGAGTTTGAAGAGCTTATGAGTTGCTGAACACATGGAGGTTCTGGGAGGTGCTGAGGGCAGGCCCCCAGAGACAGTATGGAAGCTCTGTGTCCCTACCCCCATAACCAGCCCTATACGTTTCTGAGTTGTATGCTTTTACAATAAATGGGTGATGGTAAAGCAAAAACAGTTTCCTGAGCTCTGTGAGCCACTCTAGCAAATGATCAAACTGGAGAAGGGGTTTGTAGGAACTTTTGATTCGTAGCTAAGTCAGACAGAAATTGTCAATAACCTGGGAACCTACTGCTTATGATTAGCATCTGAAGTGTGGGGTAGTCTTGTGGGACGGAAACCTTAACCTGTGGGGAAGGGGTCTGGGCTAACTCTGCTTAGTGTCAGAATTGAATTGAATTGTAGGACACCCCGTTGTTGTTCATCAGAGAATCGAGATGTGGGGGAAAACTCACACATCTTGTATCAGAAGTGTTCTGTGTTGTGTTGAGAGTATAACAGGAGGAAGCCACTTATTTGTTGTGTTCTCTATGTTCAGTCATCAATGAAGTTAATATTTTTTAAGTAGAACCTGGTAGAATCTCCACAATAGTTTCAAATAAGATTGTTGCTAACTATAAAAATTGTTTTACCTCTAGTACCTTGTGACAAAGTACAGAAGTTGAGAAAGTTTTTTAACTTACAGATGTTGCAACTTTTTGACAAAGGACAAGTGTTATAAATTAGCTTAACTTCTCTGTGATAAGTGGTTGACAGTAATATGCACATAGTAGCTACTTCTGAAAAAATATAATCGCACTTAATCTATCCCTTCAAGGTTAGAATGTCATTTTTAGCAATGAAGGCAGAAAGCATTTTAAAGATAAACATATGGAGATATTTCCATTTTTCTCTTGATGAAAAGTATGTGTCACCTCTAAAAAGTCTCAAACTTTTTAAAAGCTGTTTAAAAATCTTTTAAACAAAGAATTTTAGTAGGAATCACTTAATACAAATATTAAAATGTAATGTTATCTAAATAGTTTGCAAGTACAATTTAATGATATCAAGAGAAACAGAAATCTACTAGCTAAGTTTCAGTGAAATCCTTTGAGTAAATAATGCATGGGCAAAAAGTCTGAGCATCATGATTTAGTAAATGCAGCTAACGATAATGCTGCCCTTCCTCATATAGATGTCCATATCCTTGTGAGTTATATATTTCAGCCATCAGATTCATTAAATGCATGCATTTTAAAAATCAATATGATCTTCAGATTGCTATATCACAAAGTAAGAACCAAGATTTTAAAAAATAAAGAAGCATATTCAATCATACTGCTGTCACTGGTAGCAAAAAGAACTGATGGGATATGCTATCAAAAAGACTAGAAACTACAGGTTAAGAGCATGAACTGGGTTTGAGTCCTGGTTCTGCCATGATTAACTCTGGGATAGTTATTCACTCTCTGTGATGATCAGTTTCTTTCCACGAAAAGCAAGAATATTAAAGATACATGCCTCATAGGGTTGTTGTGAGGATTAAATGAGTTAATAGTGCATGCAAAATGCCTAGACCAATTGTCCAATAAAAATATAATGCAAACCACTTACAAAACTTTAAAATATTCTAGCAGCCTCATTAAAAAATATTTTAAGGTGAAAGTAATATAACAATATATTATATTTAACCATGTATCTCCAAAATATTATCCTTTCAACATGTGACACATTCATATTTCAAATGCTCAGTAGCTTCTTGGGGCTAGGGGCTCCCATATGGATCAGTGCAGGTCTAGACTATAATGAATAGCTATTATTTCTAATATTTTTATTATTACTACTACTATAATTCTCAAAACACTAGACATTCTCATTCTCACACTTAAATGCAAATCCAAAACATAGACTCAGATCAAATACATTTATACCTTTGCCATTTCCCTTCTAGAATCCTGAAAATGGCCTTATTTCTGCAGCTTGAAAATCAAAAGGAACCAAGTTGGCCTTACTAGATTAAAGCACAGGTCAAAGGGCCAGTCTATAAATAGCCATTTTATAGTTATCCCAAACATGAAACAAATGCAGAGGGAAATGTACACTTAGACAGGAATTAAATAGGGAATAAATTTTCTTGAGGTGAACTTAAAAAAGAGAAGAGATATTCAACAACCCAAGCAAGGGGCCATCAATTGAAGACACTTTTATGCTTTAATAAACTCAGAAAATATCTTGCTTCAAAGTGTAACAGTGTGTTTCTTGAGTGAGGAAGGGTGATAAAAGTAAAAAAAAAAAAAATCTAGAAAGAAAAATATAAAAGTCATTTTATAAAAATGACTTTTTTTATAAAAAATATTTTTATAAAAAGTCATTTTATAAAAAAATTTATAAAATAAAAAAATAAGTCTTTTTTAAATAAATAAAGGCTTGGTGTGATGACTCATGTTTGTAATTCTAGGGAGGCCCAGGCAAGGAGATCACTTGAGGCCAGGAGGTCGAGAGCAGCCTGGCAAGACCCAGTGTCTAACAAATAACAATAATAATAATAATTAGCCAGGCATAGTGGCACATGCCTGCAGTCCCAGCTACTTGGGAGGTTGAGGCAGGAGGATCCCTTGGGCCCGGGAGTTTGGGGCTGCAGTAAGCTATAATTGCACCACTGCACTGCAGCCTGGGTTACAGAGCAAGAACCTGTCTCAATAAATAAATAATAAAGAGAACATTATGGAAAACATTTAATCCTATTTTCCATTCATTTTAATTTTAAAATGTTTTCTTTTCCTTAAATTTAATGTCATTGTGACACCCAATAAGGGGGGCGGGTCACAACTTTAACAAAAAAGATGCATTCCAGATGCAAACAAAACACTTAATAAACCCTTAATATACTTAAAAATAATGGAAAATGTATTTATAAATTAATAAGTAAGCAAATGCCTAATAAAAATAATTATATTGTTAATATCTACATGAAAAATATTGCCATTAATATCAATAGGTTTTTAAAAATGGTCTGTAGAATTGATCAGCAATTGAAATGTGATCTTTCATAATAGCTTTCTGAGCACACGGCTATCTTGCATGTGATTTAGTGGAGTTACCTTGAAAATTCATGTCTGAATTTGCCTATAATCACTTTTCAAATCTATTTGCACACTAGCTGTCTGATTTAGAAAGGTTCTCATCCTCAGAAGCTTACATTACATGCAGTAGAGGACTCTACAAGTTCAATAAAAAATTATCACAGTCAAAGTAGGTATAAATATGCCATGGTGAAGTGGACCTGGGATACTGATTGATCTTGCATCTAAGTTCACTTTTTTTGGTTGAAAATAAAATAGCCTATCACACATTGAAACCAGTCCATTAATCATGAAGTGATTCTTATAGTTTTCTGTATCCTAGACCCCCTTCAAAGGTGTAAGCGATGCATGTCATCCCCAGAAAAATTCACATATGCAAAAACTTTTGCATACAATTTCCATACAGTGTCTCCTCTGCTCCTCTGACCATAAATTAATCTATTGCTGGCATGGAAAGATAGCCCACAGGCAAATATTCCATAGTTCTAAATAGCCAATAAAGTAGTCACACATACAACCGCTTCCCTTTTTTATGCCCTAGCTCTATCATACCAGTTTCCTGGTTGGTGGGTAAAGGTGGATCCAATCAAGGGGAGTTAGTCCTCTGTAACCATTGAATAAGTCAGTCCACAGCATATATCCACTAGCATCCACTGCTAGTAAAATACTAATGCTTTTAAATTGAAATTTTATAATAAAAGGTATGGATTAATACATGGTATGGAAAACAATAACCCCAATTTACTTAGCATTTAAAAGAAAAATGTAATAGGCTTACATATAAGTTAATATAATGTAAGATAATATAAAGTCCATGCTTTACATTAGTATATGCATGTATTTTTATCCATTGATTTAACAATGTTATTGAGCATCTCCTGTGTGCCGGGCACTGTGCTAGGAACTCCATGATGATCAAGACCCAAGGATCTTACAGTGTAGAAGGGAAGACAGAAGTCAGTAACAGTTGTAAAAAAGATAATATATGATAAAACAGGGCTAAGTTCAAGGAAATCAGAGAAAGAGACTGGTCTTAAAGGAAGGTTTTAGGCAAAGCTCAAGACAAAGCTGAGTCCAAAAGGAACCGTAGGGGCAAAAGGCATTCTAGGCCAAGAGAAAAGCAAGTGCAATGGCCTAGAGAAGAAAGGAAAAGGCAAACACGGAGGCTTGCAAGGCTTTCAGTGCAGAGAAGCAGAGTTCAAAGAAGACATTACAGGAAATGAGTCTGGAGAGATGGGCAGAGACAAGGTCATGAAGGGCCTTGTATACCTTGCTGGAGTTTTTGGACTTCATCCTGAGAGACCACTGCAAGGCATTACAGTGATTTTAGCTGGGAAGTAAGGGGATCAGATGGTTGTAATAGAGCAGTAATTCTCAAAGTGGACTCCAGAGAGCCCTGGGGGGAGTGGGTTTCCAAGATCTTCAGGGCATTTGTGAAGTCAAAACTATCTTCATAGCAATAGTAAGACACTGTTTACCTTTTTCACACTTATTCTTTTAAGCATGTAAACTTTTCCAAAGGCTACATAATGAGTGACAACATCATTGGTCTGTTCTGATGGCTCTTAGAATATGTGCTTGTGTTATTCAAGGATAACATTTTATCCTCATCCAAATATAATAAAATAAAAGAATAACATTTTAAAAGGCAAGCTTTTAAAAAGTCTCAGTTTTAATTTCTAACAAGGTAAAAATACATGTCTATATATAAACCATATAAACAAAGCTCTTTGGCATCCTCAATAAATTTTAACAGTGCAAAGCTTACCCGAGACCAAAAAATTTCAGAATTGGTTTTACCCCAGCTGTACTGAATGAAACAGTGAGGTAGGGAGAGGGCAATGTTGGAACAGTTAGTAGGGTCATTCACATCTCAGGCAAGGGGTGGTCATGGCCCAGATTAAGGCTAAAACACAGGAAGATAAAAAAGAGTGTGAATCTATGATATGCTGAGGAGGCAGAATCAACAGAATTTAGAAATTAATTAGGGGTGGGATATGGGGGAGAGATCAAGAAGGACATTCAGATCCTGGCTTTGAAAATTAAGTGGCATCCTGACAGATAGAGGCAACCTATGAGGAGCTGCCAAGATTGGGATGAGATTAGTTGTGACGCATTTTGCATCTGCTTGGTAATGGCCAATGGTGAGTTGGCTGTATGAGTAGACAGTGCAACAGAGTATGGAGCTGGAAATAGATGGCTAGAAACCTTCAGCATGTAGGTGGCAATTGAGGCCTTTGAAGGAGATGAGATCATCTCCAGAGGACGTGGAGGGTGAGAAAGGAGCAGGACTTGGACGCCAACAGGAATGGCCCGAAGAGGAAGAATCTTCAAAGGAGAAGAAAAAGAAGCATCCTATAAATGTGCTATGGGGAAGTCAAGGTAAGAGTGTTTTAGGAAGGAGGCACAAGTCAGCAGAGTAAAACACTGATGAGAGGGAGTCTTCTAGGTCTTGACAAGATAATGAGCCAACCCTGGCTATTGACTTCCTTCCCCAAAATCAACCCTGAAGAAACTACAGAAGCTACAGGATGTACAGGCAGAAAGTACTACTGACATAAAAATGGAGAAACTCTTGGGGAGGCCAGAGGATGTCATGAGTTGGAAGGGCCAAGTGGAGCCTGGTGCTATGAGCAGCCAGAGACAGCAGAGGGAGAGAGCAGGCTGAGGGAGAGCATTTAAACTTCACGCTAGTCTCCACCTGCATTGCCTTGGAAAATCACAGAAACCAGCAGCAACAGCCTTGTTCCTGTGGTATGATATTAAATATTAGGCAGCCCAAAGCCCAGTGGGGTAGGGAACTGGAGTATACCAGCAAGGTTCATTGGCCCCTTGGACATTTATTCCTCTACCTCCTCTCCCAGTCAAACCTCCAGGACTGGCAGACCACAAACCAAGGAGATTGACATGATAGGGAAATCTAAGACAGAGGAAAACCCTAAGCCTTCCAGAAAGAGTTTATGATCTCCAAAGAGACAAAAATCTGAATGAAATAGTATTTCTCAATACAAATATTAGATGCAAAGAGACAAAGTAATCTTTTAAAATACTGAAAGGAACAACTTTGAAGCTCCATATTTATATCCAACAAATTATTTTATACATGTGATGGTAAGATAAATATATTCTCAGGCTTATGATGTCCCAAAAAGTTTGCCACAAAAAAGAGCCCACTTTGGAAGCATTTTTAGAGAAAGTACTTTAAAAAGATGAAAAATAAATGCAGGAGAATACTGCAAGAGATATAGGAAATAAAATGATCAAATAAGTGAGAAAAGTGTACTGTCCTCTAAAAAAGCAAGGATCAAAGAAAAGAAACAAAAGAATATGACTCAAAACAATTCAGTTTTAAATGTCAGAAGATATCAACATGGTGTAGGCATGCAGGGACTGAAAGGATGAAGGAGTCTCATTGGGGAAACATAGACAGTACTATATTAAGAATTTTATAAAAATGAATAGAATAAGAATGGCATAATTATGGCAGAGGGGCCAAGAGAAAGCCTGAGAAGCATCTGATGAAGGATGTTTTTCTTGACTGTTATGATGATCAATTTACAAAAGCAGTAGGGGCTAAAGTAGATGGCAATGGATTTAAGAATGAGTGAGAAATAAAGAAACAGCAAATATAGAAAGCTGTTTTAAAAATTGTAAAGGAAAAGAGAGAGAAAAAACAATAAGTAGGTGAAGTATTGGAGTTGTGGAAAGTCTTTTTACATAAGAAGGAATTGAGCATTTTTATTTATTTTATTCATCATCATTTGGTCACGATATTTTATTTATTATTTTATTTATTTATTTATCATCTGGTCTGTATGTATTTCAAAACCACCTCAAATCTGTTTTGCAAATTAGGATAAAGGGGAAATGAAGGTGGGAAAATAAAGTCATCGGATATACAAAACACACACATTATGCACCTGCAAAGATGGGGTGGAGGAGGGAGCTGGGTTTCCTAGCAGCTAATTCAAAGACAGAACATTTTGCTTAAAAATCAGCCCACAGAAGGGCCGGGCGCAGTGGCTCATGCCTGTAATCTCAGCACTTTGGGAGGCCGAGGTGGGCGGATCATGAGGTCAGGAGATTGAGACCATCCTGGCAAACACGGTGAAATCCCGTCTCTACTAAAAATACAAAAGATTAGCCAGGCATTGTGGCGGGCGCCTGTAGTCCCAGCTACTTAGGAGGCTGAGGCAGGAGAATGGCATGAACCTGGCAGGCGGAGCTTGCAGTGAGCTGAGATTGCACCACTGCACTCCAGCCTGGGCGACAGAGCAAGACTCCGCCTCAAAAAAAAAAAAAAAAAAAAAAAAAAAAAAAATATATATATATATATATATATATATATATATATATGTATATATATATATGTATATATATATATATATATATGTATATATATATACCCACAGAAATGCAAATTTCAAGTGAAACACTAATCTGAGTTCCTGCAGATGCTACAAACAGGCTTTAGAAGAAAGAGGTGCCTTGCCTTAAGTCCTTGTCTTGGTCCATACTTTCCTACTCTGGTATCTTCATTATCTTTCATAGAGAACAGATGTCTCCTAGATAAAGGATCAATTACTCCAACTTGAAAGTAGACAGGACAAAGACTAAGGATGTTTTCCCTGCACGAGATTTTTAAAAGAACGTCTTTAACTGGTTTTTTCCTATGTTGTTTCTATTATCTTTTTTATTCTTTCCTGCTTTCTAAATAACTCACTATTACACTCAGACGATGTTGAGCAGCTAGAGCGGTTTGAGGAGCCATTGAGCCATTTCTCCTTGATTTTGTCCTTTTGTATCTCCACTAGAACAAGAAACTTGTCTTTCAAGAAGAGTCCAAACATCAGCAGGCAGGCACATTGCTTTTCCTAAACCACATGTCCACATGTCCACATATCACTCTCCTTTTTTTTTCTTGGCTTGGACTTCAAAGTCTACCTGCATTATTCTTTGTTGATTTGCTCCGGTCACCTCTCAGACTCATATACACACAGAATTTCATTTAAACTTCAAAACAACTCTGTTACTTATTATTATCCTACCTTTATGAAGAAAAATAAAATCAGAGTAGCTTGCCTGAGTTGCACTGCTATAGCCTAAGTTGTGATGCTAAGATTCTGACCTTTTTGCAAGAAATAATTAAAGAATGACATAAGCCAGGTGCAGTGGCTCATGCCTGTAATCCCAGCATTTTGGGAGGCTGAGGCAGGCGGATCATCTGATGTCAGCAGTTTGAGACCAGCCTGGCCAACATGGTAAAACCCCATCTCTACTAAAAAAAAAACAAAACAAAAAATAGCCTGGCATAGTTGTGGGCACCCGTAATCTCAGCTACTTGGGAGGCTGAGACAGGAGAATCGCTTGAACCCAGAAGGAGGAGGTTGCAGTGAGCCAAGATTGCACCATTGCACTCCAGCCTCGGCAACAAGAGAGAAACTCTGTCTCAAAAAAAAAAAAAAAAAAAAAAAGGAATGACATAGGTAGATTCCGAAATATGCATCCTTGGATCTTTCCCAGGAGGTTAAATTATTGCTACGCTCTGGTATTTTTTATGCTGTTTTTAAAATAGGGCAGTTGTGGGCCCAAGTTAATTTTTTTTCCTTTAGTTTATTTTTTTAAATGCTTGAACACTGCCAATTTCATCAGCAAAAATATACATCTCTTAATAAAATGAAAAATACCTATGACCAAGATGCCACTGGTAGTTACTGACTTTATTATGTTTTTCAGATTCTCAGAGGATTGCTAGATTTTTTTCCTTTGTATAAGCATTTAGAATTCAGGGTGGATTTAGCTGGTTTGCTTGTTTGTTTTTGATCAAATTTTGAACCTAACCCTGACATCAGTGTTCAACTCCTAGAGG
Organism: Homo sapiens; assembly: GCF_000001405.40. Taxonomy (NCBI): domain Eukaryota; kingdom Metazoa; phylum Chordata; class Mammalia; order Primates; family Hominidae; genus Homo; species Homo sapiens. Next base: position 104,428,906 of record NC_000007.14, on the reverse strand, counting down.
CTAGTATGTGTACGTAAGGGTAGATTCCGAAGATATCTTCCTATCAATAGGGTTATTTCAAATAATTATCTATTAGACTTCCAGAGAAAATCATACTGATATCATATTAAATCTAGGTTTTTGGATGTAGAAACATATTTTGTCATCCATTTCTAAATAAGGGAAAATAAAAATATGAAAATAACTAAAAAGTAAAATAGTTTCTAGAGTTTTCAAGTTATTTTATAAATCCTAAGTGATTAGTTCTAATAGTTTCACAAAGACAGGTCACAACTGACAAGCCATAAGCCACGACTTAGGCTTGAGGTAGACGTTTTGTACTGTAAGAAGCACTGTGTGGATCTGATTAAGTAAAAATTCTAGGTTCAACATCAAGCAGAAAATATAACCAGGACAGCTACTATTAATGTGCCAACTACACATAGTTATATATTGGAGGGAGGATTTATAAATTATCAACTATGAAAAGACAACGGCTCCTTTGTTACCTCTTAAGTCATCAAGAAGATTTCATTGTTGTCATCTCTGAAAAAAGGACATTAACTGCAAGAAAATTTAGTTAGACAATAGCATGCATTCTTGGATATGCATGACACAATTTAATTAATAAGTATTTTAGGGCCCTGTTTTCATACATGAATTGTCTCTTCCTAAGTGGAAGAAAACTTAGCATTATGGACCACATTACCAGATGTTATATGTAGATTTTAACATAATTGTGGACGGACATCTACAAAAATGGCTGCACTTAGGATGTTATTAGGCAAAGGCTGCATAATTTGAATATGTTCTAAGTGGCTGAATTACCATTTAAAAACTAAGTGAGCAAGGTGAAATGTTACCATTACCCCCCTGATGCACTGTGATGCTGAGGTATTATCTGATTTACTGGGATGGCATTTTCCATCCATTTTAATTAGAGAAGTTCTCCTCTGGCATATGCTATGTAATCTCAGCTTTCATATTTTGAAGAAGCATTTGGGACTGCCGGTGATATTTCTCATTCCTGATGCTCATCACCAGCAAAAACTGATGCACGAGGTGTTTTGAGTTGTGATTGCTTGAATTGAAACATTTAAGCTACTTGTCCATGACCTGTGTATAAAAATGTTAAGTATTTGAAGAACCAGATGTTTTCAATTTGAACTAGAGTTCAGAACTTCTGATTCCACATCAACCACTGGTCTGCTCATAACCCCAAATGGAGAGAGAGTACATGCCTTCAACTCACAGCAAAGAAAAGTCCTAATGGGGACCCAATCAGCCAGAGAAGAAGCCAGGCTGTGGCAATACAAAGACCGATAGTAGAAAGTTTTTTGAGATATGTGGTTTGCATCTTTTAAATTCACATAGCCACTCAAACTACATGTTGACACAAAATAGTTTCAAGCAAAAACCCTATCAGCCCTGCTTTAAGGGAAGATCTGACACTAGCACCATCCATTTTTATACAAGTAGTTGATAATTAAATAGAATAATTTGCTTCCTTTAGGATGTATAAGGGAAGCTCTATGATGGCTTCACTGTTAATTTCTTAGGAGACTCTAGCGTAGATAGTTTAGTATAGGTGGAGTTATCATTAAGTTCAAATTAGATTTAGAAATAATGATATTTTACTAATCCACAAAGCCAGCTTTACAAGTTCACATAGGTTTCACTTGAGAGCTACACTGGTCTTTTTGAAGCTATTCAAGGACATCACATGTGTTTTTCCTCCTTTCTTCCCTTCTGGCACCTCGTCTTCCACCGACTGCTGACAATGGCCAGGCTCTCCTGGATTTGACGATCTCCTGTACTAAATACACTGTGAAAACCTCGAGACGTTAGGTCTTAGAATCACTAGAACTTAGCGCAGTACCTAGAATGCAACAGGTACAGAACTCTATAACTATTTATTAGTTATTTATTAATTCAATTTTATTCATTATATATTTTTGAATGTTTATTTTGTGCCACACACGTGTTGGGGGTTGGGCGGGTGGCAGTGACAGTATGAATAAAACACAATTTCTCCTCTTTCAAGGAATTCCATCTAGTAAAAGAAGAAGACTACAGTTGACAATTATAAAGCAGTGTAGAAATTAAATCCTAAGACATACATCAAAAGGTATCCTTTTAACTCACCAATGCAAATGAAAGTAGGAGGTTGGTCCAAAGAAGAAAATATATTTTGGAGAAAAAGAATTCTTCCCAAACTATATATAAGGTAGGGAACTGTCAGGACAAAGTTAACCCTGGCACAAACCTATTTTTAAATTCTCTAAACTTCTCTTTATTGGGTCCTTTTCATAAACACTGACTTCATTTATTTTAAGAGCTTCACTGTGTTTTAGAACATAGTGTAGAACACCAGCCAGGCATGGTGGCTCATGCCTGTAATCCCAGCACTTTGGGAGGCCAAGGTGGGCAGATCACCTGAGGCCGGAAGTTCCAGACAAGCCTGACCAACATGGAGAAACCCTGTCTCTACTAAAAACACAAAATTAGCTGGGCGTGGTGGCACAAGCTTGTAATCCCAGCTACTAGGGAGGATGAGGCAGGAGAATCGCTTGAATCTGGGAAGCAGAGGCTGCAGTGAGCCAAGATCACGCCATGGCATTCCAACCTGGGCAACAAGGGCAAAACTCCATCTCAAAAACAAACAAACAAACAAACAAACAAACAAACAGAACATAGTGTAGAACACCAGAATCAAAGCTTTACCTATCAACCTAAGAAATAGCAATCCTTTCAAGCAAGGAAAGTTAAAATTAAAATCCTACCATACATAAGAATAAAAATGTGTAAATGGACAAAGTAGAAAATGTCATGTCCCACTGCATCTGTGGGGGAACGGGAACATTTTACACTACTGTGTGTGTTTGAAGCTATAATTTTGCCATTGCGAACAGAAGGAATAGGCAATGTTGACGTGCAACAGTTCAAATGACACAGAAGCTTCCCTGAAATTTAGATTCTATGTATAGTTTATTTGAAGAGTACTAGCTCAATATAGGGGAGACTTGGGAAAGGATAAGAACTTTTCTATTTCATAAGCAACAGACTAAAAATGAGATCGTGAAAGGAACACTCCATTTAGTCCTCTATCTAAAGCAGCTTCAGAAAAGCCTTCTAGGAAATAATTTCACCAACTCATCTTCTCCTAGAGTTAAAAGAATCCTTCAGACATCCCCAAATGTGAAAATGTAAATATAATTTCATCACTAAAAATAGAAATTAGCATTATAATTAACCACCAAAAGATGTAACAGTAGAGCTAAGAGGAAAGCTGAATATTCAAGGAAAATATTTCAGCTACACTTTTTCCCTTTTGCTTTCATTTCTTGTCCCTCTTTTTCCCCTTGTGAAAATTTTGTATATACATATATATAAAATCATCTGTTTAATCTTCATCATAATAGCAATAATAACATCTAACATTTATTGAGCACCTAATGTGTACTAGGTGGCAATATATTAAGAGCTTACACACACTATCTCATTCAATATTTCTAACAGGCAAATAAAAAAAAAATCTAACTTTTGCAGATAAGAAAACAGACTCAGAGAGGTCAACAAAGGTCACAAAACTACGTGTTGGAATAAACACTTAGGTTCACATCTGTGTGTATGCAACATATAAACCTCCTTTGTCATTATCAATAACTGGGATACCCCCACCCCACCAAAATCCCAATTCCAGGCACCCCTACTCTCAACCTCACATCTGCTTCCTATCTCATTCCCATTATCCCAACTCCAACACTCCTTCCCCTTCACTGGGCCCTACTATGTAGTGATCAGAATACTTTTTATTGTCCCTCACCTACCTCATGTCTTTGTCCCCTTTCCCAGCTGAAATTCCATGTATGATCACTATTTCTCACCCTCAACACAACTGACATTTTGAGTCAGATACTTCTTTTTTTTTTTTTTTTTTTTTTATGAGATGGAGTCTCACTCTGTCGCCCAGGCTGGAGTGTAGTGGCGTGATCTCCGCTCACTGCAAGCTCTTCCTCCCGGGTTCACGCCATTCTCCTGCCTCAGCCTCCCAAGTAACTGGGACTACAGGTGCCCACCACCACGCCCGGCTAATTTTTTGTAGAGACAGGGTTTCACCATGTTAACCAGGATGGTCTGGATTTCCTGACCTCGTGATCTGCCTGCCTTGGCCTCCCAAAGTGCTGGGATTACAGGCGTGAGCCACCGCGCCCGGCCAAGTCAGATACTTCTTTAGGAAGGGGAGCTGTCCTGTGCATTGCAGGCAGTCAGCAGCATCCCCGACTTCTACCCACTGGAGTAGCCTTTCCCCCAACCAGTTGTGACAACCAAAAATGTCTCCAGACCTGGTTGGTTGACCTTTTAAATTAAGCAGTATATGGATTTATTGTTTGGGGGGCTATAATGAATTTATTCAGATAGTCTGCATTTATATTACATCTTTCTGTGGTCTTACATAACCTTCTCTGTAATGGAAAGCTGGGACCATTTTGAAATGAATTGAAAGGCTGTCTAGTTCTGGTGTGGATCCTGTAAGAGCTCCTCTGTACCTCGGTGGAAGGCCTTTCTTCTTTCTGTACCTTCGTACAGCCGCACTTCTGTGCAACAGACAACCATCTGATTCCCCAACAAAAGTACCTTGAGCCAAGTGGGGCTCTGATGCTTCTTGCACAGCAAGTGCCTATCAAGAGACAAGTCAATCAGAAAACCAATTTCTTGATAATAATATCAGCAAATCTCACACTTGGTAAAGTAGTCATAGTTTTAAGAAACTTAATATGAAAAACACTGTAAAACACAGTCCCTTTTTTTTAAGGGAGAGAACACAAAGCCTAATTTCTTTCGAAAGCACTAGTCGAGTGATACGATTTTAAAACTAAGTTTTGTTTTAAAAGGGCATGCTAGGGTACATTTTACTACCTCCTTTAAAACACAAAGCTAAGCCCTACCCTGACCATTCTCTCCACATGCCAGTTCTCTGCAAACCTTTTGGACTGCTGCTAGTTCTTTTTAACTCAAACATCCTGTAGTCTGGAGGAGGCTTTCCTGAACAAGCCTGGTTTTTCTGTTTGTTTGTTGTTTGCCTTTGAGACAGGGTCTTGCTCTTTCACCCAGGCTGAGTGCAGTGGCATGATCACGGCTCACTGCAGCCTTGACACAACTGACATTTTGGACTGCTGCTAGTTCTTTTTAACTCAAACATCCTGTAGTCTGGAGGAGGCTTTCCTGAACAAGCTCGGTTTTTCTGTTTGTTTGTTGTTTGCTTTTGAGACAGGGTCTTGCTCTGTCACCCAGGCTGAGTGCAGTGGCATGATCACGGCTCACTGCAGCCTTGACTTCCTGGGCTCAAGTGATCCTCCCACCTCAAGTGATCAAGTGATAAAAAATTAGTCAGGCATGGGTGAGAAATTCTGTGATCAGGAGTAGCTGGGACGGTAGGCATGCACCACCATGCCCAGCTAATTTTTTTTAATTTTTCTAGAGACAGGGTCCCACTTTTTTGCCCAGGTTGGTCTCTAACTCCTGGACTCAAGCAATCCTCCCACTTTGGCCTTCCATAGTGCTGGGATTACAGGTGTGAGCAACCACATCTGGCCTGAACAAGCCTGTTTCTTCTCTCATGGCCAGACCAAGTTGGATGACCCACTTATGTACTTCCATAGCAGCCCAATTGATGACTTCATTATAAATGTCCATCACAGCCTCCAAGCACCTTGCTCAGTGAGGCTTACAACTTGCATCCCTGCTGCCTCTGCCCATCCTAATCTCCATTACCATTGGCTTATTGTCCTCCCCTCTTGTAACATGCATCACCTCCTGACACACTGACCTTATGCACTCTGTAATTTATTTTCTCTCTTCCCTCACTAGAATGCAAGCTCCATGAGGGCAGGAAATCTGGGTATGTTTTGTTCACCATTGCGTCCCCAGTACCCGGAACATTGTAGGGGTCTCAATAATTACCTGTTCAATGAATCAATTAATCTTATAACTGTTAATTCACTTGAAGGTATTAATATCTCTCCCAATAGCCTCTGAGTTTCTCAAGGACAGGTGCTAATTCCATCTTATTCATCTCTGAATTCCCAATATATGTTACATCACCGTCACCACCAGCATGTCATGGTAATAAGGAATATTTAACAAATGTGTACTAGTTTCCAGTCTGTGAATCTTTTTTGGTACACTATCATATTTTATCTTAACCATTTATAAAGTAGGATTCTATTATTATCCCCTTTGTACAGATGAGGAAACTGATGCTCAGAGAGATAAAGTAACTTGCGCAAGTCACATACATAGTACGTGGTGGACTTGAAATTCAAGCCCAGGCAGTTTAACTCCAGAACTCATGCTTAACCATTTTGTAATAAATGCTAGTTGAAATAAATCAATTTCTATAATCCACACAGCTTGGCTTAATTTATTTTGGAGGAGAAAGATACTAGAGAGACTGTCATTAGAAGAACTATGCCAATTGTCTTGGGCTGTTATAATGAAGCCCCATAGACTGGATGGGTTACAAACAACTGAAATATTTGTTCTTGTTGTTGTTGTTGTTGTTTTGAGACAGAGTCTTGCTCTGTCACCCAGGCTGGAGTGCAGTGGCACAATCTCGGCTCACTGCAACCTCCACCTCCCGGGTTCAAGTGATTCTCCTGCCTCAGCCTCGCAAATAGCTGGGACTACAGGCACATGCCACCGTGGCCAGCTAATTTTTATATTTTTAGTAGAGATGGTGTTTCACCATGTTGGCCAGGCTGGTCTTGAACTCCTGACCTCCAATGATCCACCCACCTCAGCCTCCCAAAGTGCTGGGATTACAGGCGTGAGCCACTGCACCCGGCCTGAAATGTATTTTTTACAGTTCTGAGGGCTGAAAGTCCAAGACCAGGATGACAGCATGTCAGGTTCTGGTAAGGGCCGTTTTGCAGGTTGCAGATGGCCTACTTCACATTACGTTTTCCCATAGTAGATAGAGAGCTAGAGAGGTCTCTGGGGTCTTTCCTTATAAGGATACTAATCCCATTCATGAGGGCTCCACCTTCACGATCTCATCACCTCCCAAATGCCCCACCTCCTAACACCATCACATTGGAAGTTAGCATTTCAATGTATGAATTTGGGGTGGATACAAACATTCAGTCCATATCAGCTATCTTTTCTTTACAATTTCTGAACAATTTCCAGATCTATTTCTTCTTCCTCCATATCTTGGCAAATTACCTTATCCTTCCTCATGTTATTGTTTCTGCGGAGATCTATCTTATCTTTTCTAGTGCTTTAAGGAATCTCCAGTGTTGACAGCTGTAATCTTGTCTCTGGCTTCTCTGGCTGAGCCTTTCCAAATACTCACTGAAGATTTCATTTCCTCCAGTTCAAGATGCTGCAGGAAAAAAATTATCTTCATGACCTCTTCCCAATAAACCTTTCCAGTGACTTTTTCCCATCACATTTTGTTTCTTTACCGCATCTCATATCTCCCTAATTCTCAGATACTACTTGAAAAAACCAGCTGCTAGCAGGTAACCATCTGTAACATGTTGAGGTTTGTCCTGCCACAATGCCTCTCATCTGGTCAAGCCTCACTTCCACCTTTTCTCTTCCCTACTTTCACTTGAATTTGCCTATACCTTGTCTTTTTTTCCTACAGGAGCAGAGCTATCCTTTTTTACTGTTTACAGACTATAGTTATACTTAAAACTTTTCAAGCATTTTTCCTTTTTTGATAAATTTCAATAATAGGTCATTTTCTAATTTCATCCTTTCTCAACACCTCCAGGATCTTACTTCATTGAGTATGTATTTCCTCTTTTGCGTAGTTATCCTTACTACCTTCTCTCTGCCAGTCTCCTTATGTTTCCATCAACAAATAGCAAGGACCACAACCTTCTCTATCTGGCTATGCCCTTGAGTTGTTGGCCCATCTGTCTGATTCCTTTCAGCTCAAATTATCCCACGTGTAGTCCACTAACTGATCCTTTTCTCTGCTTTCCCACATACTTACTCTTCCATTCTGTCAGTTTGGATTAAATCTGCTACTATACTGAATTCACCCTTTGGGGGGCCGGGCGCGGTGGCTCACGCCTGTAATCCCAGCACTTTGGGAGGCCGAGATGGGCGGATCACGAGGTCAGGAGATCGAGACCATCCTGGCTAACACGGTGAAACCCCGTCTCTACTAAAAAAAAATACAAAAATTAGCCGGGCATGGTGGCGGGCGCCTGTAGTCCCAGCTACGCAGGAGGCTGAGGCAGGAGAATGGCGTGAACCCGGGAGGCGGAGCTTGCAGTGAGCCGAGATCGCGCCACTGCACTCCAGCCTGGGCGAAAGAGCGAGACTCCGTCTCAAAAAAAAAAAAAAAAAAAAAAATTCACCCTTTGGGAGGCCACCAGTAACCACGTACAGCTTAAGTGAAATCACTGTCTTCCATTTTCACCTTCCTCTGTCATTATACAGAATTTAATACTTAGAACCACCTCTCTTTCTCAAAGCTCCTCTTTTCTTTTTTAAAAATCCTCTTTGTTACCACCGGTTTCCCTGTTCTGCCTCTCTGTTAAATATAAAGCAGTGGACAGTCATAGCTGTTCTATGTCCTGGTTTTCCCATTTCACTAACAAGGGGAGGGGAGGCTGCCATGGACACTATATTGACCCAATGCCAGTAGGCGGGTCTCCACTACTAGTGTGGCCCTCTGGTTCTCTCCCTTCTGTGTGGCAAAAGTGGTCAGAAGGCCTGGATGTACCTCCTAGAAGAAGACCCAGAAAAGTGCCTTCCACCCTGCTTTGGTTGTGGACTAGTAAGGCTTGGCCAATCTAGGCAGGTGGGGTCTTCCACACGACTGAGTTCTGGCCCCCTGGAACTCTTCATGGGGTTAGAACCAAAGCTCTTTAATAGTGAAGCTCTCCTCTGCCTTGCTTTGCCTCCACTGTTTTTTGTTGTTGTTGTTGTTGTTGTTTGTTTGTTTGTTTTTAACTCTGGGAGACTGAGGATGTAAGTAAATTTATCAAGGATAGAACCGGGATACTTCTGGGTGCCCAAAGTCCAATCCAGCATATTTGCTTTGGGTTAACATAGAGAACACTGCCACCTCTGTGTATCTGTCCTGCCCCTTCAGTGTGATGTTCCTGAGCTTCCAGCCTCCATCTCATCCTCTCTAGCCTTTCCTTCACCTAAACCATACGTCCAATGACTTCCATGATTATCTCTACTCAGAAGAATCCCAAGTCTGGAACTTTGGCTTCATCCTTCTCTCAAGTTCTAGTTCTGAATTCTTGAGCTATTTGATTTCCACCTCGAAAACCGGTATGTCTAAAGTCAAACTTATAATCTTCCTCCTCAGATCTATTTCTCTTATAACATGTATTTTTAATGGTATCAGAATCCTCTAGTCACCCAGATCTGAAATGAACTCGTTGATTTTTCCCTTTCATTTCCTTCTCCCTATATTCCATGGGTCATTAAATTATGTTCACTTAACTTGGCAATGTCTTTCAAACTCACAACTGCTCTATTTTAATCTCTTGACTGTATTTCAGGCACTTGTTACCTTAGCAATGATAATTAAGGAGATTCTATTATCTCTCTTTCCCATAATCCTATACAATGCAACCAGATTACCATTCTAAAGCAATGCTTTGAACCTGTCACTCTGCTGCTCAGAATACTGTGACACGCTAGTCCCTACTAAATGAAGCTCCAACTTGTTTGCCTGACATCAAAGCATCATCCATAGTTTATTTTTTTTTACCAATATACCTTGGAGTTTATCTTTCATCAATCTCCAACTTACGTTCCAAACTACAACCAAATTAGATCTGCTGGTTTTATTTAGACAATTTAGACAATATTCTCACATCTTGTTAAATCTTAAACAAGGATGCAAGTTATAAAATCTACTACTAGCTGTGTAATCTTAGGTAAATTGTATAACCTCTCTGAGCTACAGTTTTCTTATCAATAAAATGGAAGCAATAATTGGTACTTGTCTCATAGGATTGCTCTTCGCATTTAGATAACACATGTGCAGTGCAGGCTTAGCACGGTGCCTGACACAGCAGAAGGATTCACTGTCTTTTAGCTAGAATACTAATAATGAGTATTTCTCATTCTGTATCTTTTTCATGCCATCCCTTCCACCTGAAATGCCTCCACTCCATCTCTGTTCTTCAGAATCACACCTATCCTTGAAGGCTGAGATGAAACCTGACCCTTCTCTGAGTCTTCTGGACTCATTATGCTCTGCAGTGACTTCCTTCTTCTCCCAAATCCTAAGCACCTTGTATCTCTTTTAGGAAACTTACCACACTGTATCACAGTTCTCAGCAAATTTTCTCATTTCTTTCACTAATTCAAAGCGACTTGACCCATTTTTTAAATTGTTTGTTTGTTTTTGGAGACAGGGTCTCACTCTGTTGCCCAGGCTGGAGTGCAGTGGTGCAATCATAGCTTGCTGCAGCCTCAAACTCCTGGGCTCAAGTGTTCCTCCTGCCTCAGCCTCCCAAGCAGCCAAGACTACAGGTGCACACTACCACATCTGGCTAATTTTTAAATTTTTATAGAGATGGGGTCTTAGTATGTTGCCCAGACTGGTCTCAAATCTCTGGCCTCAGGCAATCCTCTTGCCTATTGTTGAATCATCTATTGTGCCTGGTGCAGTCTCTTGCCCTCAGGAAATATTTGTAGAAACAATGAGTAAATAAAGTTTTGATTTTACTTTCCTTAAGAACAACAATAGAAAATGCCAGTAACAGCCGGGTGCCATGGCTCACACCTGTAATCGCAGTATTTTGGGAGGCCAAGGCAGGTGGATCACCTGAGGTCAGGAGTTCGAGACCAGCCTGACCAACATGGTGAAACCCTGTCTCTACTAAAAATGCAAAAATTAGCTGGGCATGGTCCCTGTAATCCCAGCTACTCAGGAGGCTGAGTTGGGAGAATCCCTTGAACCCAGGAGGCAGAGGCTACAGTGAGCCAAGATTGCACCATTACACTCCAGACTGGGTGACAGAGCAAGACCCCATCTCAAAAAAAAAAAAAAAAGAAGAAGAAGAAGAAGAAGAAGAAGAATTAGAAAAGAAAATACGAATAACAGTAAAAATTAACCTTTACTGACATTGAGCACATTCGTGTACTTACCATGAGTCAAGCACCGTTAAGTATTTTACTGCATATTAGTTATGTCTTAAGTACAGTGTTTCCTCATATTTTTTGTGAATTAATGTAACTTGGAAAAATATTCAAAAAACCCACAAGGATTGTTTTCTTAGATATTTTACATATAATTTGTTGATCCTTAGCAAAAACAATGGCAGCAAATTAATGCCTCTAAAGACTAATACCTAAAAAGTACTTGTTTAAATATATTCTTTAAAAAACACAAGACCCCAATAAAAACAGACCAGAAGAAATGGAAAGTATAAACTACATGTAGAAAAATATTTATTCCTTCTAAAGATCAAATAAATGCAAATCAAATCAACCTTAAGGCACCATTTTATGCCTATTTTATCAATTGAGTTACAAAGAAACTTTTAAAAATCACTTAATATTGGGAATATGATGAAACAGGGACACTGGCATACTATCTATCTGTGAAGTTGTTAAACTGAGATAACGCTTTTGAAAAAAAATCTGTGAATATGCAGTTGAAGACATGAAGGTTAAATATTCCACCTGAGACATGAGACATGCTCATTGAAGCAGAAGCTTACAGGCACACAAATGTCACGATGTAAAATGATAGCAATCTGGAAATTACTCTAAATGCCAATAGAAATTTTAAAAGCTTTTTAGTAAAGACATCAACGTAATGGAATATTATGCCCCCTATGGTTTGAACGTGTCTTCCACAAAGCATGCATTGGAAACTCAATCCCCAGTGAAAGAATGTTGGGAAGTGGGGCCTAGTGAGAAGGGATTCGGCCACCAGGTATCTGTCTGCATGAATTGATTAACGCTGTTATTGTGGGAGCAGGTTCCTTATGAAAAGATGAGTTTGGCCTCCTCCTGCTCTCTTCCCCTTTCTTGCCTTTCTGCCTTCCACCATGGGATGATGCAGCAAGAAGGCCCATATGCATCCACTCAATCTTGGACCTTCTAGCCTCCAGAACTGTGAGCCAAATAAATTTCTGCTCATTGTAAATTACCCAGTCTGTGGCTTCCTGTTGTAGCAGCACAAAACAGACTAAGATACGTACTTTAATACTCATAATTATAAAGCCTATTGTGTTGAACATATGTCATTCTCTTTAAGTTGCCCAGCATCTGAGCATGTTTCTCTGCTGCAAGAATTCCATTCTTTATCAGTTTTTCTGAGAGGCTATAGAAACAGAAAACGCCAGACCCCCTTTTCCCAAGCCTCCCTTGTAGGAAGGACATGGGCATGTGCCCTAGGATTCACTTTTGCCATGCTTTAAAGGGGAGTTGGTGATTTAGAAAGTAGGGCCACGGAAGGTTTGTCTCCATGGGAGTGGAGGCAGCAGTGAGTAGGTGATACAGTGATGGGTGGTGTATTCATTTTCTAGAGCTCCTGTAACAACAGAAATTTGTTGGCTTCAACAACAGATATTTGTTATCTCAATGTTCTGGAGGCTGGAAATCCAAAATCAAGGTGTAGTAGGGCCATGTTCTCCCTGAAACCTTGTAGGGGAGAATCATTCCTTGCCTCTTCTAGCTTATGATCTTTACCAGCAATCCTTGGAATTCCTTGGCTTCTAGTTGTACCACTCCACTCCCTGCACCTGTTGTCACTTGGCCATCTTCTCCCTTTGTGTCTCTCTCCTGACTTCTTATAAGAATACTGGTCCTATTGGATTAAGAACCCACCTGACTGCAGTGTAAACTTATCTTAACCTAACTAGTTACATCTGCAACTACAGTATCTCCAAATGAGGTCATGTTCTGAGGTACTGGATGTTAGGACTTCATATCTTTTTATGGAGACAGAATGCAACCCATAATAGGTGGTATGTACTGACCCATGCCAGTCCAGTGCAAGCTGCAATGTCTGCTGCTTGGTGGCAGCAGTGAGACGTCCTTACACTTCATGCTCTGTGACCTGATTGGACCCTGTTCTGGACTCTGTAGCCAACTATAGCCCTTCCGAACATTCTAGTAGAAGCTACTCTAATGTCCTTAAATAATGTTTTTTTGCTACTGAAATTGGATATATGTCTGTTGCATTCAACCAAGAATGCTATATAACTATTTAGAAGTACAAAAATACTTATGTGTCACATTAAATAGAAAAGCTGACTAGAAAGTGGAATGTGTTTTATGATTACAGACATTTGAAAACAGGTATTTAGGTTACCAAGAACTGGAAAGTAATATTAGGAAAGTATTGTGTTAGAGTTGGGGTGAGAGAATAGCTGTGGTTTATTAATTTTTCACAATTGTCTTTCATATTTTTATATAATATTATTAATTTTCAAAAATTACAGAAGGGATGGGAAGGAAAGAAACAGTGACCCAAAGTATGCATCCAATTCAATACTATAATTTATTGTTTTCATAATAGGAAATTAAAAATCAGTATTGGGGAAAGGGGATTCATGTAACACTTTTTGATATTAAGAAAACGTATCAAAAACAGTAGGCATCATTCACAGTATAATTAAGAGTGACATCCATTTAACCAAGCTCTCAAGTCAGAAACTGTGCCTTCACTATTCTGTTGTTGGCATTACAGAGTATGTTCAACAAACATCTGTTATTGAATGTTTCAATTATTAATAATTGCTTGAGTAGGTAGGTGTCCTTGATATAGGATTAAGAATCGTTTTCCCACTTTTCTATTTCCAATTTCTTGGTTCTGCTCAGACCAACCTAAGTTGATAATTAAAAAGTTATCCTCTTAAATCAATTTCTATTGTCCTTGTTTTTCAGCATGATCTCAATTATATGCTAATCAGAGTTAACATTTACCCGAAATGTAACTATATGCGCAATTTGTTTTCTTCTCAGGCTGACCCATGAATGAATGCTAACTACCATTAAATCCAAACACATCCTCAGCAATCCCATTATTAAATATTGGAAGCACACTCATTTGGAATGGTGACTAAAATTTTTAGATGGCAACATAATCTGTATTTGTCAAAGTTCTTTTTCAGTCAGTAAGAGAATTCAACCTTCAAAACTGAAATGTTAAGGCTGCTGGTTGGCAGCACGAAATTGAATGCAAAGAGCCTGTTTTGGATCACCGCTTAGCTGCGAAGGTCAATAAGGCCTTGTTTGTACCATCTAAAGTTTATGCATAAATTTAACAGCATAAACAGATACTCTAGTCAATTTACATTCTCAACAGCAACTCTGCATTTACAATTTTTTTCTGTCTTCTGAAATAGGAAAAAAGAAAAGAACAATCTAATTGATTGCACAAAGTGTCTCCCTTACAATTTTCTTAAAAATATCAGGACAGCTGTGTTTCATTTCAGAGTTCCCCATCCTCAGATCTGGGCGCAATCACGTGTTGCTCAGAATACTGAGGCTTCTAAGAAACTCTATGAAGAGCCTAACGATGTTGTCCTTCTACAGAATGCTTTCCAAAATCCACAAAGAAATTGCTCTGCTAGGGATCCTGAAAATCTCATCAGCTGCAATTTCCTCTTCTCATTCCTGAAACTCTGTATGTTTGTTAAAAAGCCGAAGGGAAATTCTAATTAAGAGCACATTTCTTACATGGATAAGACATGAAAGTCACTTTGACTGATGGTTAATCATTTTCAGCATGACTCTGATTCTCCATCTACTATTCATACTAAATGCCAATGAATGGGTTTCAAACGAAAGAAAAAAAAAGCTTCTGTGCGATAGTTTTTTTTTTTCACTGAAATAATGAGGAATACAGTACCACATTTACAAGGGATAAAGGGATTAACATTAAATATTCACTCTGTACTGTAATATTATACTTTTAAAAACCCTGCCTTTTCTAATGAATAAGAGATTCTTATATATTAAATCACCTTTTTTGCTGAAAATAAATTAATCTGGCCAGTGGGTCGAATGGAAAATCTAAAAAGAGTTCCTGGCAAAAACAAACAAACAAAAATAATACCAGGTGATTCCAGCTATAAGAAGCTTCGCCTTATGGGAATAGAGTACGGTTATTTTTTTTAAATGGCCTTAAAATACTAAGAACAATGTGAGATTGTATTTCTATGAGTAAACACTCACATCTGTAGAAGAATGCATGATGGTTCGGACCAGCCTAGAAAGGCTTCACTGGAGGTGAGGGACATGAAGGTGAAGGACGCAGAACTGAGTTGCCTTGGAGAAGGCAGAGGCTTGGTGGTCATGAATATGGACTCTGGAGCCAGACGACCTGGTTCCATTCCCACTCCACCTCTGACTGGCTATGTGACCTCGAACAAGCTTTCTTGCTGCTCTGTTTCCTCACCTCTAAAATGGGTATAATAATAGCATCTCTCCATAGGGTTGTTCTGAGGATTAAATGAGCTAATATTAAAAGATCTTTGAAGAGTGCCTGACAAATAAATGCTTTATAAGTCTTGGCCAGTATAACTGTTTTTAGATGGATGGTGAAGATTCAGAGAAGGGGAACCAAAGGGCAAGGACTCCCTGGGGGAATAGGAACAACTTGGGCAAAAACAGACACCGTGAGAATGGCATATCTATGTCATGGCCCCAGTGTCAATGTGGGTTTAACAACATCAAATTCATTTCAGGAAAGAAGCAGGTCAACACTACCTGGGGTCTCACTCTGCTAGTTTGGTCTGACAGGGAAGGAGCCTGCACGTGGTGAAAAGTCAGAGCCTGTTTCTTTCCTTTCCTTTTCCTGGCATATTTCCAAGCCAGTAATTGACTTTGAAAAGAGACCAGCAGCTGCCATTTCTTTTTCAAAGCTTACAGGGAGTATATGGATAAGGAGCAGGTTTGTAATCCATTCTGTCCCTTATTCTGTGTGTGGAGTGCAATGGACGAAGAACTTTGGAAAGAAGGCAGGTGACTGGTTCAAATTTCCTTGTAAACAGGCATGCTAATGACAGACCTGACAAACACATTTATGGTACTCACTAGTGAAAGAGTCATTACAAATAGATTGCTTTTAGTAGGATGTATCTGGTCTATCTAGGATTGCTTATGGTAAACAAACCTGGGATCTCAACGATCTGTGAGATAAAAAAATAGAAAAATAGAAAATGTCACATAAGCTACTGAACTCTCTAGTATAAAATGGAGATTCTCTTTCTGTGTAAGCAATGTGAATTGAACACATCGCTTACACACCTCCTATGCTAGTCTTGGCCCAAAGTAGATCCTAATGCAGCAAGAAAAACCATGGTGTGCTGCGTTGGAGGTCTGAGACCACTCCCTGCTGTGCCTGCACCCTGAAATTACTGTGTCATTGAAATTATTGGTCAAGTTCGATACTAGATCAGATCTCTATAATGTGTGAGTATGATTTCACTATCTGGTGCTTTGTGTTGTCTAGGCATATTTTTAATAACTATGAACAATTCTAGCTTTCATTTGCTCCTTCTCTGTGCCACTCTTCACAAGCTAATGGGCTGATCACACAGAAGGAAGGGGTATGGGGTGGATTGTTAAAGAGCAGGAGTTTTGGGTGACTCCCCGACCCATGGGCTGCAAGACTATGGGCAGATTCATCAATCTGTCTTCACCTCAGCCTCCTCATCTGAAAAATGGAGAGAGCCACACCCCCTCAAGGGATTGCTGTGAGAACTAAATGAACAATACGGTATACTTAAAGGACATAATACAGCACTTAAAAGTATACTAAATACTTTCCAAATCATAGCTCTTGTTAATACTAAAGGAAGATCTTATTGAATCCCACATTAATGACTTGCTGGTATATAAGGGAAGGGAGAGAAACAGTAAAATGAGAAAGATTCTGTTCCTTTCACTTAATTTTATGCCCATGTTCTCCTTGTTCTGTTCTCTTGAAGCTTGGTAATAAAGAGCACACAGTCGGACGGGAGATTTGCAAGGAAAACTTTAGTCCTACCTTTTGAATCAGATTTTTAAAAACATTTTAAAATATTGCTACTTGCTTGGTATGTCATTTCTGGAGTTAGCAAAACTAGTTCCAAAAATTGCCACCAGTTTAAAGAAACATTTTTATTTTTTTAACAGCTGAATTGCAGTATTACTTCTAAAGCGAACATATTTCTTTGGCTTATTTTCAATACTACCCTTCTTTGAACTTCTTTTCGTGTATGTGCTGTGTGTCCTGCTGATATTCTGATAGCCTCAAAATGAAATTAGAATAAACCTACAAACACTAACGAGGTTGAAAAGAGCAAATTTTGTTTTCTAAGGACTTCTGGGTAGCCTATTTTTATTGTTCTGAAACTGCTACTTCTAAGTTTTAATCAGATCTATGATGGGTGATTTTAGGAGGAAGAAGGGTAGGGCCCTTAAAGGAATGTTACCTGTATGTTTCAAAGACTTAATATTATTGAATTTCAAAAACATACAATAAAACATATAAATGATCATTCCTCCACTACCATCTTTTGTCAAGAAGTTATACAAATAAACCCTCTGGTTATTCTACTGCAAAGAATATATCCAGCCAAAATAACCTGACAATCTGAGGAATGTCTTCACAATATTCACACTACAGTCAATTGCACTGTAGTTATCTGTCACCTCATTTCACATATAAAGATAAATGATCAACATTATTATCAATAAAAAACTACTGATAGCTAGAACAGAACTCATAAGTCTTAAATCAAGAGGTTAATATATTCAAAACCATCTGATTGCCAGCAAGCAGAGAGCAGTTACAACACGTTCCATACAACTAAACTCATATTATCTTTTAATTAAAATACGCTCACTGAAACTAATCCAGTTAGAATCTACTTTCACGAGGGCATAGTTAATGTGCTTTCTATATTCCATGGTGCTTAAATCATAGGATGAGGTGTTTCCCATTAAAAATAATGTCTGGCTGGGCCCTACGATACTCCTGTTTTCCTGTACAATTCAGGAAATGAATCACATTTCTGAAAATCACTCGGAATCACAGTGAGCCACTCAAATATGTCAGCATTAGACATTTCACTTGGCCAATTCATCCTTCAAAAGTTTTAATTTACATGTTTACTAATATCCTTCTTAGCTGCTTCCTTGCTGAGTTATTAAGATTGGTTGGTGATTACATTTGTATGATCCATATTAATCAATACAATGTTAAATGCATTTTTGCACATATTTTCCTCACTGCTGCAAAGTAATGCACTATTTATGTCTTTTGCATGATGTTGTTTGAATCTTTAATGTGCTATAACTCACAAATGACTTAGTGGGTCAGTTTAATGGTGAAATATTTTGATTTGTGGATTATTCCTCCCTTTAATCACTAACAGACACCTACATTTATGTTAACTTTTAACTTGTTTTCACATTCATTATTTTATGTTACCCAATAGATCCTCAGCAATCCTGTGGAATAGGTAGGATAGATTCTTCAATGGGTAAAACAGACATACAGGCCGGGTGCAGCGGCTCATGCCTGTAATCCCAGCACTTTGGGAGGCCAAGGCGGGTGGATCACCTGAGGTCAGGAATTCGAGACCAGCCTGTCTGACATAGTGAAACCCCGTCTCTACTAAAAATACAAAAATTAGCTGGATGTGGTGGCAGGCGCTTGTAATCCCAGCTATTTGGGAGGCTGAGGCAGGAGAATTGCTTGAACCTGGGAGGTGGAGGTTGCAGTGAGCCAAGATTGCACCATTGCACTCCAGCCTGGGCAACAAGAGCAAAAACTCAAACAACAACAAAAACAACAACAACAAAAAACTGCAGACATATAGATGAGTTAATAATTTGTTCAGGTCACGCAGCTGGTTAGTTAAGGAATATGGACCACGTTTCAAGTGGTTTTTCTCATACATCAGACCAGATCTAATTTCAGATAAAGATCAAACTTAAATATTCACTGAAGAAAATGGATACCACGATTGATACAGCATCTGGGTAACAATCTCGTGCATTGCTTTCTGAAAAGCGTAAATCCAAGCAAAGTGGGCAGGAGAGCAATTGATACAACCTCTCTAAAAAGAAATCTGTTGATCTGTAACAAGAGCTTATTCCATTTCTAGGAGTCAAGAGACATTGTCAGACACACAAGCAAAGATTTATGTTCGAAGGCATTTGTCCCATGTTTAAGTTAAATCTGTTTTAACCATTTAATCATTTAAATACAATGAAATAGCTTTTAATAAAATAGGTTATGGGTGATTTTTTATTTTTCTTAACTTTTCAGTATTTTCCAAGATTTTTCTTTTATTTATTTACTTATTCTTTTTTGGCAGGGCCTGTCTCTGTCACCTAGGCTGGAGTGCAGTGGCATGGTCACAGCTCACCGCAGCCTTGACCTCCCTTGCTCAAGTGATCCTCCTGTTTGAGCCTCCTGAATAGCCAGGACTACAGGTGTGCACCACCATGCCCAGCTAATTTTTGTATTCAAGATTTTTCAAAAAGTCTATTCTTCCACAGAAATGAGTCTTCTGAGAATCCAGGCAACACCAAGGGGTCACCCAATATGCTTTCAGTTGTAAGACTTGATAACTTTCACACAGACACACACACACACACACACACACACACACACACACAGCACACATAAGTAAGTTTTTAGCAATTCAAGATGTGGGAAGGCCACTTGTCTGATTTTCTAAACAAAAAGCAGGGATTGAGAGCTATTTCCTCCCTCCCTGTCAACAGGGTTAGAAAATTACAACACTAGGCCGGGCGCCGTGGCTCACGCCTCTAATCCCAGCATTTTGGGAGGCCGAGGTGGGCGGATCACAAGGCCAGGAGACCGAGACCATCTTGGCTAACACGGTGAAACCCCGTCTCTACTAAAAATACAAAAAAAAAAAAAAAAAATTAGCCGGGCGTGGTGGCAGGCGCCTGTAGTCCCTGCTACTCGGGAGGCTGAGGCAGGAGAATGGCATGAGCCCCGGAGGCGGAGCTTGCAGTGAGACGAGATCGCGCCATTGCACTCCAGCCTGGGCAACAGAGCGAGACTCCGTCTCAAAAAAAAAAAAAAAAAAGAAAGAAAATTACAACACTAGTGCCTCCACTCTTCCTCTGCCCCTCCCTGTACCCTAGCAAAAAGGCAGACATTGCTAGTCTATCACGGTACTCATTCCAATGAGTGAGAACATGCCTCAGACTTCTGCTAGGATCCAGACAGCCACTACCCAGTTCAGCATTGGCATGTGGAGTGTAACCTTTTTACTGTTTCTGACATAGACTCTACCAGTAAACATTTTCAAGTTGTGATGATAAAATGAATTTGGCCAGATGGCTTCCTTTTTGGTTCAAGATCTTTTTAAGATTTTACCCCACAGAGATGATCTGCTCAATTTGCATGAAGCCATGGCAGAACATCAGAGTTCTACCATATGGTTCAATATTGATCAATATTTGGGGATTGTAGAAGACTGTCAAATTTATTCCAAATAGCAGAAGATCCAGTGAGCGAATTGCTAGCTAGTATGTATAAATACCACAAATTCATATGTGAAAGTTGGATCCAATCTAGAAAAAAAAAAATGTTGCCACAAGAAACATGGAGCTCAACAATTAACCCTTGCTATTGGTTAAAATTGAATAACAAAGGGATTCTGAAATAACAGAAATGAGAAACAATGTATTTCAAATGAACAGCCCTTCTATAGATTAGAAATACTGTTAAAGCCAGAAAAGAAGAGTCAAAGATCCCAAATATTGCCTTAGTCATTGCAGACTGTGCTGGATAATAAAATAAGAGTAAGAAAAAGCCCACTCATATGTATCTGGGTTAATGGGGCCAAGCAGATAGTCCAATAAATAGTGTGAAGCAGGGAATTTCTTTCTGGGTTTCCTAGTCCTACCATCTGAGGGGAGGGTTCAAAAGAAGATCCAGAGGCAGTCTAATTGCAGTTCTAAAGTCAAAGAGGGTGAAATTAGATGACAGCCACTATGTTGAAGTAAAAATCACTGGATTTGGAATTGTAATTCATGGGTTCAAATCCAGACTATGCCACTTACTAATTGTTCAGCTTTTACTTGAACTTTCTAGATGGTTGTCATGAAAGAAAGTCTAATAATTTAAATAAAGTTATTTCATTCCAAGTTGGAGACAAAGCATGAAGGACTTGGCTGATCTCTACCCATCATGTTTCTGCCAACTTCAATGTTGAGATCTTTAACTATCTTTCAAGTCACAGGTCACATTCCAGTGACACCAAAAAGGTTCTCTCTTTTTTTATTCCCTGAGACAGAGTTTCACTCTTGTCGCCCAGGCTGGAGTGCAATGGCGCAATCTCAGCTCACTGCAACCTCTGCCTCCTGGGTTCAGGCAATTCTCCTGCCTTAGCCTCCCTAGTAGCTGGGACTACATGCATGCACCACCATGCCTGGCTAATTTTGTATTTTTAGTAGAGATGGGGTTTCTCCATGTAGGCCATGCTGGTCTCAAACTCATGACCTCAGGTGATCTGCCCACCTTGGCCTCCCAAGGTGCTGGGATTATAGGCATGAGCCACCACGCCCAGCCAGAAGGTTCTCTTAAAAGTTATTTTCCTTCATTAGACCTACAGAACATTTTTTGTGCTCATCTTATAGAACTTGCCCTATCTATTGTTAAAACTATTTTTGTTCTTATCTCCTCCAAATTTAAAAATAGTTAAAGACGGGGTTATGTTTTACAATCCTTCACCAACCACAGAACCTAGCAGAGTGACCTGACCTTTTAGAATTAGCATCTAGGTGAGAATAACTTAAAGAAAGGAAGAGTTATTTTTGTATCCAGTACGAGGTCAGATGATGTAACTGAATCTTCACTTCAACCCTGTGATGTCAGTACTGTGATCCCCATTGTACAACAGAGCCACTGTGGCTCAGAGAGGTCCCCTGTGGTGCCCCAAATCAAGTAGCTGGTAAGTGGACAAGCAGGGATCTAACTCATACCTTGGACTTCAAAGTTGAAGGTCTTTCTAGCTCATGACCAAAGAGATAAGTTATTAAACACAGGTTTCCAGAAAGATAGACTATGCAGCTACCCTGGAATGTCCCCTAAATTATAAGTCCCCTCAAGCAAAGGTGTGTCTGTTTTGCCTTTTTGAATCCCACTGGTTTGAGGCCATTGCTTTTGGCCCCAAGAAGAGATCAGTGAATACCTATTGTTTCCATTGCATTTCCCTGTCAATCACCAGTCATGTCAGGCATGACTTGGCTGTTGTGCAGCACCAATGACATCCACATTTTCCTCCTGCATATCTACCTGTGTCTTTCTCTGAGAAGAAAGGATTTGGATCAGTGGAAAGATCATGGGCTCTGGGATCAGAAGACCCGGGTTAGAATTCTGACTACATGACTATGGTCATGTTAATCATCCTCTTTTAATTCATATCTCAATAAAATGGGTATAGTTATAACAATGTCATTTTCAGGTAGTTTTGAGGAATAAATGATAATATATTAATTTCCTGGCACATAGTGGATAGACAATACATATTCCTTATCTCTGATCCTTTCCTGGACAACCACTGCTAGTGTCAGCTCCAAAACTGCTCTCTTAATATTTCCAACCTGGCCTACATTCCACAGGTAAAATGCTCACTTCATCTATTGCCTACAAAGATGTGTTGCTGGTTCAAGTCCCCAGTTTTGGGGCTCACAGTGTTCTCCAGACAAACAGGAATGTACCTGGAGCACAATTACACCTCATTCGTGGATCCCAGCTCACCAGGAAGCTGTCAATTGGCAAGAATTTAGGTGGGGAATGGCTGGTTATTAATAGAAAGCTTGAAATTAGAGGAAGCGACTATGATTTGACAGCACACTTGTGAAAAGTTATGAAGCCTTGTCTAGAGGATGCTCAAGGAAAAGCAGACTCTTGGTCAGATACACTCAAGAAGGAGTTATTCTACATTTGATTTCTAGCTATCACTTATTTACCTGTTTAATTCAGGAAAAGTTGCTAACCTCTTTAAGCTTCCATTACCTATTACATAAGACAGGATTCATAAATCCTACATCAACACTCTTAGGAGGATTAAAGGGAATTATAGGAAGTGAATGCCCCTGGCCTGGGGTCTAACATAAACAATTAATACCAGTTACATCCAAGTCCTCTCAAACACACCCATGCTTTAAATGCTCTGTTTTTCCCCAAAGCTCTGAAGACAAAATTTAGAGTTACAATGTTGCCAAGAAGATAATGGTTGGAAGGCAGTATAACATAGTGGTTAAAATCATAGACTTTGATTTTAAACAGTCTGAATTTGAATCCTGAATCTACTGTTACTATATGATGTTGGACAATTTACTTACCCCTTCTCTGTCTCAATTTATAAGATGGGAATAATCGTAGTACTTATTTCATAAGAGTGTTGATAGGATGAAAAGAGAAAATTTATCTAAAATATTTAAGTGAATGCCAGGCACACCACAATCCCTAGTAAATGTTAACTACCATTATCTCAGGAATATCTGAATTTATTTATACTTTGCCAGCCATCTGATAAATTAAATATTAAATGTACTACTGAAATAGGCAATGACAAATATTTTATTTCTGACCGATTTTACATTTTTAGTAAGTAAAAAAGCAGGGAGGAGAAATAATAGTTTTTATATCATAGAATATTAGTTAGGAAAAACAGTATCACAAATGTCATTTTTTTACTTCAGTCTATAATTCTGTAGTACTGAAATTGTTTTGCTAGGCTCAAAAATTGAATCACTAGAAAACCAGACTGACAAACCCAATCATGATTTTTACCTTAAGAATCAATACTATTTTGAAAAACTACCTATCTGAATTTATTAGAAACAAATCAATAAATTACACACACACACTCATCCAAATACTTCTTAAAAACCCATGTAACTAAAGAAACTATAACAACTTATTGAATTGGTTTTACGGACCTTATCAGTTAATTGCCAAATATCACCAATAGACCAGGGTAAAACAACAAATTGGAGAACCTAATTTTTACCTTTTTTATGTAGGTAAATGTATAAAGTTTACATGGATAATTACTTGACCTACATGGACAATCATATGAAATCAAGACATTTATAATCTCTGTAAAGTATCACAGGATCAAAGTACAAAATGGTTCAATAAATATTTAGCTAAGTTCATAGGTGTCTGGTTATTAGCAAGAAAGGTACCACCAATTCACCTGAATTTTTCAGGTCAGAAACATGGAACTCAGTTATTCTACCTCCTAAAAGGGCTCCTTCCTAATACAGTCAGAGGCAGAAAAGCAAGGAGACAGAACGATTACTTTGGACTACTGCAGTGTGTCTTATACTTTTATGGCTCAATTCTGATTCCTCTTATGAGTGTAGAGGTGATGACTGTGATTTGTCAGTAACCTTGGTTCTCAAGCCAGACTTTACCTCTCAATGTACTTTCTGTAAAATATGACATGTATTTCTTCAATAATTTTACTTCAGTAAAAATTGACCAATAATTAAATCACTACTGATCTCTACTGAATTGCATAAGCAGTTTTTAAAAAATATTTGCTTCATCTGGTTAAAAGTGTAACTCCAAAGACATTTAATTAAATGTCATTTTATTTTAAAAATGAAAAATATGTTTAGTTTCAAATTTTTAAACAATGGCTATTTTATGAATATCTGTTATAGGAAGTAGGAAAATCAGAAAATAATTAACTAAGTGGTCTCATTAAAATAACTTTAAAGATTTAGCTTACTGACCAAGATTCAAGATCTCATTCTCATCTACAGCACGGTAGTACTCTATTATCTCTCTAGAGCAGGGGTTAGCAAGTTTTTTCTGTAAAGGGCTGGGTAGTATTTTAGGATTGTGGGACATATGATCTCTGAAACAACTCCTTGAATTATACTGTTATAGAACAAGGGCAGCCACAGACAGTACGTAAACAAATTAGCATGGCTGTGTTCCAATAAAACTTTATTTGTGGACACTGAAATTAGGACTTCACATAGTTTTCAGATGTCACAAAATTTTTTCAGCCATTTAAAAATATAACACTCCTTCTTAGGTAATGAGGCATACAAAAACAGAAGGCTGGGCAGATCAGGCTTGGTTACTGTAGTTTGCTGAGCCCAGCCTGCTCTAGACATAGCATAGGAATGACACCTCCATTAGAGGCCATTTCCTAATGATGAGAGAGAGAGAGAGAGAGAGAGAGAGAGAGAGAATGTTCACTAAGGACATGATTAGATTCCCTTGATGAGATTCCCAGCCAGATCCTGGAAGTTCTTTTTGTAATCTTTCTCATCTTTCTTTTTCCTCCAAAGATATTTTTAATAACACTTTTTAAACAGTATAAAGAGATCTGAGAATTACAAATGTATACAAAGACCAAAGTAATGTATTAAAGAGGAGAAGAGTTGAATGGCTCCATCACTATTTGCATCTTTTTCTCATTCATTCATTCCTGTGACAAAATTTTGCAGTGCCTACTATGTACACAGTGGCTTGAGAAGGGCCAAGGATGCAGAGATGAATAAGACATAGTCCTTGTCCTGAAGGAGCCCAGGTTCTTAGCAGGAGAGACACAAGTAAACAGGATTCCATCATACTGTGCTATGAGCTAGACTACAGGCATTCTCTGCCTCCAGAGGACCCAGGTCCAACGGTCAACCCTTGCCCGTGTGTCAAAAGCTTCTCAAGTGTTCTGAGCTAAGTTTCAAAGACTGAGTAGGAGTTTTCTTTTTTAAAATTTATTTATTATACTTTAAGTTCTGGGATACATGTGTGAATGTGCAGGTTTGTTACATAGGTATACACATGTCATGGTGGTTTGCTGCACCCATCAACCTGTCACCTAGGTTTTAAGCCCCGCATGCATTAGGTATATCACCCCCTGACAGGCCCCGGTGTGTGATGTTCACTTCCCTGTGTCCACGTGTTCCAATTGTTCAACTCCAACTTACGAGTGAGAATGTGCAGTGTGTGGTTCTCTGTTCCTGTGCTAGTTTGCTGAGAATAATGGCTTCCAGCTTCATTCAAATCATTATATATCATTTGGAATCATTTTTATAAATACTCCCCATTGGTGTGGACAGCCACCATCTGTACAGGTTTAGTGAACTCTCAATGTGTGTCTTATTACATTGTGGGAAATAATTTAGAGCTAACAAATGTTATTTGACATCTATAATGGAGTCCTATAGAAGCAAAAAAATAGTATAATTTTCTTATCTGTCAAATATAAGGAAAGCCCTAAGACCAGTCTGGGGAGAGGCCCTGGCCCTGGGGGTGGCTCTTGGGTCACCCCACCTCTCCCTCAGTCTGTGGTT
The DNA here is from genome assembly GCF_000001405.40 of Homo sapiens. NCBI lineage: Eukaryota > Metazoa > Chordata > Mammalia > Primates > Hominidae > Homo > Homo sapiens. Next base: position 104,402,620 of record NC_000007.14, on the reverse strand, counting down.
AGGGCTTTCAACCCCTCTATTGTGAGGGGGTGAAATGTAATGGGAAGTAGCATAAGTAATCAATTATGTGTGGAGAAAACATACGATTCTCAGCCACAAACTTTAAACACAATAGAACATGGCTATTCTAGATCCATTCCTAATATTTATCCCAAATTAGTTTATAAGGCTCGATGAAATTCTTGGAGGAAAATTCTAAGAGGAAACCAGATCAGCATAAGCAAAATCAATCGTCAAAAGCCCTTGGCTAATAAGCCAAACACAATTTCCTAATTTAAACTTTCTTATAAATTTACTTTAAGTAGGTGGTAGAATCTCCCCCACTTCTCTGAAATTTGGACCTCAGGATGTTGGTGGATTGAGAAGATTAATAAGGGAAAACAAAGAGAATACTTTTGTTTTATGTGTTTGGAAAGCCCAGTGTTTAAAACTTGCAGCACTTTCAGTGGAAGTAAATACACAGTCATCCAAAACTACTCATGACTTGGAAGCTTTTTTGTTTGTTTTTGTTGTTTTTTGTTTTTTTTTTTTTAGTTTATACGGTTATTTCTGATTATACCCATGTGGCCTTATGCCAAATAATTCCTCTTCTGTCTCAGTGTTTTATACTTTTTCAATGCTTGTAGACTGTTATGACTCCTGTGAGTCATTTCTAAGCAAAGCTAGACACTCTTTGCTACTTTAATCTTTCTTCAAGAATTATTTCCATTGTTCCATTAATAATTTGTATTGTCTGTTTTCTCTTCACTGGATCTTTTCTTTAATTTACTGAATGTTTCTCTTAATGAGGGGTGCACGGCTGAGCCGCTCAAACATCAATGGCAAAAACAGAGAATGAGTTTACCTTCTATCTGTTTTTGGAATAAATCTAGTTTGTCCTGACTGCTAAATCAGAGAATGAATGAGTTTACTTCCTATGTGTTTTAAGAATAAATCTAGTTGGTCTTGACTGCTATTTTCTAAATATTCTTTTTCTCAAATTGAATTTCTGAAAAGTATCTGGCACTGGTTATCTTTTTGTTCCTTAAATAAAATTTATTTGAGTTTAGGATTTCTGCTTTAGTCTTTCAAATTCTAAGTTATCTAAAAGGTTATGTTCATTTTTTTCTCTTCTATTGGTCTCTGTCATTTTCTATTTGGTAAATACAAATTATTTTCTGGTCCTCTGAACACTACTGAAATGATTTGGGTGTGTTTATTTAATGAAAATGTTAGCTTAAATGTGATGCTAAATACTTTTTTAAAAATTTCATCTGTTGATTATGGAACTAATTAAAGTTAGATGGTCAGCTATAGCCTTTAAAAAATGAACAAAATAATATTTTTCTCAGGCTTAATTTTCCTCCAAGAATCTCATGGAGCCTTATACACTAATTTGGGATAAATATTAGGAATGGATCTAGAAGAGCCATGTTCTATTGTGTTTAAAGTTTGTGGCTAAGAATTGTATGTTTTCTCCACATATAACTGATTACTTGTGCTACTTCCCATTACAAAATAGGGAACTGAGGGAGAGGTAAGGTGACCCAAGAGCCACCCCCAGGGCCAGGGCCTATCCCCAGACTGGTCTTAGGCCATTCCTTATAGCTGACAAACAAGAAAATTATACTATTCTGTTACTTCTATAGGACTCCATTATAGATGTCAAATAACATTTGTTAGCTCTAAATTATTTCCTACAATGTAATGAGGCACACATTGAGAGTTCACTAAACCTGTACAGATGGTGGCTGTCTACCCCAATGGGGAGTATTTATAAAAATGATTCCAAATGATATATAATGAAAAAATAATAAACAGTTCTTATGAAAAGTGTGGAGAAAGAGGAGGTTAACAATTGGGGTGAAAATATTGATAAAAATTTTGAAATGCTTGTGGCTTTTGCAAAAACTATCAAGAGTAGGTCAATTTAGATCATGCTGAGGGGTATTTGAGTTGTTAGTCTGGCTGAGTGGAGAGGATTTTGTCTTTGGGGTCAAATTTCTAGATTTTTTTCATGTATCACTTATGCAGCATAATAATAATCAGATGACAGGTAATAGAAAACTGGAAATATTGGGCATGAATTACCAATAAATTAAAGAACCTCAGTGTGGTCTACATAGAACATTTGACTTTTTATTTTTAATTTTTAGAAGAACAGAAACAAAATGGCTTATCATTATGGATTACCTTAAGAATATCCTCATAGGTAGCTGAAAGAATTGACCTACCAAATAGGATTAATTATATTCTCCCATTAAATGCTTGACAAAGTCTACCAAATACAACCTTAGTTGCAGTATAATTTATGCCAAACTGTTCTTTCCAACAATAGTTAATTAGCAGGTTCAGACATTTTTTATGTCCATCATCATAAAAGAGAATGCATTCTTTCTCCTTTGAACTACAGTAACTCAACCCTGAGTGAATGCTCAAAGATATAAACCTGTAAAACACATGGAAGGTCAAATTTCAGCTCTCCTGTAGAGTCTTTTTTTTTTTTTTTTTTTTTTTTTTTTTTTTTTTTTTTTTTTGAGATGGAGTTTTGATCTTGTCACCCAGGCTGGAGGGCAATGGTGTAATCTCGGCTCACTGTAACCTCCGCCTCCCAGGTTCAAAGGATTCTTCAGCCTCAGCCTCCCGGGTAGCTGGGATTACAGGCATCTGCCACCATGCCCAGCTAATTTTTGTATTTTTAGTAGAGACAGGGTTTAACCATGTTGGCCAGGCTGGTCTCAAACTCGACCTCACGTGATCCACCTGCCTCGGCTCCCTGATCTTACAGAGTCTTTAGCCAACCCTCTCAACATGACTCTTTGGGGCCACTTCCATGGTAACATAATTACCTTAAGGACAGAAGAACATATGGCCGGGCGCAGTGGCTTACAACTGTAATCCCAGCACTTTGGGAGGCCGAGGTGGGCGGAGCACGAGGTTGGGAGTTCAAGACCAGCCTGGCCAATATGGTGAAACCCCGTCTCTACCAAAAAAAAAAAAAAAAATGCAAAACTTAGCCCGGTGTGGTGGCAGGTGCTTGTAATCTCAGCTACTTGGGAGGCTGAGGCAGGAGAATTCCTTGAACCCAGGAGCCAGAGGTTGCACTGAGCCAAGACTGCGCCACTGCACTCCAGCCTGCCAGCCTGGGCAACAGAGCAAGACTCCATCTCAAACAAACAAACAAAAAAAACCTAAAAAACAAAAAAAAACAGAAGAACATAGTACATTTCCAGGTAATTTACTCTGATCCCATCCAGTTACAGGATAAATGGGAAAAAAATTATCAGAGCAATAGTAAAGTTACATTTAATCGTAACTTACCCAATGAAAGTAAAACTGCCCCAAACACCCATATTCATTGTAATTCTAGATGCTTATTCTAGCACCCTAAATCTGCACCAGGGCCTTGTCCAGCTGGAAACCTACGATATCAAGGGAAGTAAGAGGACATCAGGGGTGGCAGCTCCTGGGGCAGCTCACTGAAACTCTCCATTCCCCAGAAAACCCCATAGGAAGTGACATCTTCCCCCACTATCCTGTGTGTCTTTCAGTAGCACACAGGAACTTTCTGGAAACTAGCGTTTGCCCTCCAACCATAAAGCCTGTCCTTAGAAAGGGAACTGACAACTGTTAAGCATAGCACTAGGGATATCAACACCAACAGAACCTAACCCCTGCCCTCCAAATCTACAACCATCAAGGGAGGAAACCAGGCCAACAAATCATAGCAAAACAGCATGATAGGAGTTGTGATATGGGGACACGTAGCTTCTAAGGGAGTATTCAGGGCCGGGGGGCGGGCATCAGAAAACATTTCCAGAAGGAGGTGACAACAGAAATCTGCCAGCGAAGAACAGAAGAGTGAGAGTGCAAAACGGGATACGGCAGCTGTCCAGGTAGCTCAGAACTGCTAAACCATAATAAGGTGAGACAGGCAGGAAGACTTGGGCTTGAACTTCTTGCTAATGGCTGGAAGATGCTGGGAATTTACTTTATCCCTCTGTCTCAGTTTTTTCTTTTGAAAAATAGGATAAGAAATGTAGGATGGATGTGAGAATTAAATGAGACAATACATGTGGAAATGCTTTATATACTATAAAGCATCAACAATGTTAGTTATTGCTTTTACTGGAACAGTTTCTCAGATGCCCCCTCTCTTTGCCCTAGTTCCATTACAAAGTGACTAAAAGGCAATCCACAAACAACATGAAGAAAATGATTGAGATAGAACAGCAGTAGATGACTAGCTCTGGAGGAGATTACCTTTGCATGTGTGATATTCTGTGTTTCCTCATTCAGGTTATGATATTTGAAAACAGGGATGGAGGCCTGGAGCCTGTCCCTTCCTCCTACTTTTGACATGGAAGATAATACAGGGTTGCTTACCCTGGGATCTAAGTGTGAACAAGTGGAAAGAGTACCATGAACTTGTTACAAGATGTTGGTCCTCACTTACTTCTGCCGTTCATGCTAGACGCCAGCACTTCTAAAACCTTCAGAGGAAGATTTTACGTAGGTGTGATCTTTCTGTTAGAAGAAAGTTGAAGAAAAGCTGTAGAGACTTACAAAAAAAAAAAAAAAGTTAAATGCATAGAAGATAATACCCATGTCAAAAATGAAAAGGAGTTGGATTATCATCCTAAAAGAGATAAACATAAAATCAAGGTTCACCCTGTCTATCATGAGAAACTGCGCATTTGAAGCAGTTCTGTTTTCTGCTCTCAATGAAACTCAAGGTAAACTATGTGTCCATAGGATCCTTGGCATGTGCTATTTCCTTAACAAGGAATGTCCCTCCTCTGTTCACTGTCAAGTTCCCCCACACTTCCTCCAAAGCCAAGTCTGCTGTCACCTTCTTTTTGAACTAAACACTCCTTGATTTATACTGCTTTTTTTCTGGTTGTTCACACCCCTTCCTTCTGCCTTTCATGTAGTAAATAAATACTCAGGAGGTGTTTGCTGAAGAAGCGGGCTGCTGGAGAGTAAGAAATGTCCCTCCCTCTGTCACTAGAGTAGGTATGCAGTGGGAGGAGAGACTGCTCCCAGAGAAGGAGGAAAGGAAAGTGCCGTCCCCCGGGGGAAACTAGGGGTAAAGTATATGAAGTGGCTGAAGACTTCTTGACCAACAGTTACATGTTTCTATTCTGTCTCCACAACGATGAACCATGAATCCCCAGGAATATCTGAAGGGTCTTAGGTTTTCTTAGGTGGTGTGGTGAAAAGGTAAAAAATTAAGTACAACACAATTTCATTTCATATAAATTTTAAAAATAATGAAATAAATGGGGAAGTTAGGAAGAATATGGTAAAGTGCTGAAACCAAACAAATAAATTATTCTCTACTTTTGGGGCTAACAGAGTGTTTACTTAAGATAAAAATATTACATAATATAAAATCACAGCCTATAACTTTTACTTTAATGGCATTCATATAATTTTATTGGAAAATTCACTTGCTACTAATTATTTGAAATCAAATGTCTCAAGTTCTATAAGAACATTTTCATGTACTAATATATATTTTTATATTTGATTTTATTTTCAGTCTTCTCTGATTTCCAGATTTTCATGGAAACTTCCCAGGTATATTCATTTGATGTTTTTTAATCCAACCAAGCAAAATACTACAACTAAAAACAGAAGGAAATCTCTGCGAGCTTTTCTTTTTTTTAAGACAGTGTCTCACTCTGTTGCCCAAGGCTGGAGTGCAATGTTGCGATCTCGGCTCACTGCAACCTCAGCCTCCTAGACTCAAGTGATCCACCAGCCTCAGCCTCCTGAGTAGCTAGGACCACAGACGCAGGCCATCACGCCCAGTGAATTTTGTGTGTGTGTGTGTGTGTTTTTGGTAGAGGCAGGATTTTGCCGTGTTGCCCAGGCTAGCCTTGAACTCCTGAGCTCGAGCAATCTGCCCACCTCAGCCTCCTAAAGTGCAGGGATGACATGCATGAGCCACTGCGCCTGCCCTCTGCACACTTTTTATCTTTTTTTTTTTTTTTCTAATTTTGTACCATATTTCATGGCAAAAATGCAGGAGAATCTAATGAAGGGTATGGGCTGGAGAAAAGAGGATGCCTCTGACTTTTCTAAATTGAACCTGATGCACCTTCAATATTCTAGATGTTATCCTTTCCTTGAGGAACCCAGCATTATAGTATTTAACCCTATCCTCACTGGCCCCACTCTGCTTTCAGTTGGTTAGTCAGCCTCTTATCAACTTCTCTGTATCTTACCATAGCCGCTGCTCTGGAGACCTTCATCTCTGGGCTTTCATGTCTCTTGTGTCATTGCTATTTTGTGTCCTTTTTTGCCATCCCCATTTCTCACCTTTTGACCTCCTTCCTGCTCTCCTGTAGCAGCGAGTCTTTAGCAACCATTTGTACATTATGGTCCTAACATAAGGCAGGCAACTGAAGAGAACTTGCCTAACTCTCTTTCCTAAGAATCTAGAATAGGTACAAGACAGTTGGTCCCTCTTAGTGTGGCTAAACCTGTCACACATAACCTCCAAAGCAATAGAGTGGCCATCTTTTCTACCATGTGAACCCAAGGCCAGGGATAGCTGCTCTACAGAGTGGGCAGGATGAAGAGGAGCTGTCTGGGTGATCTTCCAAAGCGTCCTTCCCTCAGTCCCACCTGCCTTTTTGCCATTGGTACCAGTGAGATGACCCGAGATTTCCCTTTTTGGACTTAGGTTTACTTGCCTATTTCTATCATTTATAACCAAAATAGTCTTTACTAATAAGTGCACATTCATAAAAAGGAAAGTTTTATTTTTTGAGAGTGTTGCAAAGTCTAAATAAAACTAGCTGAACATCATAAACGTTAGAAAATAAAGAATAAATAGCATTGTGACTTAGTCCTTTATATGAAATTACCTGGTGTCCTAGAAAAATCTAGGCTGAGGAAATTTATTTGCATAAAGTATTGAATGTTTGGGACAGAGCAGAAATTGAGACAGAAAAATGCATGAGAAAGCCAGTATCTCAGTGGCAGGCAATTTATTTCTTCCACCTGTCGCACAATTACTCCTACCTCTCCTAACTCCTGCTTCTCCTGTCAGTCAGTGGGTCCTTCTGATAACCAAATACATAAAATTATGGAGAGTGTCTCTGGGGTAGGAGTGGAGGAGAAAGTCTGGGAGAAGGTGGCAAAGAAACTGGCTGCCAATTTCAGAAAATAAATTATTGCCTGTAATGATACAAGTGACACTAAGTGGCAGACTGGCTGGAGCACACAGGTAAGTCACTGAATGTACTAAAAGAATTGGGAAATGTGTGAGCAAACAGGAGGATCTTGCTACTGCAATTATTACCTAACTGCTCCAAACTGACAAATCACAGGTCAGCCTTTTTAACTGACTGTGGACACAGTATTCAGGAAAAAGTTAGATTTAATTTTTTACATGTTCCTTGTTTGTTAATTGTGTTAAAAAGAGCCTTGTTAATTAGTAAGCTATCTAACACCAAATGAAATAATTCTAAGATTTTGTAAACTGACCATTAGAATCCCTCCTCCTCTGTGTCTGTCATGCCAATGAAGCGTATACTAGATGTTGGATAGTTGTGGTATACAATAAGCTCATTGGGCAAGAACAAGTTACAGCATACGGTAGCTTGGGTTCTTAGAAAATGACGACTAGCAGCCTGGCGTGCTGGCTCATGCCTTTAATCCCAGCAGTTTGGGAGGCCGAGGTGGGTGGATCACAAAGTCAGGAGTTCGAGACCAGCCTCGCTAAGATGGTGAAACCCTATCTCTACTAAAAATACAAAAATTATCCTGACGCGGTGGTGGGTGCCTGTAATCCCAGCTACTCGGGAGGCTGAGGCAGGAGAATCGCTTGAACCAAGGAGGTGGAGGGTGCAATCAGCTGAGATTGTGTTACTGCACTCAAGCCTGAACAACAGAGCAAGACTCCATTCCAAAAAAAAAAAGAAAATGACGACTAGCAATTATAACAAACTAATGTCAATTGCCTTATTAATGCTAACCAGAATGTTTAAAAAGGAAATATAAAATCAATAATGATGTGTATATATTTACATTTTCATCCATAGTTTTGTTACAAAAATTAATTCTCCTGATGGAAATGTAGGCAAGAAAACTACCACTACCCTAAAATAAATAAAACATGCTCAAAGAGGATTTCTTTTACTTTTTTTAGAAATGGCTATTTATCTCTTTATGAGTATGAAAAAAATTTTTAAAGAATCAGGAAACCTAGAAGGGTATACAAAAGATAATTAAAATTACCTAAATTATACCACCATTAATTAATATTTCTGAGGTTATCTTTTCAGACCTTTTTACTCCAGTCTGTTCATTTGAGGACCAGAGGCACAGATGCAACCTGGGAGCTTGTTAGAAATGATGAATCTCAGGCTGCACTCAGACTTATTGAATCAGAGCATGCATTTTAATGAAATTCTGCAAGTGATCTGATGTACAGTAAAGTCAAGAACCACTACGCTAGGTAGTCTTTCAGTCTTGCCAAAATGTTGAAGTAGAGTTTTAAAGAACAGTTGTATTAAAACATAATTCACATACTAAGCAATTCATTCTTTTAAAGTGTACAAATTAACATTTTTTAGTATATTCAGAGAGTTGTATAGCCATTGCTACTATATAATTTTAGAACCTTCTCATCAGCCTCCCAAGAAATCCATCCCATTAATAGTCATTTCCCACTCCTCCTACCCTCAAACTCCTAGCAATCATTAATTTATCTTCTGTCTCTAGGGATCCATTTTGTACAAATTTCATACACATGGAATCATACCATATGTGGTCTTTTGTGACTAGCTTCTTTCACTCAGCACAATATTTTCAATATTCATTCATGTTGTAGCACACAGCAGTACTTCATTCCTTTTTATTACTGAATAATATATTCTTTGTATGAATATATGATTTTTTTTCTTTTTTTGAGACAGAGTCTCACTGTGTTACCCAGGCTGGAGTGCAGTGGCATGGTCTCGGCTCACTGCAACCTCTGCCTCCCAGGTTTAAGTGATTCTCTTGCCTCAGCCTCCTGAGTAGTTGGGATTACAGGTGTGCACCACCATGCCCAGCTAATTTTTGTATTTTTAGTAGAGACGGGGTTTCACCATGTTGATCAGGCTGGTCTCGAACTCCTGACCTCGTGATCCTCCCACCTTGGCCTCCCAAAGTGTTGGGATTACAGGCATGAGCCACCATGCCCAGCCTGACATTTTGTTTATTCATTATTCATTGATGAACATAATTTTTTTTTTTACTTTGTGGTTATTATGGATCTTCATGCATATGTTTTTGTGTGATATGTTTTCATTTCTCTTTAGGACCTACCTAGGAGTGGAACTGCTAGGTCATATGGTAACTTTATGTTTCATTGTTGGAGAAACTGCCAGACTATTTTCTAAACTTGCTTCATCATCTTACATTACGACCAGCAAGGTATGAGGTTTCCAATTTCTCTGCAACCTCAACATTATTTATTATTTTCTGACTTTTTGATTCTAGCCATCCTAGTGGGTATGAAGTGGTATCTCATTGTTTTCATTTCCATTTCACTGATGACTAATGATGCTGACCATCTTGCCATATGCTTATTGGCCATTTGTATATCTTTCTTGAAGAAATCTCTGTTCAGATCCTATGCTCATTTTTAAATTGGGTTGTTACTTCTACGCAAATAAATTAGAAAATCTAGAAGAAATGGATAAATTCCTGGACACATACACTCTCCCAAGACTAAACCAGGAAGAAGTTGAATCCCTAAATAGACCAATAACAGGCTCGGAAATTGAGGTAATAATTAAGAGCCTACCAACCAAAGAAAAGTCCAGGACAAGACAGATTCACAGCCAAATTCTACCAGAGGTACAAAGAGGAGCTGGTACCATTCCTTCTGAAACTGTTCCAATCAATAGAAAAAAAGGGAATCCTCCCTAACTCATTTTATGAGGCCAGCATCATCCTGATACCAAAGCCTGGCAGAGACACAACAAAAAAAGAGAATTTTAGACCAATATCCCTGATGAACATTGATGCAAAAATCCCCAATAAAATACTGGCAAACCAAATCCAGCAGCACATCAAAAAGCTTATCCACCATGATCAAGTGGGCTTCATCCCTGGGATGCAAGGCTGGTTCAATATACACAAATCAATAAATGTAATCCAGCATATAAACAGAACCAAAGACAAAAACCACATGATTATCTCAATAGATGCAGAAAAGGCCTTTGACAAAATTCAACAGCCCTTCATGCTAAAAACTCTCAATAAATTAGGTATTGATGGGACATATCTCAAAATAATAAGAGCTATCTATGACAAACCCACAGCCAATATCATACTGAATGGGCAAAAACTGGAAGCATTCCCTTTGAAAACTGGCACAAGACAGGGATGCCCTCTCTCACCACTCCTATTCAACATAGTGTTGGAAGTTCTGGCCAGGGCAATCAGGCAGGAGAAAGAAATAAAGGGTATTCAATCAGGAAAAGAGGAAGTCAAATTGTCCCTGTTTGCAGATGACACGACTGTAAATTTAGAAAACCCCATCATCTCAGCCCAAAATCTCCTTAAGCTGATAAGCAACTTCAGCAAAGCCTCAGGATACAAAATCAATGTGCAAAAATCGCAAGCATTCCTATTCACCAATAACAGACAAACAGAAAGCCAAATCATGAGTGAACTCCCATTCACAATTGCTTCAAAAAGAATAAAATACCTAGGAATCCAACTTACAAGGGATGTGAAGGACCTCTTCAAGGAGAATTACAAACCATTGCTCAATGAAATAAAAGAGGATACAAACAAATGGAAGAACATTCCATGCTCATGGATAGGAAGAATCAGTATTGTGAAAATGCTCATACTGCCCAAGGTAATTTACAGATTCAGTGCCATCCCCATCAAGCTACCAATGACTTTCTTCACAGAATTGGAAAAAACTACTTTAAAGTTCATATAGAACCAAAAAAGGGCCCGCATTGTCAAGGCAATCCTAAGCCAAAAGAACAAAGCTAGAGGCGTCACACTACCTGACTTCAAACTATACTACAAGGCTACAGTAACCAAAACAGCATGGTACTGGTACCAAAACAGAGATATAGACCAATGGAACAGAACAGAGCCCTCAGAAATAATACCACACATCTATAGCCATCTGATCTTTGACAAACCTAACAAAAACAAGCAATGGGGAAAGGATTCCCTATTTAATAAATGGTGCTGGGAAAACCGGCTAGCCATATGTAGAAAGCTGAAACTGGATCCCTTCCTTACACCTTATACAAAAATTAATTCAACATGAATTAAAGACTTAAACGTTAGACCTAAAACCATAAAAACCCTAGAAGAAAACCTAGGCAGTACCATTCAGGACATAGGCATGGGCAAGGACTTCATGTCTAAAACACCAAAAGCAATGGCAACAAAAACCAAAATTGACAAATGGGATCTAATTAAACTAAAGAGCTTCTGCATAGCAAAAGAAAGTACCATCAGAGTGAACAGGCAAACTACAGAATGGGAGAAAATGTTTGCAATCTACCCATCTGACAAAGGGCTAATATCCAGAATCTACAAAGAACTCAAACAAATTTACAAGAAAAAAACAAACAACCCCATCAAAAAGTAGGCGAAGGATATGAACAGATCCTTTTCAAAAGAAGACATTTATGCAGCCAACAGACACATAAAAAAATGCTCATCATCACTGGCCATCAGAGAAATGCAAATCAAAACCACAGTGAGATACCATCTCATACCAGTTAGAATGGCGATCATTAAAAAGTCAGGAAACAACAAGTGCTGGAGAGGATGTGGAGAAATAGGAACACTTTTACACTGTTGGTGGGGCTGTAAACTACTTCAGCCATTGTGGAAGACAGTGTGGAGATTCCTCAAGGATCTAGAACTAGAAATACCGTTTGACCCAGCCATCCCATTACTGGGTATATACCCAAAGGATTATAAATCATGCTGCTATAAAGACACATGCACACATATGTTTATTGTGGCACTATTCACAATAGCAAAGACTTGGAACCAACCCAAATGTCCACCAGTGATAGACTGGATTAAGCAAATGTAGCACATATACACCATGGAATACTACGCAGCCTTAAAAAAGGATGAATTCATGTCCTTTGTAGGGACATGGAGCTGGAAACCATCATTCTCAGCAAACTATCACAAGGACAGAAAACCAAACACCGCATGTTCTCACTCACAGGTGGGAATTGAACAATGAGAACACTTGGACACAGGTTGGGGAACACTACACACTGGGGCCTGTTGTGGGGTGGGGGCAGGGGGGAGGGATAGCATTAGGAGATATACCTAATGTAAATGACAAGTTAAAGGGTGCAGCACACCAACATGCCACATGTATACATATGTAAGAAACCTGCACGTTGTGCACATGTACCCTAGAATTTAAAGTATAATAAAAATAAAAAATAAAAAATAAATTGGGTTGTTAGTCTTTTTATTGCTGAGTTGTAAATGTCCTTTATATATTCTGCATACTAGACCCTTAACAGATATATGATATTTTCTCTCATTCTGTGGGTTGTCTTTTCATTTTTCTTAATGTCCTCTGATGCACAAAAAGTTTTAATTTTAACTTTGATGAAATCCAATTTATTTATTTTTGTTGTTGTTTGTGATTTTGGTGTCATATTAAAGAAAGCATTACCCAAGATCAGGAAGATTTACTAACACATTTTTTCTGGCAGTTTTATGGTTTTAATTCTAACGTTTAGGTGTGTAATTGATGGTGAGTTGATTTTTATATATGGTATGAGGTAGGTGGCCCAACTTCATTCTTTTACATATGACTATCCAGTCATTCCAGTACCATTTGTTGAAAAGACTATTTTTTCTTTCTCTATAGAATGGCCTTGACATCCCTGTTGAAAATCAATTAACTATAGATGTGTACATATATTTCTGGACTCTCAATCCTATTCCTTGATATATATGTCTATCCTTATGTCAGAACCACACTGTCTTAAATAATGTAGCTTTGTAGTAAGTTTTGCAATTGGGAAGTGTGAATTCCCCAACTGTTCTTCTTCTTCAAAACTTTTTATTATTTTGAACCTCTTATACTTTTATAGAAATTTTAGAATCAACTTGTTGATTTCCACAAAGGAACCACTGGAGGTTTGGATAGGGGTTGCATTGAGTCTGTAGGTTATTTAAGGAAGCATTGCCATCTTCATATTATGTCGTCTGGTCTATACACATGAATTGCCTTTCCAATTATTTAGTCTTTTAATTTATTTTGACAATGTCTTGTAGTTTTCGGTCTGCAAGTTGTGTACTTTTCATTGAATGTATTTCTGAATATTTTATTATTTTTGATGCTATTGTAAATGGGATTGTTTTCTTAATTTCCTTTTCATATTGGTCATTACTAGTGTACAGAAATACAATTGATTGTTGTATATTGATTTTGTATCCTGTAGCCTTGCTAAACTTATTTATTTGCTCTAATAGTTTTGTATGTGTGTGGATTTCTTAGGGTTTTCTATATGGAAGGACATGTCATCTGCAAACAGATAGTTTTACTTCTTCCTTTCCAATCTCAATGCCTTCTATTTCTTTGTCTTACAAAATTGCCTTGGCTAGAACCTCTGGTATGATATTGAAGAGTGGTAATTGAAGCAGACATTCTTGTTTCTGATCTTAAGAGGAAAGTATTGTCTTTCACTATTAGGATAATGCTAGCTGTGGACTTTTCATAGATGTCTTTTATCAGTTTGAGGAAATTCCCTTCTATTTCTAGTTTGTTGAACACTTTTTTTTCCACCATAAAAGGGGGTTATATTTTGTCAAATGCTATTCCTGCATCTATGAAAGTAATCATGTTTTTTGTCCATTACTCTATTAATATATTACATTGACTTTCAGATGTCAAGCAAACTTATATCTGGGATAAGTGCCACTTGTTCATGGATTATAATTCATTTTACATGTGGCTGGATTCAGGTTGCTAGCATTTTCTTGAGGATTTTGTGTCTATATTTAAAAAGATATTGGTTTTTAATTTCTTGTTACGTCTTTGTCTGATTTTGTATCAAGATAATACTAGTCTCATAGAGTAAGTTGGGAAGTGTTCGTTTTTTACTATTTAGAGAGGTTGGGAAAGATTGGTTTGACCTTCTTTTCAGCACTTTGAATACGCCATTCCACTGCCTTCTGGACTTAACAATTTCTGGTGAAAAGTCAGCTGTATGTCTTATTGAGGATCCCTTTTACATGATAAGTTGTTTCTCTCTTGTCACTTTCAAGATTCTCTCTTAAAACAGAATTACCTTTGACTCAGCAATCCTATTATTGGGTATACACCCAAAGGAATATAAATCATTATACCATAAAGACATATGCATGTGTATGCTCACTGTAGCACTATTCACAATAACAAAGACATGGAATCAATCTAGGTGCCTATCAACAGTGGATTGGATAAAGAAAATGTGGTACATATACCCCATGGAATACTAGGCAGCCATAAAAAGGAGTGAGATCATGTCCTTTGAAGCAACATGGATGGACCTGGAAGCCATTATGCTAAGAAAACTAACACAAGAACACCAAATACCACATGTTCTCACTTATAAGTGGGAGCTAAACATTGAGTACATATGGACACAAAGAAGTGAATAAAAGACACTGGGGCCTACTTGAGGGTGGAAGGTGGGAGGAGGAGGAGGATAGAAAAACTACTTATCAGGTACTATGCTTATTAGCTGGGTGATGAAATAATCTGTACACCAAACCCATCACACACAATTTACCTATATGGCAAACCTGCACATGTACCCCGAACCTAAAAGTTAAAAAAAATTTCTCTTTGTCTTTCAATAGTTTGACTCTAATGTACGTAGTTGTGGACTTCTGAGTTTATCCTACTTGGAGGTCATTGAGCTTCTTGGCTGTCTAGATAGATGTTTTTCATCAAATTTAGGAAATTTTTGGCCAAAATGTCTTCAAGTATTCTTGCTGCCCTTTTCTCTCTACCTGCACACCTCTCATTCTGAGAGTACCATTATGCATATATTGGTATGCTTGATGATGTCCACAAGTCTCTGAGACTTTCATAATTTCTATTTATTCTTTTTTCTTTGTTTTACAGACTAGATAATCCTGAATGAAATTCCTCCAGTTTTGCTGGTTCTTTCTTCTGTCAGCTCAAATCTGCTCTTGAGCCCCTCTAGTATTTTTATTTCAGTTATTGTACTTTTCTTTTTTTTACTTTCATTTTTTAATTTTGAGACCAAGTTTCATTCTTGTTGCCCAGGCTGGAGTGCAATGGCATGATCTTGGCTTACTGCAACATTTACCTCTAGGGTTCAAGCAATTCTCCTGCCTTAGCCTCCCAAGTAGCTGGGATTACAGGCACCTGCCACCACACCTGGCCATGTACTTTTCAATTCCATACTTTTATTCAGTTTTAAAAATAATCTATAAGTTTGTTGCTGTCCTCTATTTGCTGAGACATCATTTTTATATTTCTCTTCATTTCTTTAGACATGGTTTCCTTTAGTTCTCTGAACATATTTGTAATAGCTGATTTAAAGTCTTTGTCTAATTGGTCCAACATTTTGGCTTCCTCTGGTATAGTTTCTATTAACTGCTTTTCTTCTGTGTATGGGCCAGACTTACCTGTTTCTTTGTGTGTCTTGTAATTTTTTGTTGAAAGGTGGACATTTTAGGTGATACAATGTGGCAGCTTTAAAAATCAGATCCTTCCCCACCCCCACTCCCACCCAGGGTTTTTAGTTGGTGCTCTTTTGTGTTTTTGTTGTTTTTATTTAGTGGCTTTCTTGAAATAATCTGCATTCTAGGTTATTTACACCCATGGAAATCTCTTTGAAGGTCAGCTAATGATTGAACAAAAATTTTCTAAACTTTCTTGAATCAACAGTCTCCCATTCTTTGCCAAGAGGTCCTACACGTATATCAGGGCACATTTGCAATGTTCCACAGTTTACAATTCTGCCTTAGTGCTTTTACTTCCTGCTTTTGCAGAGACTCAAGGTTAGACAGAGGTGAGAAATTAGGGCATTTTCTGGTGTCTCCTGGGCAAGATCACAGCCTTGAATACACACGTGACTTTCTAGAGCCTTAGGGATGGAAGAACTTTCTAAACCCCTGTGGACATCTTGTTCCTCTCATCTTCCTTTTAGGTTTTTAGCCAGGCTCTTTTAATCAGGCTCTTGTTTGCCCCAGTTGTTATCGGAATCTCAGGCAACTGTGGTATTAAACAATCACCAAAGATTGTCTTCAACAAACTCCCTAGGTATAGTGTTTTTCCTACAGAATGAGCTCCAAGTCAGGTCAGATAATGACAATTCCCTGTGAATGGAGCTTTTTAGGGAACTGTGAAATATGTCAAATAATGACAATGCCCTGGGAATGGGACTTTTTGAAAAGTTCCAAACCTGTTATGTCCACTCCAGTGGCTGTTAGGCTGCTGTTTTTTGTTTGTTTGGTTTACAATTACCATCATTGTGAATCAGCTAGTATTCAAGGCTACCACGGAGCTGGGGGAGGAGGATGGGAATAGGACAAGTAAAAATGCCACAAAGCTCACTGTTCTTACCGATATTTCTTGAATAAACGCTTCTTACATTTTTGTAAGCCTTTGGTTAATTTCCAGAGCTCTCAAAAAATTGATTTTGATGATTTTTTTTTTTTGCCAATGTTTTCATTGCTTTTATGGAGGAGTAATTATTGGAGGCCCTTTCTCCACCATTTTGGAAGTGCTTTCTTTTTTCAGACCTTTAAAAATAAGTATTTAAAAACATACTTCCATATTAAAAGAAGAAAATGTGACATTTGATGCATTCGTTTTCTACTTAGAAACATTTATAGTCCACACATTATAATATAGATAAGAAAGTGCAGTTACCTTAGTTCATTCTAGCCTTAAAGTAAAACTCATTATACTTCTTGAATGAATGAATGAATAAATTGCCATGAGTAAGTGAATGAATGATTGACTGAGTGAATGCATGCACAAGTGATGAATACCCATGCTCTCAGGGAACTCAGGTGTCACCAAGAGAGACAGATTGGCTGCATACCAAGATGCCTTCTAGAGAGGCAATCATTATCTTGGTGATTTTACTCTGGTGCCAAATCCAGCCTTCAGCTTTGCAGACTTAGCTTAAAACCAGTCTGTCAGCACATAAATAGGGCCACATCTTTAGGACAGCTTCTCATTAACTCTGCTCAGATATCAATCAGAATGCCATATATTAATTTACAATAAGAATTATAAATGCCATGAGGACCATAATAATTGTATTGCCAAGACTAGTGCATTTTATCCTTGAAGGTAATCTACATGGGAAGACAAATCCTTTTGAGAAGTTTACAGGATGGGCAGAGAAACAAGGCAACAAGAATTGTTACAAAATTCAAATGTTTAATGGTATTGGGCTACCAAGTCCTGATAAACTATTCAGATCTTAACTTCTGCTTTGTTCCTCTTGATTTAGGACCCTAGATATAATGAAATGCTGGGATTACAGGCGTGAGTCACCACACCAGGTTCTCAAATGGGCCATTCCAGGTGGGAGAGTAAAGGTTAAGGCACATAAAAAACGTGAGGCCAATTTCTTCGGATTGGGGAATCCATAGGATTCCTTACTGTAAAATATAAGTAAAATTTAATTTCCTGATTGCTCCTTACCTTTCTAATGCCAAAAACTTCCTTCTTCTGGGCAGGATTTGGATGGTTCTTGCTTAAGTCCTCCTTGCTGATTCCTCTATTTATATATGACATTTCTGGACAGCCCCTCTTTTGATATATTCATTCTTCTTTTTTTTTTTTTTTTTTTTTTTTGAAATAGAGTTTCACTCTTGTTGCCTAGGCTGGAGTACAGTGGCACGATCTTGGCTCACGGCAACCTCCACCTACCAGGTTCAAGTGATTCTCCTGCCTCAGCCTCCCAAGTAGCTGGCATTACAGGCATGTGCCACCATGCCTGGCTAATTTGTTTTTTTTTAATAGAGATGGGGTTTCTCCATGTTGATCAGGCTGGTCTCAAACTCCCGACCTCAGGTGATCCACCCGCCTCGGCCTCCCAAAGTGCTGGGATTACAGGCATGAGCCACCATGCCCGGCCTATACATTCATTCTTTAGTCATACTTTTGTTTCATACAAGCGCCTCATAGCAAACTTACAGATAGCTGCTCTGACCCAAGTTCTTGGTGGCATCTTGGTTTTGCTGCCATTTCTTGCCTCTATCACCCAGGTTTCTTTTTTTATATCTGCATCCAAAAGGTTCTATGGCATTTCATGTCAACAAAACTGTCTAAAAAGATACTAATTATTCTCTTTTTCCTTTGCTGTCTGTCTAGTCTTTTATCTTTCTTTAATTCTTAAACCTTTTATTTAATCTCTCAATTTTTGGAATTAATAACATTTTCTAACATGCTTACTCCCTAGCTCTTCCACTTCTCCCATACTCAGCACCCCCAGTAGTTGGTGTTATTTAATATCCTTTGTCACCATTATTGTCCCCTGTTTAACTTATTCTCTCCACTCATCCTGCTCCAATTATTCAAAATTTCCCTCATTTCTACTTCTCCCATCATACAGGTTGCAGGTGGAAAAGGTAAAAAACCAGGCGGCTAATAGTCAGGTACACTAAACTTTCAGGATTCACAAGATATTCTCTTGAGAGCTGAGGGAAGGCCACTGCTAGAGGTCAGACAACTGATTACATTCTTTAAAATAATTCCACAAGGCATATAAGAAGCAAGCTCCATTGACATTCAAGATTCAAAATTAACCTTTAATGAGAATTCATAAGACCTTCTTCACTCCCCCTAACAAGGCAAAGGAAGAAAAAAGCACTATTTCTTTCTTATTAATTTGCAGCTTTTAAAAAAAGGATAAGCAATTCCTACAATCTTACCTTTAAATTTTAAATACTGTTAAAAAAAAGAGTAGCAAACTTACAACAAGGTCCTTACTGAGAGCTGCATTTTTCCCTCTAGAAATCAAGTCAATTAAAAATGTTGCTCCTTAGGAGAAAAGACCAGCTCCTTTATAGGATCACCTTGAAAGAGAAGCCAGGTGTTGTGTATTCAATCTGTAAATGCTAATGAAATGCTAATATCTCAGGGCAAAACTTGTTAAACCGAAGATCTTGAAATGCTGGCCTGTTTGCATATCTGGTTAAAGGAAGTACGCTGGCAGGAACCAATTACTATGTGGCTTGTTAAAAATCAAGTTTAATGATTAACAAGGTCAGCCTATGTTTAAGCAGAGTAGGAAGTCACTAATTTGTGAGAGGCACTGACGGTCCTTGTGGCCCAAGACCCTACCTATAGTTTGTACTTACACTATCTGAAACCTCCACATCAGAGTCACTGTGCTAAGAAGATGTCTCCTTAAGAACAAATACTAAAACATGCATAATTCATAGGAGGAAAGATGGGGGAAGCTAAAGGCACAGGAATTAAATGACTAACGATTCTGACAAAAATCTCATGAGTTGTCACTGTTGGTATCAGATGACAAGGCTGTTACGGCATGGTGGCCAGGAAAATGAGCTGTAGAAATAGACTACCTGGACCTGAGCCTGGCTCTGCCATGTATTAGCGCCTCACGGCGCCTCAGTTTCTTCATCTGCAAATGGGGGCAAATAATGTACTTATCTCTCAGGACTACTGTGAAGAGTGACTGGCATGCAACAAGTATGCAATAGGCATTTTGATTATTTTGCAGATGAGAAAACTGAGCCATAAAGAGGTGAAGTAACCTGCTGACTAATCATACAGCAGGTGAGTGCCAGAGCCCTGAAAGGTAATCAAGACCATTTGGCTTTAAAGCCCAGCCATGTACTTTGCACACCATCTTAGCATAATAAGATCATTAATAGAGCTGACTGTTTTTTACATTTCTTTACGGGAATGGGACATAGGGTACGTAAACTCTCAACAGATATGGGGCATACAGAGAGTGACAGTCTGTAAAGATCTAGGTCAGTGGTACTCAAACTTGGCAGCACACATTCAAAACCCTGCTCAGGCCACATTCTAGAACAATTAAATCCAGCATCCTTGGAGATGGAACCCAGGCATCAACGACTTGCAAGCCTCCCCAGGTGAGTCCAATGTGTAGCCAAGCTTGAGGGTAACCAGACCAGTGGTTTTCCAACTTGAGCATGTATCAAAAGCATCTTGGCTCACAGCAACCTCCACCTACCAGGTTCAAGCGATTCTCTTGCCTCACCCTCCCAAGCGGGTGGGATTACAGGCATGCGCCACCACGCCTGGCTAATTTTGTTTTTTTTAATAGAGACGGGGTTTCTCCATGTTGGTCAGGCAATTTCAACAGAAATTGCTGGACCACATCCCCAGAGTTTCTGATTCAGTAGACATGGATGGAGCCCGAGAATTTGCATTTCAAACAAAATTTCCTGGTGATGCAGATACTGCTGGTCCAGAGGGCACACTTTGAAAACCACTACCTTAGACATTCAAAATTTCCCTCTGCATCCATGTGCCTGGATTGGTCTGAGAAGCCACAATATAGTAAGACAGTGATTATATGGGGAGGTAAGGGATATCCAGGGATCTCAAAATGGAGTGTTAAGGGCACACAGAGGGAAGGGAAGCTAAATATACTCTGTACATCTCACCATTTTTCCTAAGGTTAATTCAAATGATGAATGAGGGTTTGCATTTCTATGCTAATATTTGGCAGTTTTAAATCAGATTGGTGTCTCCTATCGTTCCAATACTTCTGTTTCAGTGGAAGCAGTGATATTTCACTCAAAAGCAAGCTATCAATGAAATAAACAGGATATTTTAAAAGTCAAAATCAACTTACCACTATT